>NW_018654722.1:0-690932 GCF_000001405.40 Homo sapiens | reverse complement strand
GAATTCAAGACCAGCCTGGACAACAAAGCAAAACTCACCTCTACCAAAAAAAAAAAAATTAGCTGGAGTGGTGAGTGCCTGTAATCCCAGCTACTCTAAAGGCTGAGGCTGGAGGATCATTTGAGCCCAGGAGGTCGAGACTTCGGTGAGCCATGATCATGCCAGTGCACTCCAGCCTGGACAACAGAGCAAGAACCCAACTCTTTAAAAAAGAAGTGGTAGAGACTATGATGGGCTAGAGATAGAACGTCCAGTCTAAATGGCACAGCAGTTACTCAGCTCCAGTGGCTTGTTGCCAAATCTCCCCATTGTTAAGGAAAAAATATTGTAAACTTGACGTTTATGTGAAATCTAATTTTGTTTCGCTGTAGCAGCTGTAGTAGACTGCAACCTATGGCCACAAATTCCTCCCATCTCTATCTGCCCACCCTTTACAATGGGACATTGCTGCTCCCCCATCAGAGATGAATTCTATTCCCCCTCCTCCCCGTTCTAGCCTGGCCTTGTGACTTGTGTTGGCCAATAAGATGCAGTGGGAGTAACATTTGTAACACTGAGTCGAGACCTCAAAAAGTCTTGCAACTTTGACTTTGAGCCTCTTGGAATGCTCTGTTCTTGTGTAAAGAGGCCCAGGATAGCCGGAAGGAAGGAAATTGAGATACCGGCAGAAAGAAGTCGCATGGGCAGACAGAAGGAAACTCATCTCAGCCATTCCAGCCGCCCCAGCTGAGGCTTCACACTTGGGAGTGAGGCTGTCTAGGACCAACTAGCTAAACTGCCATCTGAATGCAACCACATGAGTGTGCCCAGGTGAGACCAGGAGGAGAATCACCAGGTTAAGCCACAGAACTGTGAGGAAAAGTAAATTATTGTGGTTTTAAGCCACTAAGTTGGGGTGATTTGTTACACAGCCATAGATAACAAAGAGAAATAATTAAGGCATCTTGCCAATCAAATGCCTCAAGTCACCAGTTAGTGATCTCTTAGGTGTGAACTGCTTGAGGACAGGAATCATATCTTGTTGATCTTGGTATCCTGAGTGCCTACCATTGCCTGATAATTAACACATAGTAAATCCTTTGTGAACAAATAAATGGAGCTGTAAGAGGAGCTCCTATCACAGCTGCAGCAGCCTTGAGGATAGGGCTTTATCGTATGTGCCTTTCTAATCCCAACAGGCACTAACATTTTCTCCTGCAGTTTCTATAATCCTGTGTTAGTCATGGTTCTCCAAAGAAACAGAACCAATAGCAGAAACAGAGAGAGAGACAGAGAGAGAGATTATGGGAATTGGCTCATGTGATTATGGAGGTCAGGAAGCCCCACAATCTGCTGACTGCAAGCTGGAGAACAAGGAAAGCCAGTAGTGTAATTCAGTCCAAGTTTGAAAGTCATTTCAGCAGCCTGGGGAAGGGTGGTGTCTGTAGCATCTGAACCAATGAACCTCAAAAGATACGGACACATTCATGGGTCAGACAAGGAGAAGTGAGTGAACTGATTGTGCAGAAAACACTAATCTATGTGTGCCCTTCCCTCAAGAACCTGGAGCTCTGATGTCCGAGGGTAAAAGAAGATGGACGACTGGGCTCAAATAGAGATAATTTGCCCTTCCTCTACTTTTTTGTTCTACTCAGGCCCTCAATGTATTGAGTGATGTGGACCCACATTGATGAGGGAAGATCTTCATTTAGTCTACCAATTCAAATGCTAATCTCTTCCAGAAACACTCTCACAGATGTACCCAGAAATAATATTTTACCAGCTCTATGGGCATCACTTAGCCCAGCCAAATTGACACATAAAATTAACCATCACAAATCCTTATTAAAAAAAAAAGTTTGCTCAATGATGAAGTAGTGCAAATAGAATAACGAAATGGAGTGGCTAATGAACAACGGAGCCAAAAAGAATTGTGACATTTTGCTACATGTTGGGAGAACAAGAGAAGTGTTTGCCTTGACCTAATGGAACCTCAAAGAAACAATAGGGAGTCTCGATGGAGGCAGAAAATGAAGTGTAGCCAGATCCACCCCAAACTGGGAAACCCCAAACCAGGCAGGACTATGAGCAGTAGCCAATGGGTGCTAAGTTAGGAAGTGTCCGAGTTTTGAGGATGGAGAAAATAATACAAAAACAACACAAGATAAAATTGAGGCTGGGCACAGTGGCTCATGCCTGTAATCCCAGTACTTTAGGAGGCCAAGGCGGGCAGATCACCTGAGGTCGGGAGTTCAAGACCAGCCTGGCCAACATGGCAAAAACCCACCTCTACTAAAAATGCCAAAAAAAATTAGCCAGGCATGGTGGCATACACCTGTAATCCCAGCTACTAGGAAGGCTGAGGAAGGAGAATTGCTTGAACCCGGCAGGCAGAGGTTGCAGTCATCCGAGATCGTGCCATCGCACTCCAGCTTGGGTGACAGAGTGAGACTCTGCCTCAAAAAAAAATAAATAAATAAATAAAATAAAATTGAAATTTACCTACTCTGTCTTGGAAAAACCTTTGATGCTAGGGACTGGGGGTTGGCAAGGTACCAAGGCTGATCGAGCCCTTGGGCGTCTCTCTTCCTCTGCCCTTTGCCATCAGGGATGAAGAAGACTTCTCTCCAAGGCTGAGCAGCATCTTTCAAAGAAAAAAAAAAAGAATGCAGTAGGGAAAGGGAGTGCGTGGGGGCTAAAAACCAGCCTCATTGTACGAACACTCAGCCCATATTCCCCTCCCTGACTCTACCTTTTGCAGAGAGGACTGGGGGTGGGACATGCATGTCCTATATTCTACCAGGCCACCCTGAGTGGGAGGGTCCCATTCTGCAGGCTCCTCTGCAGGTTGTTCTTTTGAAACATAAACTCCTGGAGTGTTAGAATTGGAAGGGATCTTAGGCACTGTTTGGATCTATCCAACCCCATTCATTTTACTACTTAAGAAGTAAACAGTGTCCAACTGGGAGCATGAATCCCAGAACCTTTGGTTAAAAGTCTGAAGTTCGATCTGTGGCCTGTCTGGCTGCCTCATTTGAAGACTGCCCTAGATGTTTACTTTTCATCTGATTTCACCCATGTGGTGGGGAATTGGCTGCAGTGTTGTGGAAAAGATCGCCGGACCTGGAGTTAGGAAATAGACTTTCAAATCCCAGCTCTGTCTCTGGCAAGCTGTGGAACTCCAGACATTACTTAAACCCTCTGTGCCTCAGTTTCCTGACCTGTGAGATGGGAATAATAACAGGACAGACTTTTCAGGATTGTTGGGAGATGATTAAATAAGATGAGCTATGTATGTAAAGGGCTTGTCAAGCCTCCTGGAGCAGATAATACTCCTTAACGTGTTTTCTTCTTTTGTTTTTTTTTTTGTTTATTTGTTTTTGTTTTTTTGAGACAGAGTCTCTCTGTCACCCAGGCTGGAGTGCAGTGGCACGATCTCAGCTCACTGCAACCTCGGCCTCCCAAGTTCAAGCGATTCTCCTGCCTCAGCCTCCCGAGTAGCTGGGATTATAGGCTTGCGCCACCATGCCCAGCTAATTTTTGTATTTTTAGTGGAGATGGAGTTTCGCCATGTTGGCCAGGCTGGTTTCAAACTCCTGACCTCAAGTGATCCACCCACCTCGGCCTCCCAAAGTGCTGATATTACAGGTGTGAGCCACAGCGCCCGGCCTCCTTAACGTATTTTCTTCTTCTGCTGCTGCTGCTGTTTTTAATCAATTGCTCTGAGCCTTGGTTTAGGATTGCAGCAAATTTAGAATTAAAACATGTAAAGTGGGTGGGCCACAGTGGCTCACACCTGTAATCACAGCACTTTGAAGCTCAGGTGGGTGAATCACGTGAGCTTAGGTGTTTGAGACCAGCCTAGGCAACATGGCAAAACCCTGTCTCTACAAAAAATACAAAAATTATCCCGGCGTGGTGGTGCACACCTGTAGTCCCAGCTACTTGGAGGCTGAGGTGGGAGGATTGCTAGAGCCTGGGAAGCCAAGGCTGCAGTGAGCAATGATCATGCCACTGCACTCCAGCCTGGGCAACAGAGTAAGACCCTATTTAAGAAAAATTTTTTTTTAATTTAAATTTCAACACTTTTTAAGACTCATGGTTAGGTATTTTGTAGAAGGTCCCCCAATCTGGGATTGTCTGGTGTTTTCTCATGAAAAGACTAAGGTTGTTGATTTTGGCAGGAGTAGCACAAAGGTGATGTGCGCTTCTCGTTGCAGTATATGGGGGCACATGATGTCAACATGATTTATTGCTGGTGATCTTCATCTTGACCATTCGGTTCAGGTGGTGTTTGTGAGGTTTCTCTACTGTAAAGTTACTGTTTTTTTCTTTCCATAGTCCGTAAGAAGGAGGTCCCCAAGTCCAGAGCACACTCAAGGCAAGAGGAAATAAGCTGCACCTCCTGGAGAAAGGGAAATCAAAGAATTTGTGATAGTGTGTGAAAACCACTCAGGTATTCATGTATTTTGGGGCAGATACTTGAAGGCTTTGCAAATGTCCTGTTTTTCCTTAAAGTTTTATCTACTGCTTTTAGCATTAATCAATGGATCTTGCCTGTAGCAATTATTATTGTGATGATCTAATACTGATTTTCTATTTTCCTTATTCCTTATACATTTATAATTAGAATTCTTCTGCATTTAGTTCTTCTCTCTCATTTAGTTATTTATTCAAGACTTTATTTACATCAGTATGGATTCATAAAGGTTTATTTTACTCTTGGAGTTATAATCCAATATTATTATCTATTACCGTTGCTCAAACTGTTCCAGATTTGGCCATTGGGAGCTCTTTCAGGTTGGCTCCTGTGTCCTTTTGATATGCCCCTTCCTTCCCTTTTTTTTTTTTTTTTTTTGCACTTCTTTATTTTCTGGCACTAAAAGTTGTTCCAGGATCATCTTATGTGTTCCCTGTCCCAGCTCAAGAATTAACCATTTTTCCAAGGAACCCTGGCTCCTTTATTGGAGAATATTATTTAGAAACCAAGATCTGGGTGCTAAGTACTCTTGTTGCTAATGGGGTATCACTTCTTTTAGGCCCTCTTTGCAGACAAAGCTAACAAATATAAGTATATATACTAACATACATTTTATATATATATATGTGTGTGTGTTTGTGTGTGTGTGTATACCATATCTATATTTATTTCTCTATCTGTTTGTACATACATACACACCATATAGACATCTATGGATTATAAATCCATATAGAGATCTATAGATAGATAAAGATATCTATATGGATCTATTAAAGATATTCTATACTATTGAGTGTACATATATGTATTAAAATGCACATGAATTCATGCTGATATCTCCAGCTCAAATCCAGCACCACCACCATCCTAACACCCCTCTTCTTTCTGTGACAGTGAGAAACCTGCCTCCCACTAGCGACAGTTTATTTACTTATTTGTTCAACACTGGTATGCATAGAAAGCAGTTGCGGAATTGCTAACCTGTAACAGGCTCTTGACAACCCCAAAGATGGCTTGTACTCAGTGTGAACAAAACTGAGTTCTTCATTTCATAACCAACCCAAACCTCTCTTACTCCTTTTCTCCACTCCCTTCTCTCCCCGTCTATACTCTATCACTGTGATTGACACCAGGCACATGGATGCCATCACTGACATCTCTGTGCCTCCCCTCCCACAGCAAATTACCTCATCTAACCTCATCTTTCACCTCTTCTCCCCACCTCACATGCATGGGCAGGCACACACATGCACGAGCACACACATAACACATATACACACATAGTATGCTCCTGCCACTTTCGTTCTCCAACTGTATCAAGCTTTGGGGCATTGTACATGCTGTTCCATCTGCTTGCAACACTTTTCCTCTTCCCACTCCTCCTGTGATTGGCTAACTTCACGTCTACCTCTTTCAGGAAACCATCCCTGACCACTCTCCAAGCCTATGTCAGGAGACCTCATTCCCTTGATATTGTGAGTTTCTCTCCTGTTTTAGCATTTATCTTTTTTTCTTTTTCTTTTTTTTTAAACAGGGCCTCACTCTGTCACCCAGGCTGGAGTGCAGTTTCACCATCTTGGCTCACTGCAACCTCTGCCTCCCAGGCTCAAGTGATCCTCCCACCTCAGCCTCCCAAGTAGTTGGGACTACAGGCGTGCACTACTACACCTGGCAAATTTTTGTATTTTTTGTAGGGACAGGGTTTTGCCATGTTGCCCAGGCTGGTCTCAGACTCCTGGGCTCAAGCGATCTGCCCATCTTGGCCTCCAAAAGTGATGGGATTACAGGCGTGAGCCACTGCACCTGGCCACATTTATCATTCTGTATTCACAATTCTCACTTACTGTTCCAAATACCTGTGAAACAGCATTTCCCAAATTGTCTCAAGCATTGAATGAAGTATCACTAGAATGTGAGCTCCATGGAGACAAGTGTATGTCTGTTGTGTTCATTGTTGTATCCTCAGTGTCTAGAACAGTGCCTGGCACTATTAGGTACTGGTTAATATTGGTTGAGTGAATTAATTAATGTAGCACTCGGCCTCCAAGATAGCACCATATGACCTTCACCTTCTGGTGTCCCCACACTGAATTAGGGCTGGTCTGTGTGATTAATAGGGTATGGTGGAGGTGACAGTTCCTTCCAAGGGAAGGTTATGAAGTTTCCACCCTGGCTTCTTGGGTAGCTCACGGTGGGGTAAGCCCCAACTGCCATGTCATGAGGACACACAAGCAGCCCTGTGGAGAGCCCAGAGGGTGAAGAACTGAGGCCTCCCACCAGCAGCCAACACCCACTTGCCAGCCCTGTGACTGAGCCACCTAGAATATGGATCCTCCAGTCCCAGCAACACTTCCAATGACTGTAGCCTCATGAAAGATACCAAGCCAAAACTGCTCAGCCAAGCTACTTCCAAGTTTCTGACCCCCAGAAACTCTGAGAAATAGTTTTTCATTGTTGTTCTAAGCCACTACGTTATGGGGTAATGTGTTACATGGGAGTAATTAATGAACACAGTACTGTCCTACAGAAAAGAGCATCATGATTAAGTAAGTTTGGGAAACACTGGATTAAACAGCTAATGGGATTTCTCAGAGGACTCCTCAGAGCTTTTAATATACAATACTCATGAAGAATCCCATCCTCATGTAATGACTTACTCCTTTTTCATCTTATTAACTCTTTCCAGTTTGGAAATGTAGTTGTAAGTAAATCTACAGTCGGCCAGCATCCCAAATAAAATAACACCAAGATTGTCTAAGGGCAGCAGGACAGGAAGAATTTCTTGAGGATTTGGGCCTCAAATTCCTACTTTTTCCTCCTTCAAAAGTCACCTTTCCCTTGGGAATCCCATGAATTATGGCTGCATCTACCAAGCTGGCATCAGAAGACGATGTTCTCCCCTTCACTACTTGGACTCAAACACGGGCACTTTTACTTAACCTTCCATAGCAAAATTGAGATCATAATGACTGACAAAATTTTGCAGGAAACCCAGTGTAGGGAATTCAGTTGGGTCCCCAAAAGAGATATGTTCAAGTCCTGAGCTCCAGTACCTGTAAATGTGACATTATTTGGAAACAGGGTCTTTCTAGATGTATTCAAGTTAAGATGAGGTCATAGTGGATTAGGGTGGGCCCTAAATCCAATGATCAGTGTCTTTTATAAGAGAAAGGAGGTAGATTTGGACACAGACACAGAGGAGCCATAGGGAACAGCCATGTGACAACAGAGGCCAAGATTGGAGTGATGGTTCGACAAGCTGAGGAACATCAAAGCCTGCCAGCAGCCATCAGGAGCTAAGAGACAGGCATGGAACAGATCCTCCCTCAGGGCCTGCAGAAGCAACCGACCCTGCCAACAGCTTGATTTCAGTCTGCTGGCCTCCTGAACTGTGAGACGATAAATTTCTGTTGTTTTAAGCCACCCGGTTTGTGGTGCTTTGGTTCAGCAGCCCTAGGAAAGTAAGACATCCAGGAAGAACTGAAAGGAATTGCTCAAAGGAGCATAAAAGTAGAGCGCCACCCAGCAATGGAGCTGCCTCCTTGCCACTTGGCCCTTGGCTCCCGGCCCTGCCAGGATTCTCCCTCACCTTGGTGGGGGCTGCTTGGGAACAGCCTGGCCTAACTAGTGCCCTCAGGGTTCACGCCCAGGAGAGAGAAGTACAGAGAGATGCTTCCTCTAACTCTACCCAAGGCCTCAGTAACAAATCCCCATTTCCTGACCCCAGACGCTCTTTATTCCAGTAGAATGAACATTGGGACCATCTGTTCCTTTCAGAGAATGTCATGTTCCCACCATAAGGGATGGACTCACAGGTTATCTCAAAACGTAATTGTCTACTGTTACTACAAGAGATACACAAGCAGCGAGAGAGGACAGATTCAGTGCCTTTCTCTGACATCCCAAAGCCGCAGGGACTTCCCCACCATTACTCATTGCTCTGTTCACCTCAGTCTCTAGGCAGGAAGGTCTCTCTCATTAGTGATGAGAGAGAGTCTGCTCTTCCAGGTCAAGGCCGCAGTGAGATGCATGTCCCTGGAGCCTAGCACAGGGCTTGGCACAGAGCAGGGGCCCTGCAGCACTTTGTGGGGAATTGGCTACCTGAACAGTCAAGACACTGAGGCCATTAAAACAGGCTCCCAAAAAAGCAGCCAAACCCCTGTGCACTTTCTGCATCTGGAATTTCCAGGAATTCCTCTCCATGACAATGTAGAAAGTCCAGCAGTGGGTTCCAAGGCATCACAGAACTCAATCCAAGCAGATCCCAAACCCCAATGGAAAGCTGCACAACACGCCACTCCCCAAAGCATCGTGGAGGCCCAGAGTTCCAGCCAGAGAAGGAGACTCAGTAAGTTCAGAGGGCAGATGCTCCTGTACTGGGGCTTCAGGCTGTGCCTGAGACCATCCTCAGATTCTCTAGCTAGCAGGACAGAGCCAGGTGAGGGGAAGGATGAACTGCAATGTGAGGACTTTGTGTGCCCATCTCCTCCTCTTCACCAGCTGACTCTCTACCCAGGGCAGCCTAGACAAGATTTAGAGACCGGGGCAGTGGGCTATTTTGGAGTCTGGAATGGGAAGGAATGACAATTGGCAGGTGACTCTAGTACTTGAACTTTCCTGTGCTGAAGAATCACCAAAGGTATTCATTAATATGCAGATACCTGGGTCCAGCCCTCCCTCCCAAGGAGGTTAAGTGTTGCCTAGGAATCTGTATTAAAAACAAAACAAAAACAAAAACCTCCTTAGTGGTTCAAACACAAGTAATCCTCAGACCTGGGCCAAGAAGGTCTTTTCTGACACCACCTGGAGACCCAGCCTCGTTCTTCTCTCTCCTAACTACAGCCTCAGGAAGCTACATGTCTGTAGAGAGCCTGGGAGAAGACAATGACCCCAGTCTCAGAGTGACTACACACAAAGGCGCCAGGAGGCCGACCCACATCAGGATTCCAAAGAGAAGAGGGGTTAGGCCTGAAACAGTGTGGGCCCAGAGGGCATAACGAGCCCCTTACAGAGCAGTCACAAAGAAGCAGGTGTGAGCTCAATGTGAGGAAGAACTTTATGGCAAATCTCTTACATCACTCACGGCCGAAGGCCTACAGTCTAGTGGGAGAGTGCCCATCATCCTTAGAAAACTCTAAATGCCCTGGCAGCCTATAAGGTCCTTCAGAATTCAGCCTGGCTTCCCTCCGCAATCCCTTCTTATAGCCCCCCACTTCCAGAACTTCACCTGCCTTCCCACCCTCGAAGTGGAACCTTTCAGAGTTCTCCAGATATACCAGGCCCTAGAGATCGGTCAGCCTTCCTTCCTTGCCACTCCCCTCCAGGACTTTGCCTCTTCTGGTCCCTCTGCCTGGCCTGCCCTTCCCCTACTCTTAGCTTATCATCTTCACGTCCCAGTTTAGAAGTCACCCCTGAAGTTCCCTGCAACCCCCACAGCTGGATGGAATGCCTCTCCTCTGTTCCCTCTGCATCTCATACTTAAATTGTTCATTGTGGGACGGAGTGGATGGGGTTGCGTGCCTTGGTGGGGAGTCCACTACCCGAGAGGGGGGCGGTGGATGAACGAGCAAGCAGGGAAAGAAAAAAGTTGTTCACTGAAGGCAGGCACAGTGGTTCATGCCTATTATCCCAGCACTTTGGGAGGCTAATGCCGGAGGATAGCTTGAGCCCAGCAATTTGAGGCTGCAATGAGCTACGATCCTGCCACTGCACTCCAGCCTGGACACTAGAGCAAGACCCCATCTCTCTCCCTCTCTCTCTGTCTCTCTCTCTCTCTTTCTCTCTCTCTATCTCTCCCTCTCTCTCACACACACACAAACACACACACACACATTGTTCACTGACTCCTCAAGGTCTAATGTACTCTCTGTACAAAAAATATTGAGTTTGAATTGTTGAATTGTAATAAGCTGTTTATTTACTTTTGCCCCATGAGGCTATGAATTCCTCCAGGACAAATTGGCTGGCACTTTGCTGCTGTTTAATAAATATCTGACAATGCATGAATGGCAGTGTCCTGGCAGAAAACAGAATAGTCCACCTTGAGAGGCAACAAGTCCTAACAGCTTTTTGTTTACACAGAGGCTGATCCACCCTCTCTCAGAGATCTTAGAGGTGGTGCTGAAGATTGATAAATAGGACACGAATGCCCTAGGGTCCCTTCTGACATGGTGATTATGGGGCAGTGACTCTGGCAGGGGGCTGAAGGGGATCTTTGAAAAGCAACCAAGGCCCGGTGAGCTAATCACTTGATATCAGTTTGGTTCACAGCAGCTTGTGTTCCAGAAAGGTAAAGGAAATTCATTGCAAAGCAGCAACAGGCGAGGAGTTACTCTGGTTCTGTTGTCCCCCAATCCAGAGCCAGCCTCTGTCACACCCACCCCTGCTCTCCTGAGTACTTGCTAGGACTGCCTGGACTCATTGGGCATAGAGAGGCCCCACAAGCCTGAAGGTGAGGCAAGTTTCCCAAGTGCAAATGCCCGGAATGTCTTTTAGGCACGTCCCCCTGCAGCCAAGCCTAGCCAAATCAAGCTATTTGTACTCAGTACCTACGGTGTGTCAGGCTCCAGGTGAACAAGACAGACAAAGTGACTTTTCCCAGCCCAGTGGAACTTGGCCTCTCGTAGGCCATCAAGACAGGGGACAAACCAGGTTTCCAGGCCAGGCCCGTCAGTGGTGATGGATGTACCAGCTATTTAGAAGGCCAGCATGGGCATATTTGCAGGATAGGCCAGGAACTCATATAGTGCTGTAAGCCCCAGGGCAGGTGACATTCAGAGCTGCTGGGTAGACTGTTTGCTTTCTGCAGTCTACCTCTGAAGCACAAATCTTTCCAGAATATCTTCATAATCCCCAGGAGTGGAGGATCCAGAGGGAGGGCTTGTGCCAGCTCTCCCTCACCTCCACCCTCACTCCAGGGAGAGAAGCCTTAGAGGCCTGGACCTCCTGAGTCAGCGTGTCTGAATGGGGGCTGGGGACAGGAGCCCAGGAGTGCAGCGTTCAATGTGCTGCTGATTATCTACGTGACCTCAGGCAAGCCCCTTTCCCTCTCTGAACTTTAGAATCCTCCTCTGTAAATGAGAGATCAGCTACATCAGTGTGTCCTCATCTTGGCTATGAATCAGAATCATCTGTGTGGTGGCAAGACTAAGGACCTGGAAAAATGCAGCCTCCTGGGCCTCATCCCAAAGCTCCTAAGGAATCTGGACCCCCAAGGAGGAGAGTGGAGAGGCCTACTCAAGCCCTGGCCCCCAATCCTGGTCCCAGTCAAGGAGCCTCTGAGCCCCCTCATGCCTTCCCCAGCCTCCTCCACTGAGAAGCTCTTTGGGATGCAATGTTCCCAGCCACATTCCATCTCTTTCCAACTTCTGGGCCTCCTTGGGCCAGGGCTGGAGTAAGCTGCCCCAACCCATCTCTCCAAAGAGCTCTGGAGCCTGAAGCACTGGTCATTGAGCAGTTTATTACCATCAACCTGTCCCCAGCTTTCCAGCACAACAGCCAGCCCACACTCTAGACACGCCTTCACTCCAGTCCATTCTGGCACCTAGCCTCAGTCTTCACCCTCCTCCCTCCTCCACACACTCCTTCCCCCAGCCCTCCAAGGCAGCACCAGGCCTGAGGGCCACACCTCAGCTGGGGGAGGGGAGGGAAGACAGTGAGACAGACAGAAGCTGGGGAAAGAGGAGCCAGGGTTGGCCCCAAGCTTCTGTAGCCACCACTCCAGGAAGGAGGGAAAGGGGGCAGGGCTGAGGCTGGGGCTGGGGTTGCCAGGTGATGACAGTTCACGTGGTTCAGGCAGGAGGCTCTTCTCCAGGAGGTGCAGGGAAGCCACTCAGGTCTCGGCCAATGATCTCACTCACTGTAAAGGAGGGGCAGTTGAGAGACTGGGCTAGAGGTGGGTCCCCTCCTTTTCCAAAGACCCACCCCCAATCCATTCCAGGCAGGTCTTAATCTAGGAGGCCTCTAGATTCCTCCTCTACTGGCTTCTATTCCACTGGGCCTCAGTTTCCCCAACACGTCTTGACACCTGCTCCGAATCAAATCTTGCCCAACTCCCTCCATGTGGGCTCCCAGGCACCCGTCCTAGCCCTTTCCTGCTGGCTTAGCCTGAAATGTCAGGGGAATCGGTATCAGCAGGGCCAGAGATGGGTGTAGCCAATGGGAAGAAGGAGAGGCAAAACAGGAAAGCTCCTCCTCACCAACCCTGACCACAGACACCGTGTTTAGGGGAAAGCTGAGGCAATGGCAAGTGTGCTTGACTGGGACCTCAGCAAGCTACCATCCCTCTCTGGAACTCAACGCCTAAACTTGCAAATTGAATGCGCTGGATGGAATGATCTTGAAAGTGCTTCTAGCTCTGAGATTTTATGATTTGGAGCAGAGGACAGAGGCAGAGACAGGAGAAAGGCTGAGACAGTTACCCCATGCACTCTTCAGAATTCAGTTAATTGGATTCAGGCAGCCACAGGCATCAAGAACATGCCTCCTGGGAACCTCCAACTGGCCCTGAGAGACCAGGGATGCCCGATCTCTGAAAAGCCCAGCTCCAGCCCTCAGCAAACATGCAGAGCAATCTCTTGCACACACTCACACTCACAGCCCCCAGTCCCACACCCACCTTCCTCCAGCGTGATACCCTGGATAGGGACACTGTCTCGGAAGCCGCTGCTGTAGCCACCCCTGGATTTCTCCTGCTCCGGAGCCCCCTCCCCAGGGCCATAGCCTGGCCCTACCTTATTGTATCCCTCAGCAGGTAGGGGATGCACATCACTCTGGGAAGGGAAGGGGCCTTCAAGCGGTGGGGATGCAGGAAGAGGAGGCGGCCGAAAGGGGGCTGGCGGAGAGAATGGCAGCCCCAGGGAGAAAGAGGAGCCCCGCCCTCCATACGGGTCACTAGGGAAGGGGCGGGGAAGGAAGGAAACTGCAGGTGGTTGGGCACAACCTGTGGTACCCCTAGTCTCAGGGAACATCCGCAGGCCCGGTCTGTAGGATGGTGGGGGCCCCGTCTGGGGGTACAGAGGGGGCATGCCATAGCCGAAGCCTTCTGATAGGTAAGGAGTTTCGCAAGCAGGGTCTTCATGGGGATAGGAGGGGTAGGGGGGCCTGGGTGGTGAGAAGTCCATGTCAGTGCCAAAGGGGGTTGCCGATGCTGAAGGGAAACCCCGCAGAGATGAGTCCGGTAGGGGCTCCTCTTTGCAGATCACTGGGAAGACAGGAAGTGGGAGGACATGCTGGTGAGAGGTCTGGTAGTCTCCCCACTGCACACCTTCCAGCTGCCTGCTCCTCCCAGGTTCCATTCACCCCTTGGCCCCTCATGATGAGTACTGCTTCCCTCTGCTCCTGCTCCAGCTCCCCATATCCCTATACCCCCACCATGGGCTGTCCCAGAGCGCACCAGGCAGAAACCTGAAACTCTGGGTAGGACTGCGTTTCCTCCGCCCATTGGAGACATAAAAGTAGACCTGGACTGGCCGGGAAACCCTCTTGTTGCTGTACTCGGGGACAGTCAGGGTCAGCGTCACCTAGGGAAGAGTAAAAATGAGGCAGGGAGCCCTCGGGCATCTGGGCTTAGCCCAGCCTTTCCAGGGGCCCAGACTCCACCTCCTAGCCTTCTCCATTTTCTAAGATGCAAAGTTCATTCCCTAGAGATGCACCTGCTTACAGAATGGCCAGTCTCCCTCCTCCAGAAAAGTCCACTCCCCTGAGCAAGAGGACCCAGCTGAGAATCCCCTGCCTTCTCCCACCCCCGCCCCCCAGGAGGTATCCAAGTGACACTGGTACCTCGTTGCTCTGCAGTCGGTTCACTGTGGCCTCCTCCTCCCATTGCAGCTTCCCATCTGTCCAGAGGGAACAGAGAGCTGCAGCCCAACTCCAGCGCCCCTGTCCCCTGCCCTAGTTCTCTGCCATTTCCCCTCCTGTTAGAGCCAAGGCCAAATTCAGAAGGCCCTAGAAGGTCTGACACACAGAGGAGCCCACTGCATGTTAACTTAATATGAGTGGAAGAGGTAGGGTTTAAAACTGTCCTCAAGGTATAGGGAAGCAAACTGAGACCAAGGGAAATGGCAGGGCCAGCCCAGAAACCAGAGGGAGTCAGTAACGGAAGCAACCCTTGAGCCCTCCCACCCAGCTCCAAACATCCTTTCCCATGATAATGCTGAGAAGGAAGACCAAAGGTAGGAAAGGGTCCTAGCTCGACAGAACGCAATGAGACCCCCAAGTATCATGACCTAGAACCTCTGGAGAAGCTCTGACATGGTCCCAGGATGCTAAATTTGGATATAGGGGCCAGAGGCAGTGGCTCATGCCTGTAATCCCAGAACCCACCACTCCCACCTTGGGAGGCCAAGGTGGAAGGATCACTTGAGTCCAGGAGTTTGAGACCAGCCTGGGCAACATGGGGAGAACCTGTCTCTACACAGAATATTTTTGGAGGATTGCTTGAGCCCAGGAGGTTGAGGCTGCAGTGAGCCGTGATTGCAGCATCACTGCACTCCCCTGGGTGACAAAGTGAGATCCTGCTACCAAAAAAAAAAGAATATAGGGACTGAGGCTCTTGGTGAGCAGCGTTTGGAGAGGGCAAAGGCCTCAGGTTGGTGCTGGCAACTCAAACCCTCAGTCTTCCCTTCCTCCACTCCTGTAGCTCCATCTTGGGGCACCTAACAGGCTCTGTTAATCACTGCCCATAACTCAAGAGGGGCCCAGCGGGCAGCTGTGAGGGTGTAAATCACCTCTTCCCTTCTCCTCATATACCCTATCTACATGGGGGTAAATTATCTCAAAGCAGACTCCTCTTTATTAGACAGAATGTGCATTGCTTCCATTTGTTCAGCATCCTCAACATTTTAGATTGCTGTCATACCCATCCCACATGGAAAGCAGACAGTATAATAGAAAGGGTAGTCTGTCTGTCCCATTTTACAAATAAAAAAACTGAGGCTCCACTGGCCAGTTTAGTGACAATGCCAGAGATGTTTCACCTGCCACTCCCAAGCTCTCCCTGCCTGCCCTCCCCTCCCCAGCAGGTACTCACCAGGACCCCTCTCAATGAACACCACCTTGGAGTCTGGCAGGAAGTTGGAGCCAGTCAGTACCAGTTCCTCGCCTCCTCTCACAGAGCAGGCACTGGGGCTGTAGGCCTCCACCTGGGGCAGCTCCTGGGCTGAGCGCTGGGCTGCAGAGCAGTGCAAGGAAGAGGACTGGCTGGGCTGGGCATGGAGGGGTGGCCTCCTCTGTCCCCACCCTCTTTGGGAAAACTGCCACAGGGCTCTGAGGGAGCCCTCCTCAGCAGTAGACACACAAATAAACCAGTAATATCCATGGAGTCACATACACCATGTAAGGGGCCGCTCCCAGAGCAGAGAGAGGGTTAAACAGGGTAGACCAGGGAGTTTCCCAAACAAGGGCACAGGGCACCCCAGGAATAGATAGGGTCCAGTGTCACTCTGGGCCACCCCAGAGACAGAGTCTGTGGCAGGGGCAAACTAGAATAGAAAGAAGCTGAGTCCTCTATAGAGCTACCCAGGACAGACAGGGCACAGGACGCTGCAGAGGGAATGGGCAGACAGACACACACACACAGACAAAAGAGTTGCAAGAGACAGAGACATGGCCCAGGGCCTCTTTGCTCACAGCACTCGATGGGCACCGATGCTGCCTGTACTGAGACGACCTTCCCGCCGCCCTGGGGCACGTGTACCCGGAACACCAGCCGTACACGTGTGTTTTTGCGCCCGATGTCCGTCTCACCCTTCCGAAGCTCAATGTCTGAATTCCGAAGCTTCAGGATTCCCGCGCAGTCAATGCTGGAGGCAAAGGATGGATGGCAAGCCCTCCTAGCTGAAGCCAAAATGGTGATACATCCCTAAAGAGGGAAGTTCCCGCCCTCCATCCAAAGCCTTGAATGACTTTCGATGAGTGCCTAGGAGGCTATTTTCTAACCCAGAGATGGCCTCTCTGGGGTACCCCCAACCCCAAAAGTCCTCTTCCAGATGGTGGGTAGGCCTGAAGCCAGCTCCTAGGAAAAATGTCTACCTCTTCTGGGAAAAGGAAGAAGTGGGCTAGCATAGGCCCAGTGGAGAAAGCTAGTACAAAGCCTGCGGACTGAGGGGAAGTTGCATGGGACTTACTTGGCCGCCATGTTGTTCTCAGGCAGCAGAGTCATCTCCAACACCTTGGTGCCACTGACTACGGCTTCATAGCTGGCCGTGGCCACCATCTTGCCTGTGATACGGTGCACCTGATAGAAGGCATGAGGCCGCAGGTTCCTTTCATCTGCAGTGCCGATGAACATCTGTAGGGTCAGTGGCTTCTCACTGTAGCCTAGGAGCTGGCAGAGGGAGAGAGCGGCCACCTCATTGAAATCCCCACCGTCTCATCCTTTATTCATCCCTAGATTTTCAGTCTACCATGGGATGGGAATGGTGAAAGATAAAGGATATCCTGCAAGGGAATCCCTTGGGGAACTGGGCACCCGTTGTGGAGAAAACATGGCCTGGAGTTCACAGTGTTTTTCTTGGAATAAAGCCCAAAGTGGGCTGGGCAAAGGCAGAAGAGCCTCCAAAGAGACTGGCCCAACTCAATACAGAGAAAACTTAACTCCCAGTGACTTTTGTCCTCAGCCTAAACCCTCCCCCATATCTGGCGGGCCACCATTTTCCAGAGTAGACATGAGGCTGGTGTCCCATGGGATGAGCTGAGTGGGGGTGGAAGGACAGGAGTAGAAAGTATATCCGGGTCCTTGCACCCCTCCTCCCCCAACTCCAGCCCCTCCCCCAGGCTGCCTGCAGGGTCAGAGCTGAGAGGGAGTGTGGGAAAGGGCAGTGCCATGTGTCTGCATAGCTGGAACCTATCTGGGAGAGGAGAGAGGATATCAGGCCTGCTGTCTGTCCTTTACCTTGACTACGGGGTGACCGCCAGGGGCAGCTTTGACAGCTCCACGGCTGCCTTCTGTCTCATAGTGGGCCCGGTGGTGGGCTCTAGGCTGTACCTCGATCCTCAGCTCCAGCTGCTCATATTGGCTGGGCAGAGGCCAGTCCAGTGGGGGTAGGGCAGAGGTCCTGGGTGGGAGAGAAGAGCATTGATCATGTGCAGCCTCAGACCCCAGTCAGGCCCGTACTGGATCTGTGAGGGAGGAGGGGGTATGGGTCTGAGAGAAAGGAAAGCACAGAAGAAATAAAGAAGTACATTAACACTTGTGAAAAGAAGGGAAAAAAGAATTTTTTTTAAACTAAAAAAAGGACAAAGAAATGAAGAAATCCAAAAGTCCAGAAGCAAGGGGAAGTAGGGGACAGAGCCCCTTGAGGTGTGAAAGATGACAACAAGCCTAAAACTCCCTTCTTCCCAGCTCTGAGCGCAGGGGTTGGGGTGGAAAGGCTTCACTTGGATACAGAGGATTCTCAAGCCCATCTCAATCCCTAGACCTGGATGGAAAGAAAAAAGAAGTGCCGCTTCAGACCAGAAAAGGCCTCAGATATGAACCCTTTGTTTTACAAATTAAAAAATTGAGGTGCGTTGGCTCACACCTATAATCCCAGCACTTTGGGAGGCCAAGGCAGGGGTAGGGGATGGTGTGAGGATGGCTTGAGCCCAGGAGTTTGAGACCAGCCTGGGCAACATGGTGAAACCCCGTCTCTACAAAAAATACAAAAAGCAGCTGGGCGAGTTGGTGCTCCTGTAGTCCCAGCTACTCCTGCTGAGGCAGGAGGATTGCTTGAGCCCAGGAGGTTGAGGCTGAGTGAGATCACACCACTGCACTCCAGTCTTGGTGACAGAGCAAGACACTGTCTCAAAGAAAAAAAAAAGAGAGAGAGAGAAAGAAACTGAAGCCAGCAGCTACTGACAGACCTAGGACTGAGCACATTCTGCTCTCAAGCCAGCTCCCTTTCCACTAGTTGGGGCTTGATAGGTGGAGTTCCAGGGAGCTAAGGGTTTCAGATGGGACAACTTATCCTGTATTGTGCTCCCTGATACCCTAGGACAGTGGATCTCAACTGGTAATTGCCCCCCAAGTAATTGCCCAGATATTTGGCAATGTCTGAAGACATTTTTGGTTTTCCCAACTAGGGGAGTGGGTGCTACTAGCATCTAACGGGTAGAGGCCAGGGAAGCTGCTAAACCATCCTACAATGTCCAGTACACCCCCACATAACAAAGAATTATCCTGCTCAAAATAGTAGTGCTGAATTAACAGTGCTGAGGTTGAGAAACTTTGCCCTATGGGAAACCCAGGGGTACCAGTGTTAACGTTTCTTTCCCCTAGAAACTTTTCTGGACAGAGCCAGCTCAGTCTAACATCTCAAGATTTAAGATTATTGAAATGGGCAAGATTCTCTGAGGGTGGAAGGAATAGAACTGCAAGTTTTAATATGAATTATTTGACTTGCAAATATATGCTATTTTATTCAAGTTAGCAGCTATACTTTTAAGCTAGTAGGTCAGGCTCTAGAAATTAAGGAATGCAGAAGGGGAATTTCCTGCAACAGAGTGGAAATCTGCTTAGGTCTGGCACCTATTGAAAGGGCCAGAGTGGAAGGCTGAAATCCAGCCCAAGTTCCACACTCAGCCACATGCCAGTGCAGAGCGGGGGCTTGGGAGCACTCTATAGGCTACAGGAACACCTCCTTAACCTAGTTGATCCTCCTACAATAGCTAGGGGTGGGAGGGTGGAGGGGCTTTTTCTAATTGTCCCACAGGGAACTGTTGCCCTCTTGTAAATCATCCAGAGGTGCACTTTTTTTTCTAGTTCTCTTTAAAACCAGGTAGTTGGCAGCTGCTGAGCTGGTTGCAGATACTCTTTTGAAATTCAGAGGGCATGAAACTAGTGTCTTCAAATCCATCCCTTGACCCTCCTGCTCCCCTACTGGAATGGCTAGAGAGAGCGGTAGTGCCAGGCGCAACCCTCACCTGAAGATAGGGCTGTGTCCCCCAATCCGGGCCTTGGACCAAGCGAGTGGGGAGGGCACTGCCAGGTAGTCCATGCCAGCCACCTCCTTCCGGGAACCTCCTGGAGGAGCCACAGACTCCTCTGCTCCCAAGGGCAGCTTCCCATTGCATGAGGCAGGCTCCTCAGACCGAGGCAGAGCCACTGCCTGCTCGCTGGAAGTCCGCCGTGTCTTCTGAGGGATGCTCTCAGCTGGTGGGGCCCCCACATAGTCAAAGGGACCAGGGGAGCCCGGGTCCCGGGCCAGAGGCAATGGGGGTGGTGGAGGTGGCTCAGACCCCTCTTCCCCCAGGCTGCCACGGCGGGACAGAGCTGGGGAGGCTGAAGATGGGGTTCCCGAGCTGGAATAGCGCCGCTTGCCACATGGAGAGGCAGGCCGCGGGGAGGCTGGGGTGGGCCCAGGAGCACTGAGGAGTAGCCAGCTATCCTCTGGCCCTCGGCCTCCGGGGCTTGGACCATACAGGCTCCAGGGATCTTCGGGGGTCCATGGCCGAGGGGAGGCCCGGGGCGAGGGCAGCGGGGAGCCCAGGCCAAAGCGGGAGGCCGCCTCATTTAGCTCAGACTCCACCTCGTCGCAGGCTGCATACAGGGCTGCCTCGTCAGAGGCATCGGAGAAGAAGCTCCACGAGGACAGGCTGCTGCTGCCAGGGCTTGGGCTGAAGAAGGCCCCCCCACCCTGGCCCCCTGCTTCTCTGTAGCCCCCAAAGCCTTCTGGTGGGGGGTAATCTCTAGGAGAGCCGTCCCCCCAGGCATCAGGGTTGTCCTCCAGCGCTGCTGGCGGCTCCGGCGTGGGAGAGATGGAGGTGATGCGGATGCTGGGACACTCGAGAACACGGCCACCCCCAGCACCCCCAGCACCCCCTCCTGGTCCTCCCAGCCTCACCGACCTGGCGGGCTGGCTCTCCCAGGTGCCAGGTGAGGGGGCTGGTCGCGGCGGTGGCGAATGCATGCCAGGCCGAGGGGGTGGAGGTCGGGGAATACCGATAGGTGCAGCGCCATAGGGAGGGGGCTCTCCCAAGGCCAGACGGCAGCATGGCGGGGCATCCTCTGAGTCCAGTTCTGTCAAAATGGGAAGAGGAGCAGAGGGAGAGGGGGAAAGAGAGAAGCAGGTGAGATGGCTATGTTCCTTGAGTGGCCAGGCCGCAAGTCCTTCTATGCTCCCTGCCCCTCAGCAAAGAGACCTTCTGAGCCACAAGACAAAAGCAGAGTTGGACCTGGGAAGATGGAGGAGATTGAAGCAGGCATGCCAGGCCTTTGCCCACTGGCCCCTGGATCCTAGGACCGAGGGTACCCGATCCAGTGGGTCTTAAGGTGAGAGAGGTGGGTCCAGAGGGGCTGGAGCTGGGGCTGGGCCTGGAGGCGTGTTTCTTGAGGCACTGGGCTGGACTGGGGGCGACTCACACATGAACCCAATTAGCAGCGGTTCCCAAACCCCCAAACGGCGCTGGCAGGAGCCCCAGTTGCCATCGCAACCGTGGCCAGAGGGGAGGGGGGCGTCAGGGCTGTGGTGACGAGGGGAGGTGGCTCCTCCCTCTCTCCTCGCCATCTAGGGGCGGAGGTGCAGCCGAGGGGGTGATGCGTGCTGGGCCCAGCCGGGGGAAGGGGGGCAGCGGGCAGCGCGGATTCGTGCGAGCGGCGGCCGCCGCCCCCGGCTCGGTCCCCGCCATCTGCCTCTCATTGCGGCCAGACGGGGGAGGGGGAGGGGCGCCCCAGCGAGGCCTGACAGCGCCCCCAGCCCCGGGCGTCCAGTCGGCCGGGCCAGAGCTCGGTCCGCCAGGGGCCAGCTCCAGCGCCAAACCTCCCCTTCCCCTGGCGGCGCCTGGTGCTGTTGGGGCCGTAGTTCCCGCCCGCCCCCCAGTTCAGTGACAGGCGGCCCAGCCGGGAGGCGGCGCACAGCCAACAGCACCCCCACCCCCACCCCAGTCACGACCTAAAAAGGAGAAAGTGGTGCCCGGGCCCCCAGCCTCACTTCCGCAGGCCAACGAGTCCCCCCGACTCCCTTCGACCTCTGACTCCCTCACCCCCCACCCTAGGCTCGCTGCCTTAAATTCCCCAGACTCAGGATCCCCGGCCCTCCTCTCACTGACCCCAAGACCCCTTCCCAGCCCAGCACTAACCTTCCCCCAATCCCCCCGCGCCCAGCGGGGGGGCCTCCTTTTCCTCCCCGAACACCAGCTTAAATTCCAGCTCCTCATCCTCGCAGCTGGCCGCCCCCATGGATCCGGCAGGAGCCCCCAGGTCCCGGCCTGGGTGGGAGGGGGGAGTTCAGGAGGCTGCTGTATCTTCACCCGGGTGGCTCCCTCCCTCCCTTTCTCTGAGAAGCCCCCTCCTCCGTCGCTGCCGCCTCCCTCCAGAAGCCCCCTCGTTATTATAGAAACTTTTCCAAACTTTTTTCCCCCAAACTTCTTCAAAGCGGTCCCCCCCCCAGCCTGTCCCTGATTGGCTGCCGGGGATGCTCCAGCCCCTCCTCCAGGGATGAGATGGGAAAACCACGCGCCCCTCGTCCTCCCCCACCCTCCCTCCCTCTGTCCTCTCTTCAGTCCCTCCCCCTCAAAAAAAAAAAAACTGAATTGGAAAACGGTCCTTCAAGAGTGATACTAATGTTGCCTATTGGTCCGCCGTTGTGACAATCATTTCCCGCAGAGAGCCCAGCCCCCACCTCCCCTAGTCTCAGTTCAAGGTTCTGGGTCCGAGAGCCTTAAAGGGGCCACATCCTGGGCCCCCAGGGTAGAGAGCCCACGGAAGACCCTTTTTTAAATTCTGAAGACTGTGTAGATAGCACCTAGCAAGGCAGAACCACTTCTCCTCCCCTTTCCCTCCAAGCCTGAGGCCAGGAGGGTCCTGGGGGCAGAGTGGCACCGAGTTGCTCGGAAGAGGAAAAGGCTATTCTTCCGCCTCCCTTGCCTGGGGCTACTCTGCCCGGGCCTTCTGGAAGTCTTTGCGCTGCCGAATCAGCGCCTCCATCAGCCATTCCTCCAGGACCCCCAAAGATGAAGAACGCTTAGCCAGCCTGGATGCCTCTGGGAGCAGTCCGAGCCAAAGAGGCTTTGAGAACTGTCCCTAGGCCCACAGCCCTTGATGGGCGTAGATCCAGGCCAGGCTTTGCCGCTGCCCTTGTCCCAGCCACCCAGAGGGGCCGTGAATTAGCCTCCACGGGAAGTTGGCAGCCTCCTCCCTAGAACTGTAGTCTGGAATGAATCTCTGACCCGATAGCATCCCACTCCGGCTCTTCTAAAAATCCTTGCCAGGTTTACTAGGGGCCTGAAACCTCCGGACCCTGTGGGTTCCCCTCCTCTTCCCCCTCCTTGGCCCCCCCGCCCCCAACAGGCTGGACACCTGTCACCTGGGCTGGAGGAGGAAGGAAGACCTGGACTGGAGTTTCCGGGAAAGTCAGGCTTGGAGAGGCCTGGGTTGTGTGAGAGGGAGTTAGATGGGAGATTCGTGACTCGGTGGGAGATACTGGCGAGGCTGGCGGGTAGGAGAGATGGGAGGGTGGTTATCATTTTCTCCCACACACACACAGTTTCAACCTCTCTTAGAGGCCGCGTCTCCAGTCTCTAAATCCCTCCGGTTCAGGGCCGCACCCCCAACGCCGCCCCATCCCAGCAACTAAACGGTTAAGCGACGGCCCCAGGTCAGACGTTTACAAACACTCAGAAGCCGGGCGGGGACCGCGCCCGTTACTCTAATGAGAAACAGGCTCTACGGGACTGGGGAAAGAAGGGAGGGCTGGCCCGACGGGCCGGAGCTCCGCAGCGGCCGAGGCGGCTTCCCTCCCTCCCCTCGGTCCTCCCTCGGGCCCGCCCAGGGGACCACCCCCCCAGTCCCCGGGGACCCCAGTGACGTGCGGAGCTGCCCCGGCTCCGAGCCCAGGGCCGCAACACAGGAGGGGCGGGGAGAAGAGCCCAGGCCGGCGGGGAGAGAAGAATGTTCCGAGGCCGAGCGGGGAAGCGGCCTGGTTTGATTTTCTTCTTTCTTTTTTTTTTTTTTCTTTTTTTTTTCTTTTTTTTCCTTTGGTTGGTCTCCTCAGGTTACATTTCCCTTCCAGCTTCATCTCGGAAATAAAGGAAGGAGAAACCCACGGGGAGGGAGGACGAGGAACACCTCGACCCATCAACCAGCCTGTACCTAAGAGGGCAAGGGAGGTGGGAAGCGGAGGCGAGAAAAGCAGGGATAGAGACCCCGAGGCCCAGCCCCTGTTCCCCCAGACTCTGCCCCTCCCCGGCCCCACTCCCCGCAGGCACAGCACATGCAGACGCACACATTCTTTTCAAATGTCATATTTCCTTTGATCCTGGGCAGCGTTTCTCCATGTGTCTGGCTCAGCTCCTGCCCAGCCAACCGCCTTCCCCTCTCACCCCTGTTTGTTTTCCTGGAGAACCCTCCTCCTCCTAGCATCTGGAAGGCCCTGAGGGCTGGCGTCGGCCCTCATTCCCCTGATGACTCTGGCCTCTCCTCCCATGACTCAATTTCCCCTTCATGGGTGTTGGGGGGTAGGGAAGGGAGGAGCAGAGGGGAGAGTGGTTGAGATTGTTCAGAGTGCCAAGCTTCTCTGAGGCGGGGGGCGGGGGGGCATCCCCTTGACTCTGAAAACCCTCCAATCTGTCTCGGCTGCGGCAGAGAGATGGAACTTATGACTTCTGAAATGCTCGGCCTGGCGTTGGAGCCTGGGCAACAGCGGGTAGTTGCGGATTTAAGTTGCCCTACACTTCTGCCCCCTGGCGACCAGAAAGACCCAGCCCCCCCGTCCTTGGTTCGCGGTTTCTCTAGCCGCCTGGCCTCGGTCTCAGCTCCGCTGCCTCCTAGCGCACATACCGGAGCACAACCCGGCTTTCTTACCTTGGTTGGTGGCTTCTGCTCTGCACTTTAACAAGCATCATTCAACTTCCTTGGAGGTGGATGTTATTTATTTCTTTTTTTAATTACACAAGATGCAGTCTTCTCTTTTCCCCAGAGGTCTAAATAAAGCTAATTAATATGCATTCTTCTTGTAAACAATTCAAGCTATACAAAAATATGTAGTAAACCTTGATGGTCCACCATTTTGTATGCCTTTATTAACATGTACGCACACACACATGCTCTTTTTATGCGCGTGACAAGCATTTTTCTTGCTTTTTTTTTTCCTCACTTAACAAATGGTTGGAAGATCTTCTCCCATAGTACCATCTGAAAATGATGATGAAAATGCCCACCTTTTCAGTAGATAAAGTGACTTTTACAAATCAGGTTAGCAATAGAGTTGATCTGGAACCCAGGCCTCCTGGGTCCTTGTCAAGTTTGCTAATTCATTCCATCACATTTTACACAGGAATCTGTCCCAGGCTTGGCTCCTCCAGTAAGTAGAGCCTGAGACAAGAACAGGATGTAGGTAGTTTATAGTGAAAAGCAATCAGAAGGAACAGAAAGAGAAGAATGGAAAAAGTGAAACTGGAAAGAAGAAAAGCCAGTCCAAGGGTGTGCTACAGAACAGGTCACCACTCTGAGCAACTGGGATATTATCCTACTGAGACCATCTGTATAGCCACAGAGAATGTAATTGAAGAGAAGAGGCCAGCCTTGTCTCTACTAAAAATAAATTTTAAAAGGCCGGGTGCAGTGGCTCACCCCTGTAATCCCAGCACTTTGGGAGGCCAAAGCAGGCAGGTGGATTGCCTGAGGTCATATACACAGATATACTATATACTATACTATATAGCATATACACAGATATACTATATATATACTATATATGTATATATGTACAGATATACTATATATACACAGATATACACTATACTATATAGCATATACACAGATATACTATATATATACTATATATGTATATATGTACAGATATACTATATATACACAGATATACACTATACTATATAGCATATACACAGATATACTATATATATACTATATATGTATATATGTACAGATATACTATATATACACAGATATACTATACACTATACTATATAGCATATACACAGATATACTATATATATACTATATATGTACAGATATACTATATATATACTATATATGTATACATGTACAGATATATATGTACATGTATACATATATATCTGTACATCTGTATATATGTATACACAGATATACATGTATATAAAGTATATATACACAATGTATATATATAGTCATACAGTATATACATATACACAGTATATACACAGTGTATATATAGAGTATATATGTATACACTGTGTATATATAGAGTATATATGTATACACAGTATATATATATATACACACACAAAAAAAGTTTCTTTATTGTGTATATACACACATATGCACACACAGTAAAGAAAGGGAAAAGCAACGGGTTAAAATAATTTCAGTTATATTAATATACTTCGGGGTTTTTTTTTTTTTGAGATGGAGTCTGGCTTTGTTGCCCAGGCTAGAGTGCAATGGCATGATCTCGGCTCACTGCAACCTCTGCCTCCCAGGTTCAAGTGATTCTCCTGCCTCAGCCTCCCAAGTAGCTGGGATTAAGGCATCTGTAACCCCACACCCGGCTAATTTTTGTATTTTTAGTAGAGACAGGGTTTCACCATGTTGTCCAGGCTGGTTTCGAACTCCTGCTTCAAGTGATCCACTCACCTTGGCCTCCCAAAGTGCTGGGATTATGGGTGTGAGCCACCGAGCCCAGCCCACTTTTTGTTTTTAAAAAAGGAAATACGTATCTTATATTGGTCGATCACAGGGATGAAAAATAACACTACGAATTCTGTTTTGAGTCTTAAGTTTTACAAAGTTGTCAATGACCTTATCAAAATTGATTTTTAGCTCTTTGGGAGGCCAAGGCGGGCAGATCAATTTGAGGCCAGGAGTTCCAGACCGGCCTGGCCAACATGGTGAAACTTTGTCTCTACTAAAAATACAAAAAAATTAGCCAGGCATGGTGGCACATGCCTGAAATTTCAGCTACTCAGGAGGTTGAGACACGAGAATTGCTTGAGCCTGGGAGGTGGAGGTTGCAGTTAGCTGAGATTGCACCACTGCACTCCCGCCTGGGAGACAGAGCGAGACTGTCACAAAAAAAAAGATCTTCATGTACATATCTTCAATAGGCCATATAGACAGATTTGTGGATCTCTCCCACTCCTAGTTGATCAAAGAAAACTTCTTGGTAATTTTAATTTTTACCGAGATACCTTTCACATACCATAAAATTGACTCTTGTGTACAATTCAGTGGGTTTTAGTATATTCACCAAGTTGCACAATTATCACCATATCTAATTCTAAGACATTCTCATCATCCCAAAAGGAAATCTTATACCTATTAGTTAGTAGTCACTCCGCATTCTCCCTTTCCTCCAACCCCTAAAAACCATGAATCTACTTTCTGTCTCTATGGATTTGCCTGTTCTCGACATTTCATGTAAGTGGAATTATACAATATGTAGCCTTTTGTGTCTGGCTTCTTTCACTGAGCATAGTATTTCCAAGGTTCATCCATATTGTTTTATGTATCAGTATTTTATTCCTTTTTATGGCTGAAAGCTAATTTTAATTTTGAAAAATTTTTTCCCATGCAGTAACAGATATATAAATTTCTAGAAAAATACATACATACATATTTTGAGACAACGTCTTGTTCTGTGGCCCAGGTTGGAGTGCAGTGACACAATTATAGCTCACTGTAACCTTGAACTCCTGGGCTCAAGTGATCCTCCTGCCTCAGCCTTTTGAGAAACTAGGACTACAGGTGTGTCTTAATTTTTGTTGAGTCAGTCTCCCTGTGCTTCCCAGGCTGTCTGGAACTGCTGGCCTCAAGCAATCCTCTGGCTTCAGCCTCCCAAAGTGCTGGGATTACAGGTATGAGCCACTGTGCCTGGCCTTAGGGCAAAAAAATCTTAAACCTAAGGATAAGATTGATGAGATTCATAAAAGCCCAATTTCACAATAAATTCCAGAAATTTATTTTCAATGTGTCTTTATTTCTCCAGGATTGAAGCTAATAGCTTTCAAGTGTCTCAGTTGAAAAATGTTAAACACAAACATTCCAAGTTTTCATATAATGTATCATTCATTACTTCATAACATATCACTTCCAAAACTTTATAGCTTTAAACCACAATGATCATTATCCCTCATGATTTCTCTGAGTAAAAAATACAGATGATGCAGTGAGCAAGGCTTCTATCTGCTCAGCAATGTCTGGTGGAGAACTTGAAGGCTGGGAGCTAGAATCACCATGTCTAGCAGTTTATGCTGTTGACTGAGACTTTAGCTAGGGCAACCAGCTGTACCATGTATACACATGACTGCTCCATGAGGCTTGGGCTTCCTTACAACGTGGCAAGTATCAACAGACAGAGAGAGAGCTCCAAGCAGAATCTACCTCCTTTTTATGACCTAGCCTTGAAAGTCACATAGCTGTACTCCATTGATCAGACAGTCACAGTCCCTGGCCAGAATGGAGGGGTGAGAACATACACTCACACCTCTAGGTGGAAGCAGTATCAGATATACCGTATGAAGAGCATGGAGAATGGGGTATACACATGTGACCATCTTTGGGAAACACAATCTAACACAGTCTGCCCTCTGGTCAGAACAGTTCACATTCCTCCCATACTCATCCCCACCCTACAAGACCCTGAAGCCTCATCCCATTGTGGTACCAAGCTCAGGCTCAAAAGCCTAGATCTCATCACCTAGATCCTGGAACTCAAGTGTGAACAAATGCCATATAACAAATCACCCCCAAAATTTAGTGGCTCCATTAAGATACATACTATCTAATTGGGAGATAAGACGTAAACACATGAAAAGTTTCACAATAATAAAAGAGCTTAACAAAAATAATTCAAGAGATGTAATAGAGCAATTCTATCAATAGGAGACGTTTGCTTGGAAGCAACGCAAACTGACTTCTTGTAACTTAAGCAAAAGAAGAATATTATAAAGGCAGACCTCACAGAACCAAAGAAAAGGAGAATCAGTCAGGCTTCAGGAAGAATAGGAACCAGAGTGTTTCTAGGGAACTAGTCAGCAAGACCTGATGCACAGCCTTTGCATGGTGCTGGGCATTTTCAGTTCCTGGTATGTACCAAGTTCTTCCTGCTTCCAGTACTTGGCAGATGCTGTTTTTCCTGCCCAGATCTCTCTTTCTACACAACCCCCTTTGCCTGACTACCTTCTACTCATCTCTACATCTCAGCTACCATCTCAGATCTTCATAACACACATCCCAATTATAATAAGATAACTGCATAGGCTGAGCACGGTGGCTCACACCTGTAATTCCAGAACTTTGGGAGGCTGAAGCAGGCAGATCACTTGAGCCCAGGAGTTTGAGACCAGCCTGGGCAACATGGAGAAACTCCATCTCTACAAAAAATATAAAAATTAGCCGGGCATGGTGGTGCACACATGTAGTCCCAGCTACTTGGGAAGCTGAGGCAGGTGATCACTTGAGCCCAGGAGGCAGAGATTACAGTGAGCTGAGGTCATGCCATTGCACTCCAGCCTGTGTGACAGAGTGAGACTCTGTCTCAAAATAAATAAATAACTGTGTAAGTACTTATTTAATGTCTGAGTACCCCACTAGAGTGGCAATTCTCTAATGAGAGGTACCTTGTCTTATTTCTCTACCTACATCTTTACTTTTTGATTGATCTAATTAGCAAATACCTGTGGAAATAAATGAAGGCTAACCAATGAAAACAGGCAAATACTATTTATTCAGAGCTCTCTATCACAAGTTAGTCAGCCACCATCACTTGCATTTTGGCAGAAACTCAAAAGCAGGCAGAGGAGTGGGAAAGCTTTATAGTGGACAAAGGGAAGGCTTCAGGTATGCCCTGACTGGAGGCTGTGGCATGGGGAAGTCATGTGTGGCCTAACTAGAAGTGGGGCATCATTTCACCCGCAAAATGGAGTAAAGAAAAAAATATTATAGAAATGGTGCATCATACAAGATTGGTTAGGAATGCATATTTGGCTTTCTCTGATTGATCCTAAGTTGGAAGAGGGGACAAAAATTTAAAAAGCTGTCAGTTATTAATCAAGTCCTGGCTCTTTGGAGCAGATTTTTGCAAGGGTTGTTGTTTGGATTCCTGGGCTGGTTGCTAGAGATAGTGATCTGACTTTTCACAAGTCTGACTTTTTTTTTTTTTTTTTTTGAGACAGAGTCTCGCTTTGTCACCCAGGCTGGATTTCAGTGGCATAATCTTGGCTCACTGCAACCTCTGCCCCCTGGGTTCAAGCGATTCTCCTGTTTCAGCCTCCTGAGTAGCTGGGACTACAGGTGCCTGCCACCACTCCTGGTTAATTTTTCATGTTTTTAATAGAGACAGGGTTTCACCAGGTTGGCCAGGCCGGTCTCGAGCTCCTGACCTCAGATGATCTGACCACCTCGGCCTCCCAAAGGGCCAGGATTACAGGCATGACTTTTAGGCAGTTGGCTTCCTGGGCTGGTCATGATAGATAATGGGTTAGTTTCTTGGACTAATTGCTGCATATTGTGGGTCAGGGTTCTATTTTTATATATGGCCATTTTCCATCTGTATATTCAGTCTCTTACATTTATTGAACATCTATTATGTGCCATACACCATGCTAGGCTCTGGGATACAAAGATTGATGAAGATCATGATTGACGATTGAAAAGTTGACAAGATATGGTCTTATCAACCTCCTCCTGTCTTACTGCTGCACCATCCTTAGCATCCCACTGCATGGGAGATGACCACTTATGGTGCAGCCGTCACATCCATGTTTAAACCAACAAGAAGAGAAAAAGCAGAAAAATGCAAACTCTCTTCCCCCACACACCATTTATATTTACTATCGATTGGCCAGAATTTAGTCACATGGCCACATATAGCTGCAACAGAGGCTAGAAAATGTATTTATTCCAAGTTGACGTATGTCTGGCTAAAAAATGACAGGATCTATTACTAAGGAAGATGGCGAGAAAGGTTGTTGGACTCAACTAGCAGCCTCTGCAAACTAGGGAAATGGGGTTTTGGGATTACCCATAGATTCCAGTTACCAATATTTTCTCTTTTGTCTCTTTCTTCTACTATAGGATATTCTTTTTTCTTCTTTTTTTAAAAATAATTTTAATGTTTGTTTTAGATTTACGAAGTACATGCACAGGATTTTTACATGTACTGTAGGATATTCTTGATCTACTACATAATTACCCTCATTCTGTACTACACAGAACAAAACAAGTTCTTTTCATAGTTAAAAAGAAACAGCTCTGTGAGATTCACTGTTATCTATTTTAAAGATGTTGTTTATGGTTACCTATGGCAACTACTCAGAGTGCTCACTCTGTGATCAGGGACACTTTTTCTCTTAGGTCTTAGTGTCAGCAATAACTATGCTTCTCCTGGACCATCAGGCAAAAGGCAAGACCAATGAGTTTTTTTATTTTTATTTTTATTTTTATTTATTTATTTTTGAGACAGAGTCTCACTCTGTGGCCCAGGCTGGAGTGCATTGGCACGATCTTGGCTCACCACAAAATCTGCCTCTCAGGTTCAAACGATTCTCCTGTCTCAGCCTCCCAAGTAGCTGGGATTACAGCTGTGTGCCACCACGCCCAGCTAATTTTTGTATTTTTAGTAGAGACGGGGTTTCACCATGTTGGCCAGGCTGGGTCTCAAACTCCTGACCTCAAGTGATCCGCCCTCCTTGGCCTCCTAAAGTGCTGGGATTACAAGTGTGAGCCACCACACCCGACCCCATTGAAACTTTTAAAAGGGCAGATGTTGAGCTTTGTTGTGGGCCAAGCACTTGAAATATACATTGTAGACCATTAGTGCAATTAATTTGGTCCACTCTAAAATTATGTTCTGTCTTTTTGGATAAAATCCATGATCCAATTAAATTCATGACCACGTAACATTCATGTTCATGGTCACATAGAATTCTCCAGATTTTGCCTTAGAAAGTTCCCATGGCTCCTTCTGGGCATCATTCCTGTTTATTTTGATGTTTTTGCTTCCCACCTTCTGGTTTATCCTAGTCAGAGGATGAGCCTAAGGAATTGAGCTATAATAGCAAAGCAGATTTCGCTCTCTCCTCTGCAAGAAGAAAACAGTGAAAATTGTTTCAACAGGGACTATATTTATTGTCTCGCTCTGTCACCCAGGCTGGAGTGCAGTGGCGCGATCTCAGCTCACTGTAACCTCTGCCTCCCAGGTTCAAGACATTCTCTGCCTCAGCCTCCCAAGTAGCTGGGATTAAAGGCGCCCGCCACCATGCCCGGCTAAGTTTTTGTATTTTTAGGAGAGACAGGTTTTCACCTCTTGTCCAGGCTGGTCTTGAACTCATGATCCACCCCCCTGGGCCTCCCAAAGTGCTGGGATTACAGGCATGAGCCTCCATGCCCAGCCCCAGATCATTATTCTTACTTTCACTGCAAAAAACTGGTGAGGTTGTAAACTTTGCTGCAATTCAACAACTTGCAAGATCAATTTCTTCTTCTTTTTTTTTTTTGAGACGGAGTCTGGCTCTGTCACCCAGGCTGGAATGCAGTGGTGTGATCTCGGCTCACTGCAGCCTCTGCCTCCTGGGTTCAAGCGATTCTCCTGCCTCAGCCTCCTGAGTAGCTGGGGCTACAGGCACCTGCCACCACGCCCAGCTAAATTTTGTATTTTTAATAGAGATGGGGTTTCACCATGTTGGCCAGGCTGGTCTCAAACTCCTGACCTCAAGTGATCCTCCCGCCTCGGCCTCCCAAAGTGCTGGGATTACAGTGCAAGATCAATTTCTGAATTCAGTTTTTAGCTGATATCTGCAGAGAGAAGGGTGCCAGGCAATGGTGCTTTATTTTCTTCCGGGCTTTGAGGTGGATATTCTGAGTTTAACATTTTTATTCTCTCACCTTTAGCTATCCAATGCCATTGGAAACAAAAATTCAGCCCTAGAATCCCACATTCCTCATCATCTTTAAAGTGTTCCATAGGAACTGTTACCTGGTCCTTCAGGATCTCATCTAGCTTTCCTTGATGGAATGTGGAAGGAGTCTCATTGGGCAAAAGCTCAATCTTTCCCCCCTATCCAATTCCAAATGCCCCATACATCCTCTGAGGTTTTGGTGCATACAGTCCTATCTATAGAGTGGCAAAATTAAGTAATCATTTAATTTACCATCAGTGAGATACTATACTGAGGTTAAATGTGCATTGTACTTTCATCTAGTGACTAATATATATGATTGTTTAACCAATACCAGAATACGTGGTTGTAAGAAATAAGATTTGGCAGACAGAATAATGGCCCACCCCCAACCCCCAATTATTAGATATTCCCGTTTTAGTTCCCAAAAACCTATAAATATGTTATCTTACATGGCAAAAGGAACTTTGTAAATGTGATTAAGTTAAGGGCCTTGAGATGGGGGATTATCTTGAGTTATCTGGATGAGCCTAATATAATCACAAGTGTCCTAAAAAGTACAAGGGGAAACTGAGTGCTCATGTCTATAATCCCAGCTACTCAGGAGGTCAGGGCAGGAGGATTGCTTGGGGTCAGGAGTTCAAGACCAGCCCAGTCAACATAGCAAGACCTCATCTCTTAAAAAAAAAAATATATATCTATGTATATATATATATGTATATATGTATCTATGTATATATATATGTATATATGTATATATGTATATATGTATATATGTATATATATGTGTGTATATATGTATATATGTGTATATATGTATATATATGTATGTATATATATGTGTGTGTATATATATATGTGTGTATATTTATATATATATATAGGCTGGGGGCGGTGGCTCACACCTGTAATCCCAGCCCTTTGGGAGGCCAAGGCAGGTGAATCATTTGAGGTCAGGAGACCAAGACCAGCCTGGCAAACAGTGAAACCCCATCTCTACCCAAAATACAAAAATTAGCCAGGCGTAGTGATGCGTGCCTGTAGTCCCAGCTACTTGGGAGTCTGAGGCCAGATAATCACTTGAACCCGGGAGGCAGAAGCTGCAGTGAGCAGAGATCGTGCCACTTGCACTCCAGGCTGGAGACTCCATCTCCGAAAAAAAAAAAAAAAAAAAAGATAGTGGAATGGGAGGCAACAGAAGACAGTCAGGCGGAGCTGTGTCTGTGGGAAAAAAAGTCACAGAGAGATGCAGAGTTGCTGGCTTTGAAAATCTAGGAAGAGGCCATGAGTCAAGGAATGTGGGTGGCTTCTAAGAGCTGGAAAGGCAAGGAAACAGATTCTCTCCTAAAGCCTCCAGAAGGACCACAGCCCTGTCAATGCCTGATTTTAGCCCAGTGAGGCCAGTGTTGAACTTCTGTCCTACAGAACTGTAAGATAATACATTTGTGTTGTTTTAAGCCACTAAGTTTATGGTTATTTGTTACAGCAGCAATAGGAAAGGAATACACAAGGGGTGGTCTCATCTCTACAAATGCTGTCACCGACCCAATCTCCACAGTTTTGCTTCGAATCCCTATGACTCTCTAGAGATTTTACAATTCAAGGAATAACTACTTGCACAGGGGACTCGAGAGTGGTTCCCCTACCACTGCCCATTTTAGGCCTTGTACCATTAAAGGAACTGGCAGGCCAGGTATGCTGGTGCATTCCTGTAATCCTAGCACTTTGTGAGGCTGAAGTGGGAGGATCATTTGAGCCCAGAAGTTCAAGACCAGCCTGGGCAACATAGTGAGACCCTGTCTCTACAAAAATTTTTTTTTTAATTAGCCAGACGTGGTGGCACATGCCTGTAGTCCCAGCTACTTGGGAGGCTGAGGCACTAGGTTTGCCTAAGCCAGGAGGCTGAGGCCGCAGTGAGCTATGGTAATGCCACCACCCTCCAGCCTGGGCAACAGCAAGACCCCATCTCAAAATAAATAAATAAATAAATTTAATTAAATAATTAAGTAACTGGCAAAACAAGAAAAACAAAAATATGTCACAGTATTGTTTAGGTCTACTGTGATTGACCCCAACCATCATGGGGAAAAAAGGTTACTACTAAGCAGTAGAGCCCAAAAGGGTATGCCTGAAACTCCAGGCACTCCTCTAAGTGCTTCCCACCATGCCCACTGCTGAGGGTTAGCAGAAGATTGCTACAAGCCTACATAGGAAGGACTGTCAAGTGCTCAAAACCCTCCAGAATGAAGGTAGGCCACCCTGCTAAGTATAGCAGCAACAAAACACAGCAGCCAGCTAAGGGGCTGGTCAAAGACAAGGTAGAAGAAAACAAAAACAGAAGCAAACTACCAGTTACCAACCTGTCCAATGGCCGACATGAGGGTGGTGTCTTTCGTTCCGTTTTCTGCTTGAGTGTCCAATGAATAAAGTGTTACCTCCTTCCCTTACATTTCCTCTTCCTGCTTATTTATTTATTTATTGAGAAAGAATCTCACTCTGTCGCCCCGGCTGGAGTACAGTGGCGTAATCTTGGCTCACTGCAACCTCCACCTCCTGGGCTCAAGAAATCCTCCCACCTGGCCACCTGGAACACCGCAATCCCAGCACTTTGGGAGGCCAAGGTGGGTGAATCACCTGAGGTCAGGAGTTCAACACCAGCCTGGCCAACATGGTGAAACCCCATCTCTACTAAAAATACAAAAATTAACTGGATGTGGTGGTGCATGCCTGTAATCCCAGCTACTCGGGAGGCTGAGGCAGGAGAATAGCTTGAACCCAGGAGGCAGAGGTTGCAGTGAGCTGAGATCGTGCCACTGCACTCCAGCCTGGGCGACAGAGTGAGACTCTCTCTCAAAAAAAAAAAAAAAAGAAAAGAAAAGAAAAAAAGAGAGAGATCCTCCCACCTCAGCCTCCTGAGTAGCTGGGATTACAGGTGTGCGCCACCACGCTGGGCTAATTTTTTGTATGCTTCAGCAGAGACAGGGCTTCCCCATGTTGGCCAGGCTGGTCTCAAACTCCTGACCTCAGGTGATCCACCCACCTCGGCCTCCCAAAATGCTGGGATTATAGGCATGAGTCACCATGCCTGGCCTCCTCTTCTTGTTTCAAATAGAAATAATCATAACTTTTATTCTTTCTTCTATTTTCTCCCTGTTATAAAGAGTTAATTAGTGTGGCTTCCTTAAAGAAAGGTAGATTCCCACAGAGATTCACATCATATGAACTAATAGATAGAAAGGAAACTTACAAACTAAACAAGCAAAAGAGGTTATGTCTTTAAAACAAAATCATGTCACTTCTCAGAATGTAAACTAAGGGCAGAATCTATTTCTGATTCATCTGTGTCTTTCCCTATTGCATAACAGAGTGCCTTGTGCTTTCCATGTGGTTAATAAATATTTGCTGAATGAGGGAGGAGGGAAGGAGGAAGGAAGGAAGAAAGGAAGGAGGGAAGGAAGGAAGGAAGGGAGGGAGGGAGGGAGGGAGGGGGAGAGGGAGGGAGGGAGGCTATTCCTCCCTTCTAGCTCATATTAACATACTTCCTTCTCCCGCATGATTCGCCATCATGCAGCCTGCTGTCTTCTCTCCTCCATCCCTGCTTCTCCCCAGGAACAATCTCAACCTCTTACCTTGCCCCTTCTACCTTGCGGATCCCTGTTCTATTGGTGTAACTTCTTGTTTCTCCAAATCTTTCAGTCAAAACTTCCTCCCTCTCACCTTACCTGAGACCTGGACATTCTCTCATAACCTTTGCACAGACAGGCCATCCTTTCACATAACAGAGAAGAAAGTGGAGTTTTCCTTTCCATGGCCTCATAGCAGCTTTCAGAATCACTCTTGATCATTTTCACTTAGAAACTCCTCTGAAGGTTGTGCCACTCATTTCATTCACTCATGCCACCCTGTCCCTATCTGAGTCATGGCCACCTGACAACCTAAAGGACTCCTCTGGTGGACTTTGGCCCCTGGCTCAGGGTGTCTCTCTACCTCATCCCTACCAGCCACCTGGGGACTAAGGCTATTCCAATACTCCAGGTTATGTTCCTCGATCTAATGACCCTTACATCTATAATTTAAAATACGCAACATACTGTCCACTTACCAGGGTTTAGGAATGCTCCATTCCATACTACCAAACTCTGAAATTACACTTTTTTTTTTTTTTTGAGATAGAGTCTCGCTCTGTCACCGAGGCTGGAGTGCAGTGGTGTGATCTCAGCTCACTGCAAATTCCGCCTCCTGGGTTCAAGCAATTCTCTGCCTCAGCCTCCCAAGTAGCTGGGATTACAGGCATGTGCCACCACGCCTGGCTAATTTTTGTATTTTTAGTAGAGACAGGGTTTCACTATCTTGGCCAGGCTAGTCTTGAACTCCTGACCTCATGATCCACCCGCGTCAGCCTCCCAAAGTCCTGAGATTACAGGCGAGAGCCACTGTGCCCAGCCTTGAAATTCCCCTTTTTGACCCAAACCTTGAGTTTCTGTGCCCTGCTCTCTCCTCACCAATTCTGATTTCCATTACTTTATTCTCCTAGACTAACAACCCCCTATTCCAGCGTTAGTGCTCTCCCTGTCCAACCTGGGATCCACGTGAGCCATTTCAAAAGTGTTTTCACAAGCAATCAAGATTTCCTCAGCCCTTAACTTTCCATCACTTCTCAAACTGAGGTAAGCCAAGCATGCATTTCTCTGCCTCCTGGTCTGGAGAAAGTTTCACAATCATGATGATTGATTCCATAATAAATCACTGCTTTCTAACTTCGGCTGGACCCTCGCTGCTGCTCCACAAACATTTTATCCATCTGTAGTTATCTCTAGCCGACTTCACCATGATCAACTAATTTGCATCAGATCAACCCTCTGAGAGCAACTACAAAAGCTGGGTACAGTTATTAAAAAAATTTTTATTTCAGTAGCTTTTGGGGTACAAGTGGTTTTGGGTTACATGAATGAATTGTATAATTGTGAAGTCTGAGATTTTAGTGCACCTGTCACCCAAATAGTGTACAACGTACCCAATATATAGCTTTTTATTCCTCGCCCCGCTCCCACCCTTCCCACATCTGAGTCTCCAATATCCATTATACCACTCTGTATGCCTTTGCATAGCTGGGTACAAATTTTTTTAAATATGTTTGAAGACAGTGGAAATTCATCAAGGCAGGAGGCTTTGAAGGGCCAACGTCCCAGAAGAAAGGGAAAGCATGTTGAGGTGAGGCCAACATTCTGCATGGTCTGTCCCATGGGGGATATTTATCGATTTGTGAGAGGCAGCCAGACTCAGCAGGAGATAGTGCCTAAGAGGTAGGAGGCTGAGAAGAACTTTCAGTAGTCTACAGTCCTGAGAAAACAAAAATGGGAATTTAGGACCTGTTAAGGAGGAAGGACCTGTTAAACACCACAGGATATCGTTAGCGTCCCTGAAGAACTATATTCTAGGACTAAAGCTGTATCGGTCAGGGTTTAATCAGGACACAGAAACCACACAGTCATTTGAAACAGGAACGTTTAATATAAACAAGTATTGTGCTCACTTTGGCAACACATATACTAAAATGATACAGAGAAGAATAGGATGGCCCCTGCACAAGGATGACATGCAAATTCATGGAGTGTCTCATATTTTTATTTGCAAAAATAAAATAAAGAAGCATTAACTCCAACAGGGTGTTGGCATACTAAGGGATTAGCTAGTAAGAAGAAATGAGAATTCCAAAGGACACAGGAACAGCAAATTTAAGAAAAACCCACTACTCCTAGGGCTGAAATAGCTGTGAAATTGGCCAAGCAGATGCCAAAGCAAGTTATTCATGGGGAGGTGCCTTAGCAGTTGCAACAGGCTGAGAAGTCACCCAGAAATGTGCCAGGGGAAGCTTTTGGCTGCTAGGCACTGCTGACCACTTTGCACTGCCTGAGTGTACACTGAAGAAATTGCACACGCTGCAGGAGTAAGGCAAAGGAGCAAACCAAAACCAGGAAGATGGACTTCTTCCTGCTCCAGTGTTCCTCCAGCACCCACTACTGACAGCGCTTAACACTATGCCAGCTGGCAAAAGAGAGATACGATATTCCCCCTTATCTGTGGGGATATGTTCCAAGACCCCTAGTGGAGACCTGAAACCACAGATAGCACCAAACTCCAGCCAAAGAACGCCAAAGTTACATTTTCTTTTCTTTTATTAGACAGGGTCTCACTCTGCCACCCAGGCTGGAGTGCAGTGGTGGGATCACAGCTCCTTGTAGCTTTGTTCTCCTGGGCTCAAGCGATCCTCCCACCTCAGCCTCCCAAGTAGCTGGGACTACAGATGTACGCCACCACACCCAGCTAACACATTTTCACTTAAAGCAGCACTTTATGGTTTCTTGTTGGCATATCCAAATTGTTAGCAACACTACTCTTTGCTTTGGGGCCATTATTAAGTAAAATAAAGATTACTTGAACACAAGCACTGAGATACCCGGACAGTCGATCTGATTACGAATACCAACACTAAGTGAATAACAGGCAGGTATCGTAGACAGCATGGATAATTCCCTTGATCGTTCTTTATACTTAACCTAACTTCCATCTCTTTCCCTCCCTTCACTACTAAACCTCTTCATTTTTTATTTGTTTATATTTATTTTTGCAAAATCAGAGTCTCCCTATGTGGCCCAGGCTAGTCTCAAGCTTCTGGGCTCAAGCAATCCTCCTGCCTCAGCCTCCCAAAGTGCTGGAATTACAGTCATGAGCCACAGCACATGGCCTAAAGTTCACTTTTTCTTTTCTTTTCTTTTCTGAGACAGTCTTGCTCTGTCACCCAGTGGCGCAATCTCAGTTCACTACAACCTCCACCTCCCGGGTTGAAGCAATTCTCCTGCCTCAGCCTCCCAAGTAGCTGGAATTACAGGCGCCAGCCCCCACGCCTGGCTAATTTTTGTATTTTTAGTAGAGATGGAGTTTCACCATGTTGGCCAGGCTGGTCTTGAACTCCTGACCTCATGATCTGCCTGCCTCAGCCTCCCAAAGTTCTGGGATTACAGGCATGAGCCACTGTGCCCGGCCTAAAATTCACTTTTTAAGATGTTGAATCTCATCCAAAAACACCCTCCAAGCAGACCCATAAAATGTAACCATCACAAGGTCCTTCTCCCACACAATGGGAGCTTGCTCACTACTCCTCTCCTTTCCAGCTCCAATGCAAACACAGCCAAGAAGTGCAAGGGAGTTAGTGCCTCCAGATGCAATCCTCAACCAATGAGTGCAGGCACTGGCAGATGAATGTTCCAGCCTCCCATCCTTCATGTGGACAATTCTGGGAGGCATTCTTTAAATTTGGAGCCTCTACTGGAAAGGAGCCTCCACTGCCTACAATAACAATCTCAACAAAACATCCTCATATTGGCTTTCTTCCCTTCCTAGTTCACACTCTGTTCCCTCACTGCTGCTTCTTGGGATCCCCTCCCCAAAACACTACCTTTGTTAAATCCAAGCTCAGGCTCTTCTTTTTGGGAAACCCAAACTTAGACGCCTTCTCAGTAGCAGCTGAGTCTGATAAGTCTCTCCTCCCTTGGCTATCCTGGTTCTGCTCCGGCCTCTCTGACCTCAGTTTCTCTCACTGGTTTCTCTTCTGCTGGCCTGACTTTGGAGATGTAGTGTTTTCTGTCCTCTGCCTTCTTCCCTTCTTCCTCCATAGACTCTCTCGGTTGGTGTCGTTCATTTCAGCATAACTCTCACCACTTCCCTGCTCCGGTCTCCTGTCTTCTCCTGCCTGCTAGGGATCCCTTGAGGCTGCAGCACGTGGCTCTCACACAAACATGTCCACATCCAAATATAGCCCATTCCCACATAATGTATCTCTTCTATGTTCCATACCTCAGTGTCATGGCATTACTATTCTCTCAACTTTCCAGAATAGAAACTTTGAATATTCCTTCTCTCTCATCCCCAGGTTCTTCTACTAATACCTCAGAGTTATTTCTAGACTGAGTTTCTTCCTCTCGATCCCTGCAGGCATTAACTTGGTTCAGGTCCTCATCACCTCTCACTTGAATTGCTCTAACTGTGGCCTGCAGTTTTCCCTGCCTCCAGTTCTCCCCATCTCATTTCATGCACCATGTAGCCACTGGCTTGAGCCTCCTAAGTCACAGATCTAATCATGTTGCAATGTAGCTCAAGACCATTCCACAGCTTCTGATATTAAAACAAAGCAAAACCTTTTAAGCCAGAGTTCCTGGCACAGAAGAACTTGAGAAGGCATGTATTCAAATGAGAACAGTGGTCATTTATGTACCCTTACTGCTCATTTGGGGCACCTCTTTACCTCCACACCACAGCTGTTTGTGGAGGGCACTTTCTTCCATCCAAAACCTGGTCTAAGTTACACAAATTCCCTGTTGGTAGTTCCCTTATCAAAGGTGAGTCAGTCTTACACTTTCAAAATGAACTTTCTTAAAAATTAAAGTAAATCCAAGAAGTACACACACACACACACACACACACACACAACCCATAAGCAGGAATATCTGAACCTTTAAAAATGAATAGATCTATTTTTTTAATCATAACAGGTAGAAATATAAAACCCAAACTCTAAAACTTAGAAAGAAGCATAAGAGAAAATCACTGTAACCTTGGATGAAGCAAAAATTTCTTATAGACTACACCAAAAGAAAAACTTGATTTTTTATCATCTATAAAAGAAAAACTTGACAAGTTGGATTTTGTCAAAAGTAAAACTTTTGCTCTTTGAAAGAAACTGTTAAGAAAATGAAAAGACTAGACATAGGCAGGGAGAAAGTATTTTTAAATGATACATCTGAAAAAGAACTTGTATCCAGAATATATAAAGAACTTTCAAAACTCGGTAATAATAAAACAAACAATCCATTAAAATATGAGCCAAAAATTTGAACAGACACTTCACCTAAGAAGACGTATGGATGGTGGTAGGGCGCAGTGGCTCACGCTTGTAATCCCAGCCATTTGGGAGACTGAGGCGGGCAGATCACCTGAGGTGAGGAGTTCGAGACCAGCCTGGGCAACATGGCAAACCCCTGCCTCTACTAAAAATACAAAAAAATCAGCCAGGCATGGTGGCATACGCCCGTAGTCCCAGGTACTTAGGAGGCTGGGGCATGAGACTCACTTGAACCTGGATGGCAGAGGTTGCAGTGAGCAGAGATGGCGCCACCGCACTCTAGCCTGGGCAACAGAGTGAGATTCTGTCTCAATTAAAAAAAAAAGAAAAGATATATGGATGGCAAGTAAGCACATGAAAACATGCTTATATTATTGGTCATTGTGGAAATGCAAATTAAAACCACAATGAGCTACCTATCCAAATAGCTAATAGTAACAGGACTTGAACATAGCAAATGATGGCAAAGATATGAAAGAACTAGAGCTCTCATACATTTCTGGTGAGAATATAAAATACTACAACTACTCTGAAAAACTATTTCACAATTTTTTTTTTTTTTTGAGAGAGAGTCTCACTCTATTGCCCAGGCTGGAGTGTAGTGGTGTGATCTCAGCTCACTGCAGCTTCCACCTCCCAGGTTCAAGCGATTCTCCTGCCTCAGCCTCCCAAGTAGCTGGGATTACAGGTGTGTACCACTACACCTGGCTAATTTTTGTGTTTTCAGTAGATACCAGGTTTCAACACGTTGGCCAGGCTAGTCTTGACCTCCTGACCTCAAGTGATCCACCCACCTCAGCCTCCCAAAGTGCTGGGATTAAAGGTGTGAGCCACTGCACAGTGGCCGATTTGGTAAATTCTTTAAAAGTTAAGTGTATGCTAATATGGATTGGGTGTGTCCCCAACCAAATCTCATCTTGAATTGTAGCTCCCACAATTCCCACGTGTCATGGGAGAAACCCGGTGGGAGGTAATCGAATCATGGGGGCATGAGAAAGACTCCTGTTAAAATATTTAATAAAAAAAAATAGTCTTACTTGATTCAAAGTTCTTGTTTCTGATTCTGTCAAAGGACTTTGCCCAAAAAGGAAAGTAGCTAAAAAGAGCATAGATAAGGGTTTAAAACCCCACTCTGCCACAAAGTCATCGTGTGACCTTAGGCTGGCTACTCTCATGGCCTTTTCCATTTCTCATCCGTTGAATGGGGCTAATGATATTCTGCCTCACAGGTTTGTTGCTAAACTTAGAATGACATGACAGGTGGGAGAGAGTCCCTAGCACATCCTAGGCTCCAGTGTGTATATATCAGGCCCCATCTCTGAGAAGGTTAGATTCCTTTCTGTTCCCCTCCTTTCCCTTCCTTTCCTCTTTTGTTTCAGATCAGGATCCTAGCTACAAAGACATTCAGGGGAGAAACAATGAAAAGGAAACAGGCCAAAGGGTGTGTCTTGGGTTGTGTTCCCTGAAAACAGTGCCCCTGAGACCTGGACTTGAGATTTCCTGGAAGGGTGACCCCAGGAATCAGAAGGGAGGGAGCAGAAAACGTGAGTCAGGGAAGGAGAAAATGCCAATACAAAGGTGCATTTTGAGCTAGCTACTGAGGTGGAGCTCAGAGCAGATCCTCAGGAACTGCAGAACACACCTCAGAAAGGACAGGAGGCTGGGCACTGGCTGGTTCCCTCCATTGGTTAAGGGTTGCCCTCAGAGCACTGATGCTACTCTCCTCTCCCACACTTCTCTCAGCTGAGGGAGAAAGGCAGAGACAAGTCCTCTTGGATGGGATCCTGGCAGGGTTAAGGGATGGCTCACCACAGATGCAGCTCAAATCAGAGGCAACCTGAGGACACACAGCCCAATGCACCCCAAGTGGCTGCCTCAGGCCCAAAGCCCATCCTTGCGCCAACAACATAACCCTCTTAACCTTGTTGAGCACCTTTGCACCAGGCAACAGACATCCAATACTTCTCAGCAGAGAAACCAGAGACCCTCGGTTAAAGCCCTCTCTCCTCAAGACCACAGGCAGGGAGGGACACACTGCCTTCCTCAGTCACTCCCTCAGAACAGTTGTCTGGGAGAGAAGAGAGAGACCTGAGGGCTGAGTTGTTAAAAAGGCCCTAGGACGGAGGGGTGGGGCTGGAAATTTTCAGGAGAAGGAAGAGGGAGCTATTTCATTGAACAGTAGTTAAATCCATTTTCTCTGCTCTACAAATAAATTGTGAACCAGATATGTTCTTCATATTGGAAACACAGCAATGCTTATTGTGATAATACCTATCACCTATTGGGCATATAATATTTGCCTGGAATTATGCGGTCTTCTTTCTTTCTTTCTGTCCATCTGTCTTTTTTTTTTTTTTTTTTTTGAGACAGAGTCTCGTTGTGTCACCCAGGCTGGAGTGCAGTGGCTCAATCTCGGCTCACTGCAACCTCCACCTCCTGGGTCCAAGCAATTTTCCTGCCTCAGCCTCCCAAGTAGCTGGGACTACAGGCACCCACCACCATGCTCAGCTTTTTTTTTTTTTTTTTTTTTTTTGTATTTTAAGTAGACACGAGGTTACAGTATGTTGGCCAGGCTGGTCGTGAACTCCTGACCTCATGATCCACCCGCCTCGGCCTCCCAAAGTGCTGGGATTACAGGCATGAGCCACCATGCCCAGCCTCCTGTGGTCTAACCTATTATCATGCTGAGCCTTGCTATGTTCTTTCATCCTCATTTCATTTCACCCTCAGAACAACTCAATCCAGTAGGTGCTATAATTAACCAAAATTCAGAGAGGTTGAGTAACTTGCTAAAGGTCAAACAGCCAGTAATTGACAGAGCAGAAATCAACCCCAGGTAGACTGACTCCAGAGCTTATACCCTTGACCGTTAGGCTATACTTTACTCCCTGTAAATAAACAGCAGGACTCACCTGAGGTCAGGAGCTCAAGACCAGCCTGACCAACATGGAGAAACCCCGTCTCTACTAAATATACAAAAAAAAAAAGAATAGCTGGGTGTGGTGGTACATGCCTGTAATCCCAGCTACTCGGGAGGTTGAGGCAGGAGGATTGCTTGAACCCAGGAGGCAGAGGTTGCAGTGACCCAAGATCGCACCATTGCACCCCAGCCTGGGCAACAAGAGCGAAGCTCCGTCTCAAACAAAAAAAAGAAAAAAGAAAAGAAAAAAAGAAACAGCAGGACACCCAGCTAGGGAAGCAACATGAAGCAGTGGCCTGCTCCACTGGGGTGAGAGGAGCTGGGAGAGCACAGAAATTATATTTTGACATTAACTAGACAGTAAGAAAGAGAGAAGGACTCACACTGACAGAAGGGGCATTACGGTTATATGTGTGTGGACGCTTAACTTATAGCTGCCCAAAATCTTTTTGGTCCCACCATGGTAATGTAGAATCAAAATAGTTACCCTGCCCAGCCTCCCTTCCTTGAGGGTACAGACAAGTACGTTAAGTTCTGCCAAAGAGACGCTCTGGGACGCAGATCCAAAATGCGGTGTGAGGAAACAGATTAAGCACAAGGATTCCATTTTGCTAGGACGGTGAGCGCAGGTGGGATAGGAGAGCTAAAGGTATGTGGTTCTTTGTGAAAGCATCAGCCCCTCAGCTCTCCTAAGGAAAAGCAAGTAAAAGGGGGCTTCAGACCTGCTTGGAATCCTAAAGGAGAAGAGCAATACTTGGGCCCTGGAGGAGGCTCCCCAAAAGAAAGCATCTCAAGGATAGGGAGAGGCGGGTGCCACAGTGAATGGAGTCCCTATCCAAGTGGAAAGTTCTCCCCATTACTCTTCTCTCTCAAACCTGGGGTTTGTTTGGTGACTTTCCTGAGTTGAGTATAGCTCAGTCCCCAAAAGTGACAGTTCTTTTGCACATAGTTGCAACCTTTCCCCATGTGTGGAGGGTTTGTTTTCAGTAGCTGGGATAAGGGTTCCCCCATGAGCTGGAGCATCCCTGAGTCGGCAGGGGGTGGAAGGAAGGGGGCAGACGGGAATCCGCACTGCCACAGTAAAAAGAGGTTTCTTATTGCCGGGCGCGATGGCTCACCCCTGTAATCCCAGCACTTTAGGAGACCGAGGTGGGCAGATCACGAGGTCAGGAGTTCAAGACCAGCCTGACCAACATGGTGAAACCCCATCTCTGCTAAAAATATAAAAATTAGCAGGGCATGGTGGTGAGCGCCTGTAATCTCAGCTACTCAGGAGTCTGAGGCAGGAGAATTGCTTGAACCCGGGAGGTGGAGTTTGCAGTGAGCCGAGATCATGCCACTGCACTCCAGTCTGGATGACAGAGTGAGACTCCGTGTCAAAATAAATAAATAAATAAATAAATAAATAAATAAATAAATAAATAAGAGATTTCTTATCACTCTATGTTTACTATTCACCTCCAGACAAAAAATGAGAACTTTTTATTCTGTAAACCTTAGACAGTAAGTCCAACCTCCCTTGATTGTGAGGATTTACTGTGAAAGTGCTTTGTGAACCATCACATGTGGAAAAGACCAGTTGTTATCATTGTTGCTGGTGGGGGCGGGGAGGGAAAGGCCACTCAGCCAGTCTGGCAGTTGGACTCATGAAAGTTCACACTGTAGACTTTACCCTTGACTCAGAACATGCTCTCTGAGTGGAATCACCTCTATCACGTTATGTCTGTCAAAATCTTACCATATTGAAACTCCAAGACCTAATAACATCCATTAAATACCAAAGTGACCAGCAGGCTACTTACAATTACAAGAAATCAGGAGGGAGCAGCAAATAATAGACTGACGGGCTAGGGTAGTGGCAGGTGGGAGAGGGAAGCTGCTACATCTCTGGGCATGTCTTGGAGACAAAGAGGAAGCTGAACTGTAGAATTACTACACTCATTTCATGAACTCATTTCAGGAAAATTAGAAAATGCAGATAAAAATAAGACTATAAGTACTCACCTCAGCAGCACACACACTAAGAAAAAGATATGATTATAAAATATAAGAACATAAAAATCACCTATAAGCCCATCAGCCAGGAATAATTCCTTTAAACATTTTTCTATTTGTCCATTCATATATTTTTCTAAGCATATATACGTATACATACATACATTCTTTCTTCGCGGTGAAATCTGATGTTAAATCAAACAGCTAAATGTTTATTAATATAAATTTTCATATGTCCCTTTCTAATACTAGAATCATATTTTTAGCAGATCCTTTTGTGGTAAAATACACATAGCACAAAATTTATTATTTTAACCCTTTAAGTGTACAGTTTTGTGGCATCAGGTACATTGACTTCATTGTATAACCATTACTACATCGTTAGAACCTTTCATCTTCCCAAATTAAACTCTGTACTCACTAAACAGTAACTCTCCATTCTCTTCCCTCAGCCCCTACAAACCACCATTCTACTTTCATCTCTATGAATTTGACTATTCTAGGTACCTCTTATAAGTGAAATCATACGATATGTGTCCTTTTGTGACTGGCTTATTTTACTTACCATAATATCTTCAAGATTCATCCACATTATAGCATGTGTCTGAATTTTATTAAGGTTAAATCATATTTTTAAGGCTGAATTATATTGTATGGTATGTATATACAACAGTTTGTATTGGACCGATCCATTCACTTATTGATGGACATTTAGGTTGTTTTCACCTTTTGGCTGTTGCGAATAATGCTGCTATGAACATTGGTGTACAGTTATCTATTTGAATCCATGTTTCCTATTCTTTTTTTTTATTTTTATTTTTATTTTTTGAGACAGAGTCTTGCTCTGTCCCCCAGGCTGGAGTGCAGTGGTGTGATCTTCGCTCACTGCAACCTCTGACTCCTGAGTTAAAGCGATTCTCCTGCCTCAGACTCCTGAGTAGGTGGGATTACAAGCACATGCCACCATGCCTGGCTAATTTTTGTATTTTTAGTACAGATGGGATTTCACCATGTTGGCCAGGCTGGTCTCAAACTCCTGACCTCAAGTGATCCGCCAGCCTCGGCCTCCCAAAGTACTGGGATTACAGACATGAGCCACTGTGCCTGGCCTCAATTCTTTTAGGATATACTCAGGGGTGGAATTACTGGTAGCAGATCTTTTTAAAAAATTAGTCCTGGCCGGGACTGTCACCTCAATTAATACCATTTGGTCTGTAATTAGAATCTCTTAATCAAACAACGGATAAGAATTAAGACTAGAATATGCAAGGAGACCACATAGATCCCCCACAACCCGCTACCCCTACAACAATTAGGGAGAGGGAACCAGAGCTCACAGGAGAGATGAACTGAATGTAATTAGAGACAATCAGGAGCAGGGAACTGAAGGAATAAGAAATATCCAAGTAAGGCTGGACGTGGTGGCTCACACCTGTAATCCCAGCACTTTGGGAGGCCAAGGCAGGTGGATCACAAGGTCAGGAGTTCGAGACTAGCCTGGCCAACATGGTGAAACCCCGTCTCTACTAAAAATACAAAAATTAGTAGCTGGGCGTGGTGGTGCATGTCTGCAATCCCAGCTACTCGGGAGGCTGAGACAGAATTGCTTGAACCCAGGAGGCAGAGGTTGTGGTGAGCTGAGATTGCGCCATTGCACTACAGCCTGGGCAGCAAATGTGAAACTCCATCTCAAAAAAAAAAAAAAAAAAAATTAGCCAGGCATGGTGACACATGCCTGTAATCCTAGCTACTCAGGAGGCTGAGGCAGGAGAATCGCTTGAACCCGGGAGGCGGAGGTTGCAGTGAGCCAAGACCACACCACTGCACTCCAGCCTGGGCAACAGAGCAAGACTCCATCTCAAAAAAAAATTTCATTTAATTTAAAAAAAGAAATACCCAAGTAGGCTCCAAAAGCATGGGACATCTGTGGTCAGAGGCATCAGTCCTCAGAAAAGACCAGAGCTCAGAATTCCAAGAATCAGCCTCTGCCTAGGTCCACCCCCATACCCCCTTGCTGGAAGCTGAGGGTCCTGTTAGGCACTTAGTCTAAGGTTCTTCTCCCTGCTCTTCCTTCTTTTAAAGAGGCTGTTTATTTTGAGTCAAAAAGTAGTATAGGCCCTGATACCACACCCAACTTTGTGCTTCACAGTGGTTTATCCCTCATTCTCAGGGTCTCGTCACAATCTGAAGAAACCCAGTTATAACACCTTTCCAAATCCTTTCTGCCTGTTCCCTTCAAGTGGAGATACTGAGCCTGGGTTATTCTCTCTAAAAAGAATCACAAAGGGAGTGGCTGCCCCTTTTGATGGCTCTCAGCTTCTGACTCTAGGCTTTTCTGAGGACCTGCTACACTTCTTGCCTTCTTGGATTCTGTGTGATACCACCATATCTCTATACTAAAGCCTACTTCAGATGGATTTCATGAACTGTGCAGGTGAGAGCCCTCAGTCCCTACAGGAACCCAATCACCTCTTTCCTCCTACTGAGTATGGAGCTCCATCTAGGATGATCAGTGCCTTAAGAAAGGCTCGATATTTTGGGTTGTTCATTTATTCATTCAATTCAACAAATATTTATTGGGTATCTGCCATGTATTGGCTTTTAAGGAGACTACGGTTGAACAATTCCCTAAATAGTTCCAAAATAGCATGAACTGACCCTGCTAGAAGCCATGGTGTGGCTCTCCAAGAGTTGTTTTAGAAAAAACTACAGATCACTTCTGCCTCAACCAGCAGAGCCCATGGACCACTGAACAAAATGGAAAGCAAGTACCAAGGTGAGCACCTTTAGTGAGAGCCAACGCACAACCCACAGGATTGAGTATCCCTGTGAAGGATTGAGTGCCTAGGGCAGGCCCTATCGGGTTCCCACAACCTCCAGTCATGGTCAGACCTCAGAAAGGTAAAATATGGACACCTTTTTTCTGCCCTAAATCTTTAAGACTCTCCATGCTTCTGGGTTATCAAAAGACTGTGTCCAGAGCATGTGCTTGTCAGGAACATTAATTAGGGTATTTGCATGCAAGAGTTGTCATGCAAGGGAGAGGGCAGGAAAGCTCTGAGGTGTTTCCACTGTAGTGTACACCACAATGTCACCAACCCTCTGGATGGGCTGATAAATCTAGCCTTACCACAATGCCCTGGGAGTGGGCTTGGGGCCTGCCACCTCCAGGAGCTCCTGTTCAAAGGGCATATAAGTCCCTATCAATGCCAAAGACTTGCCTCGCAAGAGCAGCTATAGGGACTGGGCAGGAATACAGATAGGGATCCTTCACTACATTGTTGGATGCTTCACACCTTTCCCAGCCACCTGCACGACCAGCTGAGTGGTACAGCCCTGAAGCCTATGTGAAAACAGGATAACTTGATGGTTCAGAGCCATTATTTCCATATGGGCTTAGGCAAGGTACTTAAACTCTCAGTGTCTCAGTTTCCTCACCTATAGAAAGGTAATAAAAGCAGTACCTATCCCCTTAGGGTTCGTGTGAGAATTAAATAAGCTAATATATATACCTGGTGCATGATAAGTTTTATATACGTGTTGGCTATGATCTTAGGGCAGCTGTGAGAGAGCTGAGCCCTAGAACCATAAAACCCTCCTAAGCACCATCTCCACTCATGGCCTGGCAGGTCGTGGAGCAGGAAATCCTGTGGGAAAAGGGAAGGCTTTGACTGTAGGAGTGGGTTGATTGTGGGTTCCTGGAAGGTGAGGACTCCTTCCCTAACATCCTCAATGCCCAGCAACACCTAATCTGGCTGCGGCAGGTGCTCAGGAAACGCTAGTCAAGGAGAAAGGCACTAGCTTTCGCTCTGCCCCCTGCCCCACCCCAGGGGCGGGACTGTAGAGGCGCCTATAAGGGAAGTTGTTCAGTCAACTCGGAAAAAGGGTAACAACCCGGAAAGTAGACTCACCGTCTTGGTCTAGAGACTGACCCCTGCACAGACAGACCCCTTCCCCTCTCTGCGAAAGGACCAAGCCCCAGAAGTCACTCCATCTCCTACGGCTCGCAATTTCCAGAGGCCCCCTGGCACCTTCCAGCCTGATGTCGTGCGTCAAGTTATGGTGAGTAGGGAGTGGCATGTCGATCGCAGCCTCCGACATTCACACCCAGAGAGCCCCACAGACTCGCTCAGAGAACGTCTTTGAGTCCGGGGACGGTGGGGGCCGGCGAGGGAGGCTGGGGATTGCAGTGAGAACGCCGAGTCACAGGGGCGCGGGGAGCAGCGCTGAGGCACGGCACGGCCGGCTAGTGGGCGACACCCCTCTCTCAGGCCCAGCGGTGCCCCCGCCCCCTTGGTGTCCATCGAGGAACTGGAGAACCAGGAGCTCGTCGGCAAAGGCGGGTTCGGCACAGTGTTCCGGGCGCAACATAGGAAGTGGGGCTACGATGTGGCGGTCAAGATCGTAAACTCGTGAGTGACCCCGGTTGACCCCAGCCGCAATCTGGCCAAAAAGGTGGAGCCACTGTGCTCTGGGGCCTGAATGGCGAAGGGAGGGATTTTCCCACGACCCCGGTGCGACTCCAGCTCTCTCCTGGAGTGTAGGAAGGCGATATCCAGGGAGGTCAAGGCCATGGCAAGTCTGGATAACGAATTCGTGCTGCGCCTAGAAGGGGTTATCGAGAAGGTGAACTGGGACCAAGATCCCAAGCCGGCTCTGGTGACTAAATTCATGGAGAACGGCTCCTTGTCGGGGCTGCTGCAGTCCCAGTGCCCTCGGCCCTGGCCGCTCCTTTGCCGCCTGCTGAAAGAAGTGGTGCTTGGGATGTTTTACCTGCACGACCAGAACCCGGTGCTCCTGCACCGGGACCTCAAGCCATCCAACGTCCTGCTGGACCCAGAGCTGCACGTCAAGGTCAGCTGGTCTACACCCCTCTCAGCCTCAAGACAAGGCCCCAGAGCTGCTCCAGCCAGGCCCGCCGGACACTAGACCTCCAGAGCCCTGTCTATTGAATAGGCGTAGCCTCTCTCTCTGGACACAGGGCTGCCAGGGGACAAAGCCCAGCCAGGAGTTTTAGCTCCTGCCTACCAGGTGATAGAGGCCCTGAGCCACACGAGTCATTTCCACCAGCTGCCCCACCAGCCCCTCCAAAGAGTCATGGCTGACCCAGCCCTGGAGACTCAGACCTTGACCTAGCCCTACCACAAGGCACCTAGATCTACCATCCAAGGGAACCTCTTCCCTTGACCTCCACACTCCCTTTACAAAGCTGAACCTGCACCTTCTGGGGGCAGGGGGGTTCCTGGAGGCTCTCTGGCCCCCTTGTCTTCCCTACCTCCCACTTCTTTCCTTCCTTTGCAGCTGGCAGATTTTGGCCTGTCCACATTTCAGGGAGGCTCACAGTCAGGGACAGGGTCCGGGGAGCCAGGGGGCACCCTGGGCTACTTGGCCCCAGAACTGTTTGTTAACGTAAACCGGAAGGCCTCCACAGCCAGTGACGTCTACAGGTAAGGATCCCGGCCCAAACACACAGCCAGGATTCCTACACTTCTCTGGGCCCTCCCAGGGGATGATGTATAGGAAAGGAGTCTTGCCAGTGATTGGACCGATCCTCAGCTTTGTGTCTCCTGCAGCTTCGGGATCCTAATGTGGGCAGTGCTTGCTGGAAGAGAAGTTGAGTGTAAGACTCTAGGAGGATTCTGGGATCCTTAACCCCAGGTGCCCTTCTCTTGAAAGCCCCAAGGCTTCCCCTTCCCGCTCACCTACTTAGACTGCCCTCCTCCCTCCTCGTGCCCCCACATTACACTCCCTGCCTCTTTCCATGATGAAGCAGATAATTCCCTTTTACCCTGAATGCCTTCTCTTCTCACCCTCCTCCCCTACTCCAGTGCCAACCGAACCATCACTCGTGTACGAAGCAGTGTGCAACAGGCAGAACCGGCCTTCATTGGCTGAGCTGCCCCAAGCCGGGCCTGAGACTCCCGGCTTAGAAGGACTGAAGGAGCTAATGCAGCTCTGCTGGAGCAGTGAGCCCAAGGACAGACCCTCCTTCCAGGGTGAGCTGGCCAGTTAGCTGGATCTAGGATAAGCTTGGGTCTGTCAGCAGGGGGCTTTTCTCAGGAAAAGAAGATTTGCTCACCTGCACTCCACTCTGCTGTCCCTCTAGAATGCCTACCAAAAACTGATGAAGTCTTCCAGATGGTGGAGAACAATATGAATGCTGCTGTCTCCACGGTGAGTGCCAACATCACCCCTCCCCAGGAGCTGGTCAGGGATGGCACAGCGTGGCTACCTGGCCATCCAATGACTCACCACTGACCACTGCTTTTTATGCCTTGACCTTTGTACCCACCGTCCCCAGCCCACCCCTGAGTTCCCAGACAACAGATTATGGACCGAGAGACTACTCCCTTGGGTTTACTCTGGCTCATCCAAGTCATACCCAGCAAACTCCTCCCATCCCTGCAGGTAAAGGATTTCCTGTCTCAGCTCAGGAGCAGCAATAGGAGATTTTCTATCCCAGAGTCAGGCCAAGGAGGGACAGAAATGGATGGCTTTAGGAGAACCATAGAAAACCAGCACTCTCGTAATGATGTCATGGTTTCTGAGTGGCTAAACAAACTGAATCTAGAGGAGCCTCCCAGCTCTGTTCCTAAAAAATGCCCGAGCCTTACCAAGAGGAGCAGGGCACAAGAGGAGCAGGTTCCACAAGCCTGGACAGCAGGCACATCTTCAGATTCGATGGCCCAACCTCCCCAGACTCCAGAGACCTCAACTTTCAGAAACCAGATGCCCAGCCCTACCTCAACTGGAACACCAAGTCCTGGACCCCGAGGGAATCAGGTGAGACATTGACAGGATTAGGGGATGCACTAAGAGTCCTATAAATGCTGTCCCCTTGCCAGCGAAAACTTGGGGCTGAGAGGAGTGCAGTGGGAGTGCCAGGCTCCAGGGCAGAACTGGATGCTCTGTGCTGTTTGCAGGGGGCTGAGAGACAAGGCATGAACTGGTCCTGCAGGACCCCGGAGCCAAATCCAGTAACAGGTACCCATTCTCTACCTCTTTCTTTTCCCTGTTCAATTCTTCCACCAGACTCCTCCTCCAGACCTATATCTAGATTCAGGGTACTTTGTGGAGGGGAGGGGAGAAGATGATCTAACTCAACCTTCTCATTTCATAAATGGGAAAACCGACACCCCCTGAGAAAGGAGCCCTCTGAGGTCACACAACAAAGCTTGGATTTGTCCCTGAATCTTCTAACTTTCCACAACACCAGCTCTGTGAGCCCCCTAAGTTCCATTGTTTCAGCAGTCCAGAGGACCTCCCAGCAAAAAAGATCAGGGTCTCAAATGTCAATTGCCACTCTCTAGAGCTTCTGCTAACACAATTCTGGAGAGGAGCTCTGAGGGGAGGAGCACAGGGCACACCTTGACACAGCCACTGACAAGTAGAGACTTCATACTCCCCACCCACCCCCAACTTGGCCTTTCTGACAGCTAAACCCTCCTGCCACCATCACTATTTCTCTTAAAGGGCGACCGCTCGTTAACATATACAACTGCTCTGGGGTGCAAGTTGGAGACAACAACTACTTGACTATGCAACAGACAACTGCCTTGCCCACATGGGGCTTGGCACCTTCGGGCAAGGGGAGGGGCTTGCAGCACCCCCCACCAGTAGGTTCGCAAGAAGGCCCTAAAGATCCTGAAGCCTGGAGCAGGCCACAGGGTTGGTATAATCATAGCGGGAAATAAAGCACCTTCCAAGCTTGCCTCCAAGAGTTACGAGTTAAGGAAGAGTGCCACCCCTTGAGGCCCCTGACTTCCTTCTAGGGCAGTCTGGCCTGCCCACAAACTGACTTTGTGACCTGTCCCCCAGGAGTCAATAAACATGATGGAATGCTAGTCAGTCTGAGCTCAGCCAGGGGCAGGGAGGGACTGGGATGGGGGTGGGAGCTGCCAGTGAGGGATAGGGAGGCACCACAGCTCTGCTATGGCAGGAAGTGGGGATGCTGGGGGCTGGGAGTGGGCAATGGCCTGGCACACAAGGTCAGGGCACAGCCGGCTACAACAGGAAGGAATCCTAGAGGCCTGGTTCCCCAGACCACTCTCTAATCTCAGGGCAGTGCTTCCTCTAAAGCCTAGGATGGCGACCCCACCCTAACCCTAAACTCTGGGGATAGAGGCTGTGGTCCCTTTTCTTCCGGGCTCTCAAGACTCACTTGCAGGGCTCTGGCGAGGGATGAGTTGATGTGAAAGATCACAGACCTGGCCCCGCACGGTGCCCCCAGGCTCTTAGAGATCATGACGCCACATACCTGCCTCCACCACACACTCAGGTTGCTTCCTGGACATTGCTTCCCTTTTGATTCCCAGTTGCTGTTCGGGAGTGGAAAGCTATGGCTCCTAAAGCTATACACAGGCGCAACCCCTCCCACGGAGCATGAACAGTTCAAACCCGGTGGTAGTGGTTGCCAGCCAAGCGGAGAGGTCAAGAGAATGAGCGCCCCCAACTCTGACCTAGATCCCCACCAGGACCCACATTCTTCCCTACATTCTCGCCAGGCTTCAGCCCCCCGCCCTCGGTCTCCCCACTACCAAACGTTCACCTCCATTTGGACACATCCCATTGGGTCCACCCCAGCCCACCCCTTCGCATCTCTCCCAGGGTCCACATTGCCCTTCCCTGAAGGGGCTGAAGCGGGGAGGCGATGGTGTTAGGAGAGACAAAACCAAGTGCGGGAGGAGACCAGGGGAGTCCGGCTTTGGCACAGGAAGGGGCCGGGCTGTCCCGTCGGGGAAGTGGGAGGGGGCCGCGGCGCCGGGAGGGAAGCGCCTGTCGCCCGGGACTCTGAGCCAGAGCGCAGCGGCGAGCGTGACTCCGCCATCAGGTCCCCGGCTCCCTCCCCGGACCTAGCCCACTCCGCTGCGCCAGCGCCGCGGGCAGTGAGTTCGGGGATCAGGGGAACCCGGGGCTCCCTCGCACCAACCCCAAATCCTGCCCTCCTGGCGATGAGGCTTTTCTAGGGCACCTCTACAATCCGGGTTTGAGGGAGGAGGAGGAAAGGACTGAGGGATCCCCTCATCGCCAGCTGGGAGCGGGCTGGGAGGCCGCAGGGAGGGCCTGAAAAAGGAGACGGGATTGCCACGAGGTTGGGGGCGCGGGGTGGTAGCGGCTTTGAGCGGGTGAGAAAAGCTCAGGTGGGGCCCGCCGGGCCGAAGGAGGTAACCCGGCGCCCGGCCCTAGCCAGCCCCGGGGCTCGGGGCTGGGGAGATCATGGCCCGCCTCTTCAGCCCCCGGCCGCCCCCCAGCGAAGACCTCTTCTACGAGACCTACTACAGCCTGAGCCAGCAGTACCCGCTGCTGCTGCTGCTGCTGGGGATCGTGCTCTGTGCGCTCGCGGCGCTGCTCGCAGTGGCCTGGGCCAGCGGCAGGGTGAGCCGAGCCTCTGCTGCGGGAGGGTCTCTACCTGGGGAGCATTTTCGGGGTTGGGGTTTGTGGGGTCTTCTTTTCGATGTGTTTTCGTTGCTGGGAGCAGAGAAAGAAAGGACCATTGAGCCTGGCTAGGAACTGCAGTGACCCTGGGCAAGTCACTCTACCCTTCTGGGTCTGCTCAGGGAGAAAGCTGAGTCCTGGATGCTTCTCGTTTCTGTCCGGGTTCTGACAGACTTTATGAACATCCGTGGTCTACGGGTTCTACAATAAATCCATCACCGGATTTTCCAGTTTTCCAAAGGGGAAATTCTAGGAGGCCCCTGGGGAATTCATTTCCTGCCTTTCTCTCCCTCTTAGGGGATGTAGAGCAGTTGTACCCACAGACTCCCAGAAGGCACCCTCCACCGGGCTCTCACTGAGTCCCAAAGTAAACCCATGTCCAGTTTCTGTTTGGGGAGGAAGAAGGTCTTCAATCCAATTCTAGAAATGGCCTGCCCCTGGTTTTCTTTTCACTGCTTGGAGGCAAGGTGGGAAAATCACCGGGCGCGGCCAATCCTTGCTGGTCCACGCCTAAATCCGGGAAGAGGTGGGGACAAAATGCTGGGACGGCTGTGCAGCTTCTGCTTGGAGTTGAGGCAGGTGGCGAGATCGCAGCCCTGGTGGCCAGGGAGGTGCGGGACGCCGCGGGTCCTGGCGCCCCCTGCTGCTCGAGCGCTGCCTCGCGCCGCCCTTCAAGCTGCCGGCCGCGGTCCCCGGCTCCGGGAATCTCCCGAGCAAATTGGCCAGATTTGGAGACATTCATTCCGAAGTGCCTCCTTGTGAGCTTGGATCTATCTTTCACTTGCTTCATGACGCTTTGGTTCCCGTTTGACAGATAAGAAAACTGAGGCTCAGAAACAAATAGGGGATGGGAGCCAGATCTTCTGGGTAGCTGTCCCAGCAAGATAATAGGTTGGACAACAGGAGGCTGGGCGCTGTGGCTCACGCCTGTAATCCCAGCACTTTGGGAGGCCAAGGCGGGAGATCGTTTGAGCCCAGGAGCTCGAGACCAGCCTGGGCAACTTGGCGAGACCCTGTCTTCTACTAAAAATACAAAAAAAAAAAAATTAGCTGGGCGTGGTGGCGGGAGCCTGTAATCCCAGCTACTCGGGAGGCTGAGGCATGAGAATCACTTGAACCCGGGAGGCAGAGGTTGCAGTAAGCCGAGATCGCGCCACTGAACTCCAGCCTGGGCGACAGAGCAAGACTCTGTCTCAAAAAACAAACCAACCAACCAACAAAAACCATACGAGACTGCTGAGTCTAGATAAAAGCAGTAGGACACAAGCAATTTCAAATGGTTCAACCTAAAGTGAATGGCAAGCGGAGGTGCCTTGCCTCCTTTTCGTACTTAGGCTTGAGACACCTTTCAGAACTGGGCTGAGGGGCTGGGCTGCTGGCTTTTCCTTTATCAGGTTCGTTCCTTCTCCCTGTCACAATCTTGCCTCACACACCCCTGCCCACAGGAGCTGACCTCAGACCCGAGCTTCCTGACCACTGTGCTGTGCGCGCTGGGCGGCTTCTCGCTGCTGCTGGGCCTCGCTTCCCGGGAGCAGCGACTGCAGCGCTGGACGCGTCCCCTGTCCGGCTTGGTATGGGTCGCGCTGCTAGCGCTAGGCCACGCCTTCCTGTTCACCGGGGGCGTGGTGAGCGCCTGGGACCAGGTGAGAGGGGCGGCAGGCGGGGCAGCGGGGACGGCCCGGGCTTCGATCCCTCACCAGGCCTTGAATAGCCCCACTTGGGCCTTCGGCTTCCCGCGCCCCGCCCCCAGGTGTCCTATTTTCTCTTCGTCATCTTCACGGCGTATGCCATGCTGCCCTTGGGCATGCGGGACGCCGCCGTCGCGGGCCTCGCCTCCTCACTCTCGCATCTGCTGGTCCTCGGGCTGTATCTTGGGCCACAGCCGGACTCACGGCCTGCACTGCTGCCGCAGGTGAGCACGCAAGTAGCACAGGCTGCGCTCAGGACGGCTCTGCCACGTGCTAGTAGGCTCCTTTTAGGGGGTTGTTGAGCTGTGACTCCAAGTCAAGGTGCAACGCTGGGCGCAGGATACCCAACCGTGCTTTCGCAGAGCTGGTACAACAGTGTGATGCAATGCCTGCTGTTACCAGAAGAGGGATCCAGGCCACACGGAAGGGAGTCGTGTCGTGGTTTACCCCGGGGACAACAGATGTGGTTAATGAAACCTTGACAGAGAATGAAAAAAAAAAAAAAAAAGTTTTGTGCGATGGGAGTGGGTAGCGACAGTGGAGTGGTATTCCAAGCACAAGAAACCTACCTGCAAACGTTTCCAGACCTAAGAGGTCGTGTTGGTGAAGCAGCCGAGAGTCTGGAGGAGGGAGCATCTGGGAAGGGAAACGTCCCTAGGGATGCCACAGTGTGGCACCACTTGTCCCACAATAGTTAGGTCCCTCACTGTAAAGCCCAGTCTTCCCCAGCCAGTCTTTGAGACCAACTCCAACTACACACGACAAGCACCCGGGTCCCGCGCCCTCTGAGGCTGGCCTTCACCCACAGTTGGCAGCAAACGCAGTGCTGTTCCTGTGCGGGAACGTGGCAGGAGTGTACCACAAGGCGCTGATGGAGCGCGCCCTGCGGGCCACGTTCCGGGAGGCACTCAGCTCCCTGCACTCACGCCGGCGGCTGGACACCGAGAAGAAGCACCAGGTCAGCCGGGCCTAGGAAGGTCAGAGCAGCGCTCCGAGGGAGGAGTTGCTTAGATTACATAACGGGGCTCCTCCACAAGTTGAGTGACTCTGGGCAGGTTTCTTGACCTGTTTCCTCTTTTGTATAAAATGTGGGTATTGCCCATCTTAGAAGGTTGTGAGGCTCAAACAAACCAAAGCTTATAAAAAGCACTTTAGAGCATTATGATATTAAGTGAACTCCCATTCAGGTGTTGATACTGGGAGTTTAGTCACTAAAGGTGATCAGTGTAGGATGGAGTGCTGGGGCCCTGCTGTGTGCAGCGGGAGGACCTGGGGGAGCACCCTGGGGAGCACCTAGGATGGGCAGTGTGGGCTCCTGAGTGATTTGGGGGACAGGGCCTCCTGGCTTTAGGGTGCAGAAGAGTTGGTGTTCATGGTGACCTCTTCCAGGAACACCTTCTCTTGTCCATCCTTCCTGCCTACCTGGCCCGAGAGATGAAGGCAGAGATCATGGCACGGCTGCAGGCAGGACAGGGGTCACGGCCAGAGAGCACTAACAATTTCCACAGCCTCTATGTCAAGAGGCACCAGGGAGTCAGGTATGAGGAAGAATGGCTGGAGGGGAGGGGCCTGTGGGCTAAGACCCTGGCCCTGCTGACACAGTCTGCCCTATGCAGCGTGCTGTATGCTGACATCGTGGGCTTCACGCGGCTGGCCAGCGAGTGTTCCCCTAAGGAGCTGGTGCTCATGCTCAATGAGCTCTTTGGCAAGTTCGACCAGATTGCCAAGGTCAGAGAAGACTTCCCTCCCCACCCAGGGACCCTCAAACATCCCATCCTGGGTAGCCCCTTCCAAGGGAAACTCCCACCTTATAAGATCCCAGGCCCACTTCAGTGCATGCAGGCCCCCAGATATTCCAGTGGAAGGAGGAAACCCTCTCAAACATTCCCAGTCATGAAGCTGCTCACCACACACCTCAAACCTACAGAGATCCCTCAATATCGCCACAGATGTCCCAAGTACAATGCCCCAAACATGCTCAGAGCCCCCACATATGTGTCTCTGGACACTACAACCAAATCTATAGAGACGTTCTGATATTCTAACCTTAGGAGGCCCTTCCAAGAGAAATTTCTGCCCTATGCAACCTCAGCCCAGCAACCTGCTTAGACTCCAGGGATGCCTCCAAGCAACCAATTCTTGGATTCCCCCCAACCTCTCAATCCTGAGACCACTACCACGTACTCAACTCTGGGTACCCCCTTCAACATGCCAAAAGTGGAAAGAGCCACAGCCATCCAGCCCTTGGGGAAACTCTTCTGAGAAAGAGATCTGTATGAAAGACAGTTAGCCCCATATCAAGTGAAAGGAGTCCCTAGATCTGATCTAGACACTACCCCACCTTGGAAGTTCTTCAGGAATACCCCGCTCGCTGCCCACTTTTCCCAACTCCCTCCTACCCTTCTGACCTCTAACCAGGTTCCTCTGCACACCCACATACACACTCCCAGGAGCATGAATGCATGCGGATCAAGATCCTGGGGGACTGTTACTACTGTGTCTCTGGGCTGCCACTCTCACTGCCAGACCATGCCATCAACTGCGTGCGCATGGGCCTGGACATGTGCCGGGCCATCAGGTCAGCTCAGGCGGTGGTCAAGAGGAATGCTGAGGGTGGATGTGGGGGGCAGCAGGCAGCTGACAGAAGTCCTCTTTGTGAGAATCTGGGGTGTCTCACAGGCAGGGCTGAGGGTAGGACTCAGATTGTCCCACACACACACTGCTCAGGAAACTGCGGGCAGCCACTGGCGTGGACATCAACATGCGTGTGGGCGTGCACTCAGGCAGCGTACTGTGTGGAGTCATCGGGCTGCAGAAGTGGCAGTACGACGTTTGGTCACATGATGTCACACTGGCTAACCACATGGAGGCAGGCGGTGTACCAGGGTGAGACCTAGGGCCCTAGGCAGCTACAGCAGAAGGCCAACCAGGCCTACCACAGGCTGCCATCCTTTCATTAGTTCCTTAAGATAAGCACAAGATGAGTACCTTAAGATAAGTCCCATATGGGGCTTGGGAGATCCTAGGGTGCAGGGAGGGGAGCTGGGAGGCACCTCCTGTAACACAGGCTCTTTCTTGAAGTCAGACATCCAGGAACGATCTTTAAAAGACATGAGATGTTTGTCAGTTCTAGGAGCCATGGGGGTGATGGGGCAGGAAATAGGAGATTTGAAGGCCCTCCCTGCTGACCCCTACTGCCTCCCTCCTTCCAGGCGAGTGCACATCACAGGGGCTACCCTGGCCCTGCTGGCAGGGGCTTATGCTGTGGAGGACGCAGGCATGGAGCATCGGGACCCCTACCTTCGGGAGCTAGGGGAGCCTACCTATCTGGTCATCGATCCACGGGTAAAAGCCCAGCCCAGACCCCATGGGCTGGCCTACACAAACCACCCCACAGCCAACAGGCCTGATCTCTTCTGTGCCAGAGATTGAGTTCCTGGGTCCTAGTGGGGGGTGGAGGGAGAAGGAGGAAGTGTCTGTGGTCTTTACTGTCAGCCCTTATGTGCCCCAGGCAGAGGAGGAGGATGAGAAGGGCACTGCAGGAGGCTTGCTGTCCTCGCTTGAGGGCCTCAAGATGCGTCCATCACTGCTGATGACCCGTTACCTGGAGTCCTGGGGCGCAGCCAAGCCTTTTGCCCACCTGAGCCACGGAGACAGCCCTGTGTCCACCTCCACCCCTCTCCCGGTATGTGCACCTTCATCCTGAGCCCCAGAGCTTAGTTAAATCCACCCCCAGTATCCTCAGGCCCCACTGGCAGCCTTCCCTGCCCCCACCACCAGTGAGCCACTTAATGATTTGTGACATCCCAAAGTCCCGAACTGTCTTGTCACCCCAGTCACTGGTTCAGGCCCTTCCTTGCCCCTCCTTCTAGAGAAAGAGCCCTCCAGCTCACCTCAGAGAAGATACAAGATCCCTACAGACACCATTGTAGGGACCAGCCCCACAGGGTCGGTGGGTCTCTCCCTGTGTGCGACGACGAGAGAGTGTAGAAATAAAGACACAAGACAAAGAGATAAGAGAAAAGGCAGCTGGGCCCGGGGGACCACTACCACCAATGCGCGGAGACCGGTAGTGGCCCCGAATGTCGGGCTGCGCTGTTATTTATTGGATACAAGGCAGAAGGGGCAAGGTAAAGAATGTGAGTCACCTCCAATGATAGGTAAGGTCATGTGGGTCACATATCCACTGGACAGGGGGCCCTTCCCTGCCTGGCAGCCGAGGCAGAGAGGGAGAGGAGACAAAGAGAAAGACAGCTTACACCATTATTTCTGCATATCAGGGACTATTAGTATTTTCACTAATTTACTACTGCTATCTGGAAGGCAGAGCCAGGTGTACAGGATGGAACATGAAGGTGGACTAGGAGCGTGACCACTGAAGCACAGCATCACAGGGAGACGGTTAGGCCTCCGGATAACTGTGGGTGAGCCTGACTGATGTCAGGGCCTCCACAAGAGGTGGAGGAGCAGAGTCTTCTCTAAACTCCCCCAGGGAAAGGGAGACCCCCCCCCCCACCCCGCTTTCCCGGTCTGCTAAGTAGCTGGTGTTGTTTCTTGACACCTTTTGCTACCGCTGGACCATGATCCGCTTGGTGACGGGCGTCTTCCCAGATGCTGGCGTCACCGCTAGACCAAGGAGCCCTCTGGTGGCCCTGTCCAGGCATAACAGAAGGCTCGCACTCCTGTCTTCTGGTCACTTCTCACTATGTCCCCTCAGCTCCTATCTCTGTATGGCCTGGTTTTTCCTAGGCTATGATTATTGAGTGAGGATTATCATAATATTGGAATAAAAAGTAATTGCTACCCACTAATGATTAATGATACTCATATATAATCATATCTAAGATCTATATCTGGTATAACAATTCTTGTTTTATATTTTATTATACTGGAACTGCTCGTGTCCTCTGTCTCTTGCCTCGGTGCCTGGGTGGCTTGCCACCCACACACCATGTCCATAACTCCCCAGCCTCTACTCAGGAGAGTGCCTTCCCCTGACACCACAAAGGCAGTTGGACCCCCCACTTCCTCCTGTCTCTGATTCTAGGGCTGTGCACCCATAGCACCAGGAAATGTCTCTGTTTAACTCAATTCCTGAAACTGCATGCTCTCTTCTTCAACCCCCCAACACTGGGGAGTGGGGGAAGGACACTGGCAGCAGTGGTTGCAGGAAGTACTTAATTCCAAGTGTTAACATGAGGTAGGGGAGAGGTCAGAGGGTTAAGCTGGCAGGAGGAAGAGGAAGGAAGAAGCTGAGGTTCAGCTGACTGTTGCAGGATGAGACCTCCAGCATGGGTGGAGTGGTGTGTGGGGACTGCTACAAGCCCAGGGACTGTGAGATGGTGTTAGGTACAATTACATAGCAGGAATGCCTGCCGGGGCCCATGCTAGACCTCCTGCCGCTTTCCACTGGTGTGCAGGCTAGGGAGTATTAGGGTGGAAGAGCAGGACCCTTTGTTCAAGGGTGTCTCCTGAGGCAGGACCTTCACTAGCACAGAAATCCACTTAGCCCCTGAAGTTCCAGGGGCTCAGTCAAATATTAGAAATCTTGCCAGGCACGGTGGCTCACACCTGTAATCCCAGTACTTTGGGAGGATGAGGCAGATGGATAGCTTGAGGTCAGTAGTTTGAGACCAGCCCGGCCAACATGGCGAAACCCCATCTCTACTAAAAATACAAAAATCAGCCAGGCGTGGTGGTGCGTGCCTGCAATCCCAGCTACTCAGGAGGCTGAGGCAAGAGAATTGCTTGAACCTGGAAGGCGGAGGTTGCAGTGAGCTGAGATTGCACCAATGCACTCCAGCCTGGGCAACAAGAGCGAAACTCCGTTGCAAAAAAAAAAAAAAAAATCCAGCCAGGTACGGTGGCTCATGCCTATAATCCCAGCACTTTGAGAAGCCGAGGCAGGCGGATCACCTAAGGTCAGCAGTTTGAGACCAGCCTGACCAACATGGTGAAACCCCATCTCTACTAAAAATGCAAAAATTAGCTGGGCGTGGTGGCACATGCCTGTAATCCCAGCCACCTGGAAGGCTGAGGCAGGAAAATCGGTTGAACCTGGGAGGTGGAAGTTGTGGTGAGCCGAGATCATGCCATTGCACTCCAGCCTGGTGACAGAGCAAGATTCAGTCACACACACACACACACACACACACACACACACACACACACACAAAGATCCTGGGAGTCTAGAGAGTCAGGGGGAAACTTTAAGGAGATTCAAACCTCCCCTTCAAGGGCAGGTGGGATTTGGGAGACAGAGAGGTCATTAGAGGCAAAAGAAAGAGCCCAGTGAAATGCCCAAGGTCAAAGACATGTATAGAGCATGCAGTGTGGCTCATGGTCTACCTCACTGCAGGGAAAACACCCACCATGCCCACCTCCCCCTGTGCTCTCCCAACAGGAGAAGACCCTGGCTTCCTTCAGCACCCAGTGGAGCCTGGATCGGTGAGGAGGCCTCAAAGTCTTTGCCAGTGGGGCTGTCTGGATGACCCCCTCCATCCTCCCTGGGGGTCTGCTCCTGCTTTGCCCAGACGCTCTGAGGGTCTCTGTGGTGATGGACTTGGCTCTCACTGTGCAGGAGCCGTACCCCCCGGGGACTAGATGATGAACTGGACACCGGGGATGCCAAGTTCTTCCAGGTCATTGAGCAGCTCAACTCGCAGAAGTACGGAGAACAAAGAGGGCTGGGGGGGCCGCAGGCCCTGAGGTCATATGGTGGAGAAGGGATGGTGCTCCCTGAGGGGCTGGAGGGAAGACTCGCCTGACCACCCCCTCTTGCCCTCACTCTGCCCTCTTCCTGCCCTTCTGTGCCCTCTGTTCTCTGGTGCTTTCACCCACCCTCCCACCTCCCACCAGACAGTGGAAGCAGTCGAAGGACTTCAACCCACTGACACTGTACTTCAGAGAGAAGGAGATGGAGAAAGAGGTGGGCTGTGGTGTGGGTGGCACCAAACAACTTCCCAACTTTAGTTCCTTGGTGCTGGGGAGGGGTCAGCCCTTGGGTCTCCTCCCCAAGTCTGCTCAGTTTGTGATCCTAGGGGTGAGGAGCTTGTGCCTCTCTCTAAAGGAAAGTCACTCTGTAGACTGAGCTACTAGATGGTAGGGGGAGGAAGGAGGGTAACTCCTTGGAGAACTGGTAGGGTCTACATGGAACTGAACTGGAGCCTGGGCGGTGAGGCTGAGGAGCCCACCCCTTGCCTGGGAGTGATGCCTTCAAGGTGATGGGTAGCACTGGACCCTGTCTCCACCTCTGGCCCTCTCACTTTCAGTACCGACTCTCTGCAATCCCCGCCTTCAAATACTATGAAGCCTGCACCTTCCTGGTTTTTCTCTCCAACTTCATCATCCAGATGCTAGTGACAAACAGGTGAGAGTGCCCCAGGCAAAGGAGGCCCTGGCTGTCATAAGCGGATCACCTTGCCCTCATGACCCCGGGCCACACTTTCTTCCTTCACCCCTTCCCCTTAGCTTCAGGCACTTACCCACAGAGGAAACATGTGTTCTGGGGAAAATGATAATCACGGCCCTTATCTTAACCTTGTAGATCCTGTGGACTTTCTACACAGCCCTAGCATTTTCCCATGAGCATCTCTTTTGATTCTAACAACATCCCCATGAAGGCCAGTTTGTTTCCATTGAGAAACCCAAATCTGGCAGCAAATGCATGAGCTTAGAAAGTAGGCCCTCATTCCTAGTCCACTGCTAGGAGGGATGAGGACTTGTTCTTAACTCAGCCAGGTGGCCGGGTGTGATGGCTCACGCCTGTAATCCCAGCACTCTGGGAGGCTGAGGCAGGTGGATCACCTGAGGTCAGGAGTGAAAGACTAGCCTGGCCAACATGGTGAAACCCCATCTCTACTAAAAATACAAAAATTTGCTGGGTGAGATGGCAGGCGCCTGTAATCCCAGCTACTCGGGAGGCTGAGGCAGGAGAATCGCTCAAACCCGGGAGGCGGAGTTTGCAGTGAGCCAAGATCACACCACTGCACTCCAGCCAGGGCAACAGAGCGAGACTCCGCCTCAAAAAAAAAGAAAAAAAAAAAACTCAGCCAAGTTAAAGAGCTTTGGGCTAAAGGCCCAGAGATCAGTCTGCCGTAGCCTCAGCCATTCTTGTGAGCCCCCACTCCCCACCATATGGGTCCCTGTTCCACCTCGACACTGCTCTAGACCCTTAAGCCAGCCAACCCAGATCATCAGAATGCAATGTCTTCTATCAGCCGGGACCCCATCGCCAGCCAACCCAGATTCCCCAGAACCACTTCCCCTATCTCCCACCCAGCTCACACAGCACCTTCATAGCACACAGGGAGCCTGTTCTGGCACTTCAAGGCCTCGCTTTTGTCTCCCTTCAGGCCCCCAGCTCTGGCCATCACGTATAGCATCACCTTCCTCCTCTTCCTCCTCATCCTTTTTGTCTGCTTCTCAGAGGACCTGATGGTGAGGTGGGCTGAGGGGTGGAAGTGGTATGCCGGAGCCCTGGTCACAACCTGTCCTGAAGAGGGTGCCCCAGCCCCGTGGCTAAGATGCCCATGCTCCCTCCACAGAGGTGTGTCCTGAAAGGCCCCAAGATGCTGCACTGGCTGCCTGCACTGTCTGGCCTGGTGGCCACACGACCAGGACTGAGAATAGCCTTGGGCACCGCCACCATCCTCCTTGTCTTTGCCATGGCCATTACCAGCCTGGTGAGGACAGAGGGGGCCCTATCCACCCCCATGAGGGCATGTTGGACCTGCCAGGGACTGAAAGGGAACCCCTGGATTTGGGCAGGCAGCTGGACTAAGCCCAGGGGATGCTGGAAATGTTGTACAAATAGAAAGAAAAAAATTACAGTCTCCAGCAATCTACCATCTGGGCATAATAGTTGTTGATAACACTTCGGTGAATGTCCTTCTTATCTTTTTTCTGTGTAGGCAGTTACTTATTACTTAGATCACTTGGCTGATTCTTCAGGATTTAGACTCATTCCTAGAATTCTATTCCTGGTGGGCACCTGGGAATCACCCACCAGCCAAGTTACAGAAGAAGAAACTAAGGCCCAGAGAGGCTAAGTGGCTGGCAAGAGCTCACACAGTGGCTCAGAGTCAGAGGAGTACTCTTGACGCCCCTCACATAACTCCTCCCCGAGTGAGGACCCCAGTGCTGAGGTTCCCTTCCCAACCAGAAATAGCAGGATCCACCCCTTTGGACGAGTCTTCCCCTGACTCATCCCTGGGTCAGCTGAAACCCAGCACAAGCCACCACTGTGCCCAAGAAGCTACCTGCCTCTTCAACTCCTCATCTCCTCTGCAGTTCTTCTTCCCAACATCATCAGACTGCCCTTTCCAAGCTCCCAATGTGTCCTCCATGATTTCCAACCTCTCCTGGGAGCTCCCTGGGTCTCTGCCTCTCATCAGTGTCCCAGTGAGTGTTCCCACATGCCCTTAATCTCCTTCTGCACACCCTTCCTCAGCCCAAGCCCACAGCCCCCTGAGTGGAGGAACGCTCCATTCTGTGGATTAGAACAGACATAAGTCACACCCAGTGTGTATCAGTGTGTATGATGCCCCCTGTCTCCCAGATAGGACCTGGGCCTGGGAGGGACAGGAAGGGAGCCCTCAGGTGTCCCCCCTCTGCCTATGGGACATGCCCACTCCTGACCCCTGCCTGGCCCCACAGTACTCCATGCACTGCTGCACGCTGGGCTTCCTCTCCTGCTCCCTCTTTCTGCACATGAGCTTCGAGCTGAAGCTGCTGCTGCTCCTGCTGTGGCTGGCGGCATCCTGCTCCCTCTTCCTGCACTCCCATGCCTGGCTGTCGGAATGCCTCATCGTCCGCCTCTATCTGGGCCCCTTGGACTCCAGGTGTGCACAGCTGCTGGACAGAGGTGCCGGGCCCCCTGGGATGGGGTGAGATGGGATACAGCAGAGCTGTCCTGGCCTCACCGACCTGAATCACCCACAGGGCAAAGTGGGAGGGAAGCGGAGGCCTACATGGGGGCAGGGAGAAGGCCAGGAAGGGGGAAAGCAAGGGGTCACCCTGATCCATGGCCCCTTCAGGCCCGGAGTGCTGAAGGAGCCCAAACTGATGGGTGCTATCTCCTTCTTCATCTTCTTCTTCACCCTCCTTGTCCTGGCTCGCCAGGTAAGTCACCCAGCTCAGCCCCACCAGGGCCCACCTATGAGTGGCCCCCATATCTGTGACTTGATCTTTCTAATCTCCAGGGTTGAATGCCCATTGGAAGCTTCTAAGCGAGCCTTCCTGCTTCCTTTCTTCTCCTTCACTCCCTGCCCCTCCTTTCTCCCACACCCCTATCTGGGAAAGCCCATGCTTTAGAAAAAGTCTGCTGCCAATTCTCTATCCCTAGTCTGAATCTAATTTCAAGGATAGTCTCTCTCCAAGTATACTTACACCTTAAGCTCTACTTCTAAACTGGGGGTGGGGTGGGGGTGGTTTCAGGCATCATGGAGTTGGGGCTGAACACTCAGGAGCTGGGCTTCCCCTGCTCTGTGTCTCCCCATGGCCCCGGGTGACCCTCCCCAGAATGAGTACTACTGCCGCCTGGACTTCCTGTGGAAGAAGAAGCTGAGGCAGGAGAGGGAGGAGACAGAGACGATGGAGAACCTGACTCGGCTGCTCTTGGAGAACGTGCTCCCTGCACACGTGGCCCCCCAGTTCATTGGCCAGAACCGGCGCAACGAGGTGACTCCTGACCCCCTGACTCCTGAGCCACGGATGCCATAGGGCCTAATTTCAGATGAAAGCCTTGACCTATGGCCCGTTTTCTCTAGAACCCCCAGAAGGGTCACCCAAGCCCTTGTGCTTGTCAAGCGTCTTTGTTTTCACAACATCTTAGATTCTTTCTTTGGTGAGCACAAAACTGCATTTCAAATTCTTACTTGGAAGGCATGTCTTCTCTAACTCATGACCATTCCATACATTCCAGAAGCCTAGGCGTTGATGGGAGCTGTCTGGAGCAGGGGTCCCCAGCCCCCAGGCCGCAGACTGATACTAGTCCATGACCTGTTGGGAACTGGGCTACACAGCAGGAGGTGAGCGGTGAGCCAGCACTACCGCCTGAGCTCTGCCTCTTGTCAGATCAGTAGCAGCATCAGATTCTCATAGGAACTTGAACCTTATTGTGAACTGCACATGCAAGGGGTCTAGGTTGTACACTCCTTATGAAAATCTATTAGGCTGGTGCAAAATTAATCGCAGTTTTTGCCATTAAAAGTAATATAATTAAAAGTAATTACTTTTTTTTTTTTTTAAGACACAGTTTCACTCTCATCGCTCAGGCTGGAGTGCAACAGAGTTTCACTCTCGTCGCTCAGGCTGGAGTGCAACAGAGTTTCACTCTCGTCGCTCAGGCTGGAGTGCATGTAATGGCACGGTCTCAGCTCACTGAAACCTCCGCCTCCTGGGTTCAAGCAATTCTCCTGCCTCAGCCTCCCAGGTAGCTGGGATTACAGGCGCCTGCCACCATGCCTGGCTAATTTTTTTTATATTTTTTTTTTTTAGTAGAGACAGGGTTTCACCATGTTGGTCAGGCTGATCTCGATCTCCTGATCTCAGGTGATCCACCCACCTTGGCCTCCCAAAATGCTGAGATTACAGGCGCACCGCACCCGGCCTAAAAGTAATTACTTTTAATGGCAAAAAAAAAAAAAAAAAAGAAATGCAATTAATTTTGCACCAACCTAATAACTAATGCCTGATGATCTGAAGTAGAACAGTTTCATCCCAAAACCATCCCCCACCACAGCCTGGGTGCGTGGAAAACTTGTCTTCCATGAAACCCATCCTTGGGTCCAAAAAGGTTGGGGACTGCTGGTCTAGAGGATACAGTCCACCCCTCTCTCTAGACCTGCACTATCCAATATGGTAGCCATTAGCCATATGAAATTTTAATGTTAATTAATTAAAATAAAATATTCAGTTCCTCAGTTGCACCAGCCACATTTCCAGGGCTCAACAGCCACTCGTAGCTAGTGGCCACCCTATTGGACACTGCACATAGGGAATGTTTCCATTGCAAAAATTTCTATTGGATGCTGCTGCTCTAGATCCTCAAAAATCTTGCTAGCGCCAAACCATCAGAAATTCACCCACATATTTGTACCATCTTATTTGTATCATCTGCTGGCCCTCTGCTGTGGAAATGCTCTTGGCTCATATTGAGGGATGTTAAAAGAAACAGCTCAGGAGCTCTTTCACAGCCTTATGCCCCCACCGCCTGCTCCCTGCTCTCAAGATCAGTAGTTCTTTTCTGGTTTCTTCTCTTACAGACACAAGGAATCTTGTAATCGATCCTTTTCTCTCTTCACTTTGGCTGCTAGAAAGCTGAGAGCCAAAATCTAAGACTAAATAGGATTTCATGGCACTCATTTTGTGAACCACCCTCAGATCTGATTCCATCTTTATTATCTTACCCTTATTTTCCCTTTGCCTCATAGTCCCTATTGTTGCTTACTTCATCTTTCATTTTGTACCTATCTTAACTGACTTAAACACTTAAACACATTTTACCCTTGGTTTTGTAGCCGGCTTAATTGACTTAAACACCTTTCAGCAATAAGATAGGATATAGAAATAATTCACATTGACAGGATCCCAGTTCTAGGAGTGACTCCCTTCGTGTTGCTGTGAGGTGATCCTAACGCCAAACCTCTGTCTCTTCTAGAATTACAATGAGATCTAAGCTTTGACTCCTAAGTCACTTCCCTGGGGTAGCCTGGCCCTACTCCTCTCCCTCCTTCCCAATTCTTCTTAAACAGGGAGACCAGGAGTGTGGACATGGGGAGGAGGGCCCCACGCAGACCTCTAGAAGGGAGAGGAACATGACACACACCCCTCACTCCAGTCTCCTGTTCCCCCAGGATCTCTACCACCAGTCCTATGAATGCGTTTGTGTCCTCTTCGCCTCAGTCCCAGACTTCAAGGAGTTCTACTCTGAATCCAACATCAATCATGAGGGCCTAGAGTGTCTGAGGCTGCTCAATGAGATAATTGCTGATTTTGATGAGGTGAAAATTCCAAGAGTCTCCCAGACCCTATGTCCTAGATTCTAGAATTTTCCACCAGTACCTCCTTCCACTTTGCTTTTCTGGCCATGAAGTCAATCCTCCCCTCCACAGTACTCCCTCACCTCCTCTGATCCCCCAGATCTACCCACTCCAGCAACACTGCCCACCACCAACCCTCTCCTTCCTGACACTATCTCCACTCCCACAGCCTGATCCTTTAACTCCAAAGGCTTGGGGCTGGGCTTCTGGGAGAGGTGATGGAGAGAGTAAGAGAGACTGGGGACAGGACTCTTCTCTATATACAGCTGCTCTCCAAGCCCAAGTTCAGTGGGGTGGAGAAGATCAAGACCATCGGCAGCACCTACATGGCAGCCACAGGCTTAAATGCCACCTCTGGACAGGATGCACAACAGGTACGGCAACCCTTCCTTACCTACCATCCTCCTCTGGGCTCTCATTGATGGGCTTATTAGTGGGACTTATTCCTGTGCCCTCACTGGCCCACCCTGGTGGGCGGGCCCATTGCCAGGATGCTGAACGGAGCTGCAGCCACCTTGGCACTATGGTGGAATTTGCCGTGGCCCTGGGGTCTAAGCTGGACGTCATCAACAAGCATTCATTCAACAACTTCCGCCTGCGAGTGGGTGAGAGACTTCCCCTGCTGCAGCAGTCTGGTACCTCCTCACCTTCCTGAGCTTGCCCCACTCCAAGTCCTTTGTTAGCTGCTCCCAGTTCATCCTGAAGCCCCTTTCCTGACTCACTCCCTGGGATGGGGTGTGAAGGTGCTGGGCAAGGAGGTACGAGGCTCTCCCACTCTTTTTCTTAAGCTACATTCCTCCAGCCCTTAGAGACCCCTCCTCTCCTCTAGGGCCCCCCAGGCTCTTCTCCCTTCCTTCCAGTTCCTTGTGGCTTCCTCTTCCCCTCTTCCTTCTCCAAGTCTGTCATTACCACATCCCTCATTAGGGTTGAACCATGGACCCGTAGTAGCTGGAGTTATTGGGGCCCAGAAGCCGCAATATGACATTTGGGGCAACACAGTGAACGTGGCCAGCCGCATGGAGAGTACAGGAGTCCTTGGCAAAATCCAAGTGAGGGAACCACATTGGAGGCATAGGGGGAGGGGGACTAAGAATAGGGCCACCTCCATATTCCCTCGCCCCCCTCCAATTGTAGGTGACTGAGGAGACAGCATGGGCCCTACAGTCCCTGGGCTACACCTGCTACAGCCGGGGTGTCATCAAGGTGAAAGGCAAAGGGCAGCTCTGCACCTACTTCCTGAACACAGACTTGACACGAACTGGACCTCCTTCAGCTACCCTAGGCTGAGATTGCACTCGCCTTCTAAGAACCTCAATAAAGAGACTCTGGGGTGTCTGGAGCCCATTGATGTCTGAAGCTGCTGATATAGCTGGGGATCACCTTCTCATTGCCCTTCAGTGGGAATTCTTCTTCTTCCCAGGCCAATTTTAGTGCGAGTGTGTGTGTGAATGTGTGTGCACATGCCTGCACACATGCATGCATGTGAGACTAAGCATTTTGAAAGGGAGTGATTTTTTTCACAAGCTCAGGAAGAGAACTCCCTCAGCCTCTCTGCCAACTTGATTATAGTATTTTGTACACCTTGGAAGCATAAAGAATTTAGCCACATGACTCAAAACAAAAATTTGCCCTTTCCTGCCCCCTACTCAAAAATACCGGAAGAATCTCCAGGGAAATGTCATTTGAACTTTATTAATTCGACAAACACTAAATAAGTACCTATTATGTGCTCACCATACAGAATGGGCGAGAGGACTGGGAAATACTCCGTTAGGTCCCTCCCAGTTTCAGCTGCTGTTCTCAAATTGGTGCACCATACCTTCCAGTAAGGATCTGTAGACAGCTTGGGGATCTCCTCTTCTTAGGTCCATCCAACATCCCTTTGCTTCCTTCTGCATCCTTCTGCACAGATGCTGGTATATGGGTCTTGAGATATTGATGACTCATTCTCACTGGCTCATACTTTGGGGTCCATGGGAGTATGTCAAACCTTGACATACTAGATTTGTTGCGGATGTTGCATGTGGATATTTGGTTTCCCTCTCTTACTTGCTCTTTTGTTTTTTTATGAGAAAGATCCAAAAAGTACACTGCTGCCACTGTTGTTGCCATCTTCCTAAAACCTTGTCAGAACAGAGTTGGACCAAGGTTCTCTAAAACAACAGTCATCTCTAGGAAATAATGACTCATCCCTCTCACTTTTGGGAATCTTTGTTTCCTGGGGCCCTCAGCCCCACCCTGTGCCAGGGTGTGTTGTGGAGGTTAGCAGATGCTGATATGCAAAATTCTAAGGGATAAGATCTAATGACTTAGTCCTCAAGTCTGGCCTCTTTGTGAAATGGAGGGAAGGAAGGCATCCCCTAGAACATCTCCTATGGAGAGGACAAAGATTATTGGCAGGAAGTTGGAGTCATTCTAACAAGGAGACTTATCACAGGCTTCAAGGAAGATATTTCACAGCAGTGCTGTTTTCTCAGAAGGTCCCGGGTCACAGAACCTGGAGTGATAAGCCCACATGGGTGGTCTTCCTAGACAAGCTGCTTTAGGAGTCTGTAGACTGCGTTTTGCTAAGTATTATCTGCAGACTATGTACTCGGAATCATCTGGGATGGGGGAAGTCTATGTTTCTTTGTGTCCCTTCCAAAATTGTAAATCATGGGGAACTAAAGGACGTGACTCTCAACTACCGAGAGGGGCCCCACCAGGGCGCCCACGAGCACCCCGATACCCACAGCACATGTACCCCACTCACAAGGTTGACCAAATTTCAGACTTCAGTTTTAATGGTTAAAGCTGCCTGTGGGAGCCAGGCTGGAGCACGCTCTCACTCGGCCCTCACTTTGCTCCACCTCTCCCTCTTCTTCCACTCCACTCCCGCCTCCCACGCTCCCACGCCCTCCACGCCCTCCACGCCCCTGCTCCTCCTCCAGGTACTGAACTGGCTCAGAGCTAGCATTCTGCCAGGAGGAAAGTGCGCCTCCTTCCACCAGGCCTAGTTCAGTTCGTTTAACTTGAGAGGGCTGGAGGCAGTGAGGCTCTCGGAAGGGCCGGGCTCCAGAGCGGCGGGGCCGCTCCTAGCGGTCTGGCCCAGGCTGCCCCCGCGGCGCGTGCTGGACGCCTCGGAGCCCGTGCCCTCCAGCAGCTTGGCGACGAAGCCCACGCCCGCCGAGCGCAGCAGGCCGCCGCCGGCGCACGCGTACAGCACGGGGTTCACGCTGCTGCTCAGGAAGGCGAGTGCGATGAGCACGTTGCGGGCCAGGCTCAGCCGCTTCCCCACGAGCCCTAACCCGGCGGCCTGGCCGGCCAGCGCGCGGCCCGCCTCAGCCAGGTTCACCACGTGGTAGGGCAGCCAGAAGGCGGCGAAGGTCAGGATGATGAGCACCACCAGGCGGCCGGTGCGGCGGCTGCGGCGGAAGCGCCGGGCCTGTAGCCGACGCCCTATGTCCGAGTAGCTGGCCACCACAGCCAGGAAGGGCAGCAGGAAGCCCGTGACAGCCTCGAAGATTAGATGGAAGGCCCGGTGCCCTTCGCTGGGGTACCGCGGGAAGCACAGGCTCATGTTCGTTTTCCAGGGCACTACTGTGCGGTACGCGAGGACGGGTGTGGCCAGCAGAAAGGACAACACCCAGATGCCTGCCAGCACCCGCCGGGCCATCGCCTTGGTGCGTAGCTTCTGGGACACAAAGGGGCGGGCCACCGCCAGTGAGCGGTCTAGACTCATGGCCGTGATAAGCAGGACGCTGGCGTACATGCTGACTCCGCAGACATAGTGACACAGGCGGCAACCAGCCAGTCCAAAACTCCAGGTGCCTTGGGCCAGGAAGTGAAGGAAAAAGGGAGCAGTGAGCAATACGGCCAGGTCGGCCAGGGCCAGGTTCAGCACCATCAGGGCAGTGACAGAGCGCTTCTGCATCCTTTTCAGGATACTCCACACCACAAAGCTGTTGCCGGGAAGCCCCACAGCCAGCGCCACTGACAGCAGGATGATAGCCAGCAGAGAGATGAACTCTACACCTAGTGAGGGGGGTGCTGCAGAAGATGTAGTGTTCATGGCCGTCGGGAGGACCTGGAGAGTGAGGGCGGACACACGCATGAGAGTAGAGGACCAAGGGTTTCCTGACGCCATGGACACACCTAGGCTGAGAACTCTAGTCTATCTCCAGGGTCAGCAGCATCAGAGGTCCCCCTGAAATATACTGCCCCCATCGCTGCAGACTGACAACTTAAAGGGATCTGGTTGAGTACAAAGACTAGTTTCCTAACTGGGTCATGCGGCCCCTTCCTGTCCACAGACCCAATTGCAAAATATACAGTGACCACAGCAGCAGCAGCATTTCCAGACCTTTTCAGTCTCCTCCCCTTAGGAGACCCTAAAGCCCAGAACCAAACAGAGTTCCTACCAATGCTGCACCCCTTGAAAGGCCAGTCTTTTTGCCCCCTGCCAGGCCCTCAGCCCCTCAATCCCATTAACTTTCCCAATCACCTGCCTACTGTCCCCAGAGATGCCCAGGGTCAACCAGGAATAACAGGGAGGGGAGGAGTTTAGTGGACAAGTGACAAGGACAAAGCCTCCCAACTTTTTACGCTGGTCAGGCTTTCTTTGGAGATTCCTTTGCACCTTCTTTCATGGCTGCACACTGTCCCACCACCACCACAACCACGGCCGCTCCCAGGAAACTTACTTACAAGCTTTGGCAGGAACTGGTTGGAAGCTGATGCCAATCCCAGGGTCAGGGCAGGGTGGTGTAGCCTATCCCTGGATCTGTCCCACTGCCAAAGGCCTGGCCCCAGGTCTAGGTGCTGTTTGCTAAATCAGCCAGAGAGGAAGTACCACAGAGCAGAGGACAGGGAAGACGCATCTTCCTGAGGGTGGGGCTGAAACCCCTACCCACTCCCTTCACTAGGAGGGGGGATAGTCTGTTTTCCAGGGCAACCCAGAAGGCAGGAGGACTCCTTAGAGGTGGGGCCAGATGAGAAGAGACCAGGAAGGAGCAGTGAGAGAGGAAAGAGGGGTGTGGGGAGTGAGAAGGCTGGGTGTGGCCTCAAGATGCAGGTCTAGACTGGATAATTGAACAAAGTAGTGAATGGTATCATATAGGAGAAGGAGGTATGGTAGCCAGAGAAGGGAAATGGGCTCAGATTGGAGGCTACAATGCTGATATCTTTTTGTTTTGTTTTGCTTTGTTTTAAGATTAATAGGAAGTGTAGGTTGGAGCTGTGACTAGGTCCTGGGTCTGGGTTTGGGTTAGATAACATCATGATTTAAAGAGGGCACATCAGTAAATGCCGAAGGGGGCAGCACTCTGTCCTTGGCTTCAGTTCAAGCTATGATCTAGGTGGTGGGAAGAGGGCCATCTTCCAGCACCCCCTTTCCTCCCCTTACTTAAAGGGACTGGTTCCATTTAGGTCAACCAATTCTCCATTCTCTTTGGTAGAAGCCAAAATCCAAATGGTCTCCTTGGTATCACACAGAATGCCAATTACTTCCCCTTTCCCCAAGCACCTACCTTGTGCTTGCCCATGTGGTTACCCTGCTGAGTCTGGATTTATGATCTGGGCAAGGAGATTGGCACTACCTCTTTCCTATCTTCTCACAGCCTACTATTCAGTTCCACTTTAGACACACAAAGTTGAGGCCGAGCTGGCAGGCTGAGCATGAGGAGCAGGAGTGAGGGAGCAGGAACAGTGATGCCTCATGCCCACCCTGCCAAGAGGGGAAACCAGCAATGCAGAAATGGTCCCCTTACCCGTTTCCTGGACAGAGGAATGTCTCCTTTCCTTGAAGTCTCCTGCAAAAGCTAAAAACTAAAAATTCCTGGCAGGTTGTGGTGGTTCATACCGGTAATCCCAGCACTTTGGGAGGCTGAGGGGAGCAGATCACTTGATGTTAGCAGTTTGAGACCAGCCTGGCCAACATGGTGAAACCCCGTCTCTACTAAAAATACAAAAGATAGCTGGGTGTAGTGGCATGTGCCTGTAGTCTCAGCTACTTGGGAGGCTGAGGCAGGAGAATCATGTGAACCCAGGAAGTGGAGGCTGCAGTGAGCTGAGATCGCACCACTGCACTCCAGCCTGAATGACAGAGCGAGACTCCATCTCAAAAAAAAAAAAAAAAAAAAAAGAAACTAAAAAGTCCTTCCTTCAATCTGACCATGGGCCTTCCTGCTTCCCTTTCAACTCTCACTTCTCAGGAAAGATGCAAAGTATAATGGTGGCCACTGAGGTCCCTTAACCTTTCCAGAGCCCCCACTTGTTCTGCTTGGAGAAAAGCCAGAGCAGAGATGACCTCGCAGCTGTCAGAGGATATGAAAAAAATGGGCAGAAACCGCAGCAAGAACTGAAGTCAGAGTTCAGGAAGGGCTTCCTGACCGCACGGGATGTGAGAGAATGGCAATGTGCAACAAAGGAAGTTAAGGAACCTCTGCCCAGTGCATGAGGACAGAAAGAATCCCGTGAGGCCTGTGTTTGGGGACAGAAACTCCAGGGTCAACCAGAGGCCCCTTCAGACAGAAACTGGGTTGTCCTTGCCTCCTCTCTCAAGCTGTTCCCCACCCGCATCTACCTTGATGGCCTTTCTTCCCCACACCCAGGACCAGGCACTCTAAGCATACTCCCTGCTGTTCTAGTTCACAGGTGCTAGTTCATCCCAGTTTTGGTAGCCCTAGCATGACCCTGGGGACTGGGTTTCTTTTGCTGTTTTGACTTCTGTCTGGGAAGCAGGGAGGTGTGAGCAGTCGCTAAAGTAGAGCCTGGGGTGATGGTCAGGGTAGCCACTTGAGCGGCCAACCATCTCAGTTTGTTGGGAAACCGGCAGGGCTGGGACAAGGAGTTTTCAGTGCTTAAACTGGGAAAGTTCCAGGCCAACTGGGATGAGCTGGTCACCTTAGTGACCACAGATGTGTACTTGTGGATGTCCCCTGAAAAGAATCCCATTCTACATCCCCCAATCAAAGGGGTCAGGATCTAGAACCGTTTTTAGACCTAGATAAGGATTCCAAAAGGTGGGGGCAGAGAAGTATTGGGGAACGGGCTAGGAATAGCTAGCAGCATCTTAGAAGGAGCCCAGACTTGGCAAAGAGAAAAAGAATATGTGGCACTTCTCTGAAAAATTATTCCTGTCCTCTAAATATTCCTGCCATTCCTCATACCCCAATGGCCAACCTCCAAACTTCCCTGACTGAGTGCTTGCTCCTGGCTCCTTTTCACGTCAGGTGGCCTTTGCAGGGAGGATCAGATGGTCAGGGGGCAAGGTAAGTCTCAGACTCCCAGGGCCCCTACACCACTGTCCACTCCTTGTGTGCCTGTCTCATACTCACTGGACCAAATACAAGACAGGCAGGAAAACTTCCTTTTCAAACCCCACAGATTCATTTTCCCCTTCAGAGCCATTTCCTCCTCAGAGGCTTTTATAAGCCTCAGAGAATGGATCCCATTCCTACCCCTCATCCAAGCTCCCATACCTCTCCTTCCATTTTCTCCTTTATTTCCAGAGTGGTTCTATGGGTTGGCCTGTGGAACCAGGGCACCTGGGCTGAGGAGGGCAGGTCAAGATGCCACTGAAGGCTGGCACTGCCCAGCCTGGCTTGACCCAGCAGGGAACTAGGTGGCTTCAGTACAACTCAGGCATGAAGAACCACCAGGGGAAGCACACTTAAGTCATCATCTAATGGCTTCCCAGTGTATTTCACAATAACAGCTATTGGCAACAAGTAAGCAATGCTGGCACATGGGTACATGCCAACTTGCAAGCACACAATAGTCCTTAACAGGGACCATCACCACCCTCATAATCCCTCAGTTTGGAGGAGCCTGGGCCTGCCCCAAGTGTATAGTAATCCTACCCAGCCAGATCCAAACTCTAGTCAAAGAAGGGTCCCCAAATGTCCCAGAACACTGACCTCTGGAGGGTGGGTGGGGGGTGGAAAGGGACAGGGAAGGGCAGCAGGTTGTAGGGTCTGCTGTCAAAGGTCCCATTCCGGACCGTCCTTCTCCATCCCACCCCCCGGGTCTCCATTGCCGCGGCCCTGCCCCACCACTTTCAGCTGAGGGGTAGTTCGGAGCTCCATGGTCCCTTCCCTAGAGCGGCCGCCCCCTCGGGCCTCCCCAGAGCCTTCGAAGAGCCGCGTGAGGAAACGGGGACCTGCCCGGGGCAGCAGATCTCCAGCGGTGAAGACGTAGAGCACCGGGTTGACGCTAGAACTGAAGAAGGCCAAGGCCGTAGTTCCCGCTCGCGCCGCCTGGCCGGCTCCGCCCAGCTTCGCCAAGGCCCCTTCCGGTGGAGCCAGCGCTGCGACCGCCTGCAGAAGGTTGACTGCGTGGTAGGGGGCCCAGAGCAAGCCGAAGGCAAGCACGATGGCGCTCACCAGCCGGCCCACCCGCGCCCCGTGCCGCCCGGAGCCCCAGCGGGCGCCCCGCAGCCGTGCCAGCGTCACGCTGTAGCAGCCGAGCATCAGCCCGAAAGGAAGCACGAAAGCGGTCAGAGTCTCCAGGCTCAGGTGGGCGGCGGCGTGGACCGGCGACGGGTGGCACAGCTGGCATACGCGGTCCCTCCACAGGTGGCGGTAGACGGCGGCCGGGACGGCGAGCAACAGGGCGGCCAGCCAGACCGCCAGCAGCAGGCGGCGGGCCAGGGCCGGGCTGCGCAGCCGAGGCGCCAGGAAGGGGCGGGTGACTGCGAGGCAGCGCTGCAGGCTGAGCAGGCCGGTGAGCAGCACGCTGGCGTACATGCTGAGCGCGCACACGTAGTACACCGCCTTGCAGCCCGCCTGGCCCAGCGGCCAGGCCTGCCGGGTCAGGAAGGCCACAAAGAGCGGCGTGAGCAGCAGCACCGCGCCGTCGGCCAGCGCCAGGTGCAGCACAAGCGTGGCCGCCAGCGGTCGCCCCCGTGCAGGCCGCCAGCCCGCCAAGCTCCACACCACGAAGCCGTTGCCAGGCAGCCCCAGCAGCGCCGCCAGCAGCAGGAAGGCTGTGCCTGTGGCCCGCGAAGTCTTCCAGCTCAGCAGTGTCTCGTTCCCTGGGGGACGGTAGCAGACCGACATCCTTCTGGGCCTACAGGTGGGTGGAAGGCGCCACAGAGGGCGTTCAGGGGTGGGGCAAAACCCCACCTGTGATGCCCGATGAGAAGGTGCCATGCCTCCTCCTTACTTCCCTGCAGCCTGCCTCTTTTCTGCCTGGGAGTCCTGACTTCCACGAGGACCCAGACCCCACCTCAAACACAACTCCTTCTTGGAACCCAGATCCCCTGCTCCCAGTCAGTTGACCTGCCCCACTCCTGGCCTCCTTCCCAGAGCTCAGTGGTAAACAGGCATAAAGTCATCACCCCAGGCTGTCACTATCTCTACCACCACTCCTCTAGTCTGGCCCCTCCTTCTTTGTCCAGCCCCATTCTAGCACATCTGGGCAAAACTGGATGGTGGGGTGTAAAGGGACGTGCACAGATCTACTTACCAAGCTGGGAGCAAGCAGGATTGGGGGCCTGGAGAAGCTGAAAGGTTAAGCAGCAGTAGGCGAGGTGCCTACTCCTGTCCTGTGCCTATCACATTTGCAGAGGGTAAGACAAGAATGGGGAGGGACAAGATGAGGCTCATCCTGGGCCTCTCCTGGGGCCCCTCCCTCACCCTGCTCCTTCCCATCACCAACGCACCCAGGCGTCCAGGCATGTGAGAGCCTGCCTTGCCAGGAAACAGCACAAGCTGAAGTGGGGCAGTAAGATTCCCTGGTGGTGGAAGGAAATAGGAGGACTCTGCTGAATCCTGGTCCTGCTTCTGTTCTCATCCCTCCCCCAGCTCTGGCCCCAATCCTCCCAGCCCACCTTCTGCAGTGTGTATGTTGCCTGGTCTCTCTGGCCTGCAGAGGTGACCCAAACAACTCAGTCCCCCACCTGCCTTATCCTTGCCTGTTTCCAGTCTCCTGGTCCGGCTGAGCCCCTGGCCTCCTACCTCCTCCCACCTCTTGCCTCAGGCCCTGCCCCAGTCACTCCACCCTCAGGGCTCTCACCGGGCTGTCAATGACAGCTTTTCCATGTAAGGCATGGTGCTAGGTTCCAGGAGGAACAGGGGATGCATGGAGGCATAATGGTTAGGGAGTCATGACACACAACCATGAAGAGGCCCCATTACCAGGCTGCACCAGGATACAAGACAAGAAAGGAAAGGATGAGTAGGGACATACTAAGAAGCAGCCCTCTCCTCTTGGAAAAGTCAAGCAAAACTTGGAAATGAAGAGATTTGAGGGGGGCCTGGCAGATGGATAGAGCTGGGGGAAGGGAAAAGAAAGGCCTCTGCTCAAGTAACAGCCAGAACTTGAGGTTGCTTGGGGAGGGCACCAGGAGCACTGTCTTAGTTTGGGTTCTTCCAAAGCAGAGCTTGAGCTAAGGGCTTGGGTACAGGTGATCCTGTATTCTTGAGCTAAGGGCTTGGGTACAGGTGATCCTGTATTTGGGAGGTTAACTCAGGAAGTGAGGGCATAAGGTAAAACAAGAGAGAGGAAAGCCATTAAGAGTATGTTAAGTCCCTTCAGTAGGCCTTGGGAACCTCTGAGAAAAGTATAGATTGCCCAAGACAAAAGACTGGCAGGGTGATCAGTCCAAAGCATTTATTAGGAGAATGTACTTAATGAGTGGGCTACAGCGTATCCTCACAACAGACAGTGAGAGAGAGTTGTTCTACCTGGGTATATCCAAAACAAGGGGGTCAGGGTATGGAGTTTACGAGGGTTCAAGGTATTTGGTTCAGGGCCAGGGCCAGTTTTTTTCAGTGTTTTGGGCAACAACCTGAATACCTTTTCAAGGCTCTGGCTTGGGCTCAAGCCTGCAGGGGAAATGCAACTGGCCAGGTCACAGGGCAATCAAGTTACTCTGTGTTTCTTTGTCAGGACACAGAAAAAAAGTGGGGAAGCTGGGGGACCCTACAAGGATCCTTGGCAGGAAAGCAGGGATTGTGTTCATTTGAGGGTTTCACTGTCAGTGAGAGTCTCAGCTTCCATGCAACTGTCCATCACGGCTGCAACTGAAATCAGAGCTGGGACACAGCGCACCAGAAGCTAAAGTCTTGATGCCATCAAAGGACATCCCTGCCCCATTCACATCTCTGTCACGTCCACTAATCGGCAAAAGGAGAAAAGTGAGAGAAGATGACCTAAGTGTGACTGCAGCAGGCAGCTCTGGAAAATGAAGCCAGAGCAGTGAGCCAGCCCCTCCTCCGACCAAGGAGGAAGGAAAGAGCAGGTAAGCAGGAAGGCCAGTGTCCCAGACAGGACCCTAATGATCCTGAATCCATGTATCAGGATCCATCCTCTCCTTACACCCTTCCTGGACACAGTCTCACCTCTCATTTTCCAAAGCCCTGCCATGCTGCCATCCCACTTCCCCACACTCTGCCCCGGGTTCCCTTTTCCTAAAGCTGCAGCTTATGGCTTCTCCAGTAGGTGGCAGCACACACAGAGCCACTCATAAACTGCAGCTTCTCAGAGCCTGAGAGCCAGAAACCGTCCCCAGAAATTCCCTCCATAGAAATAAAAAAACACCAGAAGTCACATTTCATCCTTTTACATGGTTCCCATCTACCCTCACAACACATGTCATCACCAAAGACACACATACAAGCTCCAATGGCTTTTGCCAGGCAATTCTTCCTCCAGGACCCCATCTGGCCCCTCCCTCATCCCTCCCCTTGGACTTTGCCCTTCTTACTGGCCAGGCAGGGGGGCCAGAGTCCAGGCTTGACTCATTCCCACCTTGTCCTGGGCTGAGATCCCAGGTTTGTAACAGAAAACACCACTAAAGCCCCAGCACAGGAGAGAACCACCCAGCCCAGAAGTTCCAGGGAAGGAACTCTCCGGTCCACCATGGAGTACCTCTCAGCTCTGAACCCCAGTGACTTACTCAGGTGACTGCTAACCCTCCGCTCTACCCTCCACCTTTAGGGGATATAGGCAGGGCAACAATACTCCACTCAGCCCCTAGGAGACTAACCAGTACCCCTTCCTCTCCTGCTCCCCACTCCACAGTGGGCTTGTCAAGCTCCTGAGCCACCCGCCCCCACCTGCACTCCATGGTCTCTCCCTCATCCCTAATCGATAAACCTAGATCTCTCCCTCCCTAGCCCTCTAGCCACTCTACCCTCATCATGCCCTTTACACTCACCAAGCCCCTCCTCGCCCCTTCTTGACTTTTCTTCTCAACTACCAGGTCAGTATCTAATATAAGCTCGGAGTTTGGACGGAGGGTCTGGACCTCAGCTCCACCACCCCAGCGACCTTTCCGTGTCTGTGATCACAAGCGGACCATCCGGAAAGGCCTGACAGCTGCCACCCGCCAGGAGCTGCTAGCCAAAGTAAGTAGGCCAAGTTCCTCGGTTCCTATAGCAGGGGTAGCCAAGGGGCTCCACAACAGTGGCAACTTGTGATGATGGAGCAGAGGGCTGAAGTCACACAGCTGCCCCTCCCTCTGAGGGCTAAAAGCAGCGGAGTGGGCCTAATGAGCTCTGGTCAATTTGTTCATTTTCCACCGAGTGAGCTTTTCTATGGGAGCAGGGGTTAGCAGGAGATAGGGAGAGTTCGAGGGACAGAATTCAGAAGCTAGTATGGAAAGGTGATTTGTGTGACAAATCAAGTTCAAATTCTGATTCTGCCACTTCCTGCCTGTCAAACCTTGGGAAGTTGTTCAACCTACCAAAACCTCAGTTTCTTCAACTATAAAAAGGCAATAATAATACATCACCTCCTAGGGTTGTTGAAAGGAGTAAGAGGATAATGTAGGTAAAGTCCTCATACCTGGCACAGAGTAAGGACTCAAAAAGGTTAAACACTATTACTGAAAACACTTCTGGAGAACTCTTGAGGGTGTGGGAAGTGAGGTGCAGCATTGTAGATAAGACAGAAGGGTGGACTTCGTGAGAACCTGGCTTGCTTTCCAATTCCAAACCAGAAGTGACTTGGAGGGGAGCAAGGGGAGATGCCAATGACATGGTAGGAGCAAAGAGGAAAAAGGTCAGCCTCTAGCTAGGATCCCCCAAAAACTGAAGAACACGGAGAGCTGCAACCTTTAGGAGGTATCAAAGTGCCGGAAAGTCAAAGTGGGACATCGACCAATGTCTAGAGCCAACTGATGGATGTTGGGCAGCTAAAGAGGGAAGGGGCATGGGATAAGACCTGCCCTTCTTGCTTCTTGCCATTGGGCAGGCATTGGAGACCCTACTGCTGAATGGAGTGCTAACCCTGGTGCTAGAGGAGGATGGAACTGCAGTGGACAGTGAGGACTTCTTCCAGCTGCTGGAGGATGACACGTGCCTGATGGTGTTGCAGTCTGGTCAGAGCTGGAGCCCTACAAGGGTAAGAGGCCTATACTGGGGCTGCTTCCAATGCCTGTCCTTTAGAGCTTTCCCGGGCTTCCTCTCTAGCTTAACCCTGATCCTGGGGACCAGGTGCAGGAGGAGTTGTGGAATTGTCAAGGATGTCACACAGTGGACAGAAAGTCCAAGCGAGGGAGGGTCTGACCCAGTGCTGATGGAGATTAGTGGTGGGTGTCTGGTATGAGGATCTACTGCACTGACAAGGGTGTCCTACAGAGTGGAGTGCTGTCATATGGCCTGGGACGGGAGAGGCCCAAGCACAGCAAGGACATCGCCCGATTCACCTTTGACGTGTACAAGCAAAACCCTCGAGACCTCTTTGGCAGCCTGAATGTCAAAGCCACATTCTACGGGCTCTACTCTATGAGTTGTGACTTTCAAGGACTTGGCCCAAAGAAAGTACTCAGGTCAGAAATCAACATGTCATACTGCCCCATCCCCTACAGTTGGATAGTCCCCATAATTCGTCCTCTTGCACCCACCTACCCCTAGTTAGCTCTTGCTTGTGGAAAGTCCTCATCTCCCAGCTTGATGGCTTCCTCCCAAGTTTTCCAAATCATCTGATTTCCTCTTGTCTCTGCCATTCAGGGAGCTCCTTCGTTGGACCTCCACACTGCTGCAAGGCCTGGGCCATATGTTGCTGGGAATTTCCTCCACCCTTCGTCATGCAGTGGAGGGGGCTGAGCAGTGGCAGCAGAAGGGCCGCCTCCATTCCTACTAAGGGGCTCTGAGCTTCTGCCCCCAGAATCATTCCAACCGACCCACTGCAAAGACTATGACAGCATCAAATTTCAGGACCTGCAGACAGTACAGGCTAGATAACCCACCCAATTTCCCCACTGTCCTCTGATCCCCTCGTGACAGAACCTTTCAGCATAACGCCTCACATCCCAAGTCTATACCCTTACCTGAAGAATGCTGTTCTTTCCTAGCCACCTTTCTGGCCTCCCACTTGCCCTGAAAGGCCAAGATCAAGATGTCCCCCAGGCATCTTGATCCCAGCCTGACTGCTGCTACATCTAATCCCCTACCAATGCCTCCTGTCCCTAAACTCCCCAGCATACTGATGACAGCCCTCTCTGACTTTACCTTGAGATCTGTCTTCATACCCTTCCCCTCAAACTAACAAAAACATTTCCAATAAAAATATCAAATATTTACCACTAAGACTTCTGACTCCAATTTAAACCAGGAAAGGGATGGGGTGGATACCCCATTTTGCCCTCCCCCATCAACACCCAGTCCCAGATCCAAAGCCTCAGTCTTCAAGTATGGAGTTCAATGCCCGCCTCCGCTTGGCCACCGCACCCTGCTGCTGTTCCCAAGCCTCTCGCCGCTTTAGGAAGGTAGTCAAGGCCACATTTCGAGCCACATGGTGGCCGAAAGGGTCTCTTATCAGCTCCTGGTTCTGCTCCCCTGCAAAGGGAACCACTCATGTTTAGTACTACCATGCTCAAAGACAGACTCTACTTGACGTAAAGATCCCTCCATTTCCCCCAGACCCTGGGACTGCCACTGGGATAAAGTGAACACTTCACTTTCCAAAGAACAGAAGTCAGAGGGCAGGGTGAGGGCAGAGGACTACACAATCAGTCAGCGGGAGGGAAGGGGAAAGCAGACTGCTAAGAACCCATGAGCAAGACCACCCTTTGGAACTAAAGACTGTTGAATTTCAGTAGACTTCCCAGCTACCCAGTGATCTGGAGTAAGAGAGGGGAGAGTCTGGAAACATCAAAGAGAGGGGCTGGTACTCACCAAGCTCAGCAGCAATTTCCTTCCGGGCCCTCAAGGCTGCTCCACTCCAGATGGCATCTAGCACACGGCTGCCATGGCGACTACAGGCCAGAGCCACATATTGTCCCTGTATGGAGACAAGCAAAGTAGGTCTCCCTAGCAAAATCCACAAAAGTATTTTGGAGGCTTGTGGAGAGTGAATTTTCTGAAGAGTTTAAGGGCTGAATTAAAATAGTCTAGGAATTACATAGCCTTTTTGAGTCTGAAGGTACAGTCCAGGGAAAGCTCATATTCTCTAAATGGATGATGGTGGGGAATCAAGGCAAAAGCCAGAAATCTAACCTTTAGGTTCTGCAGCACACGGCGGCGCAGCTTGCGCGTCACAGAGGGGCTGGTCAGGATGGCATCGAGCACATGAGAGCCAGCGGGACTTTGGGCAAGGGACAGAAGCTGTGGTCCCGTCAAGGCACCCAGACTTCGAAGTACAAGACCAGGAGTGGAGAAGTGCAGCAGATGCTGGAGCAGTAGAGACCCAAGGACTGTCACATCCCCCAAGGCTCTGGCTGCGGCCATTGCCACCTGGCAGCGCAGAGATAAGAAATTAGGAGGCACCAACAAGCCAGGTGGATGAGCCCATCCCCAGAACACTGCCACCTCCACCTGGATGAAGTCACCACTCTCACCTCAGAAGTCAGACGCTTGCTAAACCCTGGGAGGCCTGACTCCCAATTAGTCACTGGCTTGGCCTCTCCCCTACCTCACCTGGTGCTCTGCAGGCACTGCCCCCTCCTCCTCCGTCAGTCCATAGTACACCTCATAAGCCATCAAAGTGGCAAAGAGAGGCACACAGGCCACTTGCCGGGATGAGGGCTCTGCACAGTGGAATGCCTAAAGGAGAAGACAGAATATGATGAACCTGAGAACTTCTCCGTCCCTTACCTCAACTTTAAGGGAACACCTTCAGGAAAGGAAAGAAGGCCCAACTCCACAAGAATGTTAGCTCCATGAAAGCAGATGTCATGCCTTGCTGTATCCCCAGCCTCTATCACATACAGGGGTTAATAAATGTTTATCCCTTAAATAAACTTCTCTCTTAGTTCTGGGAGACAATTTTTGTTCCAGGACTGTGAAATAACATTTGGCCTCAGCCGGGCACGGTGAGCTGAGATTGCGCCACTGCACTCCAGCCTGGGCAACAAGAGCAAAACTCCGTCTCAAAAAAAAAAAAAAAAATTAGCTGGGTATGGTGGCGGGCACCTATAGGCCTCATTTTCCCCCATTCCTGTGAACTCCTTGGGCATTAGACTTCCTGAGTCCAGAGGTACAAAAACTTAAGATTAGATAAGTCCTAAAAGGTAGAAGTTGAACTGAGGGCATAAACAGATTGTGGGTAATATCCACTCACCTCCAACAAGAGCTGTAGGACCTTGGCTTGGTAGGCCCCAACTCTGCGACAGGCCCCCACCAGGGCAATGACTACCCCTGGGTGGCCCTGGGCCAATACAGCTTCCAAGACAGGGCTCAGCTCCTCAAACACAGGGGACAGCTGATGGGAAACATGGAATGTAACTCTGGCATTCTGGTAATGGCGGACCACATTATTCAGAGAAATCTTCCCAACGAAAACAACTAAAAATGCTAGATAAAACATAAAAAGCATTGCCAGTATCAGGACTTTTGTTTGGCTAGATAAGGCCCAGGATAAGGGGGCAGTCTTAGAGGTGCCACCTCACAGGAAGGAACTTTAAGTGGCTCTTCCCTATGTGTAAGGGAGCACTAGGAGCAAGGGGAGACTAAAATTAAACTGCACTTCCACTCTAACACCCAATGCATGAGACCACAGGGAAGCCCACCTTAGTCCTAAGCAGCAAAGGAAAAGAGAAGCTATGGCAACAGCTCTAGCACTCATGTGGGCTTATAGCCAAGTACCAGAGTCTGGGTGGGCCATGGAACCTCAAGCTGTAAACCTGAATAAAGCCAGTTTCTTGCTGGTCCTCATACCTGAGAGAAGTCAAAACAAATCCTCACTAGAAGGTGGGCACCTTTATCCTAAGCTCTGGAAAACCTCAAAGAATAGCTTTTCAAGGGCAATGGCCAGCACAATGTCAAAGGTATATAGAGGCAGACAGACCATAAAATAAGGTCCAGTGATCAAGAATTAGCAGAAACAGATCCAGCTCAGGTTTCCAACTCACCAGCTCAGGGGTAGTGACTGCATCCAGTAAGCGCTGCAAAGGGAAGTTGGCAATGGGATGTGCAGCCAGGGTCTGCAGCTGCCCCTGCAAGTGCTCCTCAAAGAGGCTCTGGAGTCTTGGGGGCTCCAACACCAGCAGGACCTGCTCCAGGAGTCTGGAACTCGTCTGATCTCGGAGAAATAGCAGTAGGGGACTAGGGACAAGAAGGGCATCAGGCAGTCTTAACTCCATTTCATGCAAAATACAGTTGCACTACATCACCTCATTCATTTCACACAGCCCCGCCAACTTGGGTCGATCCTGAGGCCCTGACCATACCTGCCATCTACTGAGGAACCGCGAGTACTCAGGTAGCCAATCACAGCATTGCAGAGATGAGCGCAAAACTGGGGAAGTTTGCGGTGTAAAACCTGTAAAGCCACTTGAAGACAGAAGCTGGAGATCTTATCAGTGATAAACACTGTGGAGAGAGGGCAGAAATAAAGCGGCTTTCCCAAAATCCAGACAACCTGCGTAACCTCAAACTTTAGGCAACAAGATACAGGGCACTATGGACACAAAGGGACTATACAAAGTGCTCTGAACGTCAAACCAGACCAGGTTTGAAAAGAAGAGGAATAACCTGAGGTAAGGGCCTTGCTTGGTGGTAAGATGACCTCCAGACAAGTAGATACGAGACCATCCTCCTACTTCCCTCCTTACCTGCAATGTCCTTCAGAAAGGAGGAGCTCAGGTCCTGAAGGCGATTCAAAAAGGTTTCAGGGACTTCAAAATCAGCTGGCTTACATTCCTGAGCTGGGGTCTTCTGTGCTTCTGAAGGAAGATTAAGAACATGTGCAGTGGGGAGATCACAAACTGCCATCCAGGAGAGAAAAATTTCACAGATGAACAAGGATTCCGCTTGGAGATGCAGAACAGATGTAGTACAACTAAATGTCTCTTCTGGATGACTGAACTGAGACTACATTTCTGTCTTAATTTTTCTAAGAAACTTCAACCAGCTTCCCCATGGTCCACAGAAGACAGTTCAACCTCCTCAGCCAGGTATTCAAGCCATTCCAAAATAAAGCCTCATTTAAACTCGCTAACTTTATTTCCTAGTTTTTCAAAATGTGGATCACAGCTCAAGACTGTACCATGAAATCAAGTTAGTGGTCTCAACTAGCATTTTTTTTAAATGAAATAGAGCAGAATAGTTTTGAAAAGGAAAAAAAAATAACAGAGTGGGCTGCATGTAGTAAGGGTATAGTTTCCTGAACTTTTGCTTGAGTCCAGTGTGTATGTTACTTTTGCTTAAGTCCATTTGTATATTAAGTCATGCTTAAAAAAAATTCTCCTCCTGCGTCCATTCTAATAGCCTTCCCCAAACACAACTGTACATCCCTACCTCTGGGCCTCCGCACACACTAATCTTTGGCTTGCTAAGCCCTGTTCAGATTAGGACAGGTCAAGCTAATTCTTCCCGGTCAAGCTCCCCCATGAAGACTTACTCTTCTGTTTACTGTCTCATTCTGAACTTTCTAAATTCTTCTTCCCCCTAGGTCCACTTTCCTCTTGTAATACTTACCAGATGATTGGGAACCACGGGGCCTGGCTCTCTCAGACTCCAGAATAGTCCCTCCTAACACCTGAAGCAGAGTTCTGACCACGAAGCTGCCATGTGTGTCTCCACAGTAGACAAGAAAATCATCACACACCTCAGCGGCTAGTCCCAGGACCAGCTCCTCCAGGGTCTCCGTGGGACCATCCTTTCCATCCTCCTCCTCCTCCTCCTCCTCCTCTGCAGCACTCCCCAGCAATCGAGGGAGCTGTAGCAAAGCACTTTGTAATACATGGACCCCGCATCGGTGACAGGCCACAGTGCGCAAGTTAGAGCGCAGAGCAGCCCACACGCGACAAAGCGGTTTCAAGGGACTGAATCCCAACAGTTCCTGCAGCATCTCACTGCCAGTCCTGTTCGTGGACAAAGCTAGGGCCTGAGTCTCTACTTCCTTCATTATATTGTGCACCATCAGATCTGAAAAGGGAAGAAAGACACACTTTGAAGAGACTTAGTAGAGAATACAGTTATGTACCCTCGCTTAACCAAGGGTCGTGGGTCGGAGGCCGAGGAAGAGGACATGGGAAATGAAACTAAGTCCCCACGCCCTGCCGACCCTAGAAAGTTTCCTTGCCTGCCCTGGATTTGATGCTCTTGGTCTAAACCCCGAAGTTGCTGCCTACCTCGTTCTTCCCCAGTCTCGGGAGCCTCTTTCAATGCTGACAGCGCCCGGCGGAAATATCCCAGAGCTTCCGGGCTCAGGTGCGGGTGCGAATCTGGAGCCGGCTCCGAGCGCCCATCCGGAGGCGGCCAGGGTTGCCGCTTACGGCCTGGTAAGGGGCGCCCCGACCCCTTGGCCCCGCGCCCCCGTTTGCCACCAGCTGGGAACCGGCGCCCCACCTTGTGTGGAGAGCGCGGACCCTGCCCCATGTGTGCTTCGCGACCTGTCCGGCTGCAAAAGCTTCCTTAACTGCGGACGGACCTTCGACGTCGCCAAGCGTGCGCCTTATCCAGACAAAGTTTAGAAACGCGGGCGCGCTCCTGACGCAGCTACTACGTCATAGTTCCGCGCCGCCCCAGCCGGGCGGGGTGGGTGTGTCACCCAGATCGCTCCGCCCCCATCCGCAGGTTCTAACTTTGGCCTGGGACTCTGCCCCTCTACCTCAGCACAGAATCGCCCCGGGTCCTACTACAGAATCAATCCTTGAACACTGCCTCCACGTCGCCGGCTCAATCTGGGCGAGAACCCAGACTTCCACCGCAGCCCCGCAATCTGCAGACCTCAGCGGCAGCGCAGGTGGCAGGTAAGCGGCGCACGCTCGTCCCACTTAGGGCTTAGGATCTCCAGGCTTCGCGCTCATCCCCGGCCCGGAAGCTGCGCCTCTGGCTCAGCCGGACTGGGTCAGGCCAGGGACCGGAGCTTCAGATAGCCCAGGACTCTGCGTGGACGCGCCCCGAGGGGCTGCCGCGCCAGATTCCCATATCCAGGCAGCCACACTCAGAGGGTTGTAGTAGTTGTCCACCTCTGGACAGTCCCACTCAGCCCCTTCTTCACTCTCTGGGCCTCCCAAAAGACAGTCAGCCTTGTCCTCAGGCCCGCACCCAGTTGTCAGCCTCTGACTCCTCTCCCCTCAAAGGATTCTTACCTTGGCTCCTCCTCTTAGCCCTAGTGAGGTTCTCCCCTACCCCCCAACCTCGCCCCAACACACACACAGTCTCCAGGCTTCCCTCAGAGTAAGTCTTTGCTTCCACAGACCTGCCTCCTTTGCCTGTGAGTCATGGCAGCTCCCATGAATGGCCAAGTGTGTGTGGTGACTGGTGCCTCCAGGGGTATTGGCCGTGGCATTGCCTTGCAGCTCTGCAAAGCAGGCGCCACAGTTTACATCACTGGCCGCCATCTGGACACCCTTCGCGTTGTTGCTCAGGAGGTGAGTGCTTCCTCTGGGACCACAGTTGCAGAAACCACCCGAGAGAGCCCTTCCACTTAACAGCTCCTTTCCTAATCCCTTACCTGAAACTATAATACTACTCAACAAGATGTGAATATTTATTCAAAGTGGAAATTAAAAACCCCGTAAATAACTTCAGGTAAGGTAGAATTTTGCCGCCAAGTGAGTTTTATGAAAAAACTTTGTGTTTGAGCCAGGCATGGTGGCACGTTCCTGCAGTCCCAGCAGCTACTCCGGAGGCTGAGGCAGGAGGATCGCTTGAGCCTAGGAGTTGAGCCATGATCACACCACTGCACTCCAGTCTAGACGACACAGCGAGACACTGTATTAAAAAAAAGAAAAGAAAGAAAAGTAAAAAACTTTTTGTTTGAGAGCAGAGATTTTGGAATTGCAACTAAAGGGTTGTGGACCTGTGCTTTCCTCTATTTCAGGCAAGACTTTATTGAACTGCACATTTTTTACTTATTTACTAGACTTCAGTTAAATAAATATTTGAGTATCCATGATTTGCTAGGCATTGGTAAACCACTGAAGTTACCAAGACTAATAAAATCTAATTTCTGCTCTTCAAAGATTCAGTCCATGGTGGAGTACAGTGGCTCATGCCTGTAGTCCCAGCACTTTGGGTGGCCAAGGCAGCAAGATCACTTGAGGCCAGCAGTTGGAGACCAGTCTGGGCAACATAGCTAGACCCAGTCTCTACAAAAAATATTTTTTAAATAATTAGCTAGGCACAGTGGCCTGCACCTGTAGTACCATCTACTTGGGAGGCTGAGGCAGGAGGATCGTTTGAGCCCAGGAGTTCGAGGTTGCAGTGAGCTATGATTGCACCACTGCACTCCAGCCTGGTGACAGTGAGACCCTGTCTCTAAAAAAAAAAATTTTAATTAAAAATGAAGATAGATTCCAACAGGAAGTCAGGTACAGAAAGCAGTCACTTCAATGTAATGTGAATATGGTAAATTATAAGAGGGAGATATGCACAGAATACTCTAGGGGTGTTGGGGAGCATCCAGATGACATAGGAGAGTGGCTAGGGAAAGTGGTTTGGGAAAGCGTCCTGGAGGAGGTAGGTGGTTCTTGAACTGAGTTTTGAAAGGTAAGAATTAGGTAAAGGAAGTTAGGAAAAGCATTCCAGCAGAGGGAGCTCCATAAGCATAGGGACGCTGTGTGAAAGAGTAGATGTGTGAGATAATGCAAGGGAAGAGTAGTGAGTGAGAGGCTGGAGAGGAAAGAGTGGGTCTTGGAAGACCCTAATAGAGAACTCAGGCTTCATCCTCTAAGAGATGGAGATCCAGTTAGGAGATTTTGAACAGGGTTTGTGTTTTAGATAGGTCGTACTGGCTGGATTATGAAGAATTAATTTAAGGCAGACAGACTGGAGGTCAGGTGAGTCGTTGGGAGGCATTGCAGTAGTTCAGGCAAGGAGGGTAATAGGCGGGGACCCAGAGCATAAATTTGGAGAATAGGAGGATTGTTCTTAGATAAAGGACTCTTCTTCCTCTGAAGTTGGAGGTTTGTGGGCATTTGTAGAGAGTGAGACAGAACAGGAAGTAGAAATCATTCATGGCTGATAGCTTTGGTTTTTTCAATTACCAACCAGGAGCATTGGTGGAGTGAGGGTAAGACAACTGGGACTGAGTAGAGGTTTTAGGTGAGTAGTGTAGGGTGGGAGCTAAGGGCATGAGAGATGGAAATGACCACAACAAGGAAAAGGATGCTTACTCATTTCTCAAGAGCAGACTCCATGCCTCACTTGTTCTTACCCTCTACTTGCAAAGTACAATGCTGTGCACATGGTGGGCCTCAGTAAATGTTTGTAGATTATTAAAACTTACATTGCAATTCACCTTGCTCTGTGGTGGGGAGGCCTATCATTCCTGAAACTACTCAAACAGACACCAGAGGGCAGCGTTGCCTGCCATGTTGCCTCTGCAGCAGGCTCTCCTAGGATTGATTGTCTTCTCAGTTCTCAAGCCCACTTTGGTTGGGGAGTTTTGTCATGACTCACACCCATGTGTGAATGTGAGCTCATATCCCCTGTCCTACTCCAGGCACAATCCCTCGGGGGCCAATGTGTGCCTGTGGTGTGCGATTCAAGCCAGGAGAGTGAAGTGCGAAGCCTGTTTGAGCAAGTGGATCGGGAACAGCAAGGGCGTCTAGATGTGCTGGTCAACAATGCTTATGCAGGGGTCCAGGTACCCTTTGAACTTTGTTCCCAACTCCACATTTCTGACCTCCCCCTCAGACCCCTGCATCTTCATCCCCACTCATTGTCCCTTCCATTACCCAGCCCCTCACACCTCCCTACCTTCAGATCATTCATCACCCTCCCTGTGCCTTCCAGACGATCCTGAACACCAGGAATAAGGCATTCTGGGAAACCCCTGCCTCCATGTGGGATGATATCAACAACGTCGGACTCAGGTGGGTGCTCCACTGCCAGGACCCATGTTCCCTCACTCACTTAGCCAACTCGACGGCCAGGCCTTTCCTTACATGCCCTCTCCTTTTCCCTCCGGCCTCCCCCATCTCTTTCTTCTCCCTTCCATTCCATTTGTCCCACTTACCTCTGGAGAAGTTCCATCCAGGTGAGTCTGTACCTGAGAATGTCAACTCTGTCAGTAATTTTCATTGGAACAAGCCCTTGGCCTCTCTCCTGTCTCACTCTCTGCCCATCCAAATGCAAGACCCAGAAGGGAGGAAGCCTCCTCCTCTCAGTAATGCGCACAGCCTGTAGTCTATACTTTCAAAATGGTTAGAGGGAGAAATTGTTTTATTTTAGACTGGGAGAAGCTTAAGAAGAAGGAGCGAACACCAATGCTGTTTAGTCTCCACATCCTCACTCCACACCCACAGGCAAGGGCACTGCCGGGTCAGAGTTGGGAGAGCAGGTACATCACTGGGTCACACAGGGTCATTTAGCCCAGGAGTGAGATGAAACACAGCATTTAGAATTCGCCTAGCATAATGCACACCAGTTATGCCTCTGTTACTGTTGGAATGATGTTACACTCTCATATAATCAAGTCATGCCTGATGGATGTGATCAGTCACCTGTGGGAGTAACCACGAGATTATCGGCAAATCTGTGACTAAAGCATGTAAGAACACCCACCGCTCCAATTTTGGTACTCTGGTAACAATCCCAAGGAAGCAGGATTAGAATGCAATTGTGATTTCCAAAGTGGAAGGAAGATCATTAGGACAGAGGAGGATGGTGAGGCCAAAGGCAAGAAAGGGACACGTTAAGAGCTGGAAATTGGCCAGTGTTCATGACCATAGCCTCCAAAGAGAGGTGCCTTCCACACCCTCATCTCTTGCTGGCCAGGGTTTTGACCCTGAAGCAGAGATTCAAGGCAGAGGCCCAGACCCTCGACCTTGGGCCCTGATGAATTATCCAAGGTAAAGGCCCCTTGATGAGCCCCTGACAGCCCCCCAGCACCTCCTGCCCACCCATTCCCCATGCGCATTTACTGCCTTTCCTCTGTATTACCTTGGGCTGCACTTTCCTTTAAAACTATAACTCTACTTGTTTTCATTTGGAAGGTCCTAATTCTTTCCCTATGCAAAAGAAATTTATTCTGGTTACCAAGTTATGTGTGTGTTACTTTTTTTAAATATGGAAAAAATCTGAAGACCAGTATAATCTTATTCCCCTCAGTGCCATCCCTTGCTCTCTTGCCTGATATATAGCTACTATTAATAGCCTGGCATATATTCTTTCAGATTTTTCATGTAAATATCTCTCATTCTTTTTAATACTTGTACGTATTCTATTGGGAGGATGTATGATCATTTATTTCTCTAATCCCTTATTTGTTGCAGCAGTGGAATTCTTAGATCAAAGAATATGTACTTCCCTTAGGTTATAGAGACTGTGGGAAAAATAGAAAAAAAGAAAAGAAAACAAAGAATATGTACTTTTTAAAGATTTAATAAATATTATCAAGCTCTCCTACAAAAAGACCCTACCAATTTTTTATATCAAGACAATGAAGGGGAATATGTGTTTCCCCATGTCCTCTACCACACCAGGCAGCGTCAGCTCATGCACTCAGGCAAGCTTTGTTACTATAATAAGCCGAAAATATATAAAGGGGTTTTAATTCATACTTCTTCCACTATTTGTCAGGTTGAACTTTTTTTCCCCTTTGTTTATTGGCTCTTTGTTCTTTTGTAAATCATCTTTGACTTTCGCATTAATTTATAAGAGATCACTGTGAAACAAATGACTTTGGCATTTATTTTACAAATATTTTTCCCAATTTATCACTCATTTTTCACACGCATACTCCCCCCACTCGTCTGTTGTTGTTGTTGTTGTTGTTGTTGTTGTTGTTGTTTTGAGGTGGAATCTCGCTCTGTCACCCAGGCTAGAGTGCAGTGTGCAATCTCAGCTCACTGCAACCTCTGCCTCCTGGGTTCAAGCGATTCTCATACCTCAACCTCCCGAGTAGCTGGGATTACAGGCACCTGCCACCACGCCTGGCTAATTTTTGTATTTTTAGTAGAGAACGGGGTTTCACCGTGTTGGCTGGGCTGGTCTCGAACTCCTGATCTCAAGTGATCTACCCACCTCAGCCTCCCAAAGTGTTGGGATTATAGGCATGAGCCACCATACTCAGCCTCGCCCTGCTCTTTATATACACAGAAATATACATGTATCTTTGTATTTGTGTGTGTATGTGTGTGTATCTTAATTTTACGTCAAATCTGTCAGTCTTTTATAGTTTCTGTCTTGGTGTGACGCTAATAAAAGCCTTTTCCCTCAAGTTTATAAACACATTTGATCATGTTTTCTTTCAGTACTTCTGTGCTTTCGTTTTTTATATTTAAATATTTGATCCTTTTAGGCTTAATTTTAAAATAATAAACGAGGCAGAGACCCAATTCCCCTAACTCAAATAACTGGTCGGTTGTCCCAAATGATCCAACTTTCCCCCACTGATTTGACAGGTTCCTTTCGTAATACATTGCGTTCTCACATACACTTGTATCTAATTATTCTCTGTTTTGTTTCATTGACTTATCAGTCTACTGTTAACACCTGTATTGCATTCTTTTAACTATTATGTCTTGTACATTTTAATTTATTTTATTTTATTTTTTAGAGACGGGGTCTTGCTGTGTTGGCCAGGCTGGTCTCAAACTCCTGACCTCAAGCAATTCTCCCATCTCAGCCTCCCAAAATGCTGGGATTACAGGCATAAGCCACCATGCCTGGCCCCTGTGCATTTTAATATGGGTGACAGCAGGGGTAGGGAAAGCAATCCCCCTCACCCACAAGACATTAGTCTTTTTAGTCCTTTTTTCGGAATTTTCCTGGCTGTTCTCTTTCTTTTTATTTATTTATTTATTTTTGAGACAATCTCACTCTGTCAGCCAGGCTAGAGTGCAGTGGCACAATCTCAGCTTACTGCAACCTCCGCCTCCTGGGCTCAAGAGATCCTCCTGCCTCAGGCTCCCGAGTAGCTGGGACTATAGGCACGTACCACCACACCTGGCTAATTTTTGTATTTTTAGTACAGATGGGCTTTCACCACGTTGGCCAGGCTGGTCTCAAACTCCTGAGCTCAAGTGATCTGCCCCCCTCGCCTCCCAAAGTGCTGGGATTGCAGGCGTGAGCCACCGTGCCCAGCTTTTCTGGCTGTTCTCACGTTTATTCTTCTCATTGAGCTTTAGATTATTTTATCAATTCCTCCAAAAGGTCTTATTGAGCTATAATCCAATTTGACTGAATCTATGGATTGATTTACATAGAAATGATGATTTACATGTCAGTTCTTAGCTTTGAAAGATTTTGTCTGTACTTATTGTCATGGTTTTATAGTTTTTCTATGTAGACACTATACATTTCTTAAGTTTTCTCCCCCTGAACAATTTTGTTTGTAATTGTTATTGTGACAGGGCTCTTGCGTTCCATTTCTTCTTCCAAAGATTGCTGTTTCTCATCTGTCAGTGGTTATTTTGACCAGTTTTCCTCTCAGAATATGGCCTCAAGCCCCTAATTCCTCAGGTCGCTAACCCACCCTGTGTAGCCTTCCTAGTGGACAACAACCACCAGAAGGCAGGGGAAGCCGCCAGAGGCTGTGGCACCCAGGCCAGCACTAACACGGTTCATTCCTTCTTCCCTTGCCCCACCTTCTAGAGGCCACTACTTTTGCTCAGTGTATGGGGCACGGCTGATGGTACCAGCTGGCCAGGGGCTCATCGTGGTCATCTCCTCCCCAGGAAGCCTGCAGTATATGTTCAATGTCCCCTATGGTGTGGGCAAAGCTGCGGTGAGGACCCAGTGGCATAGGAGCTGAGGAGGTAAAAGACAGTGATGTTACCTATAGCTCAGGAGGTACAATCCCCAGTGGTCAGAATGGTAAGGCTGGCTCCTCTCAGCTCCTCCTCTGCCTCATCCATGGACAGTTCCTTTGCTTGTGCTCCTCTTGGTTGGCTAGAGTAGGCATCACACTGGGGAGCGTGGGCAGCTGAGACCTTGGGGCTCCTGGGAAGGACAGGGTGGGTGGAGCATTCACAGTAGAAGCAGAGAGGGCAGGGCAGGAAAGTGACATGGCTAGGTGGCTCTTACCCTGCCTTCCGCCTCTCCACAGTGTGACAAGCTGGCTGCTGACTGTGCCCACGAGCTGCGGCGCCATGGGGTCAGCTGTGTGTCTCTGTGGCCGGGGATTGTGCAGACAGAACTGCTGAAGGAGCATATGGCAAAGGAGGAGGTCCTGCAGGATCCTGTGTTGAAGCAGGTTGGCAAGGGGAGGGCGAAGGAAGCAGAGAACAGGGGAGTCGGCCTCTGCATCCTCAATAACAAGATCAGATACTCCCACTCACCAGGTGCTTACTGTGGCAGGTGCAGGGCTGAGCATGGGACACACATTATTTCCTTTAATCCTGTAAGGGAGATACCAGCTCCATTCTACAGATGGCAAAACTGAAACCCAGAGAGGTTTAGAAACTTGTTGAAGGTCACATATGTCCTAAGTGGAAAGGCTGTCTAGCTCCAAAGACCATGCACTTGACCCCCACACCAGCTAGCTTAGAAGGTCCAAACACTATTTGGCACTACCAGATCCTTCCACTTAGCAAAGACAGCAGATCCTGGTGCCAGGGCACAGGGCTCACCTGGATGTGGGGAGGAGTGGCTCTGGCACCTGCCAATACTTTGGGTCCTACAGGCCCTGCTTGAGGTCTTTGGCCTCTTTGGTCTTTGGTCTTTTTCTCCTGGAACAGAAGTTGAAATGGGGAGGAGACCTGGGCAGTGCTCTTGGAAATTAACCCTTCACTTCTCTGCCCCTGTGTTTCAGTTCAAATCAGCCTTCTCATCTGCGGAAACCACAGAATTGAGTGGCAAATGTGTGGTGGCTTTGGCAACAGGTGAAGTTTGGGGGCAGCTGGTAATAAGAAAGGGCATGGAGGATGTGTAGTGCGGTAGCATCCAGTGCCCAGATCTGGCTCGGGAGTTGGTTGAGGAACATGTCATTCTTTTCTCTGCTTTTTGAGGCCCAAGGGGTCAGCATTCCCAGTTTGAGGTCTGAGAGCCTTAGGAGCAGGCTCCTGGGAAGTGTGGAAAAAGTCCAAGGCCCAAGAGAAAGAGCTCTCCAGGGATCCTGAGCTCCAGGGCTCTCAGCAGTGCCCTGTCCAACTGGGCCCAAACCTTGTCACTCTGCATACTCCCCTGCCTGCCATCTCCACCTGTCTGTGTGCCCGCAGATCCCAATATCCTGAGCCTGAGTGGTAAGGTGCTGCCATCCTGTGACCTTGCTCGACGCTATGGCCTTCGGGATGTGGACGGTGAGGACCCTGGCACAGCAGTCAGCCTTGACTGCTGTTCCCTCTGTTCCCTGCCCACTCCTCCCTCGGTCTCTCCAGCCAAGGTGAGGGTATCTGAGGAGTGGGAAATGAGAATCTAATCCTCCTCCTCCTGTTGTTCCCAGGCCGCCCCGTCCAAGACTATTTGTCTTTGAGCTCTGTTCTCTCACACGTGTCCGGCCTGGGCTGGCTGGCCTCCTACCTGCCCTCCTTCCTCCGTGTGCCCAAGTGGATTATTGCCCTCTACACTAGCAAGTTCTAACCCTCCTGGTCTGACACTACGTCTCTGCTTGTCTTCTCATTTGGACTTGGTGGTTCGTCCTGTCTCAGTGAAACAGCAGCCTTTCTTGTTTACCCATACCCTTGATATGAAGAGAAGCCCTCTGCTGTGTGTCCGTGGTGAGTTCTGGGGTGCGCCTAGGTCCCTTCTTTGTGCCTTGGTTTTCCTTGTCCTTCTTTTTACTTTTTGCCTTAGTATTGAAAAATGCTCTTGGAGCTAATAAAAGTCTCATTTCTCTTTCAATGTGTTTTTGACTGCTGATTCTCTGCTCAGCAACATGTTAACAATTTGGGAGAAAGACTCAAAGATGTATAAATGTGAAGCTTCTCAAGGGGTTCTGCCCCAGGACAAGACCCCTTTCCTCCAGAACTGTTCCTGCTCTGCCCTGCAAGACCTGTTTCCCATGCCCCAGCTGAGGAGCAGAGTCGCTCCACAGCTAGAAGTGGGCACATCCAGTCTCACACTGGTTTTCCACCCCCATTCCACCATCTCTTCAGGGATGCCTGCTACCTTCTAGCTGGGCCTGATCTCTGGCTGAGGCCCAGTCCAGCAAAGGCAGATTCCTTGGTGTTCATGATTTCCTGGAACTTGGGGAGAAGGTACTGCCTGAATCCAAGTGAGGGACAGAGGAATAGCTGTGACACCGACAACTCTCATCCTTCCTCTCGGGATGGTTCTACCTGAATTGCTTTCTGCAGAACTAATTGCATGAGCCCTATAGAGCTGCCTTGCCTATGCAAGAGGCTGTCCTAGCCTGAGGCAAGGCAATGGGGTGTGTTCCTAAGAGGAGCCAAGGGCTATTCTGAGGGAACCTTCCACCGGACAGCCTAGATAACCATCCAAAGTGATGGGATGGCTGCCATAAATCAGAGAAACATAAATCATTTTACTTATTCAAAATCTTCAGAGTGAGAGCTGAGGCTTCCCCAGGCTGCCCACAAGATTGGCAGAAGTCTTCCTGTGGCTTTCTGGGGACCGTCCCCAGTTACTGTTCCAGTGGTAAGTGGAGTGGCTCACCAGCTTCTGAGAGCTTCTGATGCACATCTCTTCTAAGTCCTCATTCAGTGATTTCATGTGGTGTCTTGAATCAGCCATGGCGACAGTACATGTCCCATGAAAGTCCACAAATGCTACCAATCAAAGCTTTCTTTTAGAGAGAGGGCTGGCTTATCAGTACGTGACTGGTATAGAACCTTTGGAACTGTGTGCCTAAATGCCACCATTTGCTGTGGCAGCAGATCACAGTGATCAGATTCCCTCAGCACCTGCTCACCCTCTTCCACTTACCAGCCTAAATTCCTGTTATCTCCTGAGGTTGATGAGGAGCACAGGCAGTTGCCTATGTGGTATAAAAAGAAGATGGGCCTCAGGACCACCTCCAGCCTTCCACAGCCATCATTAAAATCCACCAATGGGGCTGGGCGTAGTAGTTTACACCTGTAATCTCAGTCCTTGGGAGGTTGAGGAAGGTGGATCGCTTGAGCCCAGAAGTTTGAGACCAACCTGGGCAACATAGGGAGACCCCATCTCTACAAAACAATTTTTTAAAGATTAGCTGGGGCCGGGCACAGTGGCTCACACCTGTAATCCCAGCACTTTGGGAGGCCGAGGCAGGTGGATCACGAGGTCAGGAGATCGAGACCATCCTGGCTAACATGATGAAACCTCGTCTCTACTAAAAATACAAAGAAAAAAAATTAGCTGGGCGTGGTGGCGGGCGTCTGTAGTCCTAGCTACTCGGGAGGCTGAGGCAGGAGAATGGCATGAACCCACCTCCCAGGAGGTTGCAGTGAGCCGAGATCGTGCCACTGCACTCCAGCCTGGGTGACTGAGCAAGACTCCATCTAAAAAAAAAAAAAATTAGCTGGGCGTGGTGGAATGCACCTGTGGTCCCACCTACTCAGGAGGCTAAGGTGGGAGGACTTGGTGAGCGTGATCACGCCACTACAGCCTGAGCAACAGAGTGAGACCCAGTCTCAAAAAAACAAAAAACAAACAAACAAAAACCACCATTGGAACAAAACTTTCCATGATGGCATTGTCTCCTAAATTCTCAAGATATTATGAGGGAAGCATGGACTTCAAACTCATATAAACTGTCATGCAAATCCTGACTCCACCACCTTGAGAATTAAATGAAATAATATATATACAGCATCAAGCAATACATAACCATCGAAATTGTCAATTCCTGGTCGGGCGCGGTGGCTCACGCCTATAATCCCAGCACTTTGGGAGGCTGACGCAGGCAGATCACGAGGCCAGGAGTTCGAGACCAGCCTGGCCAACATGGTGAAACCCCATCTCTAATAAAAATACAAAAACTAGCCAGGCATGGTGGAGCACGCCTCTAATCCCAGCTACTCGGGAGGCTGAGGCAGGAGAATCGCTTGAACCCGGAAGGCAGAGGTTGCAGTGAGCAGAGATTGCGCCACTGCACTCCAGCCTGGGTGACAGTGTGAGACTCCATCTCAAAAAAAAAAAAATTGTCAATTCCTTCTCTCAACAAATAAATCTAACAGCCTGCTCTGCACCAGGCACCATTCTTGGCTTCAGGATAGAACAGAGAGCAAGACAGACCAGGCCCCCGCCCACAAAAGACTTTCATTTCAGCCATGGGAGATTTTAGAAGTCATCTAGACCTTCCATTTATTGAAGGCAGTGAGTGAACTGGGACCCCAAGAGTCCATAAGATGTGGAGTAAGACCTCGGTCCTGGTATCCCAAGAAACCAGAAGGAATAGTGCTATTCACAGCAGACCACTGTGCTTCTCTCTGACAAGTTTCAGTCATCTTAGAAACATAAGCCACAGAGTACACCACCCAAGGGAATGGCACATGAACAGTCACTTTTGATTGAAGGTAGAAGAGATTCAGGATGTGGGAAGCCTGACACTAGAGAGCACTAGGACATTTTGGGGAATCAATACTCATTCAAAGACATTTGTTTTTTGAAACTCTCTGCCCAGCCCCATGCAAGACACCAGGGAAGACTAGTTGAATTTGGCTAGATGAGTGCTGCAGTAAACTACCCAGAGTGCCCTGAGGACACAGGAGGAAAGAAGCAGCATGCCTGGAGAACTGAGGAAGGGGGCGAGACTAACCAGACACATAAAGGATGGGCGAGGGGTGGAGGTGGGTTTTTTGTTTGTTTGTTTGTTTTTAAAGGCAGGTACTGAGACACAAAAGTAGCAGAACAGCTAGAAGTTTGATGTGGCTTAAATTTAGATTCAGTATGGAATACATTTCCAGAGAGAGAGTGGAGTAAAGATATATGACTGAGACTTAAATTGTGGGTGATAGGTTTCCACTGAGGATCCACCTTAGACCCTGAGTGATTTATGAAGTACTCCCAGGGAGACAAGTAAGCAGGGTTGGTGAAGCCAAGCACGAGCACCCTCTCAGCTGCAGAAAGCAGCTCTGGCATGATGCGAGGGAACAGCTTTGGTGTGTAAGGCCTCAGAATAGTTCCAGCCTGGGACAAGGTTTTTCTGGGCTTTTATTCCCACCAAAACTACCACCAGCAAATGGTGCTCAGTGACCACAGAGCAGTCACTGGGTACACTGCCACCCAGGGCAAAGCAGTCCAGGAGGCCAAAGGCAGTCCTCCAAGAAGGGCTGCAGGTGCCAGCCTTGAAAGCACAGAGTGGGGACCGGGCACGATGACTCACACCTGTAATCCCAGCACTTTTGGGAGGCAGAGGCGGGTGGGTCACTTGAGGTCAGGCATTCAAGACCAGCTTGGCCAACATGGTGAAACCCCATCTGCACTAAAAATACAAAAATTAGCCTGGTGTGGTGGCGTGCACCTGTAATCCCAGCTTCTCGGGAAGCTGAGGCAGGAGGATCGCTTGAACCCGGGAGGCAGAGGTTGCAGTGAGCTGAGATTGCGCCACTACACTCCAGCCTGGGCAACAGAGCAAGACTCTGTCTAAAAATAAAAATAGGCCGGGCGCGGTGGCTCACACACACCTGTAATCCCAGCACTTTGGGAGGCCGAGACGGGCGGATCACGAGGTCAGGAGATCGAGACCATCCTGGCTAACATGGTGAAACCCCGACTCTACTAAAAATACAAAAAAATAGCTGGGCATGGTGGCGGGCACCTGTAGTCCCAGCTACTCGGGAGGCTGAGGCAGGAGAATGGCGTGAACCTGGGAGGCAGAGCTTGCAGTGAGTCGAGATCGTGCCACTGCACTCCAGCCTGGGCGACAGAGCGAGACTCCGTCTCGAAAAAAATAAATAAATAAATAAAATAAAAATAAAAAATAATAAAAGAAAGGACAGAGTGAGGTGTCATGCACAAAAATGGAAAAAGAAAATTCAAGAGGGATCTGGGCCGAGCATTAACACTGTCAGCTGCAGGAGGATTTAAGCAGAAACGTAAAATCATCAGATTTGAATTTTGGAAGTTCACTGGGGCTGAGGTATGGGGAGGATGGACTAGAGGGAGGAGAGAGGCAGACACCAGAGGAGTAGCCAGAAGGCTGGCCCGCTATCAGTATCCCTGGGATGTGATGCAGTGAAGGTGTGAGCAGACGAGACATTGTAGGAGGCAGAGTCAACAGGGACCTGGGACTATTGTGGGACTGTGGTGGTGGTATCCCTGGCTTGAGGGATGCCATGAAACCAGCAACAGGCACAGAGAAAGAAAGAATGTGCCTGAGCAGTGAAGGAGAAGCCAGTGTGCCAGACGTAGCACTGATGGGGCACTGAGGGCCTGACCGAGATGCAGCCCCGCCCCAACTGAGGCAAGTCAAGGTTCTTGGCTGGTCCCTGAAGACGCTTAATTCCTCAAAGGAGCCCAGGGAAAGAAGAAGAGATTTTTGTTTTGCATTGTTAATTTTTTTTTTTTTTTGACAGTTTATCTTTGTTGCCCAGGCTGCATGCAGTGGCATGATCTTGGCTCACAGCCACCTCCACCTCCTGGGTTCAAGCAATTCTCATGCCTCAGCCTCCTGAGTAGCTGGGATTACAGGCGCCTGCCACCACGCCCAGCTAATTTTTTGTATTTTAGTAGAGACCGGGTTTCACCATCTTGCCCAGGCTGGTCTCGAACTTCTGAGCTCAGGCAATCTGCCTATCTCAGCCTCCCAAAGTACTAGGATTACAGGCACGTAATAAATTACCGTGCCCAGCCTGTTAATTTATATTTTTCAGAGGTAACACATTCACATGGCTCAGAATCCAAAAGGTATTGAAGGATGCACAGTGAAAAGTCTCCTCCTCATCCCTGCCCTCAGCCCGGAGGCAGCCAGTGCTACTGCATTCTTGGGTGGCCACAGAGACAGCCCATGCCTTACAAGCAAACATCTAAGATATTCAGAGAAGAGATTTGCTGCGTGCAAATCTGGGCCTCTCTCTCCAGCAGAGGAGTCATAATTTCCAGTCTCAGGCCCACTCTGGCCCTTGTGTCTAACACTTCTAAGTGCACCCAGAGCCCCCACCCCTTCCCAGGTCCTAATGCATCTGCTCCCACCACCAGAAACTTCCCTACCCCACCAACAGAGAGGGTAAGAGGAAAGTGTGACAGCTTAAATAGAGACTAATGACAGCAGAGAAGCAGTGTGAATGCCTAGAAGAGACCAGCCTGAGCGGCCTGGCCCAGCCCCAGTCTCCTCTAAGGATATGGACCCAAACATGGCTGTGAGATGCATGTCACATGGAGATGCCTCTTTCTAGAACAACTGCCCAAGGGTTGTGAGGTATCAAAATGAGGCTTTGGAGCCTCTATCCCCAGGTGTCCCCACTAATGTGAGCTTTGACTAACTGGCCTACATTAAACAGGAAGAGGATGGGTGCAGGGCTGGACCGAGGTATCAGTGACTCCAGGTTTACGGACAAGTCACTGAGGAGGAGTTTCCATCAGCTCCTGAAGTCCCCTTTGGGCCCATGAGTAGAAGGGGAGGTCAGGTCTCTGGCAGGCCAGGGAAGTGAGGAGACGATGTGAGTGACAGTGGGGTGCGATCCAGGCACAGAGAGTGAGGAGCACACACGAGGGCCCAGTGGACAAACCCAGGCAGGCGGCTGGGCCCAGGGCTGCCCTTTCCCTTTGTCACCCTGGCTCCTACCCACCCACGACCGCCAAAGGCCTTGGCCCTGTCTCTGAGGCATCTGTCTCCTACCACCCATGCCAAAGGCCTTGGCACTGTCGCTGAAGCATCTGGTCCCTTACACTTTTGGCCTCCCCATCCCTAGGGAGAGCCCCACCCATGACCTCAGAAGTCCTTTGCCGCAGCCCCTCCCCATCACCTCCAGTCCCTGGTCTTCCCCTCCTAGTTTGGCCCACCCTCCCCACCAAGCGCACTCCCCTGGGCCCTACTGCTCCCACCTTCTCAGGCTTCCCCTCCTTGCACTGCTCCTCCTGACCCCTCAGCCCTATCACCTGCCTGTGCTCACTGGCCCCTGTGCTCTAATCCCCTCTTTAACCCTCCATCTCCTGGTCAGCTGGTGTTTGTGCAGCCTCCTGTGTGCTCAGCACTGGGCAGGGCAGGGTGGACGGGTACAGGCAAGCCTTATGAGACAAAGGTCCAGCTCTCAAAGTGCTTCCAGTTGGCATCATGAAAACATTAGGCAACAATGGCAAGACCCAAGGTGGGGACTCAAAGGAGTGGGAGGGGTCGCCACAGCCAGGCACCTCCCTAGGCTGGACACAACTCTCGTTTCATCCAGGTTTCACCTTCCTGGGGGGTGACAGGACATTCTTATCCCTGCCTTTCTCTGTCAAGCCTCACCTCTGTCTCAGCTCCTGCCTGCAGGCAACCAAGAGCATCCTTGCCCCCTCAGTGTGTCCTGACTCCCTGCCTGACACTCCACTCAGTTCCCCCCAACACACATGCCCATGGGTGCCCTGGCCTAGGGGTCCTCCTCAGAGCCCCATGGCTGCTGGTTTAACTAGGCTGATGGGCCCCATGTTGAGCAGCAGAAGAGGCAGAAGTCACCTCAGGACTGAGCAGGGGCTAAGGAGGAGCACGGGCTGGGTCTTCTGCAGGTGGTATCGAAGAGAAATAGCAGATGTTAGTTAAAGCAGTGAAAGCAGGCTTTATTCAGTAACTACTGACAGTAGGGGAAAGAGCTGAGCTCCATTCTGATTTGTGCACAGGTGATCTGGGAGCTGTCAAGGGAGGAGGCAGGGGGTTAGCAAAGCCTCAGAGTGAATGGAATGAGGCCAGCTGTCTCTCTGTCTCTGGCTGGCATGTACCTAAGTTAGGGCTCTGTCCTTTATTTATTTATTTATTGAGGCAGGGTCTCACTCTGTAGCGTGAGCTGGAGTTCAGTGGGTGGTGCGATCTCAGCTCACTGCAACCTGTACCTCCCCAGCTCAAGGGATCCTCCCACCTCAGCCCCCTGAGTAGCTGGGACTATAGGAATGTACAACCATGCCTGGTTAAGTTTTTTTTTTTTTTTGTATTTTTAGTAGAGACAGAGTTTTGGCATGTTGCCCAAGCTGGTCTTGAACTCCTGGCCTCAAGTGATCTGCCCGCCTCAGCCTCCCAAAGTGCTGGGATTACAGCGTGAGCCACCATGCCTGGCCTTGATGACTAGATTTTAAAGGAAGACCTGATGCTTTTGAGTTGCAAGAGATACATATGTACAATGGCAAGCCATTTTGAGCCAAATGTTCTAAGAAAGTGAGGTCAGGGGCCTATCATCAGGTGTTGGCTGGAACAAATAATAAATTTTTCTGGCAGCACTGAGCTTTCTCAAGACAGCACTTTAAGAGGGGCTGGGGCCATCCTAGGGATACAGCCTTGTGCTGCTAAAAGCCAATCTAGAGTTGGTCAAGTCTCTTAGTTCAGAGGTTTGGACAGAGTTGTCATGTGCTGAGAGTTCTGCAGTTCTCAGTGGGATGCTGCTGCCCACTGCCCTCTGCTCCAAGCCTCCCGGGGAACTCAGCAGTGGGCCAGCTGTGGGGGCGAATAGTTTCCTCAGCCAGAGTCCAGGTGCAGGCTCAGGCTCAGCTTGAAGCAAGGCCAAGGGATCGCCAGCCACCTGGACTTAAATGCCAGCAGTGGAGAGGAACTGGAAGCTGCTTGTGCTTGATAGTGGTGAATCTGGAGGACATAAGGACCCTTCTGTAGACCCTTGAGAATGGAGGAGCCCATGAGGAATGCTGGGAAGTAGGCAAAGGGAGGAAGTGGGCCCGGCTTTGTGCAATTTCTATTAGCAAGTACCAACACATATGCCCCATATTGGTGAGTAAGGAGGTCTTGGCTACCTCCTCATTAGAGAGGCAGTTCCAGAAGAAACGCGCAAAGCCAGAACAGACACAGCCTGAGCATCCCTAGAGGGCCTCAAGCAAGAGGGAGCAAAGGTGCCTTGGCTTTGGCCCTTCACTGTCACATTAACACCCTATCATCAGAGACCTGTGTTATTGTAGGGGCTGAGAGAATTCAGGTTTATTGGGCACCTGCAACGCCCAAACACTCTACCTAGGCCCTACTCTTTTCATCTGCCACATGAGGTAAGTACTCTTTTACAGCTGAGGAAACTGAGGCTCAGAAATTCTAAGTAACTTATCCAGGATTGCAAGGCTTTACAGCGAGAGTCTGGATTCGACCAAATCTGTATAACTCTGCATAAAAGTGTGAGCTCTTTCCCCTGCATCATGCTGCTTCTGCTTTCTTGTGTCTGGTTTTGTTTGGTTTGGTTTTTGAGACAGAGTCTCACTCTGTTGCCCAGGCTGGAGTGCAGTGGCGCTATCTCGGCTCACTACAACCTCCGCCTCCTGGGTTCAGCAATTCTCCTGTCTCAGCCTCCCCAGTAGCATGGAATTACATCATGCCTGGCTAATTTTTGTATTTTTAGTAGAGACGGGGTTTCCCAGGCTGGTCTCAAGCTCCTGGCCTCAAGTGATCCGCCCGCCTTGGCCTCCCAAAATGCTGGGATTACAGGCGTGAGCCACTGTGCCGGCCTCTGGTTTGGTTTTGACTTTGGAGGCCTTCTACTTTGGGTAGAGGAAGGGTTGGGGACTGGGCAGAATGGTGAAAGCTTTCCCAAGCTCACCCAGCCTAAGTTCCTCTTGGCCACATTGAGCCTTACTCTTCCCTAAACTTGACCACACTCCCTTTCCTCTGCGCCTTTGCTCCAGCTGTTCTGATCTCTGGATTACTGCTCATTCTTTCACCCAGCCCCCAACCCCATTTTGCCTGCCAGAATTCATCCAGCCAGGCCCATCTCAACCTCCTAGAAGTTTCTCCTGGCGTCTTCTACCCTTGCTTTGCCCGCTTCCAGGGAACCTCTTACTATGAAATTCACTTGGCTCTTGACTAGTGTTAGAGCCATAGATGTCTTCATCCATTTCCTGGATAAGGATGACTCCTTCCCAAAGTTAGGGATTAGGTCTTGAACCCTTCATCCCCCATTCTCCTGCTGTCTCCTTCCCCATGCACAGAAACTTTGAAACCTTCAGCACAGAACTGCACAGTACCTGGGGCAAACCCAGAGTGTGGCTGAACTCACAGGCCCAGTGAGACCAATTGGTGAGAGCTCCACCCTTCCTCCCTGAGGGGAGGTATGCTGGGCCAGCCATGGCAGTGTCTGTATCCCAGGACTGACCCTCTAAGGACTCATTGATCCCTGCTATCCATCGGTCCTTGGCCTCGGCCCCACACACCACACCTCAGCCTCAAAACCCCCGCTCAGGGGCCTAAGAGAGAATTTCCCAACAGGGCTGCCAGCAGTGGGAGCCTTGGATGCCTCTGTAGGGCTACTCCAGGTCCTCCCTGCCCCTCTTCCCCTCAGTGTTCTTTGCCAGGCACAGAGCTCAAGCCTGAGTCATGATTGGGCCCACAGGGGACTCAGGAACACAGCATTGCTCCTGTCAGCAGTTCCAGGCATTCTCCTTTACACTGAATTCTGAGCTTCGGAACCACTCCCTGTCCACTCCCTCCCGGTGCTGCGAGGCCTGGCCCTACAGCCTGGAGTGCAGCCACCCCTGACCAAGCTCCCTGCCCTGGGCTCTAAGATCCCCAACTCCTCCTCCTCATCTCCCACCCCAGCCCAGTGGGTGGGTGCCTCCATGGCTCACCATTTATTCATTCATTCATTCTTTCCCAACTAGTCTCAATACCCTGTTTCATTTCCCTCAGGGGCACTTAGATTCCCTGAAATTGTCTTAGGTGTGTATTTGCTCCTACAGGGACTGTCTCCCCAACTATAATGTAAGCCCTATGACAGCAGGGACCTTGTCTGTCTTGGTCACCACTGTATATTGAGCTGTACTGGCGCTCAATAATTGTTGGTTGATAATTGACTGGCTAAATTATGTTAACGTTAGTTGAGCAACCACCATGGTGCAGGCACCTTGCTAGGTGAGAGGAAATGCAGTCAAATGAGTCCCCTTGGGTAGGTAGTTCACAGCAGGAGCAGAAGTGGGGCGCTGCACCCACAGGATGAGCTATAATGCAGGCACCACAGGACCTGGTGCTGAGAGGAACAGAAGAGGCACTTGACCGAGCCCCAAGCCAGGGCTTCTGCTCACCTACAGCCCCAGCTCCCACTCACTTCCTTTAGGAAGCCCACCCCCATTCTCAGACAGGGCAGCTCCCCATCAGGTGCTCACCCAGCACCATATGCCTCTCCATAAAGGCAGAGCAGTTGACAGAGTTGTCCTTCTACATTTGCTTATGTGATTATTTCCATCATCCAGAAAGTTCGATTAAACAGCCCAGGGCTAGCCTGTATGCTCAGTGAGGCAGGGACTTTGTCTGTGCTCTGCTCACTGTCGCAGCCCCCACCCTAGCGTGGATCAGGCACAGAGGGCCCTCAGTCAGTATTTGTTGGATGGATGAATGGGACAGGGAAAGGGCGAGGCCTGAGTGCTCCCCCAAAAGGAGCGGTTCCTCTTTCCTCCCCTAGAGGAGTATGTCCTTAGCCCCCTGTGTTCATCTACCAGCGACAGCATCCCATCCTTCCCCAGGACCCACAGTCTCACTTTGTTCCACAGCTTCTGCTTCTCACTTGACATAGAACGTCAGGGCTTCTGCCTCCTGGTACCACTCACATCATATATGCCCAAAACCGAATGTGATGGTGCCCCCTGCAGCTGGGCAGCAGCCTTGCCAGGCAGTGAGCTTCTTGGCTACATTCCCACCTCCACCAGTGCTCTGGGCAATTTTTAGCCAACATGTCATTATCATCACCAGTCACCATGCAGTGCCTGGCTCCTGTCACAGAGGCTTCAGTTCTGGCTGGCTCAAGAAGTTTTTCCAGCTTTTCAACACCATTTCTTGGTTGCTTTTCCCTCAACTCTTCCCCAAGAGACGCCAACCTGAGTCAGTACCCACCACACCCTGGGAGAGTTAGAATGCTCTTGTGGGGACTTTCCCTCTGGGGCCCTTCTGTCTTTTAGGGCAACCTTGGGGACCTGCCCTCCCTTCTCACTGGCTAACCTGTTTCGTCTTCTTCCCCAGCCAGGAAGTGTGCTACAGGCACGTGGCAACCCCCATGGGCCATCAAGCAATTTCCCCAGCCTGACTCAGAAGGAACTGGGGAGCAGGGAGAAGAGAAAGAATGCAAGCATTCAAACCAAGTGTCCAAGGAATGGTCAGTTGTGGGGAATGGGCAGTGGAGAGGATCTTCTTGGGCTCTGAGTTACTCTAGTCCCCTGCTCCATCCCAGGGATCAGCATCTTTCAGAACTTCAGAGTGGAGAGACTCTGGTCTCTGAATGTCCACTACTACGTTCTCACAAAGTGGTTGACCAACATATGCTTGAATGCCTCCCACCTCTCATTGAGGCCCATTCTACCTTTGGTAGAATAATTAGCTTTAATTATTAGAAAGTCCTTCCTCATAAAGGATCTACATCCACTCTCTGGTCTTTGGTCTTTGCTCTCAAGATATGCAGAATCAATTCGGTTTCTATTCCAGGAGTTGAAAGACCATTATCATCTGCCCCTTGAATCTTCTCTCCCAGTTCAGTATCTTCATGTCTTCCCTGTGGTCATGGGCTCTTCTCACCATCCTGATTTCTACCTCTGGACTCTACAGTTTGTCTCTGTCCCTCTCAAAATGGGCCACACACTCCTCACAGGGTTTGACTCTCACAGAGTCTGGGGCCTATGAGCCCCATTGTTCTGGGTACTAAAGCTCTCTTAGTGCATCCCAAAGTCATGTTAGTGCTTTTGGCAAGCAGATCACAGTCAATTCTTTCCAATCTCTTATCAGCCAGAGTCCTCCTGTCTTCATACACTATCGTTATTCCACCCCTCACGTATCTCACTCTTGTGCAGCTGATTATCTGAAGACCAAAGAACCAGAGTGTAATTCTGTCCCTATTCAATACCACATGACAAATCTGGCCCAACAATCTCACCAGACGCCATCATCCAGTATTCCTCCCAATTATGTGCAAGTGACCTTCGATTATGAGAGTGGCATCTGTGCTCATCCCACGTCACTGAAAAAGTGCCATCACTAGGGACCTCCCTCCAGGTTGACAAAGACACATTAATTCATATTATTTGGTGATGGATGTCCTATCCGTTACAACCATATCTACTATCCCACCAGCACCCCCACAGTTCACCATTTTGTTGCTCAACATATCCTAAGATAGAGCTGATGGGTGCAAAAGCACTAAGATAGTCATTTGAAAACCTGGTTTCCAAACCTGGCCCCACCTCCAGGTATGTGACTTCACTGGCCCCACCTCCGGGTATGTGACTTCACTGAGTATCTCTGGGCTGCTGGGGATCCATCATGCCCTGTCTCGCTATAACGCTGTGCTCTGCGATGGTCAGAGTTATAAAGAATCAGGAAGCTGGGGGCAGAGGAAGTCCCTGTTGCAAGAGATAAGAATTGGGCACTTCTGCTTGTGCCATGGGGAAGCTTCAACTCTGCTATCACTGACACGTGGCAGGCACCCAGCGCTGCTCTTCCCCTTTCATTTTCTTGACCCCAACTTGTGCTGGGACTCAGATTTCCCAATATTTGATTTCATCTGGGTCCCAAGATTAGATCCAGACCATCTGGCCTGAGTTGCCTCCCCTTGCTGGCCCCGCTTCCCCACAAGGCCAGCATCCAGCACCCCCACCCAAGATTCCCAGAGGTCTCTGGATGCCTCCTTCCACCCTCCTCCCACAGTCCTGGCCCTGGCCGGCTCCAGCAAAGCATGGTGGGCAAGGCTGGAGGGAAAGCCAGCAAGAAAGCGTCTTCTGGAATCAGCCTGAGCACAAGGCCAGGCTTTATTGCTTCTGGCTGTGCGGCCTCGGGCAGAGCTTCAGTTTCTTGCCATCATGGCTATAAAGTATTCAGTCATTATAATTTCTCATTAATTATGGCTTCGGGAGCACAGAAGTTCTCCTCTCTTCGTTGTCCATTTCTTCTTTTGCCCTCCACTGAGGCTTCTCCACCCCACACCCTCAGCCCTGCCCTCACCACGCTCTATCAAAGCTTGTTTGTGGGTTCCCTCACCTCCCCTCTCCCCAGAGCACCCATTCTCTGCTGGGTGTAATGACTACCTGCGCACACCTGACGCCCACGCTGACTTCTTCTGCCTTGACCTCTCAGCCTCTCTCCAGGCAAGGATTTCTTGTTGCCTCAGGACATCTCCACATCAAAACCAAACATGTGAGAAGTAGCCCTTCCTCTTCTCATGCAACCATCCCTCCCCACGCCCATGTTCTAGGACCTCTGTGGACACCACAAATTCTCAAGTCCTCAGCTTTACAACTGCAAGCCTTCCTCCCAGTTCCCTTCGTCCCTGCATCTTAGTCTCACCTGCTACCAAATCCTGCCTACTGGTCCTCAGAAATAGTCCTTCTCCATCCTCACTCTCCATGCCCACTGCCCCCCCACAGCCACAGGGACATTCATGTGGATTCTAGGTTCTGCCAGATCATCCCTGAAGAGGGGGTTTTCTAACCTCCTTCCCCACATTTACCTCCGTTCTGTGTCTCCCGTCCCCCACTAAACCTTTTACCCATACCTGTGTCTGGGAGAGTTTTAAAATAGGAGGATCAGAGCTGCACATCTGTGATTTGTGCACTTTCAGTATAATACATTATGCCTCAGTGACAAGTTTTATAGAAGAATAGAGTAAGCATCAAAAGTTAAACAGAAAAAAATGTAAACCGTTACAATCACCAGATCTAAAACAAGTTCTTCTTAACCTGAGTCTGGGTGAGGTGTCCCTTCTGTGGGCCCTCATGGGCCCCTGTCCTACTCCATCTTACGTGTCTCACCCAAGAGACCTGCTCTGTCCAATACTAGCCACTAGCCCCATGCAGTTATTTACATTTAAATTAGGCCAGGTGCGGTGGCTCATGCCTGCAGTCCCAGCACTTTGGGAGGCTGAGGCAGGATGATTGCTTGGAGGCCAGGAGTTGGAGACCAGCCTGGGCAATATAGAAAGATCCTGTCTCTAAAAATAATTTTTTTTTAAATTTGCCAGGCATGGGCTAATTTTTAAAAATTAGCTGGGTGTGTGCCTGTAGTCCCACCTATTTTTTTTTTTTTTTTGAGACCGAGTCTTGCTCTGTTTCCCAGGCTAGAGTGCAGTGGCATGACCTCAGCTCACTGCAACCTCCACCTCCTAGGCTCAAACGATTCTCCTGCCTCAGCCTCCCATGTAGCTGGGACTACAGGCACGTACCACCACGCCCAGCTAATTTTTGTATTTTTAGTAGAGATGGCATTTCACTGTGTTGGACAGGCTGGTCTCCAACTCCTGACCTCAAGTGATCCGCCTGCCTCGGCCTCCCAAAGTGCTGGGACTACAGCACTACAGCATTACAGCTGGCCCGTGGCCAAAAAAAAATTTTTAAGTTAATTAAAATGAAAAAAAATGAAAAATTCAGTTCCTCAATTGCACTAGGCACATTTCAAGCGCTTAGCAGTCACATGGGGCTACTGTCAACCGTGTTAGATGACACAGATACCAAACACTTCCATTGTCACAGAAAGTTCTATCGGACAGTGCTACACGCCACTGTAAGCTCTGGAAGACAGAGACTTGTCTTTCTGGTCCACTACTGGATCCCTGGCACCCAACATGCTGTGAGGCCCAGCACTGATGCTGAACATCAAGAGACTGAATAAATGCACACACTACCACACACTGCACATGGCCCGGAGACAGCTCCATTACCTGTCTCGCACTTGCTCCCCCTGCCGTCAGACCATGGCTTCTAGCCAAGCTTTGACCCAGGGCCCTGGCCCAGGGCCCTGACCCAGGGCTCGTGGCCCCCTTTCCTCCCTCCAGACTCTCTGGTCTGTGACGGGCTCAGGGTCCTGGAGCCATTGTAAGTGACTATGTGTGTGTGCTTCTGTGTATGTATGTTGGGAGCAGGAGTAGAGAAAGAATTGGCAGGGGTGGAAAGACGCCAGGGTTCCAGGTCTCAAGAAACTCAGGTTCAGGCCTCTGGCAATGGTCACTCTCACCTATACAGCCGACTCAATTCTGAATCTCGAAGATGTGTGACTTTGGACAAGAAACTAACCTCTGCAAACCCACTGTATTCCCTGTTGCTTCATTGTAAAATATGGATAATACCTATTTCATATAGGTAGTGAGTGCAGTAAATAAGATGTCTGGGGCTCTGTTGATACTCAATTACTGTTTGTTTCTTTCTATACATAGAGGGCAGTAAAAATCTCTTCTTCAAACATCATTTAGATTGTGGCTTTCAGGGCACGGTGGCTCACGCCTATAATCCCAGCACTTTGGGAGGCCGAGGCAGGCAGCTCACCTGAGGTCGGGAGTTCAAGACCAGCCTGACCAACAAGGAGAAACCCTGTCTCTACAAAAAATACAAAATTAGCTGGGCATGGTGGTGCATGCCTGTAATCCCAGCTACTCGGGAGACTGAGGCAGGAGAATCGCTTGAACCCGGGAGGCACAAGTTGCAGTGAGCCAAGATGGTGCCATTGCATCATTCCAGCCTGGGCAACAAAAGCAAAATTTGTCTCAAAAAAAAAAAAAAAAAAAAAGCCGGACATGGTGGCTCACGCCTGTAATCCTAGCACTTTGGGAGGCCGAGGCAGGCAGATCACGAGGTCAGGAGATCGAGACCATCCTGGCTAACAAGGTGAAACCCCGTCTCTACTAAAAATACAAAAAATTAGCTGGGCAGGGTGGCAGGCGCCTGTAGTCCCAGCTACTCAGGAGGCTGAGGCAGGAGAATGGCATGAACCTGGGAGGCAGAGCTGGCAGTGAGCAGACACCGCACCACTACTCCAGCGTGGGTGACAGAACGAGACTCCGTCTCAAAAAAAAAAAAAAAAGATTGTGGCTCTCAGACACCTGCATGGTTCCCACTTATCCCACATAGGAGGCCAAATATAACTCCTGACAACTCCTTTTGCCTTCAAGCAAGAGGCTTATTATCATCAGTTCCACTGCTCTTATCTCCAAAGGCACCTGGCTCAGCCTCTCTGTGCCAGCCAGCTAAGTTAGTTTGGCTTTCTCTCCCCCACCTTCACGTCATATTACATACCTGAAATACCCTTCCTGCCCGCTCTTTCCAAAACTCAAGCCCTGCCTTCTCTGATGCAGATTTTTTCATGAGACTCACTTCCTCTCTTAAGCCTGCTTGACTCAACCTTCCCAGTTTCAAGATTGCTAATCACAATGTGATTAGTGACTATGATGCAAGGCTGTACCTGGCAAATCTGCACTTGAGGGCATCTGTGTTCCCAAGTATCTGGTTGCGCCTATGAGTGTGCACAGAGCAGGAAGCTAGAGAAGGAGGTGACCACCAACAAAAGAAGGCTGGTGGTGAGGTGGGAGGGCTGGACCAGACTAGACACAGGTCCCATTTGGCCACTTATTACATGGGTGGCCCTCAACAAGTTACTTAATCTTTCTGAGCCTCAGCTTCCTATTACTATACTGAGCCCTTACTTAGTACAGACACTATTCTAAGCACTTTACATAGATTCTTTTATTTCAGCTTAACTTCAACAGATTAACTTCAACTGCAGCAGCTAGATAATATTTTTCCTATGTTACTGTTGAAGAAATTCAGACATAGAGGAAACGCAATACAGAAGTTAAGTAACTTGCCCCAGGTCACACTGGGACAAGCAAGTGGCAAAGCTAGGATTTGTAGCCAGGCAGTCTGGCTCCAGGATCCATGTTCTTAATCACTCTGCTTACTGCCTCCTACCTGTAATTCTGTGTGTGTGCACATCCCTCCTATGTATGCAAAACTCCCATCACAGTGGCTGGCACAAAGAGAACCAATAAATGGCTTAACTCTTTCCTCACTGGGACTACAAATACACAGGGATAGGAAAAATGTCTCTTTTCGAGAATTTGTTATAGGATCTAGGAAAGGACAAGTATATAATGGACACTTTACATACATTTCCAGGGGCTGAGAGAGGTGTGAAGGATATATAAAGATTTAAAGCACTGGCGGGGCATGGTGGCTCACACCTGTAATCCCAGCACTCTGGGAGGCCAAGGTGGGCAGATCACCTGAAGTCAGGAGTTTGAGACCAGCCTGGCCAACATGGTGAAACCCCGTCTCTTCTAAAACTACAAAAATCAGTCGGGTGTGGTGGTGCATGCCTGTAGTCCCAGCTACTCCAGAGGCTGAGGCAGGAGAATCGCTTGAACCCAGGAGGCAGAGGTTGCAGTAAGCAGAGATCGTGCCACTGCACTCCTGCCTGGGCAACAGAGTGAGACCCTGTCTCAAAAAAAAAAAAAAAAAAAATTTAAAGCACTACCTTCTTACCCAGGTGTGAGTTATAAACACACACATGCCACATGGACACACTATTCGCAAAGACATCACACACGTGTACGTGTGGTACACACACACTCACTAGCCACCCTGAACCTCATAAAGGCTCCACCAGAAAACCTTCTTTGCAGTAGGCACAGGGAAAAAAATCACAGTCTTTAAAAGTACATATGAAGGTCTATCAAATCAGACTGGGGCATTTTAGAGAACTTCCTCGAGGTGCCACTTGAGTTACATTTTTTTTTCTTTGTACTGTGGAGTTCAAAAAGTTAAATCTTAAAGATAAACAGGAATTACTGTGGCAAAGGAGGAGTGTGGAGAAAGGAGAGTCAAGAGGGAACAGGCTAACATATTTAGGAAACTGCAAGTATTTCTGTAGGCTGTCATGAAGAGTTTTTGGCAGGGTCAGGCAGGATATACAGCCAGAGAGTAGGCAGAGCCCAAATGCCAATAGGTCTGATGTGCTGAGCTGAGAGATTACAATTCTATCCTGAAAAGGAGCCACTCAGCACTTTTAGGCACAGATATGACGTCAAATCTGCATTTTAGAAAAATGGATTCAGTAGCACAGAGGATGGACTGATAACAAGGGATGAGGTGGAGAACACTGAAAAGACTTTCAACAATCTGGAGAAGAAATTCGGAGTTTGAACTCCTAGTGGCAGTGGGAAGAGAAAGAGTATTTAAGCGAGTTTAAGAAGTGAGGAGGAAATAGTGCCATTCACTACAATAGAAAACATAAAGGCCAATGTTTAGACAGGATGGATGAAAGATAATTTATACCTTTTGGCTTTTGGAGTTTGAGGTGTCTCTGGGACACCAGGTGATATCCAACAGGTGTTTGAATATGTATGTGCATGTATATTATTTATTGTTATTTAAGCTTGCAAGACATCTGGGCTGGAGATATAAATTTGGGTGTCATCAATTTACAGGTAGTAATTAAAACAATGAGTGTGGATGAACTCACCCAGAGAAAGTGTAATGCCAGATTTGTGGGCCAAAACAGCTCTGAGGAGCTCCAACTCGAAGCAGTTGAAGGCTTACATTTAAACATTCTCCCAGGAACAGTGGGTGAAGTGAAAAAGGGGTGAGGAAAGGGCCCTGGAGATCACCAACATTTAGGGGTGGAGGTGAACAGATGAGAAGAGAGAGGCAGAGGTGCAGGAGGAGAAGCCAGAATGGGGGTGTCAAGTATAAAGAAATGGGTAGCGTCAAATGCTTCAGAGGTTAGAGAAAATGACAGGAAACTCCCCCTGTTAGATTTGACATCTAGAAGGCTGTCGGTGTGGCCAGGGTGAGGTCAGTGGAGTAGTGAAGGTGCGGGTTTCCGGCTGTTGGAGAAACCTCTTCCACTAACTACATTGCACTCTGAGTTACCAACTGGCATGGTCCTCCCCCCATTTCACACGCACGCTACAGTCGCCCGTGCGCACTCGTACACACCAGGTGGCTAACAGGTACGAGGCGTTTCCGGACAGCGAGCGCAGAGCCCCCGCGCACGCGCCTCCGAGCCGGCCTCTTCCGCCGCAAGTCCCTCCCCAAGCCTGCAGAGTGCGCTGCGTTTCGATGAGCCGGGACGTGGCGCCGCTCTAGCCAGCGCCTGGGCTCTGTGGCGGGCGCCGCAGCTCCGCGTCCCCCGCGCCTCCTCCCAGCGCAGGTGGGTCCGCCCGCGGGGGGCGGGGGTGCCCGGGAGCCGTGGGACGGGCGGGTAGCGGCAACCTTTGGGGAGCAGAGTGGTCCCCAACGCCCAGGTGCCCCGGCTCGCGCTCTGGCCCGGGCGAATCGGGCTATAGGAAGGGCCACACGGATGGAAGTCCTAGTCCGGGTGCTCACCTCTTGTGGAACGTGCAAAGCCTGTCCCAGGACCTCTTTACACTCTGGGGGTCTCTGCCCAGGCACGCTTGCTGCTTCCGGACACAGCTGTGGGCGGAGCTAGTAGGGGCGGGGCTACGTGATTGACACTTCTCTCCTCAGACTTCAAGGGCTACCACTGGACCCTTCCCCTGTCTTGAACCCTGAGCCGGCACCATGGTGAGAACCCTGAGCCCAGCCCTTCACCTCCGCAGGCCCGCGCCCTCACCCCCAGTGGCAGTGCCATGGTTGCCCCGTATGAACCTAGGGCTCCACAGTGTGGGGTTTTTGCAGGTCAGCTTCTGCAAGGCAACCTGCACTCTTCCAACCCGTTCATCCTTGTAGCACGGACGCCTGAAGGTGAAGACGTCAGAAGAGCAGGCGGAGGCCAAAAGGCTAGAGCGAGAGCAGAAGCTGAAGCTATACCAGTCAGCCACCCAGGCCGTATTCCAGAAGGTGGGGCCCTCAGAGGTAGCCCCGACCCCAAGTAGCTCCCTTAGTATAGTGCAGAGGCCAAGAGCTGGTCCCTAGAGTCAGACTGCCTAGATCCAATTCTGGGTTATCTCACTTATAACTGTATGACTTTGGGCAAGTTGCTGAATCTCTTTGGGCCTCAGTTTGCTCATCTGTAAAATGGGGCTAATAATTGCACCTACTGCATAAGGCTGTTGTGAAGATTAAATGAGAGAATACCTGTAAGGCCATAAAGCATGGTTCATAGTACCTGTTGTATAATGTGGGATTCACAGAATATTGGATGGTTTTAAGTTTACGTTATTTAGTCCTGTAGTGGGAAAATTATATGATCTCTAACCCTGCCACCTATCTTCTTAGCGCCAGGCTGGTGAGCTGGATGAGTCCGTGCTGGAACTGACAAGCCAGATTCTGGGAGCCAACCCTGATTTTGCCACCCTCTGGAACTGCCGACGAGAGGTGCTCCAGCAGCTGGAGACTCAGAAGTGCGTAGGGATTCAGGATCTCAGAAGACTGCCCTGGCCCTGCGCCTGCACTGCCTGGGTCTAGGGGTGGAGGAGAAATGGGGCAGCCAGTGGCATAGATGGAGGATAGTAGGGGGCTGGGTGCAGAAAGTGAGGGGTGAGCTGAGGTTGACTGTAGGAGAGCCCTGACCCCCCCCTTCCCTTCTGGGTACAGGTCTCCTGAAGAGTTGGCTGCTCTGGTGAAGGCAGAACTGGGCTTCCTGGAGAGCTGCCTGCGGGTGAACCCCAAGTCTTATGGTACCTGGCACCACCGATGCTGGCTGCTAGGCCGCCTGCCTGAGCCCAACTGGACCCGAGAGCTGGAGCTCTGTGCCCGTTTCCTGGAGGTGGATGAGCGGAACTGTACGTGGCTGCAGATTCTGTCCCCACAGCCCTCACCTGCCCACATTCTGGTACTGGGGCCTCAGTAAGGCCCAGAATGGGGAGGGATATCCAGGATGGGTCCACTGAGCTGGTGCTGAAAGGGATGTTGGAGCCAAATGCATCCTCCGTGGAGTGCACTGAGGTGTTTCTAGGGGTTCCTGAGGGGACTCTAGGGGTCCCAGCCAGGTAGCTCCTCTTGCCCTGCCTCTAAGATATGCTGTCACCTCTCCCCTCCAGTTCACTGCTGGGACTATCGGCGGTTTGTGGCCACACAGGCAGCCGTGCCCCCTGCAGAAGAGCTAGCCTTCACTGACAGCCTCATCACCCGAAACTTCTCCAACTACTCTTCCTGGCATTACCGCTCCTGTCTCTTGCCCCAGCTGCACCCCCAGCCGGATTCTGGACCACAGGGGCGCCTCCCTGAGGATGTGCTGCTCAAAGGTAACCAGGGTCAGGGATGCTCAGGAGGACTCTGCAGTGCCACCCTTCCAGCCCCCATGCCTGACCCTGTTCCTGAACCTGTCACTCAGGTTTATTGAGCACCTACTTCATGCGTGGCTCCAGGGGTGCTTAAGAATCAGTCCCTGGCTGAAGGAAGCTTAAGTGTCTGATGGGGAAGATAAAACTGACATACGTAGCCCCTGTGCAAGGACAGCATATAAGTGAGACTGGGGGCTGGAAGTACTCCAAGGAGAGGGTAGGGTGTTGGAGTGGCCAGGAGCTCACCAGTGTCCTGACCACAGCCCCATGCCTCCTGGAACCCCACAGAGCTGGAGCTGGTGCAGAATGCCTTCTTCACTGACCCCAATGACCAGAGTGCCTGGTTTTATCACCGTTGGCTCCTAGGCCGAGGTGAGCAATGAGGAAAGGGGCTGGGTGTTTAGCGCTTAATAGGAATGGGAGAGGGTTTAAAGAAATCTGACACTGTCTCCCCGCAGCTGACCCCCAGGATGCACTGCGCTGCCTGCATGTGAGCCGGGACGAGGCCTGTCTGACTGTCTCCTTCTCTCGGCCCCTCTTAGTGAGTCCTGCAGCTTTTGTCAAGAGCACTGTGGGACTGTGGGCCTGGTGCTGATGGGGCTGAAGTCTTTGTCCTTTGTGCCAGGTGGGCTCCAGGATGGAGATCTTGCTGCTCATGGTTGATGATTCTCCCCTGATTGTGGAGTGGAGGACCCCAGATGGCAGGAACCGGCCCAGCCATGTCTGGGTATCCCAGGATTGGTGGGGCAGAAGTTGGGGTCTGGGGCAGGGCTGGGTGGGACAGTCAAAAAAGTGGTTAGGCTGGGGCATTTCCTTGACCCAGTACTCCCAGCTCTGTGACCTGCCTGCTGCCTCCCTCAACGACCAGTTGCCCCAACATACATTTCGCGTCATTTGGACAGCAGGCGATGTCCAGAAAGAATGCGTGCTTTTAAAAGGTGATGGAACCTGCAGCCTCCACCCCTTGCAGCAGCCCCCATCACTCTTTTCCTCTCAAGGGTGCACCCTCCAACCACCTACTCTTTCCCCAGGCCGCCAGGAGGGCTGGTGCCGGGACTCCACGACAGACGAGCAGCTATTCAGGTGGTGATAGGGAAGCACAAAACAAGGAGAGGGGCTCTGGACTCTGGGCATCAGGCAGCCAGGGCAGGAGGCTGGGGCCTCAAGGAGCTGTTTCAGTCTAGATACTGGGAATGTTGACCAGTGCTTCAGGGCTGTGGGCCTCAACTCCTCCCCACCCTGCCCACCCTCAGGTGTGAGCTGTCAGTGGAGAAGTCCACAGTGCTGCAGTCTGAGCTGGAATCCTGTAAGGAGCTGCAGGAGCTGGAGCCTGAGAATAAATGTGAGGCCCCATTCCGTGAGAGTCTGCTCCCAGAGCCCGCTGAGGAAACCCCTTTCCAGTGTGGCCCTGAGAGGACAGCAGGAAGGCCTCAGGAGGATGGGAGCAGAGGAGGTTCCAAGAGAAACCCTCCTTTTCCCTGCCCTCTCCTCAGGGTGCCTGCTTACCATCATCCTGCTGATGCGGGCACTGGACCCCCTGCTGTATGAGAAGGAGACCCTGCAGTACTTCCAGACCCTCAAGGCAAGTTCTGTCTGCAGAACAGACCAGGGGGAGGCCCAGCAGGCAGGAGGCAGGCAGCTGACATGCATACCCTGCCCACCTCATCCACTCCAGGCCGTGGACCCCATGCGGGCAACGTATCTGGATGACCTGCGCAGCAAGTTCTTGCTGGAGAATAGCGTGCTCAAGATGGAGTATGCCGAGGTGCGTGTGCTGCACCTGGCTCACAAGGTATGGGCTGCCATGCATGCCTTCCCCTGGCCCTCATCCCGCTGGCCTCCCCACGTCCCTGACTTTGCCCCCAGTCTCAGGTGCCTTTGTGGACTTCCAATCAAGATAGAGTTCATCCCTGCCTCCCAGCTTGCTCCTCTTCCAGGCCTTTCTGTCACTCAGCCCATTCTTCTTCTTGCCACTCACTTTCAAATCCCGAGTCACCAGGACCTCCTTGTGCTGTTTCTTCCCCAGGCTGGTCACAGCTTCATCTTCCTTCAGAGTGACCGCTAGCCCACTCCTCCCACACATTCCAGCACATCTCACCCTGGAGCAACCTCCAATACCTGAAGGCCAAATACTTTCCAGAGATTCCTGAGAAGTTGTCCAGGCTCCACTTTCCTAGTCCTTCCCAACACATTAGTTTTATCACATCACCACAGCCCACCTCCATTCCTGCCAAACTCATCTCTGCCTCATCAGGACCAGTCCCCATGGGGGACCAGTCTTTGTTTACCCAGCACCCTCCACTGGCCCCTGTACCTCCGAACTCCAGGCCTCCTCCTCCTCACCCACCCCACTGGTTACCCCACTCGCAGCACTGTCTGTCCCACGTCATGTACTGCTGTGGGCTGTAAGGTCAGCTTCCCACATGCTCCCATCCTCTTCTTGGCTGGGGTCCCCAAGGGCCTGTGGGGCACAGAGGGCATGTGCCTAATAAATGCTGGCCGAGGACCCTCTCCCAGGTCTCCTGGGAAGCCCATCACCTCCTTCCTCCCTTCACCCCCCAGGATCTGACAGTGCTCTGCCATCTGGAACAGCTGCTCTTGGTCACCCATCTTGACTTGTCACACAATCGCCTCCGAACCCTGCCACCTGCACTGGCTGCCCTGCGCTGCCTTGAGGTAAAGTACCCATGTCTCCGTCCCTGTCACGGGTGGTTCTTTTCCTCTTCCTCTCCCTCAGAAGTCTGCCCATCCTACAAGGAGATGTGCAGGACCCTCCACCCCGAACAGGTAACTGCGTGCCTTCCACCTCCATCACGCAGCCTGACCCTGTGAGCCCCTCTGTGCTCTGTGGACCCGTCACCCTGAGCTCCTCAGTTGCTGAACCATCCCTGGCTGACAGCGCCTGTCCTGCCTCCCTGCCCTCCCTGCCCCCAGGTGCTGCAGGCCAGTGATAATGCCATAGAGTCCCTGGACGGCGTCACCAACCTACCCCGGCTGCAGGAGCTGCTACTGTGCAACAACCGTATCCTTCCTTCTGGGTGCCTTTCAGACAGTGGGTAAAGTGAGGTGCCACCCTGGGAAGGGACAGACAGCAGGCAGGGTATGTGCCACCCTCTTGCAGGGCAGGAGAGAGGGGGCTCTGTAGTGTGAGTTGAAGGGGGAGAGCCTGGGGCTGTCGGGCTATCACTGACCTGCACTGGTGGAGTTGTGCGGAGTGGACTTCCTCAAGTCAGAGTTCACAAATGGGCAGCCCGCAGCTGTTCTTCAGGTCTATGTAGTTTTTTGAAAATCAGGAACTTTCATACTTTAAAAAACATCTAGAGTTCTAATTCCTCTCTTAAAAATTGGAAGTTAGAGCAACCTTACACTGGTATTTTCACTCAGCAGCCCTTGGTCATTGCTGAATAGTAAATGTCTCTTTGGACCAGGCTAGATTTCCACCTTATCATACCCTGCACCACTCCCCTGATACTACACCAGCTTGCGTGGGGTGTTGCGGCTCATTCTTTCCTGGCTGACCCTGTGGGTAGGCATTTGCAGTCCCTGCCTAGAGCCTGACTCCCTCCAGGGAGCATATGAGATGCCCATCAAACAGACTTCCAGGCAGCAGTCCCCAGCTCTTGAGGGTACACAGGAGCAAATAAATTGGGAGGAACCTGCCAAGCTTTCCTTGACTCTCCTGAACAAGGCCTCCAGCAGCCTGCAGTGCTCCAGCCTCTTGCCTCCTGCCCCAGGCTGGTCCTCCTCAACCTGCAGGGTAACCCGCTGTGCCAAGCGGTGGGCATCTTGGAGCAACTGGCTGAACTGCTGCCTTCAGTTAGCAGCGTCCTCACCTAAGAGGCCCTGCCCCCTACCCTTGCCCTTTAACTTATTGGGACTGAATAAAGAATGGAGAGGCCCTCTCAGGCTACCAAGCTGTTGTCGCTGCTATCACTACACCACCACCTTCATCACTTTTATTTTTTGAAAAGAAAGGGAAGAGACATGGGGTGTTGCCAGCTCCTTCTTTCTGCGCCATCCTATTGTTTCCTCTCAGAGAGAGCCAAGGCTTCAGTGTTTGGGGCAGAATTCAGGGTGAAGGCTGAGCTTTTGTTTACCTTCTGGTTTGGGGTGGGGGCTGGGACTGGGTCTAGATTCCAAGCAGGAATAGGGCTTGGGCTCAGGTTCTGGCTCTGGTAAGCTACAGAGCAGCTGTGAGTTTCTCCAGCTGGAAGCATCATACAATTTTTTCCCATGACCCCTGCACCTTCCACATGTTCCCCCTGCCCTGGCCCCCATTCACCATAGCTGGGGAGGCTCAAGGGCTCCACGTTCCCAGGAATGGGCCAGGGTGTCCTTGCTCCGTCCTGCCTGAACAACACTATCGGTCCCCATGAGTAGCATTCTACGGTTGAAGTACCTTTGAGAATACTTGATACCATTTGATCCTCACAGAGTCTCAGGGATGAGATTTTTAGGCCCAGTGTACTGATGAGGAAACTGCTGTTGAGACTTGCCCAAGGTTCTTGGCCGGAGCGCTTCAGCACTGAAACCAAAGTTGTCTCTACCCTTGGTCTAGGATTCTAGACTCATGTTCTTGCTTCTGTATTGCTAAGGAATGGTTGGGCAGCGGCCTGGCCTCAGCTCCTTGAGGTCCTGAGCTGAGTGTCTGCTCCCATGGTGTCCCCCCACACATACCATGTACACACCTTGTCCTGACCTAGAGAGTCCTGAGTGGTGGTGGGGGGAGGGGACTGGCTCAGGGGTTAGGGCACTGACTCAAACCTGGCTGGGTGGGGAGAGAAAGATTGATTAAAGCTAGGGAGAGAGTGTGACAAAGGCATCCTACTGGTTCTCTGGGATCTGCCTGGGCCCACATGTGCTCACACACGTCCGGACAGCCAGGGCCCTGCCCCTTCCCGTATCTGCAGTGATGCACAAATCCGCAGCCCCTGCACAAAGCCCTCTGGCTGACCTGCCTGGAAGTTTATATCCACTGGTGTGTCTACTGAGGGTGTTGGAGGTGGGGCACCTGCCCCCACCCCCGGGCAGGTTCTGGTGCTTGGAGCTGGACAAGAAAAGGCAGTGTGGGTGTGGAGGGCTCCCTGCCAGTTCCTGGGGCCTCTCTGTCCCCACTCCCCACGGCACCTCCCTGCCTGATGCATCACCAAACAGCCCCTCCTGGATTCTGTTTCCTTGTGTCTTCTTGTCGGCCTGTTTTTACTGTCTTCTGCTAGGCGGCCCATGGGCAGAGCTGGGACACTAGTGGGAAGGAAGGAAAGAAGGAAGAAGGCCCTGGCTGACGGGCCTGAGGACAAGACCCAAGGAGAGCCTCCCTGAAGATGCCTAGCCTCCTCCTCTCTACCTTGGGATCGCCTTGGTGCCATCCTCAGTGTTTCCCCAGTGACGGGGTGGAGTAAGGATGCACACAGCACAGGTGCCTGAGCCGGTTGGTCTGGATTCCCAGGAAGAATTCCAGGTTGGAGAAAAGGGAATCCTCTAGTCCAACTGAGCAGAGACTCCTCTCAGTGAGAGAAAGGTACTCTGTACCCCTGGAAGGGGGACTCAGTTCCCACCCAAGCCTGAGTGGAAAGGCCTAAACATCCCCTAACCCCCGAGGCTACAGCGGGGGTGGGGGACGTGAAATGAGATTGCTCCTACTCTGATCTCCCTAATCCCAAACTTGAGGGCAGCTCACTCATGCCTGGGGCTGTAGAGCAGCTGAGAAAGAAGGGACAGACTTGGGGGTGGAGGGAGTCAGAATATCTGGTAGAGCCAGCAGGTCAGGGGTTAGCTGGTGGAGCCAGTCTGAGGGCCTGGCTGCTGATGTCACCAGTCTGCAACCTGGGATCCCAGGACCTCCCTGGGCAGGATGAGTTCCAGGACCAGGCCCCTGGGCCAATTTCATAGGGCTGAGCCTGGCTTGGGCTGCACAGAACTCGGCAGCAGGAGCCTGTGAGAGCAGAGGTAGGCAGCCTAAGCTTGGGACCAGAAGGTCGGCCAGACAGGGCTGTGGGTGGAAGGGCCTGCCTGCCCCACTGCCCTTGCAGCTTCTTCATCCGGGAGAAGGGGCTCCTCACATGCCCAGTCTGGTAGGAATCAGCCTGGTGCCAGGGGCCATCACAGCGGTGGCTCCCACCAAAGCCCAGCCTAAGCCCCCAGACCTCACCCCTGCTCCCTCCCTAGCATCTTCTCCCCATTTCCCGCCCAGAGGCCTGGCCTCTTCTCTCCGCCCCCTACAGCAGTTTGGCCCCTCCCTCCCACATAAGTCACTTACCAGGTCTGTCCCTGCGGCATCCAGTCTGTGGGTCCTGTCCCATCCATCCTGACCTGTTCCATCTCAGCCCCAGGACTCAGTACTGCGGTTGCCAACACTGCTGCCAGGTGAGGGGCTCCCACGGGTACTGTGGTGCCGAGTCCAGGCGGCCCACACTATCAGAGGCCGTGCCTGGATCCAGCAAGGTGGGGTGTGGGCCAGCTGTGTACCTGTCAGCCCCAGCTAGGCTGTTCCCAACACCAAGACTCTGCTTTCCCTGTGCACAGGCTCCGGGCACCTGCCATGCCCTACCCCTCCTGGCAGCCCCAAGTGGGGTCTTCCCTGACTTGGGAATGCCAAGGACCACAGGCCCCGGGGTCACTTGTCTGTCTTGTGAGGAACCTTGAGTTGGGGGATTTCTGCTAAGAAATGAGTTCTAGAAGCTGTCAGTGTTGTGCACCTCTAGACTGCAGAGCTAGCAGGTGGACGGACCAGGCCCAGGGATGCTGGAGCACTCTGATGTGTGTGCAGCTGGGTCTTGAGGCTGGGACAAGTGTCCATGCAGGGAACTATGTGGATTTCCTGGGATGGATCGTTGAGTGGGTTTCTTCATTGGGCAGTTTTTCGGATGTTGTTTGGTGGGGGTGAGGGGAAGGCTTTTCTCTGCAGCATGAGAAGCTTCTCTGGGTGAGTCTGAATGGTCTTCGCGGAAGGTCTCTGGATGTGTCTGGAGAATCTCTGGGCCAAGGTGGGATTGTTTCGGTCATCGGGTGGGACTGAATCAGCTGTCTGGATGGAGGGTTTCTGGGTCAACTGGCTGGGACTACCTGGGTTAAGGAGCCACCCTGCCTCTTCCTAACAGGCATGATGGATGGGCCACGTTCCGATGTGGGCCGTTGGGGTGGCAACCCCTTGCAGCCCCCTACCACGCCATCTCCAGAGCCAGAGCCAGAGCCAGACGGACGCTCTCGCAGAGGAGGAGGCCGTTCCTTCTGGGCTCGCTGCTGTGGCTGCTGTTCATGCCGAAATGCGGCAGATGACGACTGGGGACCTGAACCCTCTGACTCCAGGGGTCGAGGGTCCAGCTCTGGCACTCGAAGACCTGGCTCCCGGGGCTCAGACTCCCGCCGGCCTGTATCCCGGGGCAGCGGTGTCAATGCAGCTGGAGATGGCACCATCCGAGGTGAGGCCGGTCTGTCCTCCTCAGCTGAGAGCTAAAAGGCTTTAATGGGACCAGAGACTCAGCCTGGCATTTCTGGGGGGGATAGGAAGCTAATGATAAGGGCCTGGGCTCCTCATGGGGCTTCACTGACACGGAGCTGTGTCCTTGCAGAGGGCATGCTAGTAGTGAACGGTGTGGACTTGCTGAGCTCGCGCTCGGACCAGAACCGCCGAGAGCACCACACAGACGAGTATGAGTACGACGAGCTGATAGTGCGCCGCGGGCAGCCTTTCCATATGCTCCTCCTCCTGTCCCGGACCTATGAATCCTCTGATCGCATCACCCTTGAGTTACTCATCGGTCAGTGGGGCTTGGATTGGGACGGGTGAAGGCCCTATGTTTGGTGGGGAGAGGCTGGCATTAGGGTCAGAGAGGTCTTTAGGCTCCTCCCTGCCCCACTCCTCACCTCTGCCAGATAAGGCAGGTGCAAGTGTGTGGGTGTGCCCCTGGGGTTGTGTCTCAGAGAGGGTCTTGGTGTTGCAGTTTTTCCCAAGCCCATCCTCCTCAAGCCTCCTGGGGCATCGGTCTCAGAGTACTCCTCTTCAGGGCCTGCCTCGGTGCCTCCTTCGGCATTGCTGCTCTGTCCTTTGTGCATCTGTTCTCATTCCCCAGGATGTGGCTGGTTCTCTCTTCTATCTCTCTCTCTCCCTCTTGCCTTCCATGTCCCCCATCTCTGCCAATTCTGTCTCTCTCTGTCTCTGTCCCTCTGTCCCCATGACCCAAGGCAGGTGCCTCCCTTACCGCGTTGCTTGGTGTAGCTTGACTTCTCAGGCTGGTGATTATGCTGCTGCCTGGGGCAGGTGACTCCTTTTACCCTTTGATTAGGGCCTAACCTTGCCCACCTCATCCTTTAATTTCCCAGGAACCCCTACCACCTCCACCAGGGATGCCCTGGGCTCTGGAAGCTGCAGCCCCAGGAAGCAGGCAGGGTTGGCCTTCAGGATCAGGACTGCCCTTTCATACGGGGCAGGTGGATCTGCCCCTCCAGCCCAGGCACTGTGATAGTCAGGCAGGCAGAAGGTGACAGGAGCCCTCGTCTCTCCTCCCCACCTCAGAGTTCAGTGTCAGGGGAACAGGTTTGGGATGTTGGACTGCGGCACTGCCCTAACATGTGGGCAAGCATTGGGTGGAGACAGAGCTGCTCTAAGGGAGACTGTCAGAGAATAAGGTGATGGCCCAACGTAGGGACATACACAGTGGCTCATACACATTGTGGGTGGGGCCGGGAGAAGTCCCAGGCTCCATCCCCTCTCCTCAGGGAGGCCTTGCCAGCTAATTGCTGATTTCCTACTCTAGGAAACAACCCCGAGGTGGGCAAGGGCACGCACGTGATCATCCCAGTGGGCAAGGGGGGCAGTGGAGGCTGGAAAGCCCAGGTGGTCAAGGCCAGTGGGCAGAATCTGAACCTGCGGGTCCACACTTCCCCCAACGCCATCATCGGCAAGTTTCAGTTCACAGTCCGCACACAATCAGACGCTGGGGAGTTCCAGTTGCCCTTTGACCCCCGCAATGAGATCTACATCCTCTTCAACCCCTGGTGCCCAGGTGAGCAGCTGGGGTCTGGAGCAGAGGGTAGATGGGAGGGAAAGACAGGGAAGGGCTTCCTGCCCTCGGATGTGGCGGGGTGCCTAGGTGCCTGACCCCAGGAGAAGCCAGCCTCCCATTGGGCAGATGAGAGGACCGAGGCCTGGTGCAGAAAGGTGGCCAGCCCAGGGTCACACAGCCAGCCACACCTCTCCTGGCAAAGGCCCCTGGCTACAGCCAATCTCCTCCACCATCTGTCATGCTCCCCGTGTCCTCCCACAGCAGTCCTGTCAGGCTAGGGGCATCCCCGCATTTTCTTCTGTGGACATGAGTCCTGCAGAACTGGCCAGAAGTAGGTGAGGCCCAGGGAGAGAACTGGAGGGAACCAGTTTTGTGTGTTCTGGGGACACAGAGGACATTGTGTACGTGGACCATGAGGATTGGCGGCAGGAGTATGTTCTTAATGAGTCTGGGAGAATTTACTACGGGACCGAAGCACAGATTGGTGAGCGGACCTGGAACTACGGCCAGGTATGGTGCGGCTGGCCAGGGTCACATACACCCAGAGGAGCTGGGGTGGGTGTGGGGGCTGGGGTATTGGAGCAGGGTGCTGGCCTAGGGTTCAGGCTGTCACCTCTGCCCTCCATCCCTCCTTCCAGTTTGACCACGGGGTGCTGGATGCCTGCTTATACATCCTGGACCGGCGGGGGATGCCATATGGAGGCCGTGGAGACCCAGTCAATGTCTCCCGGGTCATCTCTGCCATGGTGAGCACCCTCACATCTCTGAGTCCTACTGTGTGTGTGCCTGCTGCCTCGCCACACCCCCACCCTCCTCCTGCCCTTTCTGGATTCCTCAAGAACCCCCAGCCCTGTCCCTGCCCTCGTAAAGGATACTTCAGGAAGGGGTCTCCCTCCTCTTCTCTCCCTTGCCTGCCCCCCACCCCGCCTTTCCTGGCTCCTGTCCCAGCTCCTGTGGAATGTAGGGCCAAACCCAAAACTTGGCACACCCAGGATTCACATTCCTGTGTCAGAGCCCGGGTGGGAGGGGGGCAGATGGCTGAGGGAAGGGCTGGGTGGAGCTCAGGCTGGTGTCTGGATCCTGAGGCATTTAGGGGTAAGGGGTGGTTGCAGGATCGGGGCCCGGCTGGTCCCCATGGACCACATGGCAGGTCCTGAGCCCCTCCTCCACCTCCGCCCTATCTCATCCTGTCCTGGGCAGGTGAACTCCCTGGATGACAATGGAGTCCTGATTGGGAACTGGTCTGGTGATTACTCCCGAGGCACCAACCCATCAGCGTGGGTGGGCAGCGTGGAGATCCTGCTTAGCTACCTACGCACGGGATATTCCGTCCCCTATGGCCAGTGCTGGGTCTTTGCTGGCGTGACCACCACAGGTAGTGGAGGGACTGGGACAGGAGTGGCCCGGGCCCTACAGGGAGAAGGGAGGAAAGCCAGGCTTACCCAGCCCTGCCCAGATGTGGCTACAGTGCAGGGTGCAGGCGGGGGTGGGTAATAGGCTGGCCTTAATTATCATTAATTAGTGTTAACAACAGAGAGAGGCCTAAGGGAAAGGAGGGAGAAGGGACAGGCAAGGACTGAGCCAGGCAGGTGGCCTAGCTTCCCCTGACCCCAAGTGCTCTGTAGCCCAAAGGCCTTGTGGCCCCCGTGGCCCTGACCCTGGCAGTCTATGCCCAGCTTGGCAATCCTAGTTGCCCTTCTCCCCCTGATACTCCTGACACGATGCCTCACTTGCCCCCAACCCATGCCTTGAACCCCAACCTTCGCTCCTCCACAGTGCTGCGCTGCCTGGGTCTGGCCACCCGTACTGTCACCAACTTCAACTCCGCCCACGACACAGACACATCCCTTACCATGGACATCTACTTCGACGAGAACATGAAGCCCCTGGAGCACCTGAACCATGATTCTGTCTGGTGAGCTGGGGTGGACTGCCCATCTGTGCTGAAGAATGGTGACCTGAGCTTTGGAGGTGGAGGGTGGGCAGGGCTGGGGAGGCTGGGGAAACTGAGGACTCCTGACCCTGGGGCTCAGACCCAGCCCCTCCTCCATGTCCATCCAGGAACTTCCATGTGTGGAACGACTGCTGGATGAAGAGGCCGGATCTGCCCTCGGGCTTTGATGGGTGGCAGGTGGTGGATGCCACACCCCAAGAGACTAGCAGTGGTAAGCTGGGCCCCCCACTCCCCACCATGCCCCTGCTTATCTCCCCCACCTGATTAACACAGTCCAGAGTGTCAGTGCTGGGCCGGGCCGGAGAGCCAAGCCATGTAACCCCGCGGCTTCTTAAACGGGTTTGTCAGCTGAACCACCACGTGGATGTTAGTTTATTTTTACCATTCTATATAACTCTCTATTTGCCTACATTTTACTTATTTATAATGGTTTATTTTATTTATAATGGTTAATATACAAGGGAGGTTCAAAATTCAAAAGCTGGAAGAGTATTCAGAGAAAGAATTCATATTCACTATTCTTACTTGCTTTTTAACTTACATATCCTGGAGATAATTAACTGAAGGACCATTTTAAAGTCATTTTTATAAGTAATACATGCTTGGAAGGAAAAAAAAAGTATAGAATTGAACAACACAAAATGTAAAGCTTCCCTATTCTCTCTCAGGAGGTATTTGGGTTTTTTTTCAAAAATATTTTTAAAGTAAATTTCTAGGTTCTACTCCAAACCTGATACATTAGACTTTCCCAGGATAGATGCTAACAATGTATATTTTTGAAAGTTCTTCTGGTGATTCTGACGATCAGCCGGATTTTTTGACCCACTCCAAAGGGTGGCCAGAGAGATGGAGTGACCTCCTCTGGGGCACAGAGTGGTAGGTCAGTGACAGAGCAAGTCCAGTCCTTTTAAGCACATACTCTTGCTTTCAACGAGTTCCTTCCTGTCTGTTCCATTGCTCACTGTGAGTTATATATACAGCATAGAAAAAAATCAGGGCTCAGATAGGTTCAAAGAAGAAAATAGCCCTTATGACCCTGCCTTAATATATAATTACTGTTAATATAACCAACGGGTCTCTTTTCTGTGTCCACATACATGTGTTTCTGCAGAAATTAGAACTACCATACACTCTGTTCTCAAACAAACCCCCACCCCTTCTTACCGTGATACCCCAGCCCCAGGCCACCAGGCCTGCCCTGCCAGCTACCTTCTGTCCAGCCTCTCCCTTACCCCAGGTCAGAGAGTCCTCCCTAGCCTACATTCCTCCCCTGGCCTCTTCCCAGTGCCCTCCCTCTCACTCAGATATGTGAACACAGCCCCATGAGCTGTGCAACCCGGTGATGCCTGTGATGCTGAAACAGCCTGTCCCAGACGCTGGCAGATCTGAGCTCTGGCCCCCAACTCTGGGAAGTGGTGGGGTGGACATCAGGCAGGGGGCTCAGGGCCAGCCAGACTGGGGCTTGATCCCAGCCTGATCACTTCTCAGATGTATGCTCTTGGGCAAGCACCTCGAACTTTTAGGCTTTGGTGGTTTGGATGTAATTTGGGGTAATAGATACCATATATGGTGATTGGGAGGATTAAATGAGAAATTCTGTATCTGAAGGGACCAGCAGCATGCCGGGAGTGTAGCAGCTACTCAAAAAGTCTGAGCTCCTTTCATTCTCCCTGCACCACCTGTCTTGTGAGATCCTGGCATGAACTTCACCTTGCTGTTTCCCCGTCTGTAAAGGAGTGTGTAGTGTTATGTCTTGTCTAAGATTCTTTCCGGTTGGATGGTACTCACTTACCACTCTGTCCTCTCTTGCCAGGCCTCTTCCTGTCAGCCTATCTCTTCTAGACAGCCTCCTGAGTATGATAAGGGCAGACTCTATTTCCCACCAGCTCCCCCCAGTAGAAAGGGCAGCAGGCTGCAGAGCTGAGGGTTGTTCCGCATCTCTCTGGAATGGTGGTGGCGGTGGTGTCCTCGCTCTCCCAGCCAGCAGGCAGGGCCACTGTGGACTCTGGGTTGGTTATGATAAAGGATGGGGCGTCCTGTCCTCTGGGGGTCACAGATGGTGGACATCCAGTGTCAGCCAGCCATGAAAGAGTATGTCAGGGACTTGGTTATCAGGCAGGCTGGTCCGCACATCTGTACCCTGCCCCCATCCTCCAGCAGAGCAGCCTGGGCTGAGGAAAGCAGATTGAGAGCCAAATGGAGCCGCTCTCTCTTTGTTTTCCATACCTGTGTTGCACTGGCTGTCAACTGACCCCCAAGTGTTTGGGTCAGGGCTGATGACCTTGTTCCAGAGGCCACCAGGCAGTGGGACCGGGCCTGAGTGGGTGGGGCTGGGGCCCTGTGTGGACCTTACCCAGGGTCTGAAGAGCCCTCTCCGCCTTCTCAGATCTCTTGCCTCTGTCCCGCCTCACTCTCTAGGCATCTTCTGCTGCGGCCCCTGCTCTGTGGAGTCCATCAAGAATGGCCTGGTCTACATGAAGTACGACACGCCTTTCATTTTTGCTGAGGTGAGGGCTGGGCTCCAGGTGCCTTCTTGGGCTTCAGTCATGGGTTCTCTGGTCCCAACTTCACCGCTGACTGACCAGCTCTGCGACCCGGGGCAAGTCACTCATTATACAAGTCAGTTTCCTCACCTGTAAAAGGGGATAATCAAGGCTGCCTTGCTTCCTATACTCGGGATCAGAAGAGATAACGGGTATGAAACTGCTTCACTAGTCGTAAAGTCAGCCATTGAGTGTGAGGGATTACTGATATTGCCAAAGTGCTCTGCCAGGAGCCTCCCAGACCAGCTTCTTCCCTGCACTCTGGCCTCGTCTGGCTCGTCTTGGAAAGTCTCCCCTTGGGCTCTGCCAGGAAGCTCCCACCCTTGGGACCAAGCCCTGTCCCATAGCTCCTGGGATCAGGGGAAGGAGGCCGGGAGTCAGGCCACCCTCAGACCCTCTGGCTCACTCATTCCTGCTCACCCCCACCCCCCACAGGTGAATAGTGACAAGGTGTACTGGCAGCGGCAGGATGATGGCAGCTTCAAGATTGTTTATGTGGAGGAGAAGGCCATCGGCACACTCATTGTCACAAAGGCCATCAGCTCCAACATGCGGGAGGACATCACCTACCTCTATAAGCACCCAGAAGGTACCATTCCCCCAACCCAGCCAGCTCTGGGCCCCACAACAAGTGTTCCTGCCAAGTGCTTGGCCACCCACGTGGGAATTGGAACCTCACCCTTGACCCTCAACCCCCAGGCTCAGACGCAGAGCGGAAGGCAGTAGAGACAGCAGCAGCCCACGGCAGCAAACCCAATGTGTATGCCAACCGGGGCTCAGCGGAGGATGTGGCCATGCAGGTGGAGGCACAGGACGCGGTGATGGGGCAGGATCTGATGGTCTCTGTGATGCTGATCAATCACAGCAGCAGCCGCCGCACAGTGAAACTGCACCTCTACCTCTCAGTCACTTTCTATACTGGTGTCAGTGGTACCATCTTCAAGGAGACCAAGAAGGAAGTGGAGCTGGCACCAGGGGCCTGTAAGTGCTCCTTACCCAGCCCTGCCCCCTGGATGGCTGGGCACCTCAGGGCTGTGGACATGGAGACCCCAGGAGCAGTGGGGAGTCCCTGGGGGAAGCCTCATGTAGGGAAGCAGGCCTCAGTGACGCCATGCCTCTTCTCCACAGCGGACCGTGTGACCATGCCAGTGGCCTACAAGGAATACCGGCCCCATCTTGTGGACCAGGGGGCCATGCTGCTCAATGTCTCAGGCCACGTCAAGGAGAGCGGGCAGGTGCTGGCCAAGCAGCACACCTTCCGTCTGCGCACCCCAGACCTCTCCCTCACGGTGAATGCAGTTTGCTGGGGCATGAGGGGTGGTCAGAGAGTGAAGGCCAGGGGATAAGGACATCAGAGGTGGGCGCTAAGCCAGCAGCAGGCTGGCCTGATGAGCCTTTGTAGGAGAAGGTCAAGGACCGGCTCTGGGGCCTCAGTTTCCTCATCTGTAGCATGGGATCTTATGTCTCTGGTTCTGTGACAGCCTTTATTGAGGAATAGGTTGGAGTTTCTTCTCTGACTTCTGGGGAATCTTCTCTCAGGAGGATAAATGTGGGACTCGGGGAGGTTTTGCTTCTAAGCAGCTTCCCCTCTCTGGTGCAGTGTACGGTCCCCGTGTGTTTGGCCAGGGTCTCTGACGTGGGGGATGGGCCTCTTTTTCTCTCAGTTACTGGGAGCAGCAGTGGTTGGCCAGGAGTGTGAAGTACAGATTGTCTTCAAGAACCCCCTTCCCGTCACCCTCACCAATGTCGTCTTCCGGCTCGAAGGCTCTGGGTTACAGAGGCCCAAGATCCTCAACGTTGGGTGAGTCTGGCCTCTCCCCCTACCCCTGCTTCCACTCTGGCCTTCCCCACAGGCTGCCCTGGCTCCCAGCTTTGCTCCCTCTCTGTCTGGACAAGTATGTTCTGTCAGGACCCAACCAAGCAGGTTGGGGCCAGCTAGCAATACCTCCCGGCCCAGCTCAGTCCCACCAGCCTTTAGGGAGACCTCTTGGGCACCTGGTGCTATGCCATGTCCTTGCCCTGCCTCACTATCTAATTAGGGAGCAGAAGGCCCACATAGGAATCATTAGTAACTCATTGCTAATATTTGCCCAGCACTGAAGAATTGACCAGGCCCTTTCAGGAATATTATCTCCTTTGGACACAAAAACTCTAATTTAAGTACATTAGAAGGCCAGGTGTGGTGGCTCACACCTGTAATCCCAGCACTTTGGCAGGCCAAGGTGAGTGGATCACTTGAGCCCAGGAGTTGGAGACCAGCCTGGGCAACATGATGAAACCCTGTTTCTACAAAAAATTTTTAAAAAATTAACCAGGTTTGGTGCTGTGCGCCTGTTGTCCCAGCTACTTGGGAGTCTAAGGTGGGAGGATCACCTGAGCCTGGAGAGGTTGAGGCTGAAGTGAGCCATGTTTGTGCCACTGCACTCCAGCCTGGGCGACAGAGTGAGACCCCGTGTGTCTCTCTCTCTCTCTGTCACACACACACACAGACACACACACACACACAGAGACACACACACACAAGCGAAGTTTTGGAATCCTAATGATACGGGTTCAGCTCTAGCACTTACTGGCTATATGCCCTTGGGCAAGCGACTTCTCTCCTTCAAGCCTCAGTGTTCTCACCTGTAAAGCAGGGATAGCAATAGCCCCTGGACCTAGGGTTGTTTAGTGCACTGCTTGGCACAAAGTTAGTGCTCCATTGGTAGTTGTTATTTTTATTATTGCCATTATTACCCCCACTTACAGATGGGGAAGCTGGCGGTCACATCTCATATGGTCTCACAGCTCGTAGGGGGCAAACTCTGCTCTTCCCACTGTGGTGCATACCATGCACAGGCTCTCAAACTCATTGTTTGTTTTGTGCCATGAGGGCCAAGTAGCAGTTCCAGAGGAGAGAACTCCATCCCTCAGGCCCTTACCCAGCCCGTCTGGGCCTGATCCTGGGCTGGGCAAGCCCCTGGGTGTAGTGAGGGCACACACATGCTGTGTTCCTGGGCCTGCGGCTGTCATCTTTGATACAGACTTACACGTGCTGCCCCGTCCCCGCCTAGGAAAAGCACGGAGGGAAAGCAGAGCAGGCCAGAGCCTGGCCTTCTAGATCAGCCTTCTGGGACAGGGGCAGGCTTCATCTTCAGACAGCGAGTTCCTGAGAAAGAACAATGGCTTGGGGTGGGGAAACTGAGGGGAGGAAGCAGAGGACCCCCTGCCCACTTGCCCACCCCTCCCTCACACACAGCAGCTCTCCTGGTGGTGGCTGCCACCTTCGCCATTAGGCCAAAGCTGAGAAGGAAGCTATGTTGATCTTTGCCCCAGCCTGGGCCCCTGGGAATGCTATGATGTGTCACAAAGTAGGGCTTTCCTCATGTCACCATACCATGGTCTCTGGCAGCTCAGTGAACAGAGCCTGAACCCCCCGGGTAGCCTGCTCTGCTAGTCTTGCCCAGCAGGCATCTCTTACCCACACCCCCACCATGGTGGGGGGAGGTTCCTCGTCCTAAGGGATCCGCAGAGCTGGACTTGCCTCAGCAGCCCCACCAGGCCTTTGCCTCTTGGCCCTGCCTGGAAGTAAGGAAAGGGCCACTGTGCTGAGTGTTGGGGGACCTGTTTCCTGTCTTTAGCTGTAGGGTTTATGTGAGTCTCCCTACAGTAAAAGACAGGGTTGGATGATGGTTTCTTAAGGCAGATCCTCCCTGGACAGTCTGTGGCTCCTTAGCTGCTGTGAGCCCAGACCAGAGCCTCCAGTACAATTGGGAGCCTCCAGGGGGACATCTCTGAGCTGTTGGTTCAGGTACCTAAGATTCCAAGATGGGTGTACTTTGCCTCTCATTCGCACATCAGAGGCTGTGGCATGGAACCCCATTATAGCATAAGGTGTGCCACCCCCCTGTGGTGACTGGCCACTTAATAAACATTCCAGAACTCACTCCTCCAGATGGCTGTTGTCACCACCAAAAGCAGTCACCAGAGAGGCTGGAAGTCTGTTCCAAACCCTTCCTGGGAATTTCCCTCAGAGTCTGAATCATATTCTCTAGAATGTCCTCAGAGTGGTCAGTCTGCCTTCTTAGGGGTAGATTTGACTTTGCAGAGAAACCTGAAGTCATCAAGAGCTAAGACTAATTAATAAGATAAGTGAACAAGTGGGTAACTGCCCTTTTCCATCAGAACCGAGGCATGCTGTGGAAGGAAGGACAGGCTGACCGTGGCATCACTGAGCACACGCCTGTGTGTATGGTTTAAATGGCTCTGAAGAAGAGTCCAGGAGGAGTTTTAAACATGTTTCAAGCCCAGGCAATACGATTGAACAAGTACACAATTGGACAATGCTCGTTTCGACGTCTAAGTTCTGGTGTCCTTGTTGGGGAGTTGGTTTCATGACCCACACTCAGTTCCAGGAACATCCCAGCTTTAGCAGATGGCTTGTACTCAGCTTCAGCTCACAAAAGAGGTGTGGTAAAGTCCCCCACCTCACAATGAGACCAGGGGAGGGAGAGATCTTGACATTTCCACCTAGAAAACAGTTTCTCTTGAAAATAATCCGTTACTGCAATGTAAAGGTTACTTTCTGAAATATTATAGTTCAATTATGGTATAGAGTAAATAGACTTCTGAGGGCTGGTCTGAGCTTGAACAACCTTGAATCTTGTATCTATGAAAAGTTAGCAAAAATTAAGAGTGCAAATTTGTAAGCAGTCAGGACATAGCCTAGCCATTAAGTTATAGACTTAATTTATAGACTTCCTATCATACTACGTTCTATTATATATCCCTGCCTCCCTCCTTCAGAGAGCTCAGAAACACCTTCAAGATAATCAGATCCCACTCCTCCTTTTACTTTCACTTCCATTTTATGACCCAGAAAGTGAGGAACAGAGAAGTTAAATAGCTTCTCATAAGCCTCACAGCTAACAAGTGGTAGAAAAGGGAGTAGAGTGGTCCAGGGAAACCCCTCAGAACCAGGTTCCAAGCCAAATGCTTTGCCCTGAAAAAAACTCATCCTTGGAGTTAGGGATGTTGGCTCATTCTCTTAGAGGACAATAGTTAATGCACAGGTTCTATGTCTGGAAAGGGTCCCCAGCGGCAGGCTTGGGTTGAATAGGGCACCAGAGGTAAGGTTTAGGCAAAGGCAGGAAGGACAAATTCCCACAGGCACGAGCAAATGCAATATAAATGCAGTCATGTTCAGTGTATAAAATGAAACGTGCAGATTGCTGGAGGAGCTCAGAGAAGGGTGAGTTTCCTTTTCCTAGAGGCAGGAGGTGCTCAGGGGAGCCGTCACTGAGGAAGTGGTGTGCCAGGCCTTGGAGGAAAAGTAGGCCTTCACAAGGACACCCAGGGTGGGGAGGCAGAGCTGGGTGCTCATTCCACACAAGGCAAAGACTGCAAAGCATGACTGTGGAGGTGAGTCTGGGGAAGAAGGCATTCGGTAGGGCTGCTCAGCAGGAGGAATGATGGGGGGTGATGAGGCTGTGCAAGTAGCAGGGACTGGGTCAGAGTGAGCCTGTGTGTCAAGTTAGAGAGCCAGGATCGTGTGCCACAAGCACCAAAGGAGCACTAAATCCTTGAAGGATTTAGTTCACCTCTGAGTGGTTAGCAGAACAGAATACAAAAGTGGGATGCGAGGCAAGGAGTCCCGTTAGAGGACTAGTGAAATCATGATTCCCAGGGGAGGTCTGGGAATCAATTTTTCAGAGGCCCATGTGGAAAGGAGAAAATGAAAACACTGGTTGTGTGTGTGTGTGTGTGTTTGTCCACCCACCTCTCTGTCTCTCTCACACACACACACACACACACACACACACACAGAGACATAAGGGTTTATGTCCATTTAAAGATGTCTGTTGTCTGTTCTTGGGAAGGATTTTCCTTTTTTTTCAAAGATAACATCCTTCTAATGTTTTGGTGTGTGAAAATGCTCTTTTCTCTTTGGAACGACGATCATAGCAGAGAGTGATTACTTTTCTTCAACCTATGCTCTTGTCAAAACTGAAAGTATTTGAAAATATTGTGTTGGGCCCCCAAAGTCTCATTTTGAAGTTTTCTTGGTTTTGGAAACCCCAGGTGAGATGAGGATGTTCTGTCTGGGGCAGGAGCAGTGGTGATGGAGGGGATGGCATGAGAGGCCTCTGCGGTGGCATCAGCAGTCTTTGTCCAGGTGGATGTGGGAGCAGGGAGGGAGGAGTCCCAGACGATGGGGAGAGTTCCAGCACAGGCAGCTGGTGGGTGGCTGCTGAGCTGGCTATGCAGAGGCGCCCTGGGGATCCTGGTCTTGGGTGTGGAAATTTCAGGTAAGCCTGGAATTGTCTGAATGGGTCCACCTCCTGCTTCTTCCTCCTGACTGCCCTGGATCAGCTCTTACTCCCCACTCCACCCCCAATTACTCCAGGCCCATGACCTTGTCTCTGCCCACAGGGACATTGGAGGCAATGAAACAGTGACACTGCGCCAGTCGTTTGTGCCTGTGCGACCAGGCCCCCGCCAGCTCATTGCCAGCTTGGACAGCCCACAGCTCTCCCAGGTGCACGGTGTCATCCAGGTGGATGTGGCCCCAGCCCCTGGGGATGGGGGCTTCTTCTCAGACGCTGGAGGTGACAGTCACTTAGGAGAGACCATCCCTATGGCATCTCGAGGTGGAGCTTAGCCCCGTGCCAGGAGCAATGGGACTGGAGTCAGATGAGCAAGGACATTGCCCCAAGATAGGGGCACACTACAGAGCAGCTCCCCAGGAGCTCAGGTGGGGAGTCCAGGGCTCCCGGAGGGGGAGTCCAGGGCTCCCGGAGAGGGAGTCAGTCTTCACTTGCACTGGGGGAACAGATGCTAATAAACTGTTTTTTAATGAAGCTGCTGCTCTGTCCATCTTTCAGTCCATGCCACACCAAGACGGATGGAGCCATGGTTTGTCCCAGGGCTGCACATGGCCTTCCTGTATCATCCACTGATAGGGGCTGGTGTCCCTCACCAGAGAGAGGGAACCACAAGGGAAGTTGAGGCTCAGAGAGACAGAGTCGATACTCTTTGTATAACTCTCTTCTACCTGGAAATTTTCCTGTGGGTGAGTTTTGGAGGATTTTGGCTTTGGTTTGAATGAAACTGTTCCCTTACCTCAGGGTTTTTCAAGTGTAGTCTCTAGACCACTTCTATTACAATCACTGAAATGTTTATTAATAATCCAGATAGATGGGCCCTACCATAGACTTCATGTGTCAGAATCCCCGTGGAAGAGGCCCAGAACAAACTCACCAAGAGTTTGACTCCTGTGCACACTGAAGATCAAGAACGATGCCCTTTCATTTTTCTTCTCAGCTGTTCTTTTTTCTGCATTCCCACTGCCTGCATTCTTCTTGGGCTAGCAGTAGCCATGAGATCATGTACCTGATATTCTGGTCCTGAACGCATGTCTTCTTGAACCTTTAAGTTTAGAAGGCTTTCAAGACAAAGGGCTCATGGGGCAGGAAAAAGAGAGCTAAAATTGAGCTGTTCCTACTAGCTGTAAACACATGAACAAGGTGCACACCTTGAGGCATCAGTAGTGTAACATGCACAAGAAGAAACAAGCCCTTCCCTTAAGGTGCTCCTGTCCAGTGGGGGTGACAGACATGCAAACATTCTAAATACAGTAAATGCGTATGTCACACTTACCAGGAACCAGGCTCCAAGCACTTTATGAATTCATTTAATCCTTACAATAACCTTATGAGATAGGTTCTGCATGGTAGTAGAGGGATGTTCAGGATGCTGAGGGGCCCAGAGAACTGTGATTCTGCCTGGGCTGATACAGAAAGTCTTCATGAAGGTGATTACCAGATGACCCATGAAAGATGAGAAAAAGTCAAGTCCAAGAGGCAAAGGACAGAGGAATCACCCAACACGTGTAAAGCACAGACATGTGAGACAACACAGTATGTTTGGAAAATGCAGACAGCTGGATGAGGACTGGCATATGGGTGCATGATGAGTACAAAGTGGCAAAGGATGTGCATGAAGAGGTAAGCTTGGGCCAGTTCATTAAAAATCCTTTTGCCATATTTAGGAGTTTGGACTTTCTTCTGAAAGTAAGGGGGAGCTTTCAATTAGGGATGATATGATCAAGTTTTGCATTTCACATGATTCATAATGAAAGCAACATAGAAAAGAAATTAGAGGGGTTGGGCTGGAGGTAGGAAGATAGAGTCCTCTTGGGATGAGAGATAGGAGAACCTGAATTAGGGTAGAAGCAGTACGAATGAAAAAAAAAGGGTGGGTTTGAACGTTGTATAGGAAATAGAACTGATTAGACTTGATAACAGATTCAATTTGGAGAGGAGGGAGGGCAGAGATAAGGGTGGTGGCCTGAGTTTCTGACTCATGGGTGCCACGAAGAGAGGTGCCATGCACAGAAATTCGAAGCTCAGGAGGAAGACCATATTATAAAAGGGAAGGTAGACCAGGCACGGTGGTTCACGCCTATAATCCCAGCACTTTGGGAGGCCAAGGCAGGTGGATCACAAGGTCAGGAGTTCGAGAGCAGCCTGGCCAATATGGTGAAACCCAGTCTCTACTAAAAATACAAAAAAAAAAAAAAAATAGCCACGCATGGTGGCACATGCCTGTAATCCCAGCTACTCGAGAGGCTGAGACAGGAGAATTGCTTGAACCCGGGAGGTGGAGGTTGCACTCCAGCCTGGGCGACAGAGTGAGACTCCATCTAAAAAAAAAAAATGAAGATAACGACCTCTGGTTTTTAGTCTGGCCTGTAACAAGCTTAGGAGTCCTCACTCCTGTCCTCACAAAGAAAAATGCTGAACAAACTGAAAGTCAGCAACTCTTGTTGGATCTATCAGAGAATTGAGGGCACAGGGCAAACTGCTGCCCCTAAAACTGGAGAGACAAAAAGGCAGATACAGAGAATCACAACTTAACAGCAGAAGCCCAGAAACAGAAACAGAAACAGAAACTTCTGGGGAGCCAGTACCAGGGTAGGAAAACTTAAAGTGTAATTGACTCATAGCTGGAGGCTTAGGGTGGACAAATTTGAGAGCTAAAAAATCTATAGTGGCCAGGCATGGTGGCTCATGCCTGTAATCCCAGCACTTTGTGAGGCTGAGGCACGCAGATCACTGAGCTCAAGGGTTCGAGACCAGCTTGGGCACCATGGCAAAACCCCATCTCTACAAAAAAGACAAAAAGTAGCCGGGTGTGGTGGCACATGCCTGTAATGCCAGCTACTTGGGAGGCTGAGGTGGATCACCTGAGCCTGGGGAGGTTGAGGCTGCAGTAAGCCGAGATCACGACACTGCACTGCAGCCTGGGCGACAGTGAGACTGTCTCAAAAAAAAAAAAAAAAAACAAAACATCTAGGGGTCCCATTCTTAGGGGGGACCCTACCCTTTTTTTGGTTTTTGTTTTTTATTTTTTGTTTCTTGTTTTTGTTTTTCCCAGGCTGGAATGCAGTGGTGCAATCACAGCTTACTGCAGCCTCCAACTCCTGGGCTCAAGCAATCCTCCTGCCTCAGCCCAAATAGCTAGGACTGCAGGTGTGTACCACCATGGCTGGCTTTTTTTTTTTTTTCTTTTGAGATGGAGTCTCGCTCTGTCACCAGGCTGGAGTGCAGTGGTGCGATCTCAGCTCACTGCAACCTCCACCTCACCTCTCAGGTTCAAGTGATTCTCCTGCCTCAGCCTCCTGAGTAGCTGGGATTACAGGCACGCGCCACCATGCCCAGCTAATTTTTGTATTTTTAGTAGAGACGGGTTTCACCATGTTGGCCAGGATGGTCTTGATCTCTTGACCTTGTGATCCACCCACCTCAGCCTCCCGAAGTGCTGGGATTACAGGTGTGAGCTACTGCGCCCAGTCACCTGGTTAACTTTTAGATTTTTTTGTTTGTTTGTTTTGTTTTTGTACAGACATGGTCTCACTATGTTGCCCAGACTGGTCTTGAACTCCTAGCCTCAAGCAATCCTAGGTGTGAGCCATGGCACATGGCCACAAGTTTTACCAGGATCCCACAGTGAAAACTGGAGAACCCCCTGCCCCGTGATTCTGGCAAAGGGGAGGAGGAAAGTAGCCACTTTGAAATACATCCATTGCATTCTGTTCTCACTCTGTTGCCCAGGCTGGAGTGCAATTCATTGCAACCAGGCTGGATTACAGCTCACTGCAACCTCAACCTCCTGGGCTCAGGCAATCTTTCCACATCAGCCTCCTGAGTAACTGGGGCTACAGGTGTGCACATCTATGCCTGGCTAGTTTTTCAATTTTTTTTGTAGAGACGGGGGTCTCGCCATTTTGCCCAGGTTGGTCTCAAACTCCTGGGCTCAAGCAATCCACCTGCCTCGGACTCCCAAGAAGTCAGCTACACAGAGATAGCAGCTGAAAATGAGTAATTCAGCTGGGCACGGTGGCTCACGCCTGTAATCCTAGCACTTTGGGAGGCCAAGGCAGGTGGATCGCTTGAGGTCAGGAGTTCGAGACCAGCCTGGGCAACATGGCAAAACCCCATCTCTACTAAAACAAAAATTAGCCGGGCGTGGTGGTGTACGACCTGTAGTACCACCTACTTGGGAGGCTGAGGCACCAGAATCGCTTGAACTTGGGAGACACAGGTTGCAGTGAGCTGATATTGAGCCACTGCATTCCAGCCTGAGCAACAAAGCAAGACATTGTCTCAAAAAACAAAAAAAACCCACTGTAACAGAAATGATGAATGTCTGTGATGGGCTCATCAATAGACTGGACATGGCCAAAGAACATGGTGCGCTTGAAGAAATGTCAACAGAAATTTCCAAAGCTGAAATGCAATGAGAAAAAAAAATGAAAAAGAACAGAATATCCAAGAATTGTAGGACAATTATAGAAGCTGTAGCATACACATAATCAGAATGGCAGAGAAGAAAATAAAGGAACATAAGAAATGTGGCAATAATGACTGAGAATTTCCCCCAAATTAATGACAGACACAAAACACAGATCCAGGAAGCTCAGAGAGCAGCAAGCAGGATAAATACAAAAAACAAAAAATGAAGATAGACTGGGCTGGGCAACACAGAGAGACACCCCTTCTCTACAAAACATATTTTTCTTTTTTTTTTTTTTTGTAGAGTCAGGGTCTCACTGTATTGCCCAGGCTGGTCTCAAACTCCTGGCCTCAAGTGATCCTCCCACTTCAGCCTCCCAAAGTTCTGGGATTACAGGCATGAGCCACCACACCCACCAAAAAAGATTTTTTAAAAAATTAGCCAGGGACTGCGTGCAGTGGCTCACGCCTGCGATCCCAACACTTTCGGAAGCCGAGGTGGGAAGATCGCTTGAGTCCAGGAATTCGAGACCAGCCTGGGCAACAAAGACTTGTCTCTACAAAAAATAGAAAAAAATGAGCCAGGCATGGTGGTGCATGCCTGTAGCCCCAGTTACTTTGGAGGCTGAGGCAGGAGGATCACTTAAGCCCAGGAGGCAGAGGTTGCAGTGAGCCAAGATCACTGCACTCCACCCTGAGCAACAGAGCGAGACTGTCTCCCCACCTCAAAAAAAAAAAAAGAGCCGAGCGCGGTGGCTCACGCCTTGTAATCCCAGCACTTTGGGAGGCCGAGGCGAGCGGATCACGAGGTCAGGAGATCCAGACCACGGTGAAACCCCGTCTCTACTAAAAATACAAAAAAGCCGGGCGCGGTGGTGGGCGCCTGTAGTCCCAGCTACTCGGGAGGCTGAGGCAGGAGAATGGCGTGAACCCAGGAGGCGGAGCTTGCAGTGAGCTGAGATCGCGCCACTGCACTTCAGCCTGGGCGACAGAGCGAGACTCCGTCTCAAAAAAAAAAAAAAGTAAAACAACAGAAGTTCATATCTACATAAGAAAGAAAGAACATTAGAGAAGGAATAAATAAAGGGAAAAAGGAAGATAACTAGAATTTCACACATATCCAATTTGGGGTACTTTGGGACTGGGTGTTTCTTGGGCAGTCGAATGTGCGGATCAGCTGAGACTGATCCGGGGCGGAGACAAGGATGTGTGAACCATTATCTCTGGGAATGGAAGACATGGGCTAAAGACGGAGCAGTTTCACTAAATCCTTGTAAGGTGGTCAAGGCAGGCAACTAATCCAGCCAACAATTAAGGAGTGTAAGCTGTGTGTTAGGTTCTGTGCTTGCTGATGGAAATGAGAGGCACCAGGAAGCCTGTGGAAGAGACAGTCAAGGAGAGCAGTCAATTACATTAGGGGGCTGACAAGTTCAGTGCACAACAGAATCCTAAAACAAGAAACTAATTTGTGTGTGTGTGTGAGACCCCGTCTCACTCTATCACTCAGGCTGGAGTGCAGTCACTGAAGCCTCAACCTCCCTGGCTCAAACAATCCTCCCAACTCAGCCTCCTGAGTAGCTGGGACTACAGGCGTGCCACTACGCCCGGCTAGTTTTTTTGATTTTCAGTAGAGACAGGTTATCGCCATGTGATCCAGTCTGGTCTGGAACTCCTGGGCTCAAGCGGATCGATCCTCCCCTCTCGGCCTCTCAGAGTGCTGGGATTACAGGTGTGAGTCACCGTGCCCCCAGCCTGTATTCTATTTCTTCTTCTTCCTCTTTTTTTTTTTTTTTTTTTCTTTGAGAGAGATTCTCCCTCTGTCGCCCAGGCTGGAATGCAGAGGCAAGATCGCGGCTCACTGCCACCTCCCGTCTACTGGGTTCAAGCGATTCTCCTGCCTCGGCCTCCCGAGTAGCTGGGATTACAGGCGCCTGCCACCACGCCCAGCTAATTTTTGTACTTTTAGCAGAGAAGGGGTTTCACCATGTCGCCCAGGCTTGTCTGGAGCTCCTGGGCTCAAGTGACCCTCCTGCCTCGGCCTCTCAAAGCGCTGGGATTAGACACAAGCCACCACGCCCAGCCTGTATTTTATTTTTTAAGGGCGGGCGCCCTCTTCTGTTTTATAAAAGGAACAGTCGAATTCCTACTGGAAGCGACGCGCGCAGAGGGGAAGGCTTTGTAGACGCCGGCTCGGGTCTGGAATTTAAAGAACTAAATTTCGATGGGTGAAGACAGTGGGAAAGGGCGGTGGCATGATCCTCGTTTTACAGACTAGGAAGTCGAGCCTCACGGGAGTGACGGGGCTTCTCCGCAGGCTCCGCGAAGAAAGCAAGGCTGGGAGGACCCAGACGAACGGCCACAACAGCCTCAGCGGCCACGACAGCCTCAGCCGCCAACTCATGTCAGCCGGCAGAGAGTGCAGGAAGCGGGCAGCTACAGCTCCGCTGGGGCGTGGCCTTCTGACGCACCGTCACGGTTCCCTCTGTGGCCGCCCATTGGCTCCCTCTTACCGCCCTTTTCCGGGGCAAGGGAAGCTAGTAGCGGAGCCGGAAGTGAGGCACCCTCGGGCTCGAGACAGCGGCGACGTTTAAAGCTGAGCGACCCAGTGCCACTGGAGACGGTCAGCTTCTCCACTCAGGCTCCTCCAGCCCGAGCCAGAAGACCCCCTCCCCCAGAATTCTGGGGGCCGATGGAAGGGAGCCGAGTCAGATCGCGAGGTACCCAGAGCCGACAGACCGGAGCGACAGGGAGTTGCCAGAAGCCCCGCCCCTAGGAGTGATCGGAAAGCCTCACCCATCCGGGTGAGGAACCCGGAGGGACCGCCTCCGGGCGGAGCCCGCCGACCATGGCTACGCCCCTGGTGGCGGGTCCCGCAGCTCTACGCTTCGCCGCCGCGGCTAGCTGGCAGGTTGTGCGCGGACGCTGCGTGGAACATTTTCCGCGAGTACTGGAGTTTCTGCGATCTCTGCGCGCTGTTGCCCCTGGCTTGGTTCGCTACCGGCACCACGAACGCCTTTGTATGGGCCTAAAGGCCAAGGTATTGGAGCAAGTAGGACCTGGAAGGGGAAAGAAAGAAAGGGGCGGGATGCGAGCACCTGACAAGGGCCCACAGCTTGGGGATGAGACTAGTTGGAAAAGGTCAGCTTGCCCCGAAGTGGGGATTCTGAATTCAGTACCGTACAGGTGGTGGTGGAGCTGATCCTGCAGGGCCGGCCTTGGGCCCAAGTCCTGAAAGCCCTGAATCACCACTTTCCAGAATCTGGACCTATAGTGCGGGATCCCAAGGCTGTGAGTAATCCCCGGAACAAGCCCTGACCCCAGTTACACTTGGTGCAGCAAAGTTGCTCCTCCTGTCTACTGGATGTTGGTGCTAACTTCTCTGTCTTCTGTATCCTCAACAGACAAAGCAGGATCTGAGGAAGATTTTGGAGGCACAGGAAACTTTTTACCAGCAGGTGAAGCAGCTGTCAGAGGCTCCTGTGGATTTGGCCTCGAAGCTGCAGGTGAGACTGGTTTGAAGGCTATTATGTGGCTATTTTCTCTAACCCATTTTTTTTTTTTTTTGAGGAATCTTGCTCTGTCGCCCAGGCTGGAGTGCAGTGGCACAATCTCGGCTCACTGCAACCTCTGCCTCCCGGGTTCAAGCGATTCTCCTGCCTCAGCCTCCCGAGTAGCTGGGATTACAAATGCCCAGCTAATTTTTGTATTTTAGTAGAGATGGGGTTTCACCATGTTGGCCAGGCTGGTCTCGAACTCCTGACCTCAAGTGATCCGCCCACCTCGGCCTCCCAAATGGCCAGGATTACAGGCGTGAGCCACCGTGCCTGGCCACTAACCCACTTTTGACCTAATCTCCCCTGCTGTAGGAACTTGAACAAGAGTATGGGGAACCCTTTCTGGCTGCCATGGAAAAGCTGCTTTTTGAGTACTTGTGTCAGCTGGAGAAAGCACTGCCTACACCGCAGGCACAGCAGGTTTCGCTGGGGCAAAACATGTAAGGGCAGAGTGTGGGGTGGCTGTTTCAAGGATTGTGGTCTTCATACCTCTGTCCCTGCCCACAGCTTCAGGATGTGCTGAGTTGGATGCAGCCTGGAGTCTCTATCACCTCTTCTCTTGCCTGGAGACAATATGGTGTGGACATGGGGTGGCTGCTTCCAGGTACTAGGAATTTGGAGGTGTAGTGTTTAGCCTGAGACCTTTTGAGGCAGTCCACTGGAATAGTTCCATGGGCTCCGGGCATAAGAAACCAGTTATTCTGTTACTATCTGTTCTCTTTATAAGGGGCCTCATTTTCTTTTTCAGAGTGCTCTGTTACTGACTCAGTGAACCTGGCTGAGCCCATGGAACAGAATCCTCCTCAGCAACAAAGACTAGCACTCCACAATCCCCTGCCAAAAGCCAAGCCTGGCACACATCTTCCTCAGGGACCATCTTCAAGGACGCACCCAGAACCTCTAGCTGGCCGACACTTCAATCTGGCCCCTCTAGGCCGACGAAGAGTTCAGTCCCAATGGGCCTCCACTAGGGGAGGCCATAAGGAGCGCCCCACAGTCATGCTGTTTCCCTTTAGGAATCTCGGCTCACCAACCCAGGTCATATCTAAGCCTGAGAGCAAGGAAGAACATGCGATATACACAGCAGACCTAGCCATGGGCACAAGAGCAGCCTCCACTGGGAAGTCTAAGAGTCCATGCCAGACCCTGGGGGGAAGGGCTCTGAAGGAGAACCCAGTTGACTTGCCTGCCACAGAGCAAAAGGAGTGAGTGGAACAGAGTTGCTTCTTACTAGGAGCACATTCTTTGCCTGCCTTCCCTTCATCCTATCCTCTTTGCTTGCTCTCACCTCAGGAATTGCTTGGATTGCTACATGGACCCCCTGAGACTATCATTATTACCTCCTAGGGCCAGGAAGCCAGGTAGGTAGTCTGAGTCAGGATTGGATCAACAGCCTCCTCTCTTGGGGACTCTCAAGAGCCTGTGTTCATCTAGAAGTAGTAGTTTGATTCTGGTTTCCCTCCTACAGTGTGTCCTCCGTCTCTGTGCAGCTCCGTCATTACCATAGGGGACTTGGTTTTAGACTCTGATGAGGAAGAAAATGGCCAGGGGGAAGGAAAGGTGAGTGGGAAGGAGCAGAAAGCTGGGAAAGGGGATGGGTAGAACAAGACTGAGAAATCCACATGCTTCAGAATTCAGAGGGTTCAGGGAATGGTTTCGGATAGTAGGCTCTCCCTGCTCCCTTCTCTACAGGAATCTCTGGAAAACTATCAGAAGACAAAGTTTGACACCTTGATACCCACTCTCTGTGAATACCTACCCCCTTCTGGCCACGGTGCCATACCTGTTTCTTCCTGTGACTGTAGAGACAGTTCTAGACCTTTGTGATAGAACTAAAATGCTCTCTGTACTCTAGTCTCCTGCCTCCTCAGCTCTGCAAGTAGTTTAGTAGGAATGAAGTGGAAGTCCAGGCTTGGATTGCCTAACTACACTGCTAAAAATATTTGTAATCCTTAATAATTAAACTTTGGATTTGTTAAAATACTGCCTTGATGTGAAGGAGGGGAATTAAGGTTTCCATAAGGTCAGCATAAGTCATTCCTTAGAAACAGAACTGGCCCTTCCAAACTGAAAGGATCCCTTTGCCTTTTTTTACTTCCCTTGCTAAGTGTTGTTCAGCTGTGCCTAAAAGGGTTAGCAGGGTTGAAAGCCTGGAAGAGAAATGTCCTTTGGTATTCTGGAAATATGTGTCCTCAGGCCAGAATATACTTTGTAAATTCTCATGCTGCCAGATTATCTGGGTGTGGTGGCACTAGAATGGAGATACTTCATGGGAATAATACTCATTGTTCTTGACCCCACTGGGTCAGTGCTGACCCTACCACCACCCACTCTGCAGCAGCACCCAGATGCTAGCCTTGTACAGAAAGCCCCAGCATCTCTTTACAGTCAATGAGCTCTCTCTTTATTGAGGTATTTCAAATATACAAACACTTCAGAGCTTTTTAGATATGTGAAGGTCCAATTTAGTGAAGCGGATTAACAAAACATGATTCTAAAAGCCTGCCTCCTCTAGACCAAGGCCATGTAAAAGATTTATGTACCAATCAGCATCTTTTCCTTTTAATAATCTTCAGGATGTTGTGTTGGGTCCCCAGATTCCCATTTGATTTTCTTGCATCATTTTCTCAGACTGTTTGCTTCCTTGCTTCCTCCCCAGTGAGTGCCTTGGGCATTTTGTGTGTGCAGATAGAGAAGTACAGAGTTACTGCAGGAGCCCTCAGGAGTGAGACAACAGGAAATGACAAAGTAATACAGAGCTGCAGTAGCTGGGATGGGTGAGGACCCCACTTGGGATGCCCCATGGTAGAGTACTGGTGCCTTGGGAGGGTAGAACTGCTCAGGTCTAGCACGCCTCACTGAAGATTGGATTCACCTGCTGGGTGACTCGGATGAAGGTAGTTCTCCTGCTCAACTCTTTGAGCTTAGCTGCTCCCACATAGGTACACGTAGAGCGGATCCCTCCTAGGATGTCTCGGATGGTATGTTCCACATCTCCTTTAAAAGGAACTTCCACTGTCTTTCCCTCTGAGGCTCTTAAAGTAGGAAAAACTTTATTATCTTCTCCTTCTGGATTCCTTAAGCCCAGGGACTTTTCCACAGACCCTAGCATTGAGCCCCGGTTCACCATGCTTCTCTGAGAACTGTACCATCCCCCTCTCAGCAGCCATGAGTTCTGCCTCCATACTATTACTAAGCTCCTGGGCCTCCACACATACCTGTACTCAGCCACGCCCCCAGCATACTTCTTCATGGCCATTTCAGAACTCATTCCATAGAAGAGCTTGTACTTCTTGCCATCCCTCTCGATGAGCTCACCACCTGACTCACTGTGCCCAGCCAGCATGCCACCCAGCATCACGAAGTCAGCTCCTGCCCCTGCCACCATCATGGAGGGGGGAAAGAGATTAATCTGGCCAAGGTGCTCACATGGCCACCCTCAAAAGCAACTCACACCATATTCTCAGTCCTGACAATGATTCCAGCGTCTTCCTCCTTCTGCTTCCCTAGCTGACCCACAATCCACGCAGGCCTGATCTGCCCTGGCCTCTATTCCTCAGTGGGTATGATTTCCCCAAGATTTAAAAAAGAGCCTCTGGAGAGTCCCTGCCTGGCTTTTGCTTTCTCCTTTTGCTGTTTTTACCATCATCGTCTGGTCATTTGATTTTACTGTGCCCAGCTAAATAAGACTCATTTCATGTGTCCCAAGAGCAAAGATCCCCAACTTTAATGGGAGTAATGATCTCCTGGGAAGCTGTGCAAAATGAAAAATGCAGATGTGCTGTCCCATTCCTCAGAGCCTATTTTTAGGTATGGCTGGGGCTCAGGAGTCTGCACTGTGCAGCAATCTAGGAGATGGTCAGATGGCCCTGGCCCACACTTGGAGTCTCAGATGTCCCCTGCTGGCTGCCCCAGATGATACCATAGACTTCGGAGTCACTAATTCATATTATGAAAGAATCTGAATGACTTCCTGAGCCTCTCTTAGCCTGACCCTAGACCCTCAGAGGTGATTCATCCTCTTGTATAGAATCATCCTTCTGTGCCCTCAAGCTCCTTACCAAAAGCCTTGGCCACATCCCCAGGACAGCTGCAACCTCCATCCTGCAAAGTAAGGAGCACTATGAATACAACATGGATTTCCCAAGCCCTCAGCGATGTCCCAACAGCCCAACTCAAAGCCAACAAGAACCCAGGAATTCTAATCCATCTCTGCCACCTCCATACCCTGCAGAAACCCCGCTCATACCCTACCCTGCCCTTGAGCCTTACTGAAATGATGTGGCCTTTGAGGCCATGAGCAGCATCTGCACACTCCATCACTGCGCTGAGCTGTGGATACCCCACTCCAGTTTTCTTCCGAGTAGTACACACAGAGCCTAGGAAGAACATGATAAGGGTAAGAATGACGTGCTCCACAGGTGTTTGCCACTGAAGGGGGGTAGCCAGTGGCCCCAATGAACCAGCTTACCTGGCCCAATTCCCACTTTGATGATGTCAGCCCCAGAAAGGATGAGCTCTTCTACCATCTCTCCTGTTACCACATTCCCTGCCTGAGACAGAGCAATTGAAATACAGCATCCTTAGGGCCAGAAACAGGAGGTCATGTATTGTTACGGTATGCATGGACCATGACTTTCCAACATTATTACAAAGAAAGGATAACTAGGTCCCCTCTACTGGGCCCTCTGAGGGCTTTTACACTAGCCACTTTAGAGAACCCTGCTCCCTACCCATCCACCCAACACCAAGCCAAGGTAGGAGTGAGTGGCCAATGTCACCACTGAACCTAGGGTAAAGCCGAGGTCCATGATGCACTTTTCTAAGGCAACAAGGTGCTATGATCAACAGGGACACATGAAGTGGCATGGAGGAGCATTCAGTGAGGCAAAGGGAACTACTGGACCAGGCTCACATCTGATTTACAGTAGATTTAGCTCCCCTTCCTCAAGAGACCCAAACATATTCTGTCCTTAAGCCATTCTGTCATAGAACCTGTCTGGCTTCAGGGAAAGGGAGAAGGCATGGTAGTATAGGCTAAAGACCCATTTGACCAGTTGATTGGCTTTTGATGATCAGTAGACACACCCCTCAATGCTGCGAAGAAAATGAAGGCCACTCTTCTAAGGTTGTAAAAAGATAAATCATTATTCATGTGACCCCTTTTTATGTGACTAGTATGTGTCCATTTCAGTGGGCAGATGTCTATGTACCACAGGTATGTACAGTGCACAGATGTTCCATCATGGTTTGGTGAGTGACATCAGGGACATCAGATTTACAAAGACTATGAACCAAGGGTCAGAGATACTACACTGACCAAATAGACATTTTCAGCTTAGAACTATGGATAATCATCCAGTATCATGATTAAATGAACTAGGAATATCATAATGCAGCAGAGGAGAAATGGACTGATGTAGCAAAACGGAGTGGCAGGAAAGTGGAAAGATAAAAAGGTACCGACTGTAATAGAAACATACCATGATGGTGTGCTGGGGGAAGCGCTTCCGTACATCTTTTACAAATTCAACAAAGTGTTCAGAGTAGCCATTTGCCACATCCAGGCATATATACTTCACCTGGGGAATAGCTTCCAGGATCTGTTCCAGCTGCTCAAAGTCAGAAGAGCCTGTGCCTGAGCTGGCAGCCAGATGCTGTGGGAGAAACAGAGTCATTGGCATATCAGAGATGATCTGGTGGGCAGCCAGTGGGTCATTGGTGAGTGCTGGTCCCCAGAAAGCCAAAATATAATTGCTGGAAAACTGGGATAAGGAAGGGAGCAGGGTATGCCCAGTGTTACCTCAAGACAGTCAGGATTCTGGCCAGCAAACTCTTGCCACTGAACGAGGCTATAGTGCTTATGGACAGCAGTGAAGAGAGAGAACTGGGGAGAAGACAAAGAAGCATCAAAAGGGAGAAAACTTTATTAAGGTCTCTTTTCTAGAAACAGACCTATTCTATCTGAGGGAGGACATGATTGAAGTTGGGGAGGAAACAAGTCAAAGAACTCAGGTTGAGCTGGGATTTGAGTTCAACCTTTCTTCTCTCTACAAATACTAGTAGGGCTTTTTACCATAAGCTAGTACTTGTCAGATTTCCCACCAAAGTACTGAGTGATCTGGGTTGGATTTCATCTGCCAGCACATTCACTGCTTCTGACTTAAAAGGTGACAAGCTGCTGGTGCAGTGGGACAGGCAGCAGACATGAAAGAACCATGAAGAAGCTGGATGGAGCCTGTGTTTCTCTGCACTGACTCAGCCCCTCCTCCTAAGGTAACCTAGTACTAAACTATTTTTGGTTATGTTCTCGTTCATTTACCAGCAGTAATTCAGTAGATCTGGATGCTCACCAAAGGTAATGCCTTAAGGTTGATAAGAGCTGATAAGGGGCTACCCTACCCTGTCTCCATCTCTAGTGGAAAAAAGGACAAATTTCCTAGTTGGGGACATGGATCAAGCTAAAAAATCTGTTTCATTCAGTCCATTTTAATAAAGTTCAAGGACATAATGACTCATCAAACTCATATTCTCTAGCTCAACAGATTGCAAACAATATCCCAATACTTTGAGGAAGGCATTCAAAGGCCATTGTGTATGCTGGTGTTTGTGCCTTACATGTCTACATGCAAACAGACAAGAGACAGCAGTTGGCTGAAACAGCACAAATCTTGCAACTAACAAGAAACCCAAGGAAGTCATGTATTAGCTAGCAACAAGTGCTCTACATACGTACTCAGAGATCAACAATATCTAGCTAAAGCTGGTATTGAATTCTGCTTTCTCAACAACTCTATCATCAACATACTGATAAGCAAAGAAAAGTCACCATAGGATAGGAAGTCAGCAGATGTTGGAGATATACTGGCAGAGTGTGGCATGATGAGCACATCAGATTACATACCAAACTTAGAAAAAGATGTTTGCTTGCATCCAACCTTTTTATTACAGTAAGACTTGGCTCTTATCTCTAAAACCTGATTTCTTTACCTCTCGTCAGCAATACTGAAAGCCAGGCTCCACATAAAGCATCAAGACAGTCCCCAAAAAGGTTCATGTATTACAGCACGCCTGTTAACTCTGCAGTCAGAGTCACCAATTCTGAACTCTACTGGTCAGGGCAGATGGACAGTGGGCAACAGAAAGATTCCTAAGCAGTTACTGAATGGCAATAAAAATAAAGTAAAAATAAAACTGCATAACTATCAACCTTAAAGAAATGACAAGACATTCCACAAAGACACAGCAATCAAAAATAGAAAAAGGATATGAAGTCCTTAAGACTAATGGAGCCACAAACAATAGCAGAATTCATCAACCAGGGCTACATGGATCAACCAGCAGAGTGCATATGTTCTCAAAGTGCCCAGATAACTCTCTACCTTCTCAGCAACAAGTATAGAGGCAGGTAATAGTACTGACAGGAGCAGCATCTTCCATTTCAAAGTGAACAACTTGTATATAAGAAAAACACATCCCATTTGGGGCACATCCCAGAAACTCCCAGGAACCTAGGACTTAAAGAAGAGGAAGATTAAAAAAAGAATGGCAGAAGTATTCTTTTATTAATGAATTGTTCTTATTAAAGAAAATTAATAAGCTGCTTCTCCTAGGATCTTCTAGTTAGGATTTTTGAATGCTTAAACTGTAGTTTCTGGACTAAAACAGTGAATGCTTAATGTGGACAATCGCATAACTGAAGGGATGCATGTGACTGTGAGGGGGTGACCTGGGTGGTGGGAAAAGTTGGCAAGGTGTACAAACTGCTAAACAGGACAAAAGGGAAAATTCTGTTCATATATCAGAAATATCGGAGCAGAACTTAGCTTTGAATCTCACTAATTCAGATGGCCTTTTGAACTTATCAGATAAAGGGCTTCAGTAGTGGAAAAAACCGTAAATCAGAGCATCCTGACTGCTAACTGCCAGAGAACTGACTGGGCATGGGGGTGGGGATGCAAACACCTCTGCAGTCAGCTGGGCTAACTGGACACCAATAGGGATGGGGCATGAGGAAAGCCCTACCTTACAGAGAACCTTGGCCATCTCAAAGGTGCCCACAGTATCCATATTGGCAGCAATGATGGGAACCCCAGAGTATGTCTGCTTTGAGTTCCGAAATGAAAAGGATCTTGTGAGATCCACCTGCAGATATGAACAGGAAATTGACCATTTCATTAATCCAAAAAACGTACCATATTAGGACAAGGACAGGCATCTTTCTTGGTTGTGGCCCACCGGGAGCGTGGGGTCAAGAAACAGCAAGTAGAGAAGCTTGCTCACCTCACTTCGAGACTTAAGGGTACTGCGTTTGGGCCTCAAAAGGACATCCTTGAAGTCCAGTTTCACATCGTTGTCAATATGAGGCATGGCGCTTAGCCTCGGGGTAGCGATGAATCTGAGGGCTGGAAGGCAGGAAGTCATAAGGACCAATCTTCCCCTGGGCTTTAACGCCCTGTTACGGCTGGTGGCCTCTCTTCGCTTAAGTTGTGGAAGGTCGGGCAAAGGCCGAAGTGTGGTCCCTGAAGCCTGTCACCTCGACCCATCCCGTGGCTGCGATTACCCTAGGGCTCCATCCCAGGTACTGTTTGTTGGGGAGGAGAGCTGGGAAAGGGTTGTGAGAGACCCTGACGGTGCATTCCTTACCCCGCTACACTTCCTTCTTCTACCCCTGCAAAGAGCAATGGGGCAAGAGGCTGATTTAGGGGAACGAAGGAATGTTGGCGACGGGGGGCGGGGAGGGTTCATAACTAGTTTCCGGAATAGAGGTACTCACTTCCTGTTGCCTTGGTCCAGGCGGCAGTTGACCAAAGACCACCTTGCTTAGCAACTAACCTCGTGCAATCCCGCTAAGCCTTCTGGGCCACGCCAACAGGTTCCTCTAGTTGCCGGCGAGAACTACTAGCCGACGAATTCCAGCTTCGGCGGCGGCAGGGCGAGGCCTTCTGGATAACAGAGTTCACGCACTGAGGTTGCTGTTGGATCCGAGGGGGTTAGACTACAACTCCCAGGGGGAAACGGGCGGGACCGCCTCCTGGCACGATGGGAGATGTAGTTCGTTCTGCCCCCACTTTTCGCTAGCCCGGGCTCGCCAGGGACTCTCAGAATCGCAGAGTCGTCATCTCTGCTGTTGCTAAACTGGATGCCTCATTCCAATTTACGACGTCACTGAACCGAAACGCGGGAGCAACCCTGAGCCTTTCCGGAACCCAGTGGGGGGGGGGGGGGGGGTGGAGCCAGACAGTGACCCGGAAGTAGAAGTGGCCCTTGCAGGCAAGAGTGCTGGAGGGCGGCAGCGGCGACCGGAGCGGTAGGAGCAGCAATTTATCCGTGTGCAGCCCCAAACTGGAAAGAAGATGCTAATTAAAGTGAAGGTGGGAGCACCTCCAGCCTTGCCAAGACGCAGTAGTACTGGGCTGGCAGCAGTGCCTTACGGGAGACGTGGGGAAGGAAAACCACGCCTTTCCCTAGCCTGGAGGACGCTGACTGCCTCAGGGCTCCGCGCGAGGGGTGGTGGGAAATAGGGGGACCCAGAAGGGCTTTGAGAGCGGGGCCCAGGTCCCACCTGACGACCCTGGGGTATTTTGCCATGCCTGCTTTTTTGCCAGGACTGTGCTATCACCCAGAATGGGGTCGCTTTTGTCGGGTCTCACTGTATTCGAACCCCCGCAGTCATAGAGAAGGCCTAGCAGCGGCTTGACTCCCCCGTCTCTCAGATTCTTGGAGTAAGCGCTGCTCTCCATTCTTCATTCCCAGGGTACCTGCTTCTCCCAGTCCCTAACGTAGGTCGCCTCCGAGCACAGCCCTAAAATCGGGGCCTCCCAAGGGCTAGACTATGAGCCTTTACTGGTGGTTGCCAAGGTGTGGTATCTCACCCGTCCTACAGGAACCAAAGCGGGGAGTGTGTTCAGTCAGTACCTGCCTTTCTGAGCCTGGCATCCTGGACCAGCCTCACTTCCTTGGCTGAGGCAGGTTAGTTACCGCTGCCCTAGTTCTTGCTACTAGCCATGGTTTCCTTCATCTGCATCTCTCAACTCCCGTGGTGGTTCTTCACCAATTTCCAGCCCTCGTTAGTCCTATCTGCTGTTTCCTCTTTTGTGCCTTCAGACAGACAGAGACCCCCCCCCCCACGCCCCCCTCAAAAAAACAAAACTGCTGACAAGTGAAGTCTAATGCTAGTTTGGCCTTTTTGTAGCTAAGTAAATCTATCGTTATTTCATCAGCTTCTTAGCATATTTACCGTACATAATAGTCATTCTTAACCTTCTCTTCCCCAGTCCTTCCAAACTACTTCTTAGCTAAGATTTGAGGTCTAGTATTAAAATAGTATGTTAAAGATGATTTTTTTTAACGTTGAGTAGCGGCCTATATAAGAGTCGTAACATCAATTTAATAGGTGAATGGGTCACTGGCGCCATTAAAAAGAGAAAATAGGCTGGGCGCGGTGGCTCACGCCTGTAATCCCAGCACTTTGGAAGGCCGAGGCAGGCCGATCGCTTGAGCCCAGGAGTTGGAGACCATCCTGGGCAACATGGCGAAACCCTGCCTGTACAATAAATTCAAAAAATTAGCCAAGGGTCTGGGCGCATGCCTGTAGGCCCAGCTATTCGGGAGGCCGAGATGGGAGGATTGATTGATCCTGGGATGTCGAAGCCGCGGTGAGCAGTGATGGCACCACTGCACTCCAGACCCTGCCTGAAAAAAAAGGCCGGGCCCAGTGGCTCACGCCTGTAATCCCAGCACTTTGGGAGGCCGAGGTGGGTGGATCACCTAAGGTGAGGAGTTCAAGACCAGCCTGGCCAACATGGTGAAACCCCGCCTCTACTAACAATACAAAAACTAGCCGGGCGTGGTGGTGGGCGCCTATAATCCCAGCTACTCGGAGGCTAAGGCAGGAGAATCCCTTGAACCTGGGAGGCGGAGATTGCAGTGAGCTGAGATGGCGCCATTGCACTCCAGCCTGGGCGACAAGAGTGAAACTCCATCTCCCCCTGCAAAAAAAAAAAAGAAAGAGAGAGGGGGAGAAAATAGGAAATAATATAGTGCTAGGTAAGGATATTGTTTTATGATTTTTTTTTTTTTTTTTTTTGAGACAGAGTCTCGCTCTGTCGCCCAGGCTGGAGTGCAGTGGCGCCATCTCGGCTCACTGCAAGCTTCGCCTCCCGGGTTCATGCCATTCTCCTGCCTCAGCCTCCCGAGTAGCTGGGACTACAGGCGCCTGCCACCACGCCCAGCTAATTTTTTTGTATTTTTAGTAGAGACAGGGTTTCACCATGTTAGCCAGGATGGTCTCGATCTCCTGACCTCGTGATCCGCCCGCCTCTGCCTCCCAAAGTGCTGGGATTACAGGTGTGAGCCACCCTCCCCCGTGCCTGGCCTTTTTTTTTTTTTTTTTTTTTTTTTTTGAGACAGAGTCTCACTCTGTTGCCAGGCCTGAAATTTTTTATTTTATTTTATATGTATATTACACAGGGGGTGTTACTAGTTCATACTAATTTTTAGAATGGATCACTGTCAAAATCTTGAGAAACACTAACTGTTGAATATTTTTATTTGAGACGGAGTCTCCCTCTGTCACCAGGCTGGAGTGCAGTGGCGCAATGTCGGCTCACTGCAACCTCCGCCTCCCGGGTTCAAGCGATTCTCCTGCCTCAGCTTCCTGACTAGCTGGGACTACAGGGTGTGCCACCACGCCCAGCTAATTTTTGTATTTTTAGTAGAAACGGGGTTTCACCAGGTTGGCCAGGATGGTATCGATCTCTTGACCTAGTGATCCGCTCACCTCCGCCTAAAGTGTTGAGATTACAGTCATGAGCCACCGCGCCCGGCCTGTTGAATACTTCTGTTGGCTTTTCAATGCATATGGGTTCTCATGTCCACTAGGTCCAAAGAAGTTAAGTTACTAATGCTAAGTGTTTTGTACACTTTTTGAAAATTTCACTCCACATTAAGAAATTTTATGTCACAACCCATAAGGCACAAAAACTTTGCTATTTGTGATATGCTCTCAGACTTTCAATTCTAAGTTGATTTCATAACCCACTGATGGGTTGAGACCTGCCCACTGATGGGTTGAGACCTGCAGTTTAAAAAGTACTGTTTGAAAGGCCAGGCGTGGTGGCTCACGCCTGTAATCCCAGCACTTTGGGAGGCCAAGGCGGGCGGATCACGAGGTCAGGAGTTCAAGACCAGCCTGGCCAACATGGTGAAACCCCGTCTCTACTAAAAATACAAAAATTAGCCGAGTGTGGTGGCACACACCTGTAGTCCCAGCCACTTGACAGGGTGAGGCAGGAGAATTGCTTGAACCTGGGAGGCAGAGGTTGCAGTGAGCCAAGATCGTGCCATTGCACTCCAGCCTGGGCAACAGAGTGAGACTGTCTCAAAAAATAAATAAATAAAATAACTGTTTGAACAAAAAAATCAATGCTGTGTGTGGAAACTTGAAAATACAGTGTCCTATCACCTGTGGTCTTGCTAAAATGCTGATTATGATTCTGTGGGTCTAAGGTGGGGCACAGGTTTCTGCATTTCTCACAAACTCCCAGGTGATATTGAATGTCTGAGAGCTACACTTTGAATAGCAAGATTCTAGATTTTTTCTGTTTCTTTGAATCCATATTTATGTGGTACTTCTCTAAAATTGCCAGTCTTCTTTCCTGCAACACCCTTCTGCCTTCAAACAGGCCTCTGTGCCCCATCTCTCTCTATCTCCCCCTCTCGCCCCATCCCCTCTTGTTTGTTGCATTTCTTAATTAAATACATAGGAAAGTAGTTACACATGAGATAGCTGTTAATCTGATCTGAAGAAAATATTAATTTAAAAAAGAAAAAAAAGAGCTGTTAATTACCATATAAGTGACATTTTTTATTACAGTTCCTTTTTTTTTTTTTTTTTTTTTTTGAGACAGGTTCTCACTCTGTCGCCCAGGCTTAGGGTGCAGTGGTGCCATCACAGCTTACTGCAGCCTCGACCTCTCAGGCCCAAGCAATTCTCCCATCTGAGCCTCCTGAGTAGCTGGGACTACAGGCGTGTGCTACCACCATACCCAGCCAATTGTTTTATTTTTTTGTAGAGATGCGGTCTCATCGTGTTGCCCACGCTAGTCTAAAACTTCTGGGGTCAAGTGATCTTCCCACCTCATCTTCCTAAAGTGCTGGGATTACAGCCGTGAGCTACCATATCTGACCCCTTTTTGAATTATTATTATTTTTGTTTTGTTTTGCTTTTGAGATGGAGTCTCACTCTGTCGCCCAGGCTGGAGTACAGTGGCACGATCTTGGCTCATTGCAACCTCCGCCTCTTGGGTTCAAGCGATGCTCCTGCCTCAGCCTCCCAAGTAGCTGGGACTACAAGTGCCCACCACCATACCCGGCTAACTTTTGTATTTTAGTAGAGACGGGGTTTCGCCATGTTTGCCAGGCTGGTCTTGAACGCCTGACCTGAGGTGATCCACCCACCTCAGCCTCCCAAAGTGCTGGGATTACAGGCATGAGCCACCGCGCCTGGCCTCATTTTGTTTTTGTTTTGAGACATTCTTACTCTGTCACCCAGGCTGGAGTGCAGTGGTATGATCTCGGCTCACTGCAACCTCCACCTCCCAGGCTCAAGGGATCCTCCCAACTCAGCCTCCCAAGTAGCTGGGACTACAGGTACATGCCACCACACCTGGCTGATTTTCTGTATTTTTAGTAGAGGTGGGGTTTCACCATGTTGCCCAGGCTGGTCTTGAACTCCTGAGCTCAAGTGATCCACCTGCCTTGGCCTCCCGAAGTGCTGGGATTACAGGCGTGAGCCACCATGCCCAGCCGAATGATTCATTTTCAACTGCTGTCTCTGTGTAGCTGACTTCTTCCATATTTTTCTATAAGATTTTACAATTAAATTCTTCCTGATTTAAATCTTGTTACCTTGTCTCTATGGTTCTAAAATTAAATGCATCATCTTCTGTCATAAGCCATATCCCAATACCCATCTCGTGTATTAATCCCATCAATCATTCAGGTGTCTGGAATACAATTCTTTAGAGTCATTTAAAATTACGTGGTCCTTTTATAAGATCTAATTTTTCACTTAAAAGCTCTTTCTGTTTGATTTTTGTTTCCATCTCCATTACCCTCATTCTGGTCTCGGGTCTTACTCATTTATATGTTTATGTCTCTGTAATACATCCAACCAGGTTTTCCTACCGTCATATCCCCTCTAAAGTGTAGTCTAAACCAAGACATGACGTACAAAACCATAATGTGCAGGTCTTCCTTTAGCTTCTTTTTCATTATATTACTCCCTAACCCCAGATCCTTCATTGATTTCCTCATTGCAGATTACTTTGGCAACTGTCTTTACTGTGTGAATCAGTTTTCTCATTCATGTTTTTTAACATACAGTAAAATGCACAGTTCTTAAGGGTTTAGTTCAGTGAGTTTTTGACAATAGCATACGTTCATGTAATTACAAAATCTAAACATTTGTATTCCTACCCCCTCAAGAGTTTCATAGGTTAGTTTTGCTTGTTTTAGAACTTTATATAAATGGAATTATTGAATGTACAATTTTTGTATCTGGCTTCTTTCATTCTGCATAATGTCTACTGTAATCTGTGGTTTATTCCTTCTTATTACTGAATAGTATTCCATTGGATGAATTATATCATAATTTGTTTATCCATTCTCCTGTTGATGGGTGTTTGAGTTATCTCCAGTTTCTGGCTATTATGAAAAAGTCTTCTATGAACATTGTTATACGAGTGTTTTTGTAAACATATGTTTTTATTTCCTTTGGATAAATACCTAAGAATGAAATTACTAGGTCATGTGGTAGATATATGTAACTTTAAAAAGAAACTAAGGGTTTGTACCATTTTATATTCCCACCTGCAGTGTATGAGCATTCCAGTTGCTCTGTACCCTTACTAGACGGTACCCTTGTAGCACCATAAAAATGCTGATGTCAGTCATTTTTATTTTGGCTATTATAGTGTTATAATGTTATATAAATTAAAACACTATATCTAGTGTTATATAATGTTATCTCATTCAAGGCTTAAATTGATTAACATTGATTTTCATTCACCATAGCACTTAGTCATTGCCCCTTGTGTTTGGACAATATAGTACTTCCTTTTGTTTTGTTTTGTTTTGATTTGTTTTTAATTTTTAATTTTTTTTTTTTTTTTTTGAGATGGAGTCTCCCTCTGTCACCCAGGCTGGAGTGCGGTGGCACGATCTCGGCTCACTGCAACCTCCACCTTCGTTCAAGCGTCCACCATGCCTAGCTAATTTTTTTGTATTTTTGGTAGAGACAGGGTTTTGCCATGTTGGCCATGCTGGTCTCGAACTCCTGACCTCAAGTGATCCACCTGCCTCAGCCTCCCAAACTGCTGGGATTACAAGCGTGAGCCACTGTGCCCAGCCAGAACTTCCTTGTATACAGCCTTATTCTATTAATTTTATGTCTAATTGTTTCTTGGTTGTACATCTTCGCTTGATAAAGATTGTTGGCAGGGCTGGATCACATTTCTTTTGTATTTCCTCCAGTGCCTAGGGCAGTATGTTAGGTTTAGGTTCATCTTTTTTTTTTTTTTGGAGATGGAGTCTCACTCTGTCACCCAGGCTGGAGTGCAGTGGCGTGATCCCTGCTCACTGCAACCTCCACCTCCTGGGTTCAAGCATTTCTCCTCCTCAGCCTCCTGCATAGCTGGGATACAGGTGCGTGCCACCACACCCAGCTAATTTTTTTGTATTTTTAGTAGAGACAAGTTTTCATCATGTTATCCAGGCTGGCCTCGAACTCCTGACCTCAGGTGATCCGCCTGCCTTGGCCTCCCGAAGTGCTGGGATTACAGGCGTGAGCCACCGCGCCCTGTCTAGGTTCATCTTATACTTGTTTAAATAGCATTGAATGTATTGTCAGGTTACAGTGTGATATATCAAGAATATCTTCTAAAATTGTTCAACTGCTTTAAAACAACTTCATGGACAATTTCAAAGACATACATCAGGAAAGAGAAGGGTGTATGCACCCTTCATCCAGCTTCAAAAATTATCATCTCATAGCCAATCTTATTTAATTTAAACTCACCAACTCCTTTTACCTGATTTTTTTAAAGCAAATTCCAGCTAGCATAGCATATGTTATTCCTACATATTTCAGTGTTTTTCTGTGAAAGATAACCTTTTTTCTAACATAACCGTAATTTTTACATCCAAAAATTTAACTGATTGCTTACTATCATCAAATTACCCTATTGTCTCTCTCTCTTTTTTTATTAACAGTTTGAATCTGGATCCAATTAAGATCCATACATTGCCATTGGTTTATGTGTTTTCAATTTCTTTAAATCCGTAGATTCTCCTTTTTCCCATTTTTTTCTTGTTGAATAGAGTTTCCTGCAGTTTGAATTTTGCTGATTACATTCCCATGTTTTTCTTTTTTTCTTTTTTTTTTTTTTTGAGACAGAGTCTTGCTCTGTCACCCAGGCTGGAGTGCAGCAGTGTAATCTTGGCTCACTACTGCAACTTCTCTGCTTCCAGGGTTCAAGTGATTCTTGTATTCTCGTGCCTCAGCCTCTTGAGTAGCTGGGACTACAGGCATGCGCCACCATGCCTGACTAATTTTTGTATTTTTCATAGAGATGACATTTTGCCATGTTGGCCAGGCTGGTCTCAAATTCCTGGCCTCAAGCGACCCGCCCACCTCGGCCTCCCAAATTGCTGGGATTACAGGCATGAGACACCACAACGGGCTCCCATGTTGTCTTTTGACGTATTCCTCTTTTCCTCTGTATTTCCTGTCAGCTGGTAATTAGATCTAGAGGCTTGATTAATCTTTGTATGTTCATATGTGAGAAGAATTCATAGGTGGTGATGTGGTATGTACTTCCATCAGATTGTTTTGCTTTCTGTGATGTTAGTCATTTCCTAGATACATTGTTTCATTGGGGGTTACAAGCTGGAGGTACTCTAATATTCTTGTTGCTTCATATATTAGCTGGAATATTTGAACAGTGTCCAAAATGGTAGCCATTAGCCACATTTGGCTATTGAGCACTTGAAATGTAACTAGAGAGACTGAAGATTTGAAATTTTGATTGTACTTGATTTTAATTAAATTTAAAAACTGAAACTTAGCCGGGTACAGTGGCTCACACCTGTAATCCCAGTGAGTTAGGAGGCTGAGGTGGGAAGATCACTTGAGGCCAGAAGTTTGAGACCAGCCTGGACAACATTTCGAGACCCCATCTCTACAAAACAATTTTCAGGCCGGGCATGGTGGCTCATGCCTGTAATCCCAACACTTTGGGAGGCCGAGGCGGGTGGATCATTTGAGGTCAGGAGTTCGAGACCAGCATGGCCAACATGGTGAAACCCCATCTCTACTAAAAATACAAAAATTGGCTGGGCGCGGTGGCTCACGCCTGTAATCCCAGCACTCTGGGAGGCCGAGGCGGGCGGATCACAAGGTCAGGAGATCGAGACCATCCTGGCTAACACAGTGAAAACCCGTCTCTACTAAAAAATACAAAAAATTAGCCTGGGCGTAGTGGCGGGCGCCTGTAGTCCCAGCTACTCTGGAGGCTGAGGCAGGAGAATGGCGTGAACCCGGGAGGTGGAGCTTGCAGTGAGCCGAGATCGTGCTACTGCACTCCAGCCTGGGCGACAGAGCGAGACTCTGTCTCAAAAAAATAAAAATAAAAATAATAAAAAATACAAAATACAAAAATTAGCCAGGCGTAGTGACACGCGGCTGTAACCCCAGCTACTTGGGAGGCTGAGGCAGGAGAATTGCTTGAGCCTGGGAGGCGGAGGTTGTGGTGAGCCAGATGATGCCACAGCACTCCAGTCTGGGTGACAGACTGAGACCTTGCCTCAAAAAAAAAAAAAATTTTTTTTTTTTTCCAAAAAAGAATTAGCCAGGCATGGTGGTGTGTGCTTGTAGTCCCAGCTATTCAGAATGCTGAGGTGGGATGATACTTTCAGCCCAGGAGTTGGAGGCTGCAGTGAGCCATGATTACTCCACTGTGTTCCAGGCTGGGACACAGAGCAAGACTCCATCTCAAATAAATAAATAAATAAATAAATATAAAAAACTTTTAAGTATGTTTAGAACAAGTTGGGTGTATAAATCTACTTTTTCTATTGTAAATTATGAAACTTAAATATATGTCAAGTATTTCAGATGAAAATTTACCATTTGAATTTTTTTGTTTTTCTGGGTTTTTTTTGGAGATAGGGTCTCCCTCTGTCACCCAAGCTGGAGTGCAGTGGCACAATCAGCCCACTACGGCATTGAACTCCTGGGCTTGGGCAGTCTTGCCTCAGCCTTCTGAGTACCCAGTTGCTGGGACTACAGGCCTGTGCCACTATGCCTGGCTAATTTTATTGTAGAGATGGGGATCTCACTATGTTGCCCAGGCTGGTCTCAAAACTCCAAGCCTCAAGCAGTACTCCCACATCCCCTTCCCAAAGTGTTGAGATTACAGGCATATGCTACCATGCCCAGCCTACCATCTCTATTTTTTTTTTTTTTTTTTTTTTTGAAATGCAGTCTTGCTCTGTTGCCCAGGCTGGAGTGCAGTGGCATGATCTCAGCTCACCGTAACCTCCGCCTCCTGGGTTCAGGCGATTCTCCTGCCTCAGCCTCCCCAGTAGCTGGGACTACAGGCGCCCACCACCATGCCCAACTAATCTTTGTATTTTTAGTAGAGATGGGGTTTCACTGTGTTGGCCAGGCTGGTCTCAAACTCCTGACCTCGTGATCCGCCCCCTCGGCCTCCTAAAGTGCTAGGATTACAGGTGTGAGCCACCGCACCCAGCCCCATCTCTACATGTGATGTAAATATGAAATACAGGATTTTTAGGATTTGGTTAGAAAAAACATAAAATATATTAATTTTTATATTGATTACATGTGAATAATATTTTGGCTATGTTGGGTTTAAAAATATTAAAATTTTACCTCTTAAAGAACTTTTACAATATGGCTACTAGTAAATTTAAAAATTGCATGTATGGCTTGTATTATATTTCTACAAGGCAGTGCTGCTTTACAAAATCTTACCCTTATCAAGGACATTGTTTTTTAAATAATTTGTTCTCATTACAGCATATTCACATTTGTGGTATAAAAAATGGAAAATACAGAAAAGCATAATAATGTAATTAAAATCACCCATAATTCCACTGCTCAAGTTAAAGCATTAATATACTGTATATACCCTTCCAAGCTTTTTGGAGAGCATATAGATGCATGTGTTGTTTTTACAAAATTTTAATTATACTCTATATACTATAACTTTTTTGTTAAATTATCAGCATATTGTTAATATATTACAAATAGTTATCCTAAACATTGTTTGAGGGATTTGTAATTTTTTTTCTATGATTGTACCATAATTTATTTAACCCTCAACTGTTTGATATTTAGATTGTGTTTCTAATTTTACAGTATCAAAAGGTTGCAATAACCATTGTTGTAGGTATACTTTTGGACATAGTCATGAGTATTTTCCTGGAAGTATTGTTGCTGGGACACCATATTGCCAAATTGCTCTCTAGATATATTTATGGGCCTCTACAGTCGATTTCAGAAACAAAGGGCCAGCTCTAGACTTTTAGAATTTACAAACCAATAATCCTTTTTAAAAATATAAGGTCCAAGCATTTTGCTCTTGGGAGAGCAGCTCTAGGTCTTCTCTGAGAGTCTTTTTTCACTCTTTAAAAATTTGTGGTCGGGTGCGGTGGCCCACATCTATAATCCCAGCACTTTGGGAGGCCGAGGCAGGCAGATCACCTGAGGTCGGGAGTTCAAGACCAGCCTGACCAATATGGAGAAACCCTTCTCTACTAAAAATACAAAATTAGCCAGGTGTGGTGGTGCATGCCTGTAGTCCCAGCTACTTGGGAGGCTGAGATAGGAGAATTGCTTGAACCTGGGAGGCAGAGGTTGCAGGGTGAGCTGAGATTGTGCCGTTGCACTCCAGCCTGGGCAGCAAGAGTAAAACTCCATCTCAAAATAAATAAATAAATAAAAATTTGTATTATCGGCCAGGCACGGTGGCTCATGCCTATAATCCCAGCACTATGGGAGGCTGAGGCAGGTGGATCACTTGAGGTCAGGAGTTCGAGACCAGCCTGGGCAACATGGCAAAACCCCATCTCTACTAAAAATACAAAATGTAGTCAGGCGTGGTGGTGCCCGCCTGTGATGCCAGCTACTCAAGAGGCTGAGGTGGGGATCACCTGAGCCCAGTATGTCGAGGCTGCGGTGAGCCATGATTGCACCATTGCACTCCATCCGGGTGAGACTGAGACCCCGTCTCAAAAAAAAAAAAAAAGAAAGTGAAATAATTTGTGGACAACACAGAATTACAAACTTTTTATTTTGTCTTTTTAAAGTTACCACAAATTGTCACCACCATTCTCTGAAAGGACATTAACACCTGAATATATTTAGTTTCATGAAAATTTCACTTTTAACACTGCTTTTCTCATTTTACCATAGGCTGCTGAAAATTTTCACACAGACCAGCATAGGTTAGGGTAGAAGCTTGAGAATCACTGCTGTAATTTATTCTTTCATATCCAAACAGGTTAATCCAAAGGAATTGTTCTTGTATTTTTGGAAACATACTAGTACTAAATCATTCTCCTTGTTGGGAAATTTTCTGAGTTCTTGTTTCGTGCTGTTCTATGTGAATACCATAAGGAGAAACCATATGTTATTTTGTGAGCTACTATAGGAGTGTACATTGGGTCCCAATACTAGACCAGCCAGACTCAGGTAGGACGGAGTACAGAAATAAAAGCACAGGCTCTGGGACCAGGGAATCTGGATCCAATCTCTACTTTTGATTGCGTAGATGTGTTTTTAACCTAAGGCTTATTTTTCTCATCTATAAAATGGAAATAGTAATAGTCCATATCTCATAAATACTGGGAGGATTAAATGTGATGCATGTAAGATGCTGATCATAGTTACTGACCCTTAGAAAGTGTTCAATGGCTGGGCAAGGTGGCTCATGCCTGTAATCCCAGCTCTTTGGGAGGCCGAGGCAGGAGGATCACTTGAGCCCATGAGTTTGAAACCAGCCTGAGCAACACAGAACTCGTCTCTACAAAAAAATCTTAAAAATAGCTGAGTGTGGTGGTGCACACACCCTGTAGTCCTTGCTACTTAGGAGGCTGAGGTGGGAGGGTTGTTTGAACCCAGGAGGTCAAGGCTGCAGTGAGCCAGGATCACACCACTGAACTCCAGCCTGCTTGATACAGTGAGACCCTGTCTCTTAAAAAAATAAAAGGAAAAAAATAGTTTTCAGTAAATGTTAGCTGTGATTATAATATGATCATCAGTATATTTAGCCCTTCAAAAATATTCATTGACTGCTTGTGTGTCAAACACTAGGAAAGTTTAACACTTAAACAACTAGCTGTAATTGGTATATTAATATTGGAAGTATTAATAAAGTACACTGGGAACAGGTCTACACATCATACAGGAGGTTTTATACATTGCTGGAGTGCAATGGCACAATCTCAGCTCACCGCAACTTCTGCCTCCTGGGTTCAAGAGATTCTCCTGCCTCAGCCTCCTGAGTAGTTGGGATTACAGGCATGCGCCACCACGCCTGGCTAATTTTGTATTTTTTAATAGAGAAGGCTTTCTCCATGTTGGCCAGGCTGGTCTTGAACTCCCAACCTCAGGTAATCCACCCACCTCAGCTTCCCAAAGTGCTGGGATTACAGGCATGAGCCACTGTGCCCGGCCAGGAGGAGATCTTACATTTAAGGGGTCTTGAAGTTTGGAGAAGAAGGGGAGGATATTGCAACAAGGAAAATAACGGAAGCAAAGAAATGCCCATAAATTAGAATGAGCATGGTGTGTTTGTGGCCTGGATCACTGTAGACTAATACAGATAGAGCTATTAAGAGCAAGGACAGATGGGAGAAGACACAACATTTATGACTGCATAATCAGTATAATTATTGTATTTGGATATCACCAGCCCTTAACTTACGGAAGAAGACAAGAGCTGCAATTTAGGATTTAGGTAGAAGTCTGGAAAGATATGGGAGATGTAATGTTGACTTCTTGTCTTCTTTTCTCTTTTTTCTTTTACTTTCTTTTTTTTTTTTTTTTTTTTTTTTTTGCGAGGGTGTTGCCCAGGCTGGAGTACAGTGGCACAATCGTGGCTTACTGCTGCTGCCTCTAATTTCTGGACTCAAGTGATCCTCCCACCTCAGCCTCCCAAATAGCTGGTACTACAGGCATGCACCACTGTACTCAGCTAATTTTTGTTGTTGTTGTTGTTGTTGTTGTTGTTTTGGTTGAGACAGGGTTTCGCTGTGTTGTCCAGGCTGGTCTGGAACTCCTAGGCTCAAGTGATCCTCCCGCCTCAGTCTCCCAAGGTGTTGGGATTGCAGGTGTGAGCCACCATGCCCAGCCAATTCTAGCATTTTTTAAAAAACTGCTGAGATGATTTCTGGTGTCCTTGAGAATTCTTCAAATTATCTGAATATTAATTTCTAGCATTGATATTTAGAACAAGGTCCTTCTGACTTTTTTTAAGATATCTTTCAGGCTGGGTGCAGTGGCTTACCCCTGTAATCCCAGCACTTTGGGAGGCTGAGGCGGGTGGATCACCTGAGGTTGGGAGTTTGAGACCAGCCTGATCAACATGGAGAAATCCTGTCTCTACTAAAAATACAAAATTAGCCAGGCCTGGTAGCGCATGCCTGTAATCCCAGCTACGTGGGAGGCTGAGGCAGGAGAATTGGTTGAACCTGGGAGGCAGAAGTTGCAGTGAGCCGAGATTGTGCCATTGCACTCCAGCCTGGTCAACAAGAGCGAAACTCCATCTCAAAAATAAATAAATAAATCCTTTCATTGCCGTATCATCTAAAATAATGCCAATATTCTCACTGATTTTGGGGGACTGATGTTGGAAGATGACTCATGGAATTAAGAGGATCAGATGGTTCAAAGAATCTTGCCCTATCAAAGTTGTTTACAGCCTAAAAATATTTGATAAATGAAGGTATGTTCAAAGCCTTCTCATTCTCCAAAGCAGTGCTGCTGAGAATATGCATCTTTTAGAAGGCAGTAGATCCCAAAGACCAACATAGGATGTTTTACCTAGAAGACAAATTGTACATTGGGCTTTAAGGACTCATGAAACCATTGCCTGTTTCAGACGCTGACCGGAAAGGAGATTGAGATTGACATTGAACCTACAGACAAGGTGATGCATGCCCAACTCCTCTTCATGTACTTCTTGCCATGTGTATTTGTTTGCATATGCTTATGAACTTGGTCCTTTTGCTCTCATGCTGTCTGCATAGCCCTTGTTCTTTCCGTTTCCATGGTCCTACCCCTAAGCAGCAGCCCCTGACTACTTGTCTCTCTAAAGGTGGAGCGAATCAAGGAGCGTGTGGAGGAGAAAGAGGGAATCCCCCCACAACAGCAGAGGCTCATCTACAGTGGCAAGCAGATGTGAGTTTGGAGTGAGAATGACAGCATGGCGATCTTATGTGAAGATGAGAAGAGGAGAGGGGGCACGTACTGAGGTGGATCAGGGGTGCCTCTTGTTTTTGGTGCCTAAGACTCTTTGGCAATCTGGTGAAGCCTCTAAGCCCCTTCTCAGAATAAGATTTTTTCAGGCATAAAACAAAATATATAGAATTAAAGGAAAACTAATTATATTGAAATAGTTATTAAAATACTAAAACAAATTTGTGATATAGTAATATATGTACTTTTTTATTAATGCATAAGATCTAATGGTAGGTCTAATATGACCATAATTTTGAAATATTTTCAAGATACCTATAAATGATCATGATAGAAAATAGTTAATTGCTATTGTTAACAAGTTACCTATATTGCTAATACTACTGTGGTTTTTGGGCTATGTTTAAAGTTAGAAGAAATGTTAAATTTCAGTTGGGGGTTAGTAAAAATAAAGATGGGATTTTTTTTCTCATTCAAGTTCACAGACCCCCAAAGAGATCCAGGAAACTCAAGAACTCCTGTTCTGGCCGGGCGCAGTGGCTCACGCCTGTAATCCCAGCACTTTGGGAGGCTGAAGGGGGTGGATCACCTGAGGTCAGGAGTTCGAGACCAGCCTGGCCAACATGGTGAAACCCCATCTTTACTAAAAATACAAAAATTAGCTGGGCGTGGTGGTGGGCGCTTGTAATCCCAGCTACTCAGGAGGCTGAAGCAGGAGAATTGCTTGAACCCAGGAGGTGGAAGTTGCAGTGAGCTGAGATCGTGCCACTGTACTCCAGCCTAGATGACAGAGCGAGACTCTGTCAAAAACAACAACAACAACAACAACAACAACAACAAAAAACTCCTAAGTCTTCTTTTTCTTTTTTTTCTGGCTTCCTTTTCCTGCAGGAATGATGAGAAGACAGCAGCTGATTACAAGATTTTAGGTGGTTCAGTCCTTCACCTGGTGTTGGCTCTGAGAGGAGGAGGTGGTCTTAGGCAGTGATGGACCCTCCATTTTACCTCTTTACCCTGTCGCTCATAATGAGGCATCATATATCCTCTCACTCTCTGGGACACCATAGCCACTGCCCCCTCCCCTGGATGCCCAGTAATGTATGTCTACTGGTGGGAGACTGTGAGGATCCCAGGATTCAGTATTCCTGGCCCAGAGGGCCCTTGCTGGCTACTGGGTGTTAGTTTGCAGTCCTGTGTGCTTCCCTCTCTTATGACTGTGTCCCTGGTTGTCAATAAAATATTTCCTGGCCTCCTGGAATCTTTCTTCTGTTGCACAAGTTGACTGAAATAAAAATGGACCTAATGCTCACTCAGTTATAGCAGGCTGAAGGAATCGGACAGTGGAAGGAATGGTGCTCTTACGGGGATTATCAGACTCTAGGAAAACCTACTTAGTGGTGTGTTGGAACCAGTTCCTAGTGGCTAATGAGAGCCAATTATTGGCACCTTTTTCCAACTCTATTAAGTGACTTCATGTTGGTAGCTTGAAATTGGCCATGGTAGGATTATTTACAGAAACTAGCAAACACTACAGATCAGTTCCTCCCCACAAACTGGTTGTTATACATCTACCAGTGTAGTGCTGACATGGATGGTGAAACCTTCGGAGAGTGAATTCTCTCTTGACTGTGGCTGTACTGGACATTTAGGCCTGGTTGGAGAACGCCTTCAAGGGTTTGGCTGACACTGTACTCTATGGCTGGAATATTACTGAGGACTTTGGGTTCTACACTGTCAGGAGGTTGATAATGCAGAAAGATTGAGTGACAAGCTGTGATGTATCACTTGGGTCTCAAGAAGAGGCAGGTGCTAGAAGAAAAGGCTTTCCTTCTTCCCTGGCTTCTTAGTATAATAGAATCGGGCAAGGCTGGGTGGAGTGGAGAAGTAGGGAGGATGCCCGTGGCCAATGCCTTAGAAAGACTTGACTGCTGTGGTTGCATGTGTGGTCGTGTTGGTACCTCGCTGCAATCCTCTTCCCCGCCCAGCATCAGATGGCACTCTTGCGCCATCTCCAGGCTGATGACGCCCCGAGTGGCGACGCTCTAGTCGCCATTTGTCTATGGCAGGCAGGGTGGCTGCCTTAGCTGCCGGAGGTTCCGCACTCTCTAAGGCCCCGGGTGAAGCCCCACCTCTGCTGCGCGCAGCCTGCGGTGCGGGTCATGGCGCGGCTACCGAAGCTGGCAGTCTTTGATTTGGGTGAGGGACGGGAAGGGGAGAATTTCGTAAGGTGCTCTCCTTTTCCACATCCCTAACAGCAGCTCCCGAATCCCTGCATCTCCCGCCCCAGGCTGAACCTTCCCTCTCCTTCCTCTCGCAGATTACACTCTCTGGCCTTTCTGGGTCGACACGCACGTAGACCCTCCGTTCCATAAGAGCAGGTGAGGTAGGGACAGGGAAGACTGGGGGCGAGATAGGACCCAGCCAGGGCTGAGCGCACTCTTGCCCTCTCCAGTGATGGAACTGTACGAGATAGGCGGGGCCAAGACGTCCGACTGTACCCAGAGGTGCCTGAGGTCCTAAAACGATTGCAGAGCCTTGGGGTGCCCGGTGCGGCTGCTTCAAGGTAAGAAGAGCGACTGACAACTGACAGTGTAATGCTGAAGGGTGCATGCAAGAGACAGTGAAACCCCTGGTCTACAAAAATAGGGGCGGTGCAAGTTTCCAAGTATTTACATATTTTTTCCCTTGAACGCTCTCCTGTGCCTTTTAACTATTAAAAAGTGGGGCCAGCAGGCGGGCGCGGTGGCTCACGTCTGTAATCCCAGCACTTTGGGAGGCCGAGGCGGGTGGATCACGAGATCGGGAGTTCAAGACCAGCCTGATCAACATGGTGAAACCCCGTCTCTACTAAAAATACAAAAATTAGCAGGGCGTGGTGGCACGCACCTGTAATCCTAGCTACTCGGGAGGCTGAGGCAGGAGAATCGCTTGAACCCGGGAGGCGGAGGTTGCAGTGAGCTGAGATGGAGCCACTGCACTTCAGCCTGGGTGACAGAGTGAGACAATGTCTCAAAAAAAAAAAAAAAAAAAAAAGTGGGGCCAGACACAGTGACTCACACCTGTAATCTTAGCATTTTGGGAGGCCTAGGTGGGAGGATCACTTGAGCCCAGGAATTTGAGACCAGCCTAGGCAATAGAGGGAGACCCTATCTCTACCAAAAAAAAAAAAAAAATTGTAGTGGCGTGCACCTGTAGTCCCAGCTACTTGGGAGGCTGAGGTGGGAGGATCACTTGAGCCCAGGAGGTCGTGACCACAGTGAGCCGTGATTGGGTCGCTGCACTCCAGTCTGGGCAACAGAGCTAGACCCTGTCTCAAAACAAAAGCTAAAACATTGGCCCAGCACCAATTGTGTCAAATAGGAAGGCAATGGAGTTAAACAGAGGCTGAGGATGCCTGTCCATCCCGGAAAAACAGCAAGTTGATTTCCCTGGTTATACTTACTAACTTTGCTTAATAAGTTAACGTAGCCCTGGCCCTTCACTTTGCTAATCCCATCTTTTACACCGTTTTGCAGGACAAGTGAGATAGAAGGGGCCAACCAGCTACTGGAGCTCTTTGACCTCTTCAGGTACTTTGTTCATCGGGAAATCTATCCAGGCAGCAAGATCACACACTTTGAGAGGTATGCGGAGATAAGGGAGGAGCAGGGTGAGAAAGTATCAGAGAGGCCTGGGAAACCAAGATACTAGCTTGGTTACTCCTGCCCTGTCTTGAATAGGTTGCAGCAGAAGACTGGAATTCCTTTCTCCCAGATGATCTTCTTTGATGATGAGAGGCGGAATATTGTAGACGTCAGCAAACTGGGTACTGAGTGATGAGGAACAGCCATTTGGGGTCCCTAGGAGGGATTAGGTAGATACATACAGGTTGGATAGTTTGCCCTATAGGTGGCACTCACAAAGGTCAGAGTAATAATGGAGAACCCTGAAAGCTTAATGAAATGTGACTTCTTATCTTTCTAGGTGTTACCTGCATTCACATCCAGAATGGAATGAATCTTCAAACTCTAAGTCAAGGGTTAGAGACATTTGCGAAGGCCCAAACTGGGCCTTTGAGGTCCAGCCTTGAGGAGAGCCCATTTGAGGCCTAAACTGAAAGGAAATCAAGAAGGCATTTTCAGGTGCATTTGTAATTTATTAAAGTTCATCTGTGTGTGACAGAAGAGATTTTACCCACAGTGTGGGGAGTTTCTATTTTTCTAGCCTGTGAAATGGGGTTGGTTGTCCTGAGGTGCAGAGACCAGAATGTGAGACATTAGACTGCATCAGGTTTGCCATCTAAACTTAGGGCAACCCCAAGTGCTTGAACCTATACCACCCCACTTTCCTGAGCTCTGTAAAGAGCATGAAGTTTTCCCACTGACCCCATACACTGAGGTGCCATCACACTGCACATTTCCTTCCGGAGAACAAGCACGTACTCAGGTGGAGATAGAACTGTCTTTTTACTTAATAGAAAATGATGTGGCAGCTTTAAGAGGAGCGCGTCGGTCTGGGGCTGGTGGCTTGGGTCACGTGACACCGGTGGTCTCGTTTGCGCCTCTTGATGTCGCGGCGGCGCCCTGAGGACGGATTGGGCAAGGCTGGTCCCTGTGTGATGAGACATCACCCTCCCAGGAGCAAGGCGGAAGTCTGGAGGACGCTGAGGGGCGGAGGCGGGAGAGGCGAGCTCGCGATGAGTGGTCTCGGCAGGCTCTTCGGGAAGGGTGAGCCAGGGTGGGACTGGCCAGCCAGGAGGCGCTGGCTGGTGCAGGGGAAGAGGAGACCCCGGCGAGATTCGGCCGGACCGCTGCGCCGGGCAGGGGAAGAGAATCAGGAGACAGGCTGACTGGAAAACCCCGGCGGCCGATGGCGGAGCAAGGCTCATCGCCGGTGCCAAAAGGCACACCATGTCGGGGCGCCTTGTTCCCGTCCGCCGTCCTCCCCCACTCTCAGAGGGAAGAACTCAAGATCTGGGAGGGGACTTGAGTTGAGGGCGTGGCGATCGTGCTGACTCCCACTGTTCAGGCTTGAAGACGAGTTTCCTGCTGTCTTCAGCCATTTTCAAAACCTTGTTCTATAATACTTTGTGCTGGGCAAGAGGGATCTAAGGTGAAGAAGAAAGACTGCCTTCTTAGCCCGGCGCGGGGGCTCACGCCTGTACTCGCAACACTTTGGGAGGCCGACGTGGGTGGATCATGAGGTCAGGAGTTTGAGATCAGCCTGGCCAATATGGTGAAACCCCGTCTCTACTAAAAATATAAAAATTGGCCGGGCGCGGTGGCTCACGCCTGTAATCCCAGCACTTTGGGAGGCCGAGGTGGGTGGATCACCTGAGGTCAAGAGTTCGAGACCAGCCTGGACAACATGGTGAAACCTTGTCTCTACTAAAAATACAAAAAAAAAAAAAAAATTAGCTGGTTGTGGTGGCACGCGCCTGTAGTCCCAGCTACTGGGGGAGGCTGAGACAGGTGAATCGCTTGAACCCAGGAGGCGGAGGTTGTAGTGAGCCAAGATTGCACCAATGCACTCCAGCCTTGGTGACAGAGGGAGACTCCATTCTCAAAAAAAAAAAAAAAAATTAGGTGGGCATGATGGTGTGTGCCTGTAGTCCCAGCTACTCAGGGAGGCTGAGGCAGGAGAATCACTTGAACCCGGGAGACGGAGGTTGCAATGAGCTGAGATCATGCCACTGCACTCTGGCCTGGGCAACAGAGCGAGACTCTGTCTCAAAAAAAGAAGTCCTGGCGCGGTGGCTCATGCCTGTAATCAAAACACTTTGGGAGGCCGAGGCGGGCAGATCACCTGAGGTTGGGAGTTCGACACCAGCCTGACCAACATGGAGAAAGCCTGTCTGTACTAAAAACACAAAAAATTAGCCAGGCATGGTGGCACATGCCTGTGATCCCAGCTATTTGGGAGGCTGAGGCAGGAGAATTGCTTGAACCCAGGAGGCGGAGGTTGAGGTGAGCTGAGATCACGCCATTGCGTTCCAGCCTGGGCAACAAGACTGAAACTCTGCCTAAAGAAAAAAAAAGAAAGGCAGCTAGGAATAGTAAAAAGAATATTGGTTTTAGAACTCATACTGCCACATCTTGATTCCTGCACAATCTCTTATTAGTTGTGATTTTTAACATCTTTGTGGTTGTTTTCACATTTTTAAAGTGAAGAGATAGCACGTTCATTGTAGAGATTTGGGGATTAGCAATAACACAGTCAGGTCTCTAGCACATACTATGTATTCAATGATTGGTGGCTAATATTTTTCCTTCACAAAATTTGGGCCTACTCCACTGGACTCCTCAGGGAAGAAGGAGAAAGGGCCAACCCCTGAAGAAGCAATACAGAAACTGAAGGAGACAGAGAAGATACTGATCAAGAAACAGGAATTTTTGGAGCAGAAGATTCAACAGGAGCTACAAACAGCCAAGAAGTATGGGACCAAGAATAAGAGAGGTAATGAGGGAAACAAGCCTATGGGGAGGGCCCAGATGGGAAGCAGGTGCTTCTGACTCTTGATGTTCAGGGTATGGGCTGGGTCAGCTGCCCTACAGGCTTTGCGGAGGAAGAAAAGATTCGAACAGCAGCTGGCACAAACTGACGGGACATTATCCACCCTGGAGTTTCAGCGTGAGGCCATTGAGAATGCCACTACCAATGCAGAAGTCCTTCGTACCATGGAGCTTGCTGCCCAAAGCATGAAGAAGGCCTACCAGGACATGTGGGTACGGGGGGAGGGGTGGAGGGGACCCAGGCACTGGGAAGAGTGGCTTGCTATCACACTTTAAACTTTAAAGCCTCTCAGAATGTGAATTTGCAGTATAGATACTTGTGATGGCTAGACATCCATCTGCCCCTTGCTTCCTATAAAATTCTTTCGCTGCCTGGGGCATTCTAGGGAGGAAAGATGCCTTCTCTAATTCTTTTTTTGTTTTGTTTTGTTTTGTTTTTTGAGATGGAGTCTTGCTCTGTCGCCCAGGCTGGAGTGCAGTGGCACAATCTCGGCTCACTGCAACCTCCGCCTCCTGGGTTCAAGTGATTCTCCTGCCTCAGCCTCCTGAGTAGCTGGGATTACAGGTGTGCACTACTGTGCCCAGCTCATTTTTGTATTTTTAGTAGAGATGGAGTTTTGCCATTTTGGCCAGGCTGGTCTTGAACTCCTGACCTCAGGTGATCCACCTGCCTTGGCCTCCCAAAGTGCTGGGATCACAACTTGCATCTTTGCAATTTTCCAGGGATCTCTTCTGATTGATAGTTATGGGCTTATCAGTGTGACCCTGCAAGGCAGGAGGGGTTTCATTCATGTGAGATGAGAAAGTCAAGGGGGCATTGTTGCGTGATTTCTTAGCTATCTATCTCATTCTCAGGGACATTGACAAGGTAGATGAACTGATGACTGACATCACGGAACAACAGGAGGTGGCCCAGCAGATCTCAGATGCCATTTCTCGGCCTATGGGCTTTGGAGATGATGTGGATGAGGTGATTGGGGGTGAAGGGTCAGGGAATATTGCAGAAAGTATGGGACTGGCCAGAAGGAACACCCAAGAGAGGCTCTTGGGACAAGTTTGGGAGGGAACTTCAAAAGTGGTATGTTTTTGGAGGTAGAAGTTTTTTTCTTCATCTAAAGTGGTCTTGTCTTCCCTATCCAGGATGAACTGCTGGAGGAGCTAGAGGAGCTGGAGCAGGAGGAATTGGCCCAGGAGTTGTTAAATGTGGGCGACAAGGAAGAAGAACCCTCAGTCAAATTGCCTAGTGTACCTTCTACTCATCTGCCGGCAGGGCCAGGTATGCAGGGTTGTTCTGTTGTCTTGAGGACTTAAGAGGGTGGGAGAGATATGGGGAAAGATTATTCCTCATCCATCCTGCCTCAAAGGAGCCACACAGAAAGGGCTGCTGCTGCAGTTGTGCAGGTTGTTGACTGCATATAGGCACCCACCTAGCCTGTGCTTCACTCAACAAGCCGTGTACCCTGGTTTAGGGCTGCAAATGGCAGGAGCAAGAGGCACCATTTTTCTAATTTGCACAAAGGTGCTGTGGGATTGAACAGCAGCCTAGCAAGCAGAAGGACCATACCTTTAGGTTTTTTGCTGGGGAGACAGAATTCAGCAGGCTCTGAATGTCATAGCAGGGGATGGTTGGAGTTGCTGAGACCTTACTGCTTCTCCTTTCTTTTCTCTGGGTATCTTTGTCCTCAAAGCTCCCAAAGTGGATGAAGATGAAGAAGCACTAAAGCAGTTGGCTGAGTGGGTATCCTGATAAATCTGGGCTTGTCTTCCTAATGCTACCTTTGTTGGTCCTTTCTTCCTTAAGTGCCAAGTGCTGAGCTAAAGGAGGATAACTTTTTGGGGAAGTCATGCTGAGGGTGGTAGTGTGACCCTGCCTGAAAAAAGGGTCTCTTACCCTCCCAGCCCTGGCTCAACTCTGAAGAAGGATCTTGCTACAGAAGGAGCCCTTGGGCTCCCTTCTCTTTGATAGCAGTTATAATGCCCTTGTTCCCAATAAAACTGGGCAGATGGAATCCTAGTGTCTATACTGCCTTGTCTACCCCTGAAGCTGTTCCCCTGGCCCTTGGAGCCTTATTTCAAGCAATGAATAATTAGAGCAAAGAAGGGGGGTTGGAACATAGAACAAATGGGCATTCCTAGTATCTCAACCTATGTTCCAGGCAAACATTATTTCATCTTTCAAGCCGGTTTGTCCTAGAGTTGCCTAGTTGCTGAGGCTGAAGAAACTGCCATCTACCACTTAGAACCACGTGGAGGCATCTCTGAGTCTTCCCTCATTGCTTTCCCCTGGTCGTGCCTCTGCCAAGACAGCCCCAAATTTCTTTTACAAAGCCCATTTTCAAGGACAAGGAGGGAGAATACCATGGAAGGAGCAAGTAGCTTTGCTACTTGGAATGGAAGGAGCAAGTAGCTTTGCTACTTGGAATGGAAGGAGCAAGTAGCTTTGCTACTTGGAATGGAAGGAGCAAGTAGCTTTGCTACTTGGAATGGAAGGAGCAAGTAGCTTTGCTACTTGGAATGGAAGGAGCAAGTAGCTTTGCTACTTGGAATGGAAGGAGCAAGTAGCTTTCCTTTATCCAGAACCCATAGTTAGTAGCTTTCACTACTAGAAGGCTTGGTTTGAATTCTGTGTCTGGGAACAATTGTGTGAGAAGCCTTGTCTCCCTGCTATTGTGTCAGTAGTGGTTAAGGTGACACTGGAAGAGGGAAAAGGAACCAAGGTACTTCATACACCCGAATACCCATTTCTTTTCTTTTCTTTTTTTTTTTTTTTTGAGACAGAGTCTCACTTTGTCGCCCAGGCTGGAGTGCAGTGGCGCGATCTCGGCTCACTGCAACCCCTGCATCCCGGGTTCAAGTGATTCTCCTGCCTCAGCCAGGTGCCACTATGCCCGGCTAATTTTTGTATTTTTCATAGAGACAGGGTTTTGCCATGTTGGCCAGTCTGGTCTCGAACTCTTGACCTCAAGTGATCTGCCCGCCTCGGCCCCCCAAAGTGTTGGGATTACAGGCGTGAGCCACCGCACCCAGCTCGAATACCCATTTCTAAAAGAACTAACAGTGCCATTACTTTGGACTATAGACAGGCAGAGCCATAATCAAAGTGGAAGAACCAGGGCTTTTACCCCACTACTTGAGCATTTAAACAGCACAAAGATGTAAAATAATGAGCATATGTTGAGTTGAATAATAAAGCTTCCCAAAATAGAGCGTTAATCTGAGCACCCCATCCCCTAAGAGCCACATCATGAATTACACTATTGATTTAACACAGTGTCAAGATTATTGGTTACAGGCTCTGGGCAGAAATCTATCTCTTACTCCAGCAGTGTTCCCTGCTATAAGATTGCCTTGAGAAAAGAATGTCTTTGACCCTAGTTGATGAAACTAAATCAGACTTAGATTTATTTTTGGTAAAAAAGATTTTTAGCCCAAGACCTCCTGCTTTGCTCCTCTCTTAGCCCCCTCCCTCAGCCATTTTCAGGTCGTAATTTGCAAGGATTGGTGCTGTTTAGTGGTGTTGTGGAGCTGGCACATGGCCTCAAGCAGCCTGATCTCATGGGTGGGTTGCTCAGGCTGGAACTTGAGCACCCAGGAATCCTTGATGATGTCCAGAATGGTGGCACGCTTAGTGGCTTGGCGTAGCATCTGGAGGATCAGGTTCTAGAGCAGGGGAGAGAGAGGTCTTGCCTGAGTTTTTCTCCATTGTGCCACACAGGCAATGAGCAGTTGGACCTAAGAAAGAAGCAGGATAGCCCATCATACCACTCTGGTCAAAGTGGGTGTGGCTCTGATTTTATCTTGGAGACCCAGGCAGTTAACTCCCTGGAGGGGAAGGGAAGAGTTCCTTGGGAGGAATGCTTTCCATATTTCCCTTCTGGCCTAAAGAGAAAGAAGCTGGAACCTGTGTATCAGGCAAGGTTTGGAGCCTAGTGGTTGGCCCTTTATGCCTTCCATACTGTTTATTATAGGACAGGAGCTAGTGTGTGAGATGGCTCTGGTGTGGGAAGAGCCTTTCCCCAGGGTTGGGAGGCCTAGGTTGGGTGACCTAGGTTGGATATTCACCCCTCCCTGTGGGTCATCCCTGAAGGCTCAGCCCTCCTTAGGTAGCCAGTACCTTGCACTCCTGGGAGATGGTATGGTTAGCTGGGAAAGTGACCTCCTTCTGAGTCTCTCTTAGCAGCTTTTTGAGATTGGTGTCATCAAAGGGCAGATGGGCGACCACTAGAGTGTAAAGGATGACGCCCATGCTCCAGGTGTCAGACAGGAAAGGGTTGTAGGGCAAGCCTCGTAAGATCTCTGGGCAAGCGTAAGCAAAGCTGCCACAGTAAGTCTGGCTGAGGTGGGAAAAGCAGTTCACTTGGCGGTAAGAAGGGCTACAACCCACAGGCTGGTTAGAAGGCACCATCTTGGCAAAGCCAAAGTCTGATATCTTCACATTCTCCCACTTGTCCAGCAACAGGTTCTCCAACTTTAAGTCCCTACCAGCAGCAGAAAGGCTGGGCATCAGGCTGGGGAGAGGGCTTAGTTTTAGACTGGGAGCTGAAGGGCCAGGGGTCAGAGGGTAAAGATGAGGACAGAGGAAGTGGGAGGTAGAAACCATTATGAGGGCACAAGGTAGAGAGGAAGGAAAGCCATGGAGTTGTGAGCAGAGCCCAAAGTAGGGAGAGAGACAGAGGATGGTATCTGAGGACCACCGGGAGCTCACCATTGTATTTCATAAAATGCTTTGCATACAGTGAGTACTTTATCAGTATCCTTGACCATATGATTAAAATAGAGTGCATGAATAGGCTAGATATTGAGGAGGGAGTTCGAAAGAGGAAAAAAGGACAGGAAATGGGAGATGTGCATAAAACCCCCTTGAGGGCAAAGGCCCCAGTCTGGGTGGCAGCGCCCTCACCGGTGCACGATGCTCTTGCTGTGCAGGTAGGCAATGCCCAGGGTCAGCTGGGAGAACCACTTGCCAGCAAGGGGCTCAGAGCAGGCCCCGTAGCGCTGGATCCATTCAAGGACATCACCACCCTGAGCCAGTTCCAGAATGATGTATACTCGAGATGTGCTCTCAATGGCCCGATAGAAGTTGATGAGGTACTTGTGCCGCAAGACTTTCATTACCTGACCCCAGAAGAAGGACCCATCAAACCTGGGAAGGGAGAACCCTGACTGCACTCCCAGCCGTCTCCTACCCTCAGCTACTGACTTAGGACTTTGCAATAGGATCAGCCCCTCAACCCCAGAGAACTGGTGGCCTGTGGGCAAATGCTATGTTTTGTGCCTTTACTTTTTGGGGACTGAAGGTGAGTGGGTGGATGGGAAAGAGGTTTAACTTACATAAAGTTTCCTAGCTGCTTAGTGAGACATTTCAGTTCTGGTTTAGGGGTTTCTGGCCCCACCCCTCCTGGCCATACCCCTTCTGAGAAACCTCAAGCAGCTTAGTACCAAGCTCCAGTTCCCTCTTCCAGCCCCCTTTCCAACCTGTATTTCACGGGGCAGGAACTTGTTAAGATAGTCATCAGAGGCCTTCTTCTTTGAGATGATCTTGACTGCCACCATAACCTTCTGCTTTGTGTAGAAAGCCTCATATACCGACCCATAGGAGCCATGGCCAATGGCCTTGCCCACCTCATAACCATATTCATCCATGAGGGAATGGTAGGCTGTGGTGGTTGGTGCTGCCTCTAAGACATCTCCCTTCCCCATGGTGTTGGGCTTGCTGAGAGCAGGGAGCTTTACTACTTGGAAGCCTCCTATCCAAAGGCCAACACCTTGAGCTGCTGAAGGCTAGGGTATCAAAGTGAAGTAGGTCCCCAAATGCTTGCCTATATAGTCACACGAGTCTGGGATGCTGGACTCAGCCCTCCACTAGGAACTTGGAGGGGGAAAGAAAGAGAAGCAGTTCTTTTTGTCTCCACTGGCTGTTGTTACTTTCTCCTTTTGGTTACGGAACTCCTCAAGGTCCCATGTTCCGAATACATCACAATCCACCTCCTATCCATCGTTGGCCACAAAACTTGAGAATGAAGTGCGGCCGGGCGCGGTGGCTCACGCCTGTAATCCCAGCACTTTGGGAGGCCGAGGCGGGCGGATCACGAGGTCAGGAGATCGAGACCATCCCGGCTAAAACGGTGAAACCCCGTCTCTACTAAAAATACAAAAAATTAGCCGGGCGTAGTGGCGGGCGCCTGTAGTCCCAGCTACTTGGGAGGCTGAGGCAGGAGAATGGCGTGAACCTGGGAGGCAGAGCTTGCAGTGAGCCGAGATTGCGCCACTGCACTCCAGCCTGGGCGACAGAGCGAGACTCCGTCTCAAAAAAAAAAAAAAAAAAAAAGAGAATGAAGTGCAGTTGGAAACGTACTCATTCCCAGAGGCACCTTCCACAGTCTGGTGAAACTCCTAAAGATCAGACCTTTCATTGATATATGAGTACCTACTAAGTACCAGACACTGTGCTGAATACTTGGATAAAATGTCACCCAAATGTCATGCCAGACCCTTCCTCCTTCCTCAATCCCTACATACAATCTTTCATCAAATCCTGTCTCTGCTATCTCCTACTTATCTCTTTAATGATACACTCAAGGCTTTCCGAGCCCATTGCAGCCCCCTTAGTTCAATAAGGCCAATAGAGACACTATGATCCTAAAGCTTATAATGCAGCATGAGAAATACGAGTGTGAAAGTATTACCATTGTAAGGTATTGAACATGTTCTAGGAAAATCTAACCTTGAAATGCATCCTTATCTTCTATGAGCCAGAACTCTCTAGTTTTCCTCCACATCCTTCTGGTCACTCCTCAGCCTTCACTGAAGTTATATCTTTCTCTATCCATCCCTTAATCATATCCCAAGTGTTACATCACAAGCTTTATTTTCTCAAACCTTCACATCCTCCCTTAATCTTGTCCATACCCATGGTGTCAATACTACATTTATGCTGACTGCTCCTAATTTCATCTCCATCCCATATATCTGGAGTTTAGATAGAGCAGCCAGTATTACGTGGCCATGTCTGCCCCAGGCATGGAACTTACCATATCCATCTCAAACTTAACCATATCAATAATTGAACTTATTTTCTTCTCTCAGACTTTTCTGTGAGTTGTACACTAATCACCCTTAATTTAGACACTCATATGTCATCCCAGACCCTCCTGCCTCAGTCCCTACATTCAATCTATCACGAAATCCTATCTCTTATACCTCCTGATTCTCTCTTTGATAATATTCTCATGGTTTTCTGAGCCCACTGCTAATCCCTTAGTTCACGCCTCCATCATCGAACAGATGGCCCCCGCCAGCCTTCTGCTCCACTCCAGTCTGTCCATCCCAAGTCCAAAGCATAAATCTGATTTTATTTCCATTTGAAACAATTCAGTGTCTCCCCATTCTCTTTAGGATCAAGTCCATCCAAATTCTTTCACACAGCTTTAAGTCTGATCCTGCTTACCTCCCCAATTTTATTTTTTAACACACACGTAATGATCCACAACTGCTTTTCTGTATTTGTGGCAAACTCCAAATCTTCCTTGAGAACTTGGCATAGGACCTTTTTTCTCTTTTTTTTTTTTTGAGATGGAGTTTCGCTCTTGTTGCCCAGGCTGGAGTGCAATGGCACGATCTTGGCTCACTACAACCTCCAACTCCTGGGTTCAAGCGATTCTCCTGCCTCACCCTCCCTAGTAGCTAGGATTACAGACATGCACCACCATGCCTAGCTATTTTGTATGTTTAGTAGAGACAGGGTTTCTCCATGTTGGTCAGGCAGGTCTTGAACTCCCGACCTCAGGTGATCTGCCCACCTTGGCCTCCCAAAGTGCTGGGATTATAGGCATGAGCCACCGCGCCCCGTCTGTTTTTGTTTTGAGATGGAGTTTCGCTCTTGTTGCCCAGGCTGGAGTGCAATGGCACAATCTCGGCTCACCGCAACCTCCACCTCCCGGGTTCAAGCCATTCTCCCGCCTCAGCCTCCCGAGTAGCTGGGATTACAGGCATGCACCACCACGCCTGGCTAATTTTGTATTTTTTAGTAGAGACGGGGTTTCTCCATGTTGGTCAGGCTGGTCTCGAACTCCCAACCTCAGGTGATCTGCCTGCCTCAGCCTCCCAAAGTGCTGGGATTATAGCCGTGAGCCACCGCGCCCAGTGGAGCTGTTTTAAAGAAGGCTTAACTGACTGCTCAAGCTTCAGTTAGATATTCCTTCTTCCTGGGTGCTCCCACAGGCCCAATACTTTGTCTGTCACAGCACCTAACATAGTGTCTGTAATTGCTTCTGTTGCTTGCATCTCCCACTAAGCTATATAGGGAGGTCAAATGATGAGAAGACAGATGAAGTGTGGAGAATAGAAAAGAGCTGGTTTAGAAAATGAGCAGCATTGAGGGCCCAACTGAGGTTGGAGAACAACTTGTCCATAGACACATATAGTGTTGTGATTCTTTTAGCATCTTGGTTATAGGTACTTGAATGTTGATGGATGATTTAGGGTTTTGCTTGGCAGCTGCAATGAAACAATGGGAGAGGGGCATCAAGAACATACGCAAGAATGTGGCTGAAATGGAATGCGGAATCTAAGCTGCATGGATAAGGAAGATTATCGGGGAACCTGCCCCGATAGTCACGTAGGTTCTTTTCTATTTTCCCTAAGCGTCGGCCGGTTTGAGAAATAAAAGGACAGAGTACAAAAGAGAGAAATTTTAAAGCTGGGCATCCGGGGGAGACATCACATGTCGGTAGATTCTGTAATGCCCCACAAGCCGCAAAACCAGCAAGTTTTTATTAGGGACTTTCAAAAGGGGAGGGAGTGTACGAATAGGGTGTGGGTCACAAAGATCACGTACTTCACAAGGTAATAGAATATCAAAGGCAAAGGGAGGCAGGGCGAGATCACAGGACCGGGGCAAAATTAAAATTGCTAATGAAGTTTCGGGCACCATTGTCATTGATAACATCTTATCAGGAGACAGGGTTTTGAGAGCAACCTGTCTGACCACAATTTATTAGGTGGGAATTTCCTCTTCCTAATAAGCCTGGGAGTGCTATGGGAGACTGGGGTTTATTTCATCCCTACAGTTTCAACCATAGAAGACAGCCACACCCAAAGGGGCCATTTCAGAGACCCACCCTCAGGCACGTATTCTCTTTCCCAGGGATGTTCCTTGCTGAGAAAAAGAATTCAGCGATATTTCTCCCATTTGCTTTTGAAAGAAGAGAAATATGGCTCTGTTCCGCCTGGCTCACCGGAGGTCAGAGTTTAAGGTTATCTCTCTTGTTTCCTAAACATTGCTGTTATCCTGTTCTTTTTCAAGGTGCCCAGATTTCATATTGTTTAAACACACATGCTGTACAATTTGTGCAGTTAACGCAATTATCACAGGGTCCTGAGGCGATGTACATCCTCCTCGGTTTACGAGATGACAGGATTAAGAGATTAAAGTAAAGACAGGCATAGGAAATCACAAGGGTATTGACTGGGGAAGTGATAAGTGTCCATGAAATCTTCACAATTTATGTTTAGAGATTGCAGTAAAGACAGGCATAAGAAATTATAAAAGTATTAATTTGGGGAACTAATAAATGTCCATGAAATCTTCACAATCCACGTTCTTCTGTCATGGCTTCAGCCGGTCCCTCCGTTTGGGGTCCCTGACTTCCCGCAACAGAAGATTATATGGTTTGGATCTGTGTCCCCACCCAAATCTCATGGTCAGTTGTAATCTGCAATGTTGGAGGAGGGGCCTGGTGGGAGGTGACTGGATCATGGAGGTGGGTTTCTGATGAATGTGTAGCACCACCCTCTTGCCGTGAGTTATGAGATGTGGTCATTTTAAAAAGTGTGTAGCACCTCCCCCTTTGCCCTCTTGCTCCTGCTCCCACCATGTGAGATACTTGCTCCCCCTTCACCTTCTGCCATGATTGTAAGCTTCCTGAGGCCTCCCCAGAAGCAGATGCCAGCATTATGCTTCCTGTACAGCCTGCAGAACCACAGCCAATTAAAGCTCTTTTCTTATAAATTACCCAGTCTCAGGTATTTCTTTATAGCAAGGCAGCTGACACAGAAGACAAGCTAGAAACTGGCCAAAGGGGCAGAAGGAGGAGTTGCAGGTGTCACTGGAATGGAAAAACAAGTTTGGTAGGAATTGAGAGAATGAGAAGAACAGGAGGTTGTGGTCACAGAGGAGTTATTTAGATTTAAGATTTTGTAGCCGGGCGCAGTGGCTCACGCCTGTAATCCCAGCAATTTGGGAGGCCAAGGCTGGTGGACTGCTTGAGGTTAGGAGTTCAAGACCAGCCTGACCAACATGGTGAAACCCATCTCTACTAAAAATACAAAAATTAGGTGGGTGTGGTGGCAGGCGCCTGTAATCCCAGGTACTTGGGAGGCAGAGTCAGGAGAATCTCTTGAAGCCAGGAGGCAGAGTTTGCAGTGAGCCGAGATCATGCCACTGCACTCCAGCCTGGGCAACAGAGCAAGACTCTGTCTAAACGAACAAAAAAAAGGCCAGGCACGGTGGCTCAAGCTTGTAATCCCAGCACTTTGGGAGGCTGAGGTGGGCAGATCACGAGGTCAGGAGATCGAGACCATCCTGGCTAACATGGTGAAACCCCGTCTCTACTAAAAATACAAAACTAGCCAGGCATGGTGGCGGGCGCCTGTAGTCCCAGCTACTCGGGAGGCTGAGGCAGGAGAATGGTGTGAACCCAGGAGGTGGAGTTTGCAGTGAGCAGAGATTGCACCACTGCACTCCAGCCTGGGTGACAGAGCGAGACTCTGTCTCAAAAGCAAAAAACCGGCCGGGTGCGGTGGCTCACACTTGTAATCCCAGCACTTTGGGAGGCCGAGGAGGGCGGATCAGGAGGTCAGGAGATCAAGACCACGGTGAAACCCTGTCTCTACTAAAAATACAAAAAATTAGCCAGGTGTGGTGGCGGGTGCCTGTAGTCCCAGCCACTTGGAGAGGCTGAGGCAGGAGAATGGCATGAACCTGGGAGGCGGAGCTTGCAGTGAGCCGAGATCGCGCCACTGCGCTCCAGCCTGGGCGACAGAGACTCTGTCTCAAAAAAAAAAAAAAAAAAAAAAAAAAAAAAACCAAAAAAACAAAAAAGATTTTGTGTGGTGGGTATTAGGCCGTTCTTGCATTGCTATAAAGAAATACCAGGCCGGGCGTGGTGGCTCATGCCTGTAATCCCAGCATTTTGGGAGGCTGAAGCGGGCAGATCAGGAGGTCAGGAGATCGAGACCAGCCTGGCCAACATAGTGAAACCCGTCTCTACTAAAGACACAAAAATTAGCTGGGCGTGGTGGTGCATGCCTGTAATCCCAGGTACTCGGGAGGCTGAGGCAGGAGAATCACTTGAACCACGGAGTCGGAGGTTTCAGTGAGCCGAGATCGCACCACTGCACTCCAGCCTGGTGACAGAGCAACACTCTGTCTCAAAAAAAAAAAAGAAAGAAATACCTGAGGCCGTGTACAGTGGCTCATGCCTGTAATCCTGACAGTTTGGGAAGCCAAGGCAGGTGGATTACCTGAGCCCAGGAGTTCAAGACCAGCTTGGGCAACATAGCAAAAACCCATTTCTACGAAAAATACCAATATTAGCTAGGTGTGGTGGCATGTGCCTATAGTCTCAGCTACTCAGAAGGATCACTTGAGCCTGGGAGGTGAAGGCTGCAGTGAACCAAGATGGCACCACTGCACTCCAGCCTGGGTGACAAAGTGAGACCCTGTCTCAAAAACAAAAACAAACAAAAACATGAGACTGGGTAGTTTGTAAAGAAAAGAGGTTTAGGCCGGGTGCAGTGGCTCACGCCTGTAATCCCAACACTCTGGGAGGCCAAATTAGGCAGGCGGATCACAAGGTCAAGAGATCAAGACCATCCTGGCCAACATGGTGAAACCACATCTCTACTAAAAATACAAAAATTAGCTGGGCATGGTGGTGTGTGGCTGTAGTCCCAGCTACTCTGGAGGCTGAGGCAGGAGAATCACTTGAACCTGGGAGGGGGAGGTTGCAGTGAGCCAAGATCACACCACTGCACTCTAGCCTGGCGACAGAGCAAGACTCCGTCTCAAAAAAAAAAAAAAAAAAAAAGAAAAGAAAAGAAAAGAGGTTTAATTGGCTCACCGTTCTGCAGGCTGTATAGGAAGCATGGTGCTGGCTCAGCTTCTGGGGAGGCCTCAGGAAGCTTATAATCAAAACGGAAGGTGAAGGGGAAGCAGGGACATCACGTGGTGAGAATGGGAGTGAGAGAGAGAGAGTTGTGGTGGAGGTGCCACACGCTTTTAAACAACCAGATCTTGTGAGAACTCATAGGGTAAATACTACACCAAACCATGAGGGGTCCGCCCCCATGATCCAAAAACCTCCCACCAGGACCCACCTACAGCATTGGGGATTACATTTCAACATGAGATTTGGGCAGGGATAACTATCCAAACTATATCAGTGGGGGACAGAGGGGCAGAGAAAAGAACAAGGGAAGAATCCAAATTCTCATATCTTCCATCCTCCAAAACAGAATACTTCAAGAACAGATTATGCCACAGGCATGCAATAAATTCCCATTTATTGACAGTCTGACCTTGCTGGCAGGATGGTTCCAAAGTTCTGTTGGAAGCCAGCTCTATATCCTCAATCTAGCAAGATGAGCAGTTTTCCAGGGCACACCATGGTAAGGGGGCCCACCCAATCCTGCCCATCTGATCCCACAGGCTGGCCCCCGGATAGGTAACTTGGTGGCAACTCTAGTCTCTCATCATGTACAGGGGGTAAACCAGTTCATGCGAAGATCATGTATTAAGCTGCCTAACATATACAAAAACACTGCTAGGTCCTGAGGAAACAGAGATGAATAAATTACAGTCTTCCTCTGAGGAGTTTGAAATTAGCAAGGGAGACAGACACATAAGAAGTAAAATAACACTACAGTGAGATATGCTATAAACAAACCTGGGAGGAGATGTAAGGGAAGGCTTTATAGAGAAGGTGACATTTGCACTGTTCAAAAAAAAAGGATAAGGCCAGGTGCAGTGGCTCATGCCTGTAATCCCAGCACTTTGGGAGGTCAAGGCGGGCGGATCACGAAGTCAGGAGTTCGAGACCAGCCTGGCCAATATGGTGAAACCCCATCTCTACTAAAAAATACAAAAATTAGCCGGGCATGGTGGTGCGCACCTGTAGTCCCAGCTACTCGGGAGGCTGGGGCAGGAGAATCGCTTGAACTCGGAGGTGGAGGTTGCAGTGAACTGAGATCACACCACTACACTCCAGCCTGGTTGACAGTGAGACTGTCTCAAAAAAAAAAAAAAAAAAAAAAAAAGGCCAGGCACGGTGGCTCACACTTGTAATCCCAGCACTTTGGGAGGCCAAGGCGGGCAGATCATGAGGTTGGGAGATCGAGACCATCCTGGCTAACACTGTGAAACCCCGTCTCTACTGAAAATACAAAAACAAAAATTAGCCGGGCGTGGTGGCAGGCACCTGTAGTCCCAGCTACTCGGGAGGCTGAGGCGGGAGAATGGCGTGAACCTGGGAGGCGGAGCTTGCAGTGAGCAGAGATCACGCCACTGCACTCCGGCCTGGGCAACAGAGCGAGACTCTGTCTCAAAAAAAAAAAAAAAAAAGATAAGTAGGGAATAGGAGATTGGGTGGTTTAGGCAGGAGGAACAATATGAGGCTTGCCGGCTTGAGAGAATATGATATTCAGTATTTCTATTTGAATACAGAATAGGGTTCCAGAAGGGGAATGTACCTTGAGAAGTAATTAGGATCCAGGTCTGAGCAGTCTCATATGCCAGGCTATTTTGACTCTACCTTGTATGCTCATATAATCTGGGTATACATCAAAATCAGTGCTTATTTTTTTGAGACAGAGTTTGGTTCTTGTTGCCCAGGCTGGAGTGCAATGGTGCAGTCTCAGCTCACTGCAACCTCCGCCTCCTGGGTTCAAGCGATTACCCTGCCTCAGCCTCCCAAGTGGCTGGGGTTATAGCCATGAGCCACCATGCCCGGCTAATTTTTTTTGTATTTTTAGTAGAGACGGGGTTTCACCATGTTGGACAGGCTGGTCTTGAACTCCCGACCTCAGGTAATCCACCTCGGCCTCCCAAAGTGCTGGGATTACAGGAGTGAGCCACTACGCCCGGCCTCAGTGCTTGCTTTTTTTAAAAAAAAAAAAATGCTGATGACCAGGCACCCCCTCCCCTGAGAATCCTGATTTTAAAAAAGAAACTTTCCAGTAGCAGTGTGAAAAATGACCCAGGGGGAAGGTGACTAGGAGACTAGCAAGGTGGCTCTCATGGTAGTTTAGGTGAGAGAAGATGGAGCCTGAACCAAAGAGGTGGAGGCAAGCATCTGGAAGATATTCAGGAAATAAGTGGAGAGGGCTTGGTGACACTGATATCTGAGCGGGAAGATAGAGAGAAAGAGGCCCAAGTTTCTGGCTTTAGAGACCAGGTGGTTGTCAGTTAGAGATTATTTCTAAGCCACTCTCAGTTCTTGTTCTTTTTTCTTTTTCTTTTTCTTTTTTTTTTTTTTTTTGAGATGGAGTCCCGCTCTGTTGCCCAGGCTGGAGTGCAATGGCCTGATCTCGGTTCACTGCAACCTCCGCTTCCCAGGTTCAAGCTATTCTCCTGCCTCAGCCTCACAAGTGGCTGGGGTTACAGGCGCCCGCCACCAGGCCCAGCTAATTTTTTTGTATTTTTAGTAGAGACAGGGTTTCGCCATGTTAGGCTGGTCTCGAACTCCCGACCTCGGGTGATCTGCCCGCCTTGGCCTCCCAAAGTGCTGGTATTACAGGCGTGAGCCCACCGCGCCCGACCTCAGTTCTTTTTCTAATTAGAAAATTCACTGATTGTCTAACAAAACTCCACCATCTGCTTCTTTGAACCTCACCTATATCTGCAGGGAAAGAACTGGGTCAGAAAGGGCAGTAATTGTAGAAGCAGGTAAATTAAGGGCTTTTCAGGCCAGAAGTCACTTGTGATTTTTCCACTGTGCTTCTTCCCCTGGGGAGAGAGAAGCTTAAGTCCACTTCCTTACACGTTGCTCCCAGGTGGCAAAACAGAAGTCACTGCTCAAAGGTCCGATTTTCAAGGGGAACTCCCTAGACGGCAGATCCCCTTTAAAACAGCTGAGACAAACACAAGGGTAAACTTTTTCAAAATAATCTGCCATACAAAGTGAAGAGAAGCCCAAAGACATACACAGTGATAAATAAGAACAAAAACATAGACTAACGGACCTCGAGATACTTTACCGTCAATTAACAATAACCATGTTAGGCTGCCCAACTCACAGAGTCAAAGGACAGACCTCTCTCCTTGCGCGCCTCTGCGCCAAACCGGGTTTCGGCTTGCTTATCGTGGGCTCTGAACGGTCACTGTGCGGCCAGGGAAGTCTCCAGCACAGCCTCGGGAAGACATTCCTATTACATATTTATCACTTTGGCGCTGGCCATTCGTGACAGGTGGGAGACGAGTGAGGTGAGATTCAGATGTTGGGACCCTTGCATGGGACAGATGCCCAAAGCTTCGCCCCTTCCCCGGTTTGGGGGCCACGAACCGCCTCTCAGGGCTCAGCCTCAGCAGCAGGTGGTTCAGCCGGAAAGTGCTTCGAACCCAGACGCCGCCTGCGCTCCATCTCCCCGGCCCTCGCTAGTCCCGTCCCGCGGGGACAGCTCTCGGGCCTCGGCCAGCGCGAGCCTCCTGGCCAAGAGCTCTCAAACCCCAAATCTTTCCAGGAGCAAGCGAGCGGCCTAGCAGCCACTCCTCTCCCGAAGGGGTGTCAGGGTCCTCGCTGCCAGGCCTCAGCCCCCTCCCCGGGAAGCCGTCGCGAAGGAGTCCCCAGGGGCCGCAGCAGCGAAGGCCCTCTGCGTTCCAGGCAAGGAGCTTTCCGCCAGGCTGAGGTCGCCGCCGGTGAGGGCGGAAGTGGTAAGACTGACGTGTCCTGGGCCGCGCTGCCGATCGCCGGGAGGACCCCCGCCTCGCCGAAGACGGGCGGGGCAAGCCGAGCCTCACGGGGTCCCCGGAGCTGGGCCGGGCCTCCAGATGGAGAAGGCGCAACGGGGAGTTCTTGAGTAAGCCAGAGCGGTGTCCAGCGCGGTGTAGCCGCAGCCGCCGCTGTCAGGCGCAGCAACGGGCAACCCCGTAGAAGTCGGTCGGCAGGTCCTCTCCAACCCGCCGCTACCGCGCCGCTGTGGGAGAGACCCCAGCAGGAGCCCAAAGGCAGCTACGGGGGCGCGAAGGCCGCTGGCGCCGCCTCGGCCAGCCCTTCCCGCGCGGTGAGGACCCCGGGGCTGTGGCGGGAAGGGACCCGAGGTGCGAGACCGAGCGGCGTTGCCATGGAAACGGGCCAGGGCGCGTAGTAGAGGCCCCGGGCCAGACGGGCTGCGGGTGGGGTGAACCCCAGGTTGGGAGGATGAGAGAGCAGAGGTGGAGCGGGGTCTTTGGGATAGAGAGACGTGGGGTAGGGTGAGGCGGGGAGGGGGCCAATGGGAGCAAGTGGAGCCAGGGGACCTCAGTTCGAGGCACCTGACCTGGGGTTTCTGTAACCTCCCTGGTTTCTATAACCTCAGGATTCCCCCAAACAGGTTCCACTGCCTTAAGGATGACAGTCGTAGGGAACCCTCGAAGTTGGAGCTGCCAGTGGTTGCCAATCCTGATACTGTTGCTGGGCACAGGCCATGGGCCAGGGGTGGAAGGCGTGACACACTACAAGGCCGGCGACCCTGTTATTCTGTATGTCAACAAAGTGGGACCCTACCATAACCCTCAGGAAACTTACCACTACTATCAGCTTCCAGTCTGCTGCCCTGAGAAGATACGTCACAAAAGCCTTAGCCTGGGTGAAGTGCTGGATGGGGACCGAATGGCTGAGTCTTTGTATGAGATCCGCTTTCGGGAAAACGTGGAGAAGAGAATTCTGTGCCACATGCAGCTCAGTTCTGCACAGGTCAGCCTCTCCACATTGGCTATCACGTAGCCCTCCTTCCCAGAGACTAACAGTGCCTTACATTTATGGTTCAGGGTACCTTTATGGAAATTGTCTGATTTGATTCTAACTACAATACAACCCAGTGTGGCAGGCAGGTTAGGTGATGCTATTCTAATTCAGTTGACTAAGATACATACTTGCTCAGAAGTTACTTTTTTCAAGATTACATGGACAGTGATTTGCAGAACTGATATCAGAGCCCAGGGTTTCTTACTGCAAGCTTCTCTGTTGGTCATGAGGTCCCAACTATCAGTCCCACATAGTTCTGTTTCCTTCCATGCCTACCTCTTGGCTGTTTCTTAGCTGTTTCCTGTAGTCTCTACCTAAACTTCCCTGTCATGCTTTTTCTTTAGTGAATCCTGGTACTTCTCCTTAGTCCACTCCAGACCTCCTTATACCTCACCGCTCTCCTTTTTCTAGGCCTTAACCCTGTCAAGCCATACTTGCTCTTTTTTGGAGAATCTCAACATACTAGAGTCTAACCCAGTGATTGTCAACAGGGAACAGTTTTGTCCCCCAAGGGACATTTAGCAATGTCTGGAGACATTTTTTGTTGTTACAGCTGGGGGGGTACTACCAGCATAGAATGGGAAGAGGCCAGGAAAGCTACATCCTACAGTGCACGGGATAACCCCACTATGACAAAGAATTATCCAACCCAGGCTGGGTGTGGTGGCTCACTCCTGTAATCCCAGCACTTTTTTTTTTTTTTTGAGACAGAGTCTTGCTCTGTCGCCCAGGCTGGAGTGCCGTGGCGCAATCTCGGCTCACTGCAAGCTCCACCTCCCGGGTTCACGCCATTCTCCTGCCTCAGCCTCCCGAGTAGCTGGGACTACAGGCGCCCGCCACCACGCCCAGCTAATTTTTTGTATTTTTAGTAGAGACGGGGTTTCACCGTGTTAGCCAGGATGGTCTCGATCTCCTGACCTCGTGATCTGCCCGCCTCGGCCTCCCAAAGTGTTGGGATTACAGGCATGAGCCTCCGCACCCGACCAATCCCAGCACTTTGGGAGGCCGAGGCAGGCAGATCATGAGGTCAGGAATTTGAGACTAGCCTGGCCAACATGGTGAAACCCTGTCTCTACTAAAAATACAAAAATTAGCTGGGTGTGGTGGTGGGCGCCTGTAATCCCAGCTACTCGGGAGGCTGAGGCAGGAGAATTGCTTGAACCCAGGAGGCAGAAGTTGCAGTAAGCCGAGATCGCACCACTGCACTCCAGCCTGGGTGACAGAGCAAGACTCCATCTCGAAAAAAAAGAATTATCCACCCCAAAATATCAGTAGTGCTGAAGGTGAGAAACTTTGCTGTAACTCTGCGCCTGGGGAGATCTTGTGTGACCAACTCCTGACTTGCTCTTTATAGGTGGAGCAGCTGCGCCAGGCCATTGAAGAACTGTACTACTTTGAATTTGTGGTAGATGACTTGCCAATCCGGGGCTTTGTGGGCTACATGGAGGAGAGTGGTTTCCTGCCACACAGCCACAAGATAGGACTCTGGACCCATTTGGACTTCCACCTAGAATTCCATGGAGACCGAATTATATTTGCCAATGTTTCAGTGCGGGACGTCAAGCCCCACAGCTTGGATGGGTTACGACCTGACGAGTTCCTAGGCCTTACCCACACTTATAGCGTGCGCTGGTCTGAGACTTCAGTGGAGCGTCGGAGTGACAGGCGCCGTGGTGACGATGGTGGTTTCTTTCCTCGAACACTGGAAATCCATTGGTTGTCCATCATCAACTCCATGGTGCTTGTGTTTTTACTGGTGGGTTTTGTGGCTGTCATTCTAATGCGTGTGCTTCGGAATGACCTGGCTCGGTACAACTTAGATGAGGAGACCACCTCTGCAGGTTCTGGTGATGACTTTGACCAGGGTGACAATGGCTGGAAAATTATCCATACAGATGTCTTCCGCTTCCCCCCATACCGTGGTCTGCTCTGTGCTGTGCTTGGCGTGGGTGCCCAGTTCCTGGCCCTTGGCACTGGTGAGGTGATAAAAATGAATTGGGGATTTATCTCATGGGATAGAACTAGGTAGGGAGTTTGTTCAGAAAAGGTCTGTGGATCTTCTCTTCTATCCAGAGGGGCAGACCTAAGGGATAGGGTGGCTCTAGCAAGAATGCACGTATTCTATTGTAGATTTTCTGGATAGCAAAACTGGGGGAGATTGTTTTGCTGGAGGCCCTGGGTCTGGGAGAAGGGGGGCTGATTCCTCTGAAATTGCTAGAAGAGACACAGGTGAGGCCTAACTTGGGCTTTCCGCTACCGTCCTGCAGGCATTATTGTCATGGCACTGCTGGGCATGTTCAATGTGCACCGTCATGGGGCCATTAACTCAGCAGCCATCTTGTTGTATGCCCTGACCTGCTGCATCTCTGGCTACGTGTCCAGCCACTTCTACCGGCAGATTGGAGGCGAGCGTTGGGTGTGGAACATCATTCTCACCACCAGTCTCTTCTCTGGTGAGGACTTTCCTTTCCCTGGTGGGCCTTTCTGGACTTAGGAATGAAGAACACATTGTGGCTGGTCACAGTGGCTCACACCTGTAATCCTAGCACTTTGGGAGACCGAGGCCGGAGGATCACTTGAGCCCAAAAGTTTGAGACAAGCCTAGACAACATAGTGAGACCCTCTCTCTATAACAAAAAATTAGCCGGGCATGGTGGTTCACATCTGTAATCCCAGCTACTTGGGAGGCTGACCCAGGAGGATTGCTTGAGCCTGGGGAGCCAGGGAGGTTGAGGCTACAGTGAGCCATGATTGCACCACTGCACTCTAGCTGGGCTGACAGAGTGAGACTGTCTCAAAAAAAAAAAAAGAACACATCATAGAACTTGGGATAGAGTCAGGATGAGGCTTGAAGGGAAGGAATATTGTAAAAGAAAGAAGAAAACCAAAAAAAAACAAGAATGCATTTCTTTTGAATAGTTTAAAATTACTAAGCCCTCAAAATGTCCTAGGCAGTGTGGAAAGCACTCAGCAATAACTGTGTGAAGTAGGTAATATTTCCATTCCACAGATGAGGAAACTGAACTAAAGGCTGCTTAAGTAACTTGTCTGAGATTACACTCCTAAAAAGTAGTGAACTAGGTTTCAGCAGTCTGACTTGTATTCTCACCCATTACACTAAAATAACACCCTTGAATTTTTATTTTGAAGGTGGGCCCACTCTAGGCTTTCAAACCAGATTGCCCTTTCAAAGGCAGTAGTAGTCTCTGTTCTGAACCCTTCTTGTTCCCAATTCTGTGTGTCTGATTTTTATCCCATCACATTTATATTTGAACCAAGGCTTTCTGAAAACAGGGCCTTAATCCAAAGGAATGTCTCATGCTAGGAATTACCAACTCCAAGGCAAGACAGGCCCCTGGAGGCAGATGGATTTGTGCTACTCTCAGATTATGTAGTAGCTACCTGGATCCTTAATGACACCGGGTTGGGGGATGGTGTTGGTAAGATAAAGAGCAAAGAGTCCGGGTGTGGTGGCTCATGCCTGTAATCCCAGCACTTTGGGAGGCTGAGGCAGGCAGATCACCAGGTCAGGAGATCGAGACCATCCTGGCTAACACAGTGAAACCCCATCTCTACTAAAAATACAAAAAATTAGCCGGGCGTGGTGGCGGGCGCCTGTAGTCCTAGCTACTCACTCGGGAGGCTGAGGCAGGAGAATGGCATGAACCTGGGAGGCGGAGCTTGCAGTGAGCAGAGATCGCGCCACTGCACTCCAGCCTGGGCGACAGAGCGAGACTCTGTCTCAAAAAAAAAAAAAAAAAAAAAAAAAAAACACAGAACAAAGAATAATGGGACCTGAAAGGGTGGAGGTGAAGGCAGTCGACTCTGCAGGGACATCCAGGAGCATGAGTCTGCCGTTAGAGTGGCAGGCTGCTTCAGCCCCCTCCCCTTTTGGTCCTGGATGTAAGTGGGTGCCCTTAGAGATGTAGCTCCTAGTGTTGACCCTCCCTCCGGGGGCCCATCCCTGCAGTGCCTTTCTTCCTGACGTGGAGTGTGGTGAACTCAGTGCATTGGGCCAATGGTTCGACACAGGCTCTGCCAGCCACAACCATCCTGCTGCTTCTGACGGTTTGGCTGCTGGTGGGCTTTCCCCTCACTGTCATTGGAGGCATCTTTGGGAAGAACAACGCCAGCCCCTTTGATGCACCCTGTCGCACCAAGAACATCGCCCGGGAGATTCCACCCCAGCCCTGGTACAAGTCTACTGTCATCCACATGACTGTTGGAGGCTTCCTGCCTTTCAGGTATCCTCCCTTTATTCCATGGCTATTACTGTCAGGTTCCTGACCTCAATTTTTCCTGTCCCTACTCATCCAGTACCCTAACCCAACCCGTTGATCCCTGGTTCAGTGGTACCATTCAGAGATCATTAAATGGTTCCTCCTATCCCCAAGCAGGACTGAGCTTGAATGATATGAGAGTGTCTCACTTATAAAGCTCTCCGGAGACATTTCCCCCTTCACCTTCCTGGTTTCTGACTTTAATGCCTATGGACATCATGTGGGGTTTAAAGCCCATTTGATGACCCATTTACTTTGTTGAATACCTCTTTGTGCCAGGCAAAGAATAAAGTGGAATAAAATGGACAAGATCCCTGCCCTCAATCTATTAGGGAAGATATTCTTGAAGTGAGAGCGGCTAATCATAGGCAAAAAATCCCCATGAAGCCAGGAGATCTGGGGCAGAGAGTGGAGTGAACTCACTTTTCACAATGACCCAGCAACATGGGAGAGGGTGGGGGCTGGATTTCAGCCCAGCCACTGTGCTGATGGTGCACAGCCCTTTAATGCTGTGTATCATCTCTTTTCTTCACAGTGCCATCTCTGTGGAGCTGTACTACATCTTTGCCACAGTATGGGGTCGGGAGCAGTACACTTTGTACGGCATCCTCTTCTTTGTCTTCGCCATCCTGCTGAGTGTGGGGGCTTGCATCTCCATTGCACTCACCTACTTCCAGTTGTCTGGGGAGGATTACCGCTGGTGGTGGCGATCTGTGCTGAGTGTTGGCTCCACCGGCCTCTTCATCTTCCTCTACTCAGTTTTCTATTATGCCCGGCGCTCCAACATGTCTGGGGCAGTACAGACAGTAGAGTTCTTCGGCTACTCCTTACTCACTGGTTATGTCTTCTTCCTCATGCTGGGCACCATCTCCTTTTTTTCTTCCCTAAAGTTCATCCGGTATATCTATGTTAACCTCAAGATGGACTGAGTTCTGTATGGCAGAACTATTGCTGTTCTCTCCCTTTCTTCATGCCCTGTTGAACTCTCCTACCAGCTTCTCTTCTGATTGACTGAATTGTGTGATGGCATTGTTGCCTTCCCTTTTGCCCTTTGGGCATTCCTTCCCCAGAGAGGGCCTGGAAATTATAAATCTCTATCACATAAGGATTATATATTTGAACTTTTTAAGTTGCCTTTAGTTTTGGTCCTGATTTTTCTTTTTACAATTACCAAAATAAAATTTATTAAGAAAAAGGCTCATGCAGTTGGAGGTTTTGGTCTGGATATAGGAACTCGAGCCCTGCTGTTAAGGGCACGGTCCTTTATAAAGCCGAGCTGGCCACTGAATGCCCGAAGCTCGAGTTCTCCAACCCAGCTTGGGAACTCCCGGCGTGGGGAACCTACATTGCCAGAGTCGGGTTTCCGCGATTCAGCCGGTGCTCAGCCTAACGGAAGTGGAGGAGCCGGACCTCTTTGTGGGAAGCGAATTGAATCACCTTGGCAACCCGCGGGGCGTGCAGCAACGCCCTTTCCTCCGGAAGTGGGTGTCAGAACCTCCACGTGCTGTCCCTCCCCCTCCCCTTTTCGGCCCAGTAGCGGCGGCTCAGTTGCTGCCATGGAGTCAGCCGGGCTAGAGCAGCTCCTACGGGAGCTGCTGCTACCGGACACCGAGCGCATCCGTCGGGTACGGAGCAGGCGTAACCGGGCCAGGGCGAGCGGGAGGTTGCGGGAAAGGCCCAACTCTCACCCCTAGCTTCCCCCCAGGCCACGGAACAGCTCCAGATCGTTCTTCGGGCCCCCGCCGCTTTGCCGGCTCTCTGCGACCTGCTAGCCTCGGCGGCCGACCCCCAGGTGAGACCCCTGACTCTCCCCTCCGAGCTTCCCACTGTACGCCACCGGTCAAGCCCCAGTATTCGCCCACTGCGGTCCGCTCAGCACCTTCCTGCCCGGACCCCCACGTGCTTGCTTCCTCGTCCTAGATCCGCCAGTTTGCGGCCGTGCTGACCCGCAGACGACTGAACACCCGCTGGCGACGGCTGGCGGCGGAGCAACGGGAGAGGTGGGCTGGGCCTGGGGTGGGGCGGGGCCAGGCGGAGACTTTTCTTGGGCAGGCTGGGTACCAAACACCTGCCACCTGTGTTCCAGCCTCAAGTCCCTGATCCTGACGGCCCTGCAGAGAGAAACAGAGTAAGTACCTACCCACTTCTCTCGGGATCTTGACGACTTTGTCTAGGTTTCTGCCTTCCTTTTCGGCTCCAGGCTGGGACTTGTGGGGCAGGGACTTCAGTTCTAGACGCAAGGTGGAGTGAGGATTTTAAGGCTGTTTTGAAGACTAAAGTTCTTGAGGAAGGGTGATGATGATCTGCCAAACCCAAGTCAGAAGAATAAGACTGAAATTCAGGCTAAGTTAGACTGAACTTACCAGATTACATGCCCACAGTGCTGTTGGGCTCCCTCTGAGCTGCTGTCTCATGTGTCCCAACTTGGCAAAGACCCTGTGCCCACACCTCCTGAAAGTTTCTGTCCTGGCTGCCCCATTGAGCCTGGCCACTGTGTGCAGAGGAAGGTATTGAAGGGTGATTGGAGGAGATCTCTCCTGTTTGCAGGCACTGTGTGAGCCTCAGCCTGGCCCAGCTCTCAGCCACCATTTTTCGAAAGGAAGGCTTGGAGGCCTGGCCACAGCTTTTGCAGCTGCTTCAGCACAGTACCCACAGCCCCCACAGCCCAGAGAGAGAGGTACCATCACATGGTTGGCAGGAGGGAGGGCCTGAGAGGCTGGATAGACCTTGTAAGCTTGCTCTCCCATCCTCTATTCTTGGACAGATGGGGCTTTTGCTGCTAAGTGTGGTGGTGACCTCCCGGCCCGAGGCCTTCCAACCCCACCACCGGGAGCTTCTTCGGCTTCTGAATGAGACTCTTGGTGAGGTGGGCTCTCCTGGGCTGCTCTTCTACTCCCTGCGCACTCTGACCACCATGGCTCCCTACCTCAGCACTGAAGATGTGGTGAGATGTGGGCCCTCGTTATCTTTGACTCCCTTTCCTCATGCCTTCATGTCCTCACCCGTAAAAGTTACAAAGCTGCTTTGGATTCTTTACCTGCCTGTGGCCCTTCCTGACAATTGAGAGGGGATGCTGTAGGTGGGCCTGGCTGTTATGCCTGGGCTCCTCCTCGCAATTCAGGCTGTGAGGAAGCTGCCAGCTGCTGGGGTGTGAGATTGGGCTGCATCATGCTCTCTGTGATGTGTCCCTCAGCCTCTCGCTCGGATGTTGGTGCCCAAGCTGATCATGGCCATGCAGACTCTGATCCCCATAGATGAGGTGAGGACAGGTGGGCAGGAGCTCTGTTGGAAGGAGAGTGCAGAAGTGTCCAGTTTGGCCCACTGAAGAAGAGCATGGTAACCTTGTGCCTTGTTTGTCTGTCAGGCAAAGGCCTGTGAGGCCCTTGAGGCTTTGGATGAACTGTTGGAGTCAGAGGTGCCGGTCATCACCCCCTACCTCTCTGAAGTCCTCACATTCTGCCTGGAGGTGAGCCTGGAGTGGACATGGCCCCTGCTACATGCTCTGCTGGGACTCTCCTTCCCTGTCGCTGATTTTTATTATTCTGTGGACAGGTAGCTAGAAATGTGGCCCTGGGCAATGCGATACGCATACGTATTCTCTGCTGCCTCACTTTCTTGGTCAAAGTCAAGAGCAAGGTAAGTGAGTGCCCATTGACACACATCACCCCACCCCCATCTCCACCCTTAGTCTCACTCCTGGGGCTTTCGGTCCATCTCAGGGTATCTAAAGTACTGTGGGGGTTCAAGCCTTGGCCTGGCCTCACCCCAGCTCCTGCCTGGGAGGTTGGGAATTTTCTGTCAGACCCCTTATGGCCTGGAAGACTGGAATTTTTAATGTGAGCCCATCCTGGGAGCAGATTCTTAGGGACACTGTTCCACCTTCTCTGTCAAGGCCTTACTGAAGAATCGTCTCCTGCCACCCTTGCTGCACACCCTTTTCCCCATTGTGGCTGCTGAGCCCCCACCAGGCCAGTTGGATCCCGAGGACCAGGATTCAGAAGAGGAAGAGTTGGAGATTGAGCTGATGGGGGAGACTCCCAAGCATTTCGCTGTACAAGTGAGATGTGGGGCAGGACAGAGGGGGAAGGTGTTAGGTGGCTGTGGGACGTTGGGGAGGCAGAGATGGAGTCAAGCAAAGTAAGTCTCCCCATCCCATCTCAGGTTGTGGACATGCTGGCACTACACCTGCCCCCCGAGAAGCTCTGTCCCCAGCTGGTAAGTGTGGCTCTGTCCTTCTGGTGTCCCTACCTCCAAGTGTGCCTAGTCCCCCTGAGGCCAACGACGTTTAGACCCTGGGAGGTGTGAAGGCCTATTACCACAGGAATGGGCAGGCTCTTGCTGGGGTTTCAGAAGCGTGCCACATGCTTCCCTAGATGCCCATGTTGGAAGAGGCTTTGCGGAGCGAGAGCCCATACCAGCGCAAAGCTGGACTCCTGGTGCTGGCCGTGCTGTCTGACGGAGCTGGCGACCACATCAGGCAGAGGTATGTATTCCCCTGTCCCAGGGTGAGGGTTGCCCACAGGGAGGACCATGGCTGTCCTGGTTTACGCTTGTTGTTCAAGCTTATTTATCAACAGCGTTTCCCCCCATTATCAAAAGTGTCCTGGCTTGGAAGATAAATGACATGGCTTACCAGCTATAGGGACCAGGGGCTGCTGCCCACCCTCTGGTGACAGGAAAAGCCTTGGTTTTTCCAGGGAAAATGAAGAGAACAGGTCAGCCTAGGGCTCTCAGGTGTAGCTTCTCAGCCTATGTCCTCTTGTTTGCCCCATCCAGACTGCTGCCCCCACTGCTGCAGATTGTGTGCAAGGGCCTGGAGGACCCCTCGCAAGTTGTACGCAATGCTGCGCTGTTTGCCCTGGGCCAGTTCTCAGAAAACCTACAGGTGAACCAGGCTGAATGTGGGAGCCACCACTTGAATGTCCCCTTCCCCTCATCTTTCATCTCTTCAAGCATCCCTGCTGCCATCAGCACTCTTGTGTGTGCCCGGCAGGTGAACCTGACTCAGGCCCTGCTTGCTCCCTCCCCCAGCCCCATATCAGCAGCTATTCAAGGGAGGTAATGCCACTGCTCCTCGCCTACTTGAAGTCGGTGCCTCTTGGACACACACACCACCTAGCCAAGGCCTGCTATGCCCTGGAGAATTTTGTGGAGAACCTAGGTAGTGATGGCAGTGGGGAGCTTGGGGAAGGGGGATGAGGCGGCGGCTTTGGCTGAATGTACAGGATGTGCATCTCCCTGCATTGCTGCCTGTGGTAGGGGAAAGGGTGTGATGGTGCCAAAAAAAGGTTTCCGCCTGGAGGGAGGTGGGCGTGCAGGTAGCAGACCTGGGTTGGTTGGTAGAGGAGCATCCTTTCCCACAGGGCCCAAGGTGCAGCCCTACCTTCCGGAGCTTATGGAATGCATGCTGCAGCTTCTGAGGAACCCCAGCAGTCCCCGGGCCAAGGAGCTGGCTGTGAGCGCCCTGGGAGCCATTGGTGAGGAGAGAGGCAGGAGGCAGGGATGTGGGGTTCACCCAAAGGCCCTGTGGCTGGTGGTCCCTGCCCTCTCCAGCTCTGATTCTGTCCTTCCATCCTGCAGCTACGGCTGCCCAGGCCTCGCTGCTGCCCTACTTCCCTGCCATCATGGAGCACCTGCGGGAATTCCTGTTAACAGGCCGTGAGGACCTTCAGCCTGTGCAGATCCAGAGCCTGGGTGAGTGAGAGGTTCCCAGGTGGGGCTCCCAGTGCCAGCAAAGGGCTGGTGCTCACCTGGTGTTGACAGATTGCCCCCACAGGAGCACGGATGTCTTCCTTCTCATCAAAGGGGTGTGCTTCATGCTGTACCAAGGGGTGGGGCGGGATTTCTGAATCCCTCCCAGCCACCACCTTTGGTCCCGTAGCCCACCTCCACCTCCTGGTGCTAATGGAGCCCTTGCCCCCACAGAGACACTGGGGGTGCTGGCACGAGCAGTGGGGGAGCCCATGAGGCCGCTGGCTGAGGAATGCTGCCAGCTGGGTCTGGGCCTCTGCGACCAGGTAGACGACCCTGACTTGCGGCGCTGCACGTGAGTGACCCCTCACCCTGCCTCTGCCCTTGTCCCCTCCCCTCCTGTCTTCCCACTGGACCCACTGGAATCCCCACCCCAGACTCCAGTCGTCTGGTTTGGACCATAGCCAGGTGTTCCCGGGCTCCCCCATCCTGCCTGGTGGTAGCAGGCAGGACCTTACAGCTTCTTCTGCCTGCTTTGACCAGGTACAGCCTATTTGCAGCCTTATCGGGTCTGATGGGTGAGGGCCTGGCGCCCCACTTGGAACAGATCACCACGCTCATGCTGCTGTCACTGCGTTCCACCGAGGGCATTGTGGTGAGCAAAGGGTGGGTGGGCTGGGCCAGGCCTGCCCTGCAATGGGATTTATCTCCTGGGCCCAGCTGAGCCAAAGTCCTTGCCGTGCCTCCGCTCCAGCCTCAGTATGACGGGAGCAGCTCCTTCCTTCTGTTTGACGATGAGAGTGATGGGGAAGAAGAGGAGGAGCTCATGGATGAGGATGTGGAAGAAGAGGATGACTCAGAGATCTCAGGGTGCGGAGGGGTGCTCTTCTGATCAGGAATCTAGACTTTGGCTTTAGACAAGGGCCTAGTGCTGGATCTGCTCCTCTTGGTGCCTGATCACCACTGCCTCCCCTTCTTACTCTAGGTACAGCGTGGAGAATGCCTTCTTCGATGAGAAGGAAGACACCTGTGCTGCCGTGGGGGAGATCTCTGTGAACACCAGGTGAGCATTCGCCCTTCCCTGGCACTGAAAACCCTGCCTGGGGGCCCCTTACCCACGGCTGTGTCTCTCTCTGTAGTGTGGCCTTCCTTCCATACATGGAAAGTGTCTTTGAAGAAGTATTTAAACTGCTGGAGGTGAGCGGGCCGGCGGGTGGAGTGGGTGGGGTTCTCAGGCTGGGGGCCCTGTGTTCACGGTGCACATAGCAGACATATCCCGCCCCTCCTCATCCTGCAGTGCCCTCACCTGAATGTGCGGAAGGCAGCCCATGAGGCTCTGGGTCAGTTTTGCTGTGCACTGCACAAGGCCTGTCAAAGCTGCCCCTCGGAACCCAACACTGCTGGTGAGGAGAGGCTGGGCCAGGCTGGGGGTTCTTGGGGAGGGGCAGGGCCTGACTGGTGCTTCAGCCAATAATGTCCCCAGCTTTGCAGGCTGCCCTGGCCCGAGTCGTGCCATCCTACATGCAGGCAGTGAACAGGGAGCGGGAACGCCAGGTGGTGATGGCCGTGCTGGAGGCCCTGACAGGGGTGCTCCGCAGCTGTGGGACCCTCACACTGAAGCCCCCTGGGCGCCTCGCTGAGCTCTGTGGCGTGCTCAAGGCTGTGCTGCAGAGGAAGGTGAGCAGGGCAGGTGGGCTTCGGGAAGGAGAGGTGCTGGGCCTCGGTTGGGGACTGGCTACAAGTCCACCCCCTACCCCCATGAAAAGAGAAGGGGCGTGAAAGCTCCGCTAAGTTGAGCTACTTCTTGTAGACAGCCTGTCAGGATACTGACGAGGAGGAGGAAGAGGAAGATGATGATCAGGTGAGAGCCAGGGATAAAAACGGGGACCAGGCGGTCCAGGCAGTCTCCACAGGGACAGGGGTGGACAGTGTATTTGGGCTTGGCCTGGGGCAGCCAGGGCCACTAAAAGAGACTGGTAATGGCCAGAGGGATACAACCCTGATCCCACTAAGCCAGTGGGAGTTCAGGGAAGGAGAGCAGTGTGGACTGGGGTGTGCTTGGAGTGATAGGTAGGAGCAGAAGAGCCAGGGGAAGAAGCTGGGTCATGGAAACACCCAGCTTGAGAGGGGCCAGCCCTATCAACCAAGGGCAGCCCCAGGGACCCCTGCAGCTGGTGGCAGAGCGTGGGAGGGAGGTGTACAGTCACTGAGCTGGCCCTGGTGCTCCAGCCCCTGACCTGGCTCCACAGGCTGAATACGACGCCATGTTGCTGGAGCACGCTGGAGAGGCCATCCCTGCCCTGGCAGCCGCGGCTGGGGGAGACTCCTTTGCCCCATTCTTTGCCGGTTTCCTGCCATTATTGGTGTGCAAGACAGTGAGTGTCCATCTTCTGGCTTCAAGCCCTAGTCCCCTCGTGCACCCGGTGCCCACCACAGCCTTTATCCTTGGCCCAGGCTGATCTGTACTCCTTCCTGTTCTCCCCCATCAGAAACAGGGCTGCACAGTGGCAGAGAAGTCCTTTGCAGTGGGGACCTTGGCAGAGACTATTCAGGGCCTGGGTGCTGCCTCAGCCCAGTTTGTGTCTCGGCTGCTCCCTGTGCTGTTGAGCACCGCCCAAGAGGCAGACCCCGAGGTGCGAAGCAATGCCATCTTCGGGATGGGCGTGCTGGCAGAGCATGGGGGCCACCCTGCCCAGGAGTATCCTTGGCTCGCAGGACGGGAGGGACTGGAGGTTGGGGGAGTGTCCCCAGGGCTTGCAGGTGGGCAAGGTCTACCTGAGCGTGTGGCCATTCCTTGACTGTGGACCAGACACTTCCCCAAGCTGCTGGGGCTCCTTTTTCCCCTCCTGGCGCGGGAGCGACATGATCGTGTCCGTGACAACATCTGTGGGGCACTTGCCCGCCTGTTGATGGCCAGTCCCACCAGGAAACCAGAGCCCCAGGTGAGGGAGGGAGACATCAGGCAGGGCTTGGAAGCTGAGGAGGGAGGGTGGTGGAGGGCAGGGCAGGTTGGCCTGAGACATTTGTGTGCCCAGGTGCTGGCTGCCCTACTGCATGCCCTGCCACTGAAGGAGGACTTGGAGGAGTGGGTCACCATTGGGCGCCTCTTCAGCTTCCTGTACCAGAGCAGCCCTGACCAGGTAACCTTGCTGCTGGCAGCCCTCAGAGGGGAACGTGCCGCTCCACTCAGTGATAGGCACTGTCTGCTGATGAGGCTCGGGAGCTCCAGGCTGTCAGTTGCACCTGATGCAAGGTGACAGTTTCAGCTGTTCTTTTGGTACTCCCTGCACCATTTCTTATTTGTCTGCAAGGATTGGCAGCCAGTCCTGTGATGGGACAGGAGGGACTTCCTTTCTCCACGTAGCATTTTTCCTGAGGAAGCTCCATTTCTACCCTTTGGTCTGAGCCAGAAGTTGCAGTTTTCCTAGGCTGGTTTCCTAAACCGGGGCCCTTTCAAACTGTGCTCTGTGGAGCCCAGGGTACCTCTGGGCCACCACACCATACATTTCAATCAGATCAGCTCTGCTCTCTGAAGAGATTTTGCCTGTACCAAGTAGCTAGGTTTGGAGTCATGTCAGAGTGTTTGTGTCACCCTTGTCTTATACCTTTAGAGACTGTTGTGTAGGTGAAGCTCCTGAGTGTCTGGGTTTCTTTAGGTCTTGAGGCTATGACTTTAATCATCTTGTCCCACATCCCCCATTCCCTCCAAAAAAAATCATTAGCACCAAGTTTCATTGGTTCTTCTCATGTTCATAGTTGTCTTGGATGCCTGTGAATCAGTACCAGGTGCAACCACCCCCCTGATAAGAGATTCTGCCACTCCTTGGTCCTGACCACCCTCCTAGACCTGGGGTCTGGGGCTGCTGCCCTGAGTCAGCCACTCTTTCCTCACAGGTTATAGATGTGGCTCCCGAGCTTCTGCGTATCTGCAGCCTCATTCTGGCTGACAACAAGATCCCACCAGGTGAGGGTAGGAGTCATAGGCAGGGGCTTGCGGGAGGCTGGGAGTGGCAGGGCTCAGAGAGCCTGGGGCAGCGAGGCTTTAGGAGCCCCGACCTTTCTCCCTCCCTCTCCACCCAGACACCAAGGCCGCACTGTTGCTGCTCCTGACGTTCCTGGCCAAACAGCACACCGACAGCTTTCAAGCAGCTCTGGGCTCACTGCCTGTTGACAAGGCTCAGGAGCTCCAGGCTGTACTGGGCCTCTCCTAGACTGCAGGCTGCAGCCAGTCCAGAGAGAATAGAGCCTGCCCAGGCCTTAAGACCACCTCTCAGCCCAGTTCAGTTCTGCCTTACCAAAGATTCTGAGACTCATACCCATTTGGAGCCAGCCCCACTTGCTGCCTTACAGGGCTGTCCCTGAGGCTGGATCTGTTACAAATGAGTCATGACATCATACTGTAATAAAAGCAGCTTGTTTTCTGCTTGAACAATAGCTCTGAGAGCAAGAAGGCTGGAAATGCACATTCAGAAATGAGGTAAGCAGGACCCAGTGAGGCACGACGTGGTTTACTAGAAGTGGCCGGTTTCCTGGCAGCTTTGTAAATGGACTCTAACCTCAGTGGAATCTGGGCCCCGGCTGGATCAGGAGGCGACCATATGGCTTTTCTTGTTTCACGTGAAGAATCTGTTGCGCTGAGAGCACTGGTCAAGAGGCGAGGAGAGGGCAGGTCGGGGGAGTCCCTGTACGGGCCTCTGGTCTCTGTGTCCCTGCCCCACATACACACACACACATGCATACACTCACCCAGGAGCAGGTAGAAGACCCGGGCAGCCATCCTGCGGGGGCTGAGAGGTGACACCAGGCTGCTGAAGTCGGGCTCCCTGTTAGCCTGCAGCTCCAGTGCCACTGCCCTATAGGGATCAAGAACCATTAGCAGAGGCTTCAGCCCGGGTCCACCCCATCAAGGTGCCACCTCCCTGGTACCTGTGCACTGCTTCCAGTGAGAGCAGCTCGAGCTCTGGGGGCAGCACCAAAGGCATCTCCATGGGCACCTCAGGGAGTTCAGGCACCACGGGCAATGCAGGAGCTTCTGGCGCCTCCACCTCAGGCCAGGCCCTAGGAGGACATGAGAGAGTAGGGAAGGTGGCAGCTGTGACAGTGACAAGGGGCATACCCATCCCAGCAGCTGTTTCCACCACCTGGCCAAGGGCTGTGGGCCCTGGCTCCCACGGAGCCTGGCCGCTTACCACCGTTCTTCTGGTGGGATGAGGCTGATGCGGGACTTCTCCTCTTCAGCTGCCTCTAGGGAGATCTCTGTTGGGGGAGGAAAGGCGCTAGTGGGTGTCTGCTTGGGTGGCAGTTAGGGCCTTGTGGCCACCTGGTGTAAGTAGATGGCAGAGCCGTGCGGTGACTTGTTAAAAGCACATAGGTGGGAGAGCTGAGGAGGACCAGTCCGTGCTTCCTTATGTCACACACACACGCCTTCACTCATAAAACAGCTTCAGCAGTTGGGATACTAGTTTCCTGGGACAGTGGTTAGGGTGTGGTCCCACTGCGCCTCTTCTCTAGGTGCTTACCTAAAGACACCATAAGGGGAACACTGGGCTCCAGGGCCTCCCTCGGGACCTGGGGATGGGAGAAGTAGAACTAAGACCCCAAGCATCTGGGACTTGGGCCTCAGAAGGCACAAGGCCAGTGAGCCTGTGCTGTTGGCTCTCATAGCAGGAGAGGGCAGCCAGCTGGTCAGGCAGACCCTGGCACTGGGGCGATGCAGTAAACAGGTGGTGCAGTTACCTCAATCTCACTTGGAACTTCAATCTTTCTCCTTTCCTCCTCAGCGGCTGCCTCCTCAGGCAGCTCTCGCCTGAGGGCTTTTGGGGGTGGCTGGGCACAATGGGTCCAGAGACCCAGTAGTTCAGGGGGTAGCCAGCCAGCTGTGGACAAGAGGGTAGTAGGCACGGGGTTTGAGGCGTGAGGAGCACCAGGAATGAGGAATTGGTTTTGAGGATACTTCGTGCCCAACCCCCACCATTCTTACAGAGAGTTGGGGTTCTGAACAACTCCGCAGGGCCTCTGATGGTCCTCTCGGGCGGCTGCACCATAGGCTGTGTAGTGGGGGAAGGTCAGAAGCCCCATTATAAAGCAGCCACTCCTCAGGGCCCCTTTGCCTCTTTGCAATGCACTGTTCTGGGGCTTCTGGACTTCCCCAGCTTTTGCGCTCATGACCCTGCCTGCCCTGCTCATTGCTAAAAGAAGGACTTTTTAACCTGGTGCCCATGGGTATGACAGGTGGGTCACTAAAGGAGCATGAAGAGTTGTATATGTGCAAACCCACATCGCCTGCATTTTCTGGAGAATGGAGGAGATTTTTCATCAAGTTCCCAATCCTCCCCCCACCCACCTGAGGAGTTTGGAAGGCTCAGCCTGCATGTGCCCCTGGTCATCCCTGCCTCCCTCCCTTCCCCGGCAAAGCCTGGGCTGCACTCACACATTCCCAGCAGTGGGCTCTGGTTTGCAGTTGTTCCTGGAATTTCTCCGGGGAGATCTGAGTCTCCTTGTCCCAGAACAGTAACCGGCGACGACGGCGGCGGCGAGGAGGTGGGGGGACTGGGGGCCTCCTCTGTTGAGTGGGGAGGGCAGGTAGGGGCAAGGCTGCCCATTACTCCTTTTCCTGTCATTCTGGTGGACTGCTAACAGGACCCCACACCCGCCCCTAGAGGAACCTGGAGAGGGCTTGTGCGGGGTCTCCATGCACTTGAGCAGCTCATACCTTGCATAAGGGTACCCATCTGGGAAGCGTAGGCCAGATACGATGGGGCGTAGAAAGGGGCATCTTTTATCATCTGCATTAAGGACCCCTGTAAGCTAGCAGTGGCCCTGGGCTTGGGGAGGCAGTCCTTGTGGGGGAGGGCAAAGAGGAGGAGGAGGAGGATTAGAAGGGAGGCTACTCACCTCTGGGCTGGGTGGGGCTGGCAGACGCAGCTCCTCCGGGGGGGTCACCTCTGCAACAACACCCAAGGGGCTCTGTCCCATAAGCCCCTTACCCCTTGCAGATGCCAGGGCAAGAAACTGCAGGGTCCTCCCTTTAGCAAGTTGGGATATAAAGCCCTTGTCTGCAGCAGTATCCAGGTACTCCCAGAAAAGCCCCTGGGGCATGGTGGGCACTCACCCATGAGTAGGGCCCCAGGTTCCCAGCCTGTCAGCCTCAGCTCCTCAGGACCCAGTGCCTCTCCTATTCCTTCCACCCTGAGGGGAAATGGGCAAGAGAAATGAGGAGACCCTTCCCAGCACTGACACCCTACCTGGTCTAGGAGTTCTTGCCCTTACTCTGCAGGAGCTGGAGGTGGGAGCCGCGGGACTGTGGAGAGAGAATCAGAGTTCAGAGGACAGAAAAAGAGAAATGGGAGCATTGCCCAGTCCCAGAATGCCCACGCCAGGGGTCTGACTATCCAGCTCCAGGCGGGCCCTACGCTGCCGGAGACACCTACTTTCTAACAAGATAGCTTCTTCTTCCTCTGCGATCAGCAGGTCCAGTTCTCGGCGGCTGACCTCTGGGAGCTCCCGTTCACCCTGTCCAGAGAGGAAGAGCAAGGGGAGGGGATTCAATAATATTTCTGAAAAAGGCAAGTGGATCCAGGAGAGTGGATCCCAGAGGCATGCCACAGGGCCAGGTTCAAGGAAGCCACTGGGTGCTCAAGTGCCAGGGACAGAGAATAGGGAAATGGAGACAGAAAAGGCAGGACTCTGGGGACAGAGAGAAGTACATGCAAGGGGGCTGGACCTCAGGCCCTGTGTGCAGGGGAACTCACCTCAATCTCCAGCATCCGTATGGGCTCTGCCTCCAGGATCGTGATGGCCTCAGGTGGCAGCACAGTGACCGGAATCCTCTCTGGAGGGACAAGAGAGTCACTAGCCTCTCTGCTTCTTTCCAAATTCCCACAGCCATGCAGTTAAGGAAAAGCATGGACTCTGAAGTCAAGGTAACCTGGATTCTAATCAGACCCAGGCTAATCTCTGGCATCCTGACCCTGGGTACACTGCTTAACCACTGTGAGCCTCACTTTCCTCATCGGTAAAGTGGGGAGGCTGGGCGAAGTGGCTCACACCTGTAATCCCAACACTTTGGATCGCTTGAGCCCAGGAGTTTGAGGCCAGCCTGGGCAACATAGCGAGACCCTGTCTCTACAAAAAATTTAAAAACTAGCCAGGTGTGGTGGCTTATCCTTGTGGTCCCAGCTACTCTGGAGGCTGAGGTGGGAGGATTGCTTGAGCCCTGGAGGTCAAGGCTGCAGTGACCTATGATCATCATACCACTGCACTCCAGCCTGGGAAAAAAAGAAAAAAAAAAAAAAAAAGCCGAGTATGGTGGCTCACGCCTGTAATCCCAGCACTTTGGGAGGCTGAGGTGGGTGGATCAACTGAGGTCAGAAGTTTGAGACCAGCCTGGCCAACATGGCAAAAACCCATCTCTACTAAAAATACGAAAATTAGCTGGGCGTGGTGGTGCATGCCTGTAATCCCAGCTACTAGGAAGGAGAATTGCTTGAATCCGGGAGGCGGAGGTTGCAGTGAGCCTAAAGTGCACCACTGTACTCCAGCCTGGGCTAGAGAGTGATACCCCATCTCTCAAAAAAAAAAAAGGATAAGAAATCTGACCTCAGAGGACTCTTGTGAGGTACTGATGAGGTTATACACATAAAATGCCCCTCACCAGGCACGGTGGCTCACACCTGTAATCCTAGCACTTTGGGAGGCCGAGGCGGGTGGATCACCTGAGGTCAGGAGTTTGAGACCAGCCTGGCCAACATGGTGAAACCCCATCTCTACTAAAAATACAAAAATTCGCCGGGCATGGTAGTGCACATCTGTAATCCCAGCTACTAGGGAGGCTGAGGCGGGACAATTGCTTGCAGTGAGCCGAGATCGTGCCACTGCACTGTAGCCTGGGCAACAGAGTGAGACTCTGCCTCGAAAAAAAAAAAAAGCGCCCCTCACAAGGCCTGGCTCTTAAGCTCAAAAATGGTCATTTCTACAGCTCTTGGGCCTGCCTATGCCTCTCACCAGAAAGAAGGTTCTCTCTGCTGACCTGGCTCCCTGGGCTCTGTAGGAACTTCAGGAGGGATCTCTTCAACTCTCTCTGGGATTGCAGCCTCTAAGAGGTGTCGAATCTTTGGAGAGGGATTGGAAACAAAAGATAGGGTTCAGCTTCAGCCCCCTGCTTTCCCACTTTTCACAGCCTTCTTCAACAATGCACGGTAATCTCCTTTTATGCCTAATTCTTGTTGCATTGACATCAGCTTGCAGTAAACTCACCCGCCCTCTGGTCTTCTTTCCTCAGTTCCTGTTCTCACCTCCCTCCCCAACCCGCACCCCAGTTATCTAGCCCTCATCAATTTGTGCAAGAAGGCCGGGCTCGGTGGCTCATGTCTGTAATCCCAGCACTTTGGGAGGCTGAGGTGGGTGGATCACTTGATGTCAGGAGTTCCAGACCAGCCTGGCCAACATCGTGAAACCTGATTTCTACTAAAAATACAAAAATTAGCCGGGCTTGGTAGCAGTGCCTGTAATTCCAGCTACTTGAGAGGCGGAGACAGGAGAATTGCTTGAACCTGGGAAGCAGAGATTGCAGTGAGCTGAGATTGAGCCACTGCACTCCAGCCTGGGTGACAGAGCAAGACTCTGTCTCAAAAAAAAAAAAAAAAAATTTGTGCAAGCAGCAGTGCATCGTTATCCTTGGCAAGTGTTGTGGTTGACAGAGGTGAACAGAAAAGATTCTTGATCTTAAGGAAGTCTAGTGGGGAGACAAGGTTGTATGTAACCCCACAAGAGTCAAGGCAAAGGGTAAAACAAGGCCCTAGCAAAGTACTGAGTTCCCAAACTGCATTTGGTTCCGGCTAAGACTGGGATAAATATTTCATAGAGAAGGGCAGCATTTGAGCCAGGTCTGTAAGAATATGTAGAACCCGACTTGTAGAGGATGAGGGGTGACCATTATGGGCTAGGGAAACAGTACAAGCAAAGATGTGAATGTGGCATCATTGAGGCATAAGGGCCAAACTAGTGTTTAGGAGCCACAGATGCCCAGAGGACTGAGAGAGAAGTCTGGGGATGACTAGTTCTAAACTGGGGTATGTGCCAGGCACGGTGGTTCACACCTGTAATCCCAGCACTTTGGGAGGCCGAGGCGGGTGGAGTGCCTGAGATCAGGAGTTCAAGACCAGTCTGACCAACATGATGAAACTCCATCTCTACTAAAGATACAAAAATTAGCCGGGCATGGTGGCAGGCATCTGTAATCCCAGCTATTCGGGAGGCCGAGGCAGGAGAATCGCTTGACCAGAGGAAGCGGAGGTTGAAGTGAGCCAAGATCATGCCACTGCACTCCAGCCTGGGTGACAGAGACTCCATTTCAAAAAATAATAATAATAGGCCAGCGCGATGGCTCACGTCTGTAATCCTAGCACTTTGGAAAGCCAGGGTGGGTGGATCACCTGAGGTCTGGAGTTCGAGACCAGCCTGGCCGATAAGGCGAAACCCTAAAAAAATTGGGCCGGGCTCTGTGGCTCATGTCTGTAATCCCAGCACTTCAGGAGGAGGAGACAGGCAGATCATGAGGTCAGGGGTTCGAAACCAGCCTGGCCAGCATGGTGAAACCCTGTCTCAACTAAAAATACAAAATCAGTTGGGCATGGTGGCAAATGCCTGTAGTCCCAGCTACTCGGGAGGCTGAGGCAGGAGAATTGCTTGAACCGGGGAGGCAGAGGTTGCAGTAAGCTGAGATCGTGCCACTGCACTCCAGCCTGGGCCACAGAGCAAGATCCTGTCTCAAAAATAATAATAATAATAGTAATAAAATAAAAAAAGAAATAAATGGGGCATGGAGAGCCCCAAATGCTAGTAATCTGTTTGCAGCAGGAGCCACTGTTCAAATGGGGAACCAAGGAAGGGGGTGACATTAAGCTGTAGGAGTATTGGGAATAGATGGAGGAGGACAGGGGTAAGAAAGCCCAGTGCAGAGAGATGAGAGCCTGGATTAGGGCCTTGGCAGTGAAAACAGTGTGGAGACAAGTGGGGACAAGAGCTGCCTCCAGTGGGGAAACCGTCTGATCAGATTGGCCCTGAGTAGGTAAGTACAGGGGGCTTCGCCTGGATGGGTCCACCTTGGCAGTCCCCCTGCACCATCTCCTGTGGGAGAGAGCTGTGGTAAGCTTCCTTCCCCAACCCCAATGTCAGAGTGACACAGGGACAGCACTCCCCTTCTGCATTGCCAATTCACGAGTCTTGGGGAATGAGCCCTACCTGAGGGATATCGAAAGGACTAGGAAGTCTGGGATCCACAGACATCATCCCAAAAAAGGGATCTGGAGCATCTTCTAGGGTCTCCATCATGGCCAGGTGGTTAGGAAGCAGCAGGCTGGGTCTGGGAGAGAATGTAGGCCGTGAAGGACTGAGGCTGAGCCAGGCTGAGGCCAAGCTAGCAGGTGTTCCATCAAAGGCCCAGGGCACACTCACAGCTCAGTCTCCATATCTATTCGGATCTGCAGCTGGGCACGGTGGAGGCGCTCCAAGATGTGCTGGATGTCCTCTGTGGGCAGGGAGGACGAGGTAGACAGCCAGCTTAGCAGACAGCTGCTCAGCCCGCCCCACCTTTGAGGGTTCCCAGCCTTACCCACGAGGTACTGGCATTGTTGAGAATAGACGCGGATCACACCGATCTGAAGTTGGGCTGAGAGATAGAGGGAGAAGCGGGGCCGCGGCAGGCCGGGCTGCGGGGGTTGCACTCGTACCAGCACGTAATTGAGGATTTCCTCGCTGGGGAACAATGCGCCCTGATTACCGCTGCGTCCAGGAGTGGGCCCACAGTCTTGGCCACCCCATCCCCTAACTCACCCCCCGCACCAGGCCCTCCTTCCCTTTTCTGGGCCTTACCAGGTTTTCACCACATTCACCCTCAGGTATTCGCGCTTCACCAACCGGCTGCCGCGAGTCGCCGCCAGCCTGAAGTGGGTGGGGAAGGTGGGAGAATGGGGATGGAGGGGGAGCTGTCAGGCTGGGATCCCGGGCAGCGTCCGCCATCGCGCGCCAACGGGCCCCGCCCTTACCAGATGGTGGCAAAGCAGCCGGTGTGGCGCTGAAGCACGTTGGGATAGTAGAACATTGTCCCTCTGGTCTTTCACCCTCGATTCCACCAGATCCCCGTTCGGATCTGAGTCGGAATTCTTTAGGGCACAGAATTCCCAACACCTTGGAGAGAAGTCAGGATTTGGACTTCTCTGGTGGCAAGGTGGGTGCACCTAGAAAGCCAAGTTAATGAGGCAACGAACAATGGGCAGATACACAATTACCAGGATAACTGAGACGCAGGAGATGGGCGCCCCTCTCTGTGGACCCTCAGTGGATCCGCACGCCACGTGATGCGTCAAACTTGAGACTTCTGGGTTGGGTTCCAGGTTGGAGATGCAGAGCTCCAAGGGGACGTCCGGGCCGGAATCCAGAGCAGGTCCCGAGGGAGCACGGTGTCCTCCACAGCAGGCCTCGGTCCTCGAGCGCTGGGAGCGATGTCAGGCCCCTGGGCCTTGCACTGGCTTGGGCGGCCGCGGTGTGGCCCCGGGCCGCCTACTGCAGGACTAGATCGCACCGCGGGAAGCGAGCGCTTCGGGGCACCGCACCTCGCTCCTCATTAGATGGCGGCTTTTGCCCTGACAGCCAATGGGGAACGGGGGTCGGGTCGGGAACGCCAAGTATCCTGGCAACAGGGTCTCCCGAGGCAGCCAGCAAACCAATCATAAGGATTTTGCGCGCCGCTGGGGTCCATTGTGAGGTGTTCCGACCAATGGGCTCCGGTTCTCGCCTCTAGTAACAGGCGCCCCTTCCTTGACCAATGAGCGCATCCCCGTCGCTCCCCCGCCGCTCCCCCGCCGCAAGCCTGGCAACAAGGGCGCCTCAATTGGTAGGGGAGGTCGGGTCACCTCGGGGGCAACTGTACTGGGCCTCTTCCGGGTGCCAAGATGTACCTTGCACGGCGCCTGACCTGAGGTTAGACCCCGCCCTTCCCCCAATCCACAAACTCCGACTTTGTTTCCAACTAGGGCGTGTCGTGTGCTGCAGAGGAAGAAAGATGTGAGATGAGGCCGGGCGCAGTGGCTCACGCCTGTAATCCTAGCACTTTGGGAGGCCGAGGCGGGCGGATCATGAGGTTAGGAGTTCGAGTCCAGCCTGACCAATATGGTGAAACCCCGTCTCTATTAAAAATGCAAAAGTTAGCTGGGCGTGGTGGCACGCGCCTGTAATCCCAGCTACTCAGGAGGCTGAGGCAGGAGAATGCTTGAACCTGGGAGGCGGAGGTTGCAGTGAGCCGAGATCATGCAGCTCCACTCCAACCTGGGCAAGGGAGCAAGACTCCGTCTCAAAAAAAAAAAAAAAAAAAAAGGCTGTGAGATGATGGCCTTGGAGCCACCACAGGTCAATGAGGAAGAAGTCCATTTTTTTTTTTTTTGATGGCCTTGGAGCCACCACAGGTCAATGAGGAAGAAGTCCATTTTTTTTTTTTTTTTTTGAGATGGAGGCTCTCACTGTTGCCCAGGCTGGAATGCAGTGGCGCTATCTCGGCAATCTCGGCTCACTGCATCCTCTGCCCCCCATCCCCTCAGGTTCAAGCGATTCTCGTGTCTTGGCCTCCTGAGTAGCTGGGATTACAGGCGCCCTCCATCACACCCAACTAATTTTTGCATTTTTAGAAGAGACGGGATTTCACTATGTTGGCCAGGCTGGTTTCTTTTTTTTTTGAGATGGAGTTTCACTCTGTCACCCAGGCTGGAGTGCAGTGGCGCAGTCTCAGCTCATTGCAGCCTCCGCCTCCCCGGTGCAGGGGATTCTCCTGCCTCAGGCTCCCGAGTAGCTGGGATTACAGGCGCCCACCACCACACCTGGCTAAATTTTGTATTTTTTAGTAGAGACAGGGGTTTCACCATGTTGGCCAGGCTGGTCTCGAACTCCTGACCTCAGGTGATCCGCCCGCCTTGGCCTCCCAAAGTGCTGGGATTACAGGCGTGAGCCACTGCCCCCAGCTGAAGAAGTCAATCTTACACGAAACTCCGAAAGGACTTACTGGGGTCACTTCCTAAATCTGAACAACTTAGGTTATGGGCACGCCACGTGTGGTCCTTTCCCAGCTGTCAGTGTTCTCCCGGCTGAAATAGACTTTAGCATTTTTGGATGCAGCACAACTTCCTAGCCTGGAAAAGCCATATTCTCAACAATTATTGTGTAAATTTAAGAGGTACAGTTGTAATAATAACCCTTGTCCCTATGCCTCCTACCTTTGCACAGCCATTTCTTTGGCCTAGAATGTCCTTCTCTGCCTTGACTCCAGAGCATGCTTCTTCCTGAGACTTATATCTTACTGCAGCTGAGCTGACCCTATCTTCTTACAGTCCCCTTCAATTTGAGAGTTTTTTTTTTTTTTTTTTTTTTTTTTTTCTGAGATGGAATTTTGCTTGTCGCCCAGGCTGGAGTGCAATGGACCATCTTGGCTCAGTGCAACCTCCGCCTCCTGGGTTCAAGCAATTCTCCTACCTAAGCCTCCTGAGTAGCTGGGACTACAGGCATGTGCCACTATGCCTGGCTAATTTTTTTGTATTTTTAGTAGAGACAGGGTTTCAACCATGTTGGCCAGGCTGGTCTCAAACTCCTGACCTCAGGTGACACCCGCCTCGGCCTCTCAAATTACATGCCTATAGTCACAGCTACTCAGAAGGCTGAGACAGGAGGATCGATTGAGCCGAAGGTCGAGGCTGCAGTGAGCCATGATTGCACTGCTGTGCTCCAGCATGGGCGATTCTGTCAAAAAAAAAAAAAAAAAGAAAGAAAGAAAAAAAGAAATACATGAAGTGGCCGTAAGTGCTATGAAGAAAATGAGGCAGCATAGGAGGATAGAATAATGACGGCTGCTATTTAGGGAGGGTACTCAGGGAAGCCTTGCCCCCTCTCTTAAGAGATAAAATTTGAAGAATGTGGGTAAGTCATGTGCCTACCTGAAGGAAGAGTAATTTAGACAAAAGAACCAGCAAATGCAAAGACCCTGAGGTAGAAATGTGTTTGGTGGGTTCAAGGAGCCTGGAGCAAAGTGACAGGGGAAGAATGGCAAGGGGCGAGAGAGAGAGAGAGAGGAGGGTAGGGTCGCATCACAGGACCTCAGAGGTCCTTATGGGGATTTGGGCTTTTACCCTGGGTGATTTGGGACCCACTGGAAGGTTCTGAGCAGAGGAGTGACATGATCAGAATTACATGTGAAAAGAATCTCTACTGTGTTGAGAATAGCTTAAGGTAGACACGTGTGGAAACAGATGTGAAGGAAGCAGAGGAGGAGACATGAGAGATGGTGGTAGTTTGTTCCAAAGTGTTGCTGATGGGAACAGAGAGAAGTGGTCAGACCCTGGATACATATTGAAGGAATAGCGAGCGACAGGATTTGCTGATGAATTGGATGTGGGGTATGATAGAAAACGGAAGGAGGCCAGGTATAGTAGCTCACACCTGTAATCCCAGCACTTTAGGAGGTCAAGTAGTTGGGACTATAGGCACACACCACCACACCTGGCTTTTTTTTTTCCCCCACTTTTTTTTTTTGAGATGGAGTTTCGCTCTTGATGCCCAGGCTTGGAATGCAATGGCACGATCTTGGCTCACTGCAACCTCTGCCTCCTGGGTTCAAGTGATTCTCCTGCCTCAGCCTCCCAAGTAGCTGGGATTATAGGCATGTGCCACCATGCCCAGCTGATTTTTTTTATATTTTTAGTAGAGATGGGGTTTCACCATGTTGGTCAGGCTGGTCTCGAACTTCTGACCTCAAGTGATCCACCCACCTGGGCCTTCCAAAGTGCAAGGATTACAGGTGTGAGCCACCATGCCTGGCCTCACCTGGCTAATTTTTAAGAATTTTTGGGAGCCAGGTGCAGTGGCTCACGCCTGTAATCCCAGCACTTTGGGAAGCTGAGGTGGGCAGATCACCTGAAGTCAGGAGTTCGAGACCAGCCTAGCCAACATGGTGAAACCCTGTCTCTACTAAAAATACAAAAATTAGCCTGGCATAGCGGTGCGCACCTGTAATCCCAGATACTCAGAAGGCTGAGGCAGGAGGATCACTTGAACCCAGGAGGTGGAGGTTGCAGTGAGCCAAGATTGCACTACTGCACTCCAGCCTGGGCAACAGAGTGAGACTCTGTCTCAAAAAAAAAAAAAAGAATTTTTTGTAGAAGTAGGGTTTCACTATGTCACCCAGGCTAGTCTCAAACTCCTGGGCTAAGGCAGTCTTCTCACTTCGATCTCCCAAAGTGCCAGGATTACAGACATAAACCACCACGCCCAGCCGAAAAAAAAAATTTTTTTTTTTTGAGATGGAGTTTTGCTCTTTTTGCCCAGGCTCGAGTGCAGTGGTGCAATCTCGGCTCACTGCAACCTCCGCCTCCTGGGTTTAAGCGATTCTCCTGCCTCAGGCTCCCAAGTAGCTGGGATTACAGGTGTCCACCAACACGCCTGGCTAATTTTTTGCATTTTTAGTAGAGACGGGGTTTCACCATGTTGGCCAGGCTGGTCTCGAACTCCTGACGTCAGGTGATCCACCCACCTCGGCCTCTCAAATTACTGGGATTCCAGGTGTGAGCCACAATGCCCAGCCAAGTTTTTGTTTTTAATCAAAATAATTAAAATAAAATGGAAGTCAAGGAGATAATTTAGACCTTGTACAAAGAAGGTCCAGGAAGGATTTCATCACATTGCATCACATTGAGGGCACAACAGGGTTTGTACACCTCTGCATTCAGTACCTCATTTCTTCACTGCTAGTGCAGAGAATGTCTAGGTGCTTGGCTTCCCAGTGGGATGATGGACAAGACTGAAGGGAAGAAGGGAGGTCCATGGAGGCAGGGAGGCTCAAAGGCAGCACTGAAGCTTGTCAAATGAGGCAGCAAGAAGGTCCTAGGAAGACTTAGGCATCCAGATTTGATCATGTGTGTGAACCATTGAGGGCTGAAGGGTGAAATGACAGAAGGAAGTCTGGAAAGCTAAGCTGGTGTCATATGCAGGAAGAAGGAAGCTGAAGGCTGTGGCCTGGGTTGGAACTAGTTTGCTGGAAGTGAGTGTACAAAAAAGTAGGTGACAAGTGGCCTTGTGGTGAAGGAAAAACTTCCAGTTTCGTAGTAAAATGAACATGGGGGAAAGAAGAGTGTCAGCCAATTTGGAGCCCTCAAGTCTCATGAACAGCATGACATGGCAGTCTAGGCCGGAGTGCTTTTTTTTTTTTTCTTTTTTAATCTTGAGACAGAGTCTCGCTCTTGTTGCCCAGGCTGGAGTACAATAGCACGATCTTGGCTCACTGCAACCTCCGCCTCCCGGGTTCAAGCGATTCTCCTGCCTCAGCCTCCCAAGTAGCTGAGATTACAGGTGCCCGCCACCAGGCCTGGCTAATTTTTGTATTTTTAGAAGAGACGCTGTTTCACCGTGTTGGCCAGGCTGGTCTCGAACTCCTGATCTCAAGTGATCCACCCACCTTGGCCTCCCAAAGTGCTGGGATTATAGGTGTGAGCCACTGCGCCCAGCCGGCCAGAGTGTCTTTTATGGGGCTTAGATAGAGCAAGGAATCCAGTTTGGGAGTACCCTGCTGGGGTGACAGTGAAATTGTGCTGGAGGAAGAGGTGCCAGTAACAGCAGGTACAGTTTCAGCAACTCTTCTCTCTGACTCCTCTGTTCTCAGGTCCCAGGGCCTCTAGACCATAGTTTCAGGTCACCCTCAAGTGTCTCCTCTTCATTTAGACCTCCAATCTAACTAACCTCAGGCCCGATGTTGGGGCCTTCTAGCAAGAACTGTGGAGCCCAGACTTTACCATGTGAAGTTGGTGGCTATAGTGCCTGGCTGAAGGCTTGGTGCCCAACCCACACCCTAATCTTATCTGCCCAGAGGGTACCTCTGTAGAGTGCCAGGCCCAGGACCCACAGGGCCCAGGCAGCATCTTAGCCAGAACCTGTGGGCAGAGGAGAGGAAAGAGGCTGGAGATGTCAGCAGGAAGAGAACCCCAGTGCCCCACTCTTAAGTTTACATCTCTATCTGTGACCACTGCTACCTTCTTCTCCCAGAAAATCAGATACTGATTCCTCTTTCAATAAAATTTTATTTTAAGTCCTTAGTGAATATCTAAGAGGAAAATATAAAGTGCTTGGCTTTAGAGTTGGGAGGTCAGGGAAGAGGGAAAGGCCCCCTGGGTTCACACCATTTGGAATTTCCTAGTCCCTTACAGATGAAAGAGGGCGTATATCTCAAAATTAAAAAAAAAAAAGGATAAAAAATTAGCCTTGAGTTCTCCACCAGCCAGTGTGTGCGAGGATTTTCAGGACACGATTATCACGGACAACTACTGAGAATTATCACAAAGAGGACAGGTCAATCGTGTGAAGAATGAGTCTACTTCAAAGGAGACAGGAAGAACAAAGAGGTGAGGTGGAAGATGGGTCCCCCAGGCTCTACACCAGGGACAGAATGGCTGCCTGCTGCTCTGGAGTCTGCTCCAGCAAGTATCGGGCAAAGGCCTGCTCCATCTGTATTGGAAGAGATGGAGAAGAGCATCTCAGTGCGTGCATCAGGGACAGACACCACCCCCAGGAGCTCCTTCCCCACTGGGAGACCCCCTTTGCCTCCTGGAGCACCACTGTCTCTGCTCTCATTAGATGGGTACTCTACCCCTGCTCCGAGCTCACCTTCACTGTGATAAGATTCTGTGGAGTATGGCTGGAGCCATGGCTCTCTTCCCAGAAATTCAGTGTTACCTGGAACTTCGGTGGGGGGCCCAGGCCCTGAAAGTACCTGACCAAGTCTGAAAGAGAAAGGGTCAAGGGTTCGAAGAACAAAAAGAAGAGAGAGGGCCACAGGCAGGGAGGCAATAGTGAGGAACCCATGATGGAGAGAGGTAGGAGGGGGTCTTGCCAGAGCAGGAGCTGCAAGGTCAGAAGTACTTGGAACTAAGTGCTACTCACCCATGTGCAAATAGGAAAGGGTGCCCCTGCCTCATATAAGTGCTTAGAAGTAGCAGATCACAGCACAGCCCGACAAGCTCTCTGCTGGGAGAGTTTAGAGTCCTCCCAGGTAGCAGCCCTGGCTGCTAACTCAGATGTGCCCAGACCTTTGCTACTTGCTCACATCCTCCCAGTGCTAGGGCACCCATGGCCCTGGGAACACCCACACTCTGCACCCCCTGTACACCTGGTCCCACTCTTAAGGTCAGGTTTAGAATTGAGTAGGAGCTGGAATTGGATGGGAGAGAAGCGCAACCCTAAGGCATGCCTGGAGTGTGGTAAAGACGGTGCAGCCAGGGCCAGTGTGTGTGATGTGTGCCAGCTCTCCCAAATGTGTGTACGTAGGAGAAGGCCATGAGGCTCAAAATCTCTGTGCCAATTCTTCTGTGCACCTTCACATAGTGACTGCATGCTTCAGTGTGATGGTGTTCTCCAAGATATGACACTCTTGTGCTGGGCTCTACCTGAACCACCTCTTCCATTGTCTTGGCTGGAGGAGAGCTGCCAGGTAGCTGCCAGGCTGGGCATATGGCCACACAGGATATGCAACACACAAGCGCAGGAGTGCCATGCATAGGCTACATGGAGGATCTGCTGGCAGATAGGGAGGTAGCAGGACCCAACAAGTTGGGCCCAGGGGGTACTAAGAGGTAGGGGGTGGAAGCTCATGTGCCCAGAGAGAACAGCCTCACCTCTGCAGAAGTAGGCGGTTCTGAAGAGCTCCACGCACTCGTTGCTGGGCAGCAGATGCGGGCCTGGCCCAGGTGGAGCCTGGGGTGCATTCCAGGAGATGGGGATGGGGCAAAGGCGCTGCACGAAGAGGCCTCGGGGGTTGCTGGCCACTAGGATGCCCCTCTCAAGCTGGCTCAGCAGGCGCTGCGTGGGCTCCAGTGGGCCAGGCTTGGGGAACAGCACCTGCTCCATGCTGCTCTCAGAGCCTGAGGGCTCAGCCACAAGGCGGCAATCCAGGCTTTGCACCTGGGCCTCGCCCACCACGCGCCCGTTGTAGATGAAGGTGAGCAGCAGTGAGTAGTCTGGGGATAGAACAGCCCTACCTGGTGCTGGAGGAGCATGCAGGCTGGCAGCAGCCCCTCCCCAGGGGAACAACTCCACCTCCCCTCCCCACACCAGCCAGGGGGCTTCCTCTCAGGTTTTCCTATCACTGAGGCAAGTAGCTAGTATGTGATTCACCATGAGGCCTCAGGGCTCAATGCCCAGGGGCTTGTAGTTTACTAGAAGGTCCCTTGAGATTGGGCCTCTGTTTGGCCCAATGAAATCAATGTCTCAATGTAGATTTCCAGGAGAGTGTATAGGGTGGTATTTTTGGGAAGCAAGCTTTTTGGAGTCTGGCCAGGCATATGGAATTCTCGCCACCTAGAAACCACTGCCTAGGGCTATGGTAATGTGGGTACAGTTTGCTGTAAGCCCTGACTGACTAGATAATGCATGCATAGTCAAAGGTGGAAGACCTCAGGGGCACAGGGCACAGGAGAAAGTCAGAAATGCCACGTACCTGGCTCTGGAGGAAGCAGAAACTCCAGGGACCTCTGATCCCCTTGAAAGGGGGCCTCAGTTGTGTCTGTAACTGGAAGGGAAGCAAAGGCACTGGTCATTCAGAGTGGGACTGGGGAGTCTTGGGCCAGAGGGTGTGGCATGGGGGACGACACAAGAGGCAGGGCAGGTGGTACCTTCCTGTGGCTCAGGGCTGCTGCTGCTGCTGCTGCTCCCAATGTCTGAATGGACTGCTCCCCCACTGGCCCCCTCCTCCTCCTGCGGACACAGTGTCTTTTTATTTTTTTTCTCTTTTTTTGAGACAGAGTTTCACTCTTGTTGCCCAGGCTGGAGTGCAGTGGCGCGATCTCGGCTCACTGCTATCTCCGCCCCCCGGTTCAAGCGATTCTCCTGCCTCGGCCTCCTGAGTAGCTGGGATTACAGGCAGATGCCACAACGCACAGCTAATTTTTGTATTTTTAGTAGAGACGGGTTCTCACCATGTTGGTCGAGGCTGGTTTCGAACTTCTGACCTCACGTGATCTGCCAGCCTCGGCCTCCCAAGACACAGTGTCTTTCATTGGCCCACCTCTCCCTCTGGTTACTGTCCTGCCCTTAGGCCCACCCAGTTCCCTCTCCATCTCTTACATTATTGAGGGAGTCCTGGAGCACAGAGGGACTGAGTGTGCAGTTCTGCATGGCATCCTCTTCCTCCTTCCTCTCAGAGGACACAGAACTGTGCTGTCGCTTTGATGGTACTTTCTGAGTCCCTGGCTGGCCTGTGGAATTGTTGAGGGACAGAGAAAGGTCAGGGTCTTGAGCAAGGACAGAGGGTGAAGGAGAGGTCTGAGGCAGTGAAGGATGGGCAGGTCTAGGAAGGGAAACCTGGGTTGCAGCCCCCCAAGGGCATGGACAGGGCAGAGCTATAAGCCTGGGGGAAGCCTGCACATCTATCCTTCCTCCCCAGTCTGCTGAGTCTAGCAGTGGTTGGACAAGGGGAAACTCACCAGAGACGATTCCTGGTGGCAGCAACTGATACACCTTGTAGGGCTCAGCAACATCCATGCGGCCCCTCTCAGGAACCTCCTTAAATTCAGAACTCTTGTTGAGTGCACAGCGCAGGCGAGTCTTCCAGACAGCTGGACCTCCTGTGTCCCCCTCCTTATACTTTCCCTTAAATATTGCCCAGGCCTAGGAAAGAAAGCAAGGGAAGAAGAGGCAGTGTGTTACAGGCTCCACCTGCCCCTCCAATAGGACTGGCTTTACAGGCGTGCAGCTCTGAGCTCAGAAGGGATTATGCAGGGTCTGTGCTCTGCGTTGCCATCTTGAAATCCTTGGAAATTTTTTTTTTTTTTTTTTGAGACAGAGTCTCACTCTGTCACCAGGCTGGAGTGCAGTGGTGCGATCTCGACTCACTACAACTCCACCTCCCTGGTTCAAGCGATTCTCCTGCCTCAGTCTCCCGAGTAGCTGGGACTACAGGCATGCACCGCTAGGCCCAGCTAAGTTTTGTATTTTTAGTAGAGACAGGGTTTCACCATGTTGGCCAGGCTGGTCTTGATCTCTTGACCTCGTGATCCACCCACCTTGGCCTCCCGAAGTGCTGGGATTACAGGCGTGAGCCACCGTGCCTGGCCAATATCCCTAAAATTTTTGAACAAGGCCTCCACATTTTCATTTTGTACTGGACTCTGCAAATGATGCAGCTAGTTTTCCTCTCCAATCTGTCCCTTATCTGAAACCCAGGCAGACGCAAGTGCTCGAGGATGAGTGTACCAGTGTGTATACACCATCCCACACACAGAGGAACAGTGGTTTCCAGGCCCTTTCACCTTGAAGAAGGCAGCATCCTGGTCCTCCCGGAAGTCCTGCTTGCCTGCATGTTTCCAGGGAATCCGGAACATGGTCTTAGCTGTATCATCCCAGCACACTCCGGGAAACTGCCCACTCTCCACTTGCTCCACCACCCAGTTCCGGAGTTTTCGGGTGCAGCGTGCCCTGCCTGATGCCATCCTGGGGGATAATAGGAGCAGGATGCATCAGAACTGACACTTTGGGAGGGAACATCTCCTGAGACCCTGGCCATTGAGACTAGATTCTGGCAACAGGTCCCAGAGATCCCATCCATCTTCTTTTAGCTCCAAACACATTTCAACACTCTATGGGACAGAATTGTTTCCTTTCTGCCATCACTAGCAGTGACAAACAACAACAACAACAACAAAACCCCCCAAAACATTGTTTTTAGCACTCTAAGCTGTGATACCTGGAAGGAAACCTTGGGCACTGGTCTTAATTTTAGGACTTTTCAGAGATGTATTGTTTACAAAAGAATTCCTTTGGTGATCGTTCCTGGTGACAGGCCCTGTCTAGATTCCCGAGCATCAGCAGAGGTAGGTTCTGCTGAGATCCATCAGGCTCTTCACCCACCGCCCCACAGCCTACACAACCTAGCCTGACCCCCACCCCCTGCCGGCCCCAGGAGTAGGTGGGGCAGGAAGTAGGGGTGGGGTTGGAGCTGCAGCAGAAGTGGGCAGGGCCAGATGGCAAGGAAACAAATGGTCCACTGAGGCTGGGGCCAGGAGCCTTCTTCCTTGAACAATCCAGCAGTAGGTCCTCCTGACCTTTGCCTACAAGGGTCTGGGGAGCTGGCCCTTGTCAGTCTCACTCTCAGGCTGAATCTCCCACTTCCTGACTTAAGAGATCTTCTGTCTATCCCTCAGTCTAACAGAGCGACCCCTAGGACCCCCTGCCCTCAATCTGGCTGGACTTTCTAGCCCTAGATCCCAGGCTGACTCCCATCCTTGGCTGATCTTACCTGAGTTGCTGTCCAGGCTGTCGCAGGGCTCAGACGACCTCAGCTTAACTCCTGGCTGGGCGGCTGATCTCTCCGCCCCTTTCTACAGTCCCCACCCTAAGTTTCAGTTCTCCTCCAGGGAGGGCCTTTTCCCAGAAATCACGTGGTCTGAGTTGCAGGGAACTGGCGGCCACTAGAGGGCAGCAGCATCTGAGCATCTCACTATCAGGATGCCACTGTCGCAGCAGGGGGGCCCTGCCCTGCTGGCTCAGCTCCAGCCTGGCTCATTCCCCTGCCTCCCTCAGATACTCTTGCTTCTATCTGACCTCTGGGTGACACCGTGGCTTCCCCAGGGAGGCCAGTTTCCTGGAGTCAGGCCTGGGACCTCTGGACTGCTGTGTACACCTGTGCATCTGCATTCCCCCACAGTGCCCACCTGATACATATTGGGTGACTTCAAATACCAGTCAAATTCTATGAAAGGAAAAAAGGAGGCAGGGAGGGAGGAAGCCCAGGCCAGGCTGCTGGATGGGGAGGGCCTCCCTTGACCATCCAGGGTGTCAACTCCTTCCTGGTCCTGAGTCCAGGGAGGGTCAGGCACTAGGTTGCAGGGGGCCCTTTTCAGCAAAGCTCTGTTCACCCCGCTCTTTCCCTGGTGCCCCTAGATGGTGGCACCAGGAAGAAGGACCACCAAGAAGCCTGGGTGGTAAGATGCCTCTTTATTGGTGCTGGAGCTGTTCCTGAGGGAGCAGGCCATGGGACCCTCATCGGGACCCTTGCCCTCAGCTACTTCCGCCTGCGGGGGATACTCTGTCCCAAGGGTACCTCTTCTGTCAGCTTCTGCAGAAGGAGAGAGAAGGTAATGATATTGGAAGCCTGGAGCTCAGACACAGTCAGCACCAGGTGACTTCTGTAGGGTGGGTTAAGAGATGAGGCTGGGTGGAGGCTATACCTGTAACAAGCGGGCCTGGTAAGCAGGGGGATCCTCTCCAGCCAAAGGCTGGGGGCGTACGTGCAGGTAGCGCTCAGTGGCCGTCTCCAGCTCTTCCACCTCATACAAGGTGGCTGGGTCCAGCGAGTGGGCATTGATGAGGCTCACAAGATACTCTTTGTAGTGTGCCCTGGGGAGAAAAGGGAGCAGAATATTTGTTGTGTTGGCTAATATTAACTGAGTGTGTCTAACATAGCTGGACTCTGAGACACCTGGACGAACAAGATTAACAACCCACCTGTGCCCACACTGCCTGCTACTATCTACCCATGCCCTTGCCCAGAAAGCCTCCTCCCTCCCACCCACTGCAAGACCTACTGCTCCCAAGGACCCATTTTACTGCCTGGGCATGCCCTCACCACTTCTACCCACTGCCCAACACCATGCCCATGTCCTGCTGGCACTCACTGGCACAGGCCGGCATAGCCAGCTGGAGTTTCCTTGCCACAAGCTTCGTCCCTGAGCCCATTGGGAACCTCCTTCTGCTCTATCACTCGGCAGCCGCCTAAAGGTGAGGGAAGAAGGGAGCCTCTGTTGGGAGGCCAATGACCACAAAGCTCCAGAACTGGGATATCCACAAGGCAGGGAAGGCAGCCTCCAAGGAAGGGACCGAGCACAGCAACTCCTGCTTTCCCAGTGGTGCTGGTGGGTACTCAGAGGTGCCGTCAACGGCAGACCATCTGATACAGAGGCAGGGACCTTGTCCCTACTTTTATCCAAGCTGGCTTTTGGCTCATAAACACATACCCTCTTGAGATAGTGTTTTTTTTTTTTTTTTTTTTTTGGTTGTTATTTATCTCTTGACTAGTTAACTTATTATCGGAAGATCTTACCTCTTTTTTTTATTTTTATTTTTTAAATAGAGACAGGGTCTCACTATGTTGTTTGGGCTGGTCTCAAACTCCTGGGCTCAAGTAATCCTCTTGCCTTAGCCTCCCAAAGTGCTGGGATTATGGGTGTGAGCCACCACCACTCCTGGCTATTGGCTACCTCTGGTTTTTTTTTTTTTTTTTTTTGAGATGGAGTTTCACTCTTGTTGCCCAGGCTGGACTGGAGTGCAATGGCGCAATCTTGGCTCACTGCAATCTCCACCTCCCGGGTTCAAGTGATTCTCCTGCCTCAGCCACCCGAGTAGGTGGGATTACAGGTGCCTGCCACCACACCTTGCTAATTTTTTTGTATTTTTAGTAGAGACAGGGTTTCACCTTGTTGGCCAGGTTGGTCACGAACTCCTGACGTCAGGTGATCCACCTGCCTCGGCCTCCCAAAGTGCTGAGATTACAGGCATGAGCCACCGTGCCCAGCCACATTTTTTTTTTTTTTTTTTTTTTTTTTTGAGACGAAGTCTCGCTCTGTTGCCCAGGCTGGAGTGCGGTGGCGCCATCTCTGCTCACTGCAAGCTCCGCCTCCCGGGTTCATGCCATTCTCCTGCCTCAGCCTCCCGAGTAGCTGGGACTACAGGCGCCCGCCACCACGCCCGGCTAATTTTTTGTATTTTTAGTAGAGATGGGGTTTCACCGTGTTAGCCAGGATGGTCTCGATCTGACTTCGTGATTCACCCGCCTTGGCTTCCCAAAGTGCTGGGATTACAGGCATGAGCCAATGTGCCCGGCCGGCCACCTCTATTTTTTAAAAAATAAATTTAAAACCTATAGCACCTGGAATTCCCAGCCAATCTCTCATCCAAGTACTAACCAGGCCCGAACCTGCTTAGCCTCCAAGATCAGAAAAGATCAGTCACATTCAGGGTGGTATGGACTGTAGACTTACCTCTGTCTACACTGTAAGAAGTGACAGAGGTTAGAACCATATGTAACACCTTTCTGTTGCCCTCATGGAACCTAAAACAGTGCCCTGCAACTAGCACTTCTCATTAAACACTCATTGAACTAATTAATTAATTATGATCATTTGGGAATGGGAGAAGAAAATTAGTATTAATGCCTTCTTGGGTACCAGGTTCTTTAAAGATGTCTTATGTAAAATGGCTTAGCTGCAAGGTGGATACTACCTCCATTTTACAGCGGAAGAAACAAGGCCTTGGGTCTCAATTAACTTGCCAAAGGGCATGCAACAAGTGACCCCAGACCCAAGCCTCCCCTTTACCCATCACACGGTGGGAGCCCAGCACACCATCTCCTCTTCTCAAAGGCTTGTCCTAACACTCACCTCCAGGGACTGCCCGGGCCCCAGCTGGAGGCTCTGTATTAAACATGACGTTATTGTCCTGAGGAGGAGAGACAGATGGGTGTTACATTCCCCTTGATGCCAAGTCCCTGTTGCAATTCCTAGCACGGAGCCTTTTCCATTCTTGCCCACCCTGGGCCCTGTCTTCTTCTCTCCTGGCCACCTCTGACCTGTAGCAGCTTCTGAAGCCGGAGAGCAGTCCAGTCCCGCAGGTAGAAGAGGCAGTCTCGAGGGTGGTGGCCGTGCAGGGACTTTTTCACCCTGCAGTTAGGCTCTGGACATTTCTGGCAGAAACCCAGATGGGAGAGAGGAAGTTGGAGACTGTTGGGGTCCTGGCCTCTCAGGAACCCCTGCGTGAGGGGTGTAAGGGTGAGGGGAGATGGAGACATTGGAGGAGCAAGCAAAGGGTAAGGGGACAGAGAGTTGTGCTTTACATCCCGTTGACCTCTTCTCTTCCCCGGGGCCACTCCTCAATAGCCTCTGACTCTCAAAGCCAATGGCACCCCCCACCCTTCCACCCCTTCCCCAACTCTCTGGGCTTACATTCTTGGCGTAAAAGGCATTGTAGCAGCCGCTGCAGAACTGGTGGCGGCACTGGGTACAGTGAAAGTGCATGCAGCCTCCTCGGGCCAGGGCGTACGAGAACTTGCATTTGGGGCAGTCTGCAAAGGACAAGAGGTCAGGGCTGGAGCTGCCGCTGCAACTCAAGGCCCTCAGGAAGAGAGCTGCTGGCAATGACAGGCTTCTGAGCAAACAGGCCGAGTAGGGAGGCCTTACCAATGCCGTTTTCCTGAAGATACATTGCTAGGCCCTGGGCCTGGTATTCTGGGTCGTTCATGCGTTTCCAGTTCTGGAAGTCCTCACAGCTCCGACCTCGGTGCTGCTCCTCCCACTGCCAGAGGGAAAGTAGGCTTCACATGGGAGCTCTATCCCATCCCCTGGCCTTTCTTGCTGGCCCCTCCACTCACATCCAGTGGTTCCCCAGCTTGGTTTATGTCACTGCCACCTACCATTTGCTCAGATCTCAAAATGAGAGGCCATCCTTGGTCCTTTCATTTTCTCCTACCACCTCACACTACTTTTGCCTTGTTTCCACCCCACAGACCATCTCAACCATATCCCCTTTTCCTTCATCCCTACTGCTACCACTTTACTCCAGGCCACCATCAGACCTTGCCTCAATTGCTTGCCTCGGTTACTAGTCTCTCTGTTTCCCATTCCTGCTCCCCTAGGGTCAATTCTCCCCATGGCTGTCAAAAGTCCTTCAAAACTGTAAGTCAGGTAGCTTCCACAGGATTGGTGGTGTTTTGGTTCTGTGGTAGTCTCAGGTGTTCACTTTATTTCAGACATGATGCAGATGAAATTTTTTTCGTATCAAATATTACACTTCTTTTTTTTTTTTTGAGATGGAGTCTCGCTCTGTCACCCAGGCTGGAGTGCAATGGCGTGATCTTGGCTCACTGCAGCCTCCACCTCCTGGGTTCAAGCGATTCTCCTGCCTCAGCCTCCAGAGTAGTTGGGATTACAGGCACATGCCACCACACCCGGCTAATTTTTGTATTTTTAGTAGAGACGGGGTTTCACCATATTGGGAGGCTGGTCTTGAACTCCCAACCTCAAGTGATCCACCCACCATGGCCTCCCAAAGTGCTGGGATTACAGGCGGAAGCCACCATGCCTAGCCAAATATTACACTTCTTAAAAGATAAATGTGGCTGGGCATAGTGGCTCATGCCTGTAATCCCAGTACTTTGGAAGGCTGAGGCGAGGGATCACTTGAGACCAGGAGTTGGAGGCTGCAGTGAGCTGTGACTGCACCAGTGGACCCCAGCCTGGGTGACAGTGAGTTGTCTCTAAAAATAAATAAATAAATAAATAAACGAAAGATAAATGAGATAGTATCACCCTTGCTTTATCTCAGAATGAAGGCAGACGGACGCCTGCTTCACGTGGCCTCCAGGGCTCTACAGACCTGGCAGCTGGCTTCTCTCTGACCACCTGCCATTCCCGCCTTGCTTTCCAGGCTCCAGCCATACAACACTTTTTTCTGATTCTGGCCTTTCCATGTGTTGTTCTTTCTCTCCCAAATGCTCTTTGCATGGCTGGCTTCTTTTTAATGTTTAGGCCTGAGCTTAAACCATTTTAGAGAAGACTTGTCTGACCTCTCTACCCTAAGTAGGTCCACTCTGTTACCCTGATCTCAGGTTCCTGTTTGTTTTCTTCATAGAATTTATGCCTATGTATAATTAGTTCCTCTGGCTTACTTTCTTTCCTTCCTTCCTTCCTCCTCCCCTTTCCTTTCCCTCCCGATTTCCTCCCTCCCTCTGCTTCCCTTTCTCCTTGTGCCTAGTCTTTCTGAGTAGTCTGTAAGCTCTTTTGACCTCAGAGCTCATGTCTGTTTTGCTCTCCAGTACACAAACTCCCCTGAGTCTAACACAGTACCTGGCAGTAGCTCAGCAAGTATTTCTGAAAGGATGAATGTGCCTCACCTGGCGCTTGCAGCGCACACAGAAGGTCTGGTGACACTGGGGACAAGTTGCCTCCAGCTGCTCACGCTCATATATGAAGCCAAAGGAGCACTGGAAGTGCAAGAGCATAAAGTTATCAAAGGCCTGACCTGGAACCATCCCCTGCCCCTCCACAGTAGCTGCCCTGGGCAGGCCACTTACCTGGGCACACCACAAGAACTTGGGGTCCCGCATCAGCACACCCTCGGTCAGCTTCTTATGGAACAACGCATAGGCATCTGGCTCTAGGCTCTCGCGAAGCTGGGGACAGGATGCAGAGGTGGTGGGTGGGAGGGTCCCTGTTCAAAGCTCAGGGTACCTGAGTCCTAGAGGGGCTGCAGTACCTGGATGTCAAGGGTAGAGAAGTAGCTGAGCAACTGTGTGTCATCGGTGAGGTCGGGGCGGCCACAGGCAGGGCACACCATGTCTGTGATGTGCTTCTCCTTCAAGGCGATGGTGAAGTGCTGGCGGAAGCAGTCAGGACAGATGGTGCACTCACAGGAAGTCAGGGCCTGCATCTGGAGGGTGAGGGGTTGGAGGGGAGGGGGTCAGAAGCCACAGCTGCCAGGCTAGGGAAGAGGCAGTGGCCAGGTGTCCACTAAGAAATCAGGGTCTAATTAACAACTGGGCAGGGTTAACAACCTCAAGTGCCAGCAGGGGCCAGGCAGGCAACGTAAACATCTGAAGACAGTCGGGTGGAGGAAAATAGACAATGGTGACACCTAAGGTAAAGGCAAAAGTGCCTATAAAAACATTCATATTCCATTAAATATACAAATAACATGCTTGAAATGACAAAACTATAGAGGTGGAGAACAGCTTCATGGTTGCCAGGTGACTAGAAGTGGGGGCAGAAGGGTATAACTAAAGAGGTACATGAGAGAGTTCCTTTGTGGTGATGAAACAATCTGTATCTTGATTATGGTGGTGGTTATATGCATCCATACGTGGGACAGAACTGCATAGAACCACACATACACACAGCGGCATATCCATGAGAAAAATGAACAAGACCTGTAGTATAGCTAACATTGGAGCAATGTCTTATTTCTTGGTCTTGATATTGTACTATAACTATATAAGAAGTCACCACTGGGGGCCGGGCACGCTGGCTCACACCTGTAATCCCAGTACTTTGGGAAGCCAAGGCGGGCGCATCACTTGAGGCTAGGAGTTCGAGACCAGCCTGGCCAACATTGTGAAACCTTGTCTCTACTAAAAATACAAAAATTAGGCCAGGCACCATGGCTTATGCCTGTAATCCCAGCACTTTGGGAGGCTGAGGCAGGCGGATCACCTGAGATCTGGAGTTCCAGACCAGCCTGACCCGTCTCTACTAAAAATACAAAATTAGCCAAGTGTGGTGGCGCATGCCTGTAATCCCAGCTACTCGGGAGGCTGAGGCAGGAGAATCACTTGAACTCGGGAGGCGGAGGCTGCAGTGAGCCGAGATCGCACCATTGCACTCCAGGCTGGGCAACAAGAGCAAAACTCTGTCTCAAAAAAAAAAAAATTAGCCGGGCATGATTGCAGATGCCTGTAATCACAGCTACTTGGGAGGCTGGGACAGGAGAATCGCTTGAACCGGGAGGCAGAGGTTGCAGTGAGCCATGATTGCGCGACTGCGCTCCAGCCAGGGCGACAGAGCGAGACTCCGTCTCAAAAAAATGTCATCGCTGAGTGAAGGTTAGTGAAAAGTACACAGGACTCTATGCACTATTTTTGAAACTTCCTGTAGATTCTACATTTATTTATTTATTTAATTTATTTTGAGACAGAGTCTCACTCTGTCGCTCAGACTGGAGTGCTGTGGCGCAATCCTGGCTCACTGCAACCTCTGTCTCCCAGGTTCAAGAGATTTTCCTGCCTCAGCCTCCCAAGTAGCTGGGATTACAGGCACCCACTACCACACCCGGCTAATTTTTGTATTTTTTGTAGAGACAGGGTTTCACCATGTTGGTCAGGCTGGTCTCGAACTCCTGACCTCAGGTGATCCACCCACCTCAGCCTCCCAAAGTGCTAGGATTACAGGTATGAGCCACTGCGCCTGGCCAACTTTATGTATTTTATTATTTTTTTTAATTTAAGTTTTTTTTTTGAGACGGAATCTCATTCTGTCGCCCAGGCTGGAGTGCGGTGGCACGATCTTGGCTCACTGCAACCTCCACCTCCCAGGTTCAAGCGATTCTCCTGCCTTAGCCTCTCGAGTAGCTGGGATTACAGGTGCACGCCACCACGCCTGGCTAATTTTTGTATTTTTAGTAGAGACGGGGTTTCACCATGTCGACCAGGATGGTCTCAATCTCTTGACCTCGTGATCCACCCACGTTGGCCTCCCAAAGTGCAGGGATGACAGGCGTGAGCCACCATGCCCGGACCTTTATTTATTTTTTTAGAGATGGGAGTCTTGTTATGTTGCCCATGCTGGTCTCTAACTCCTGGCTTCAAGGTATTCTCCCACCTCAGCCTCCCAAAGCTCTAGGATTACAGGCATGAGGCATCATGCCCAGCAAAATTCTTTTTGAAAACATAGCCACAGTAGCACTGTCACACACACACACAAAAATGAACAGTAATTCTTTTTTTTTTTTTTTAAGACGGAGTCTTGCGCTGTTGCCCAGGCTGGAGTGCAGTGGCGCGATCTCGGCTCACTGCAAGCTCCGCCTCCTGAGTTCACGCCATTCTCCTGCCTCAGCCTCCTGAGTAGCTGGGACTACAGGCGCCTGCCACCACACCTGGCTAATTTTTTACATTTTTAGTACAGACAGGGTTTCACTGCGTCAGCCAGGATGGTCTCGATCTCCTGACCTCATGATCGGCCTGCCTTGGCCTCCCAAAGTGCTGGCATTAGAGGCGTGAGCCACCGCGCCCAGCCTGGTAATTCTTTAATATCAGCAAATATCCAGTTTATAGGAATAAGCCCTTCTTAGTTCCTGAGACTCCACGTACTCTAGGTCAGAGTAGTTAGACTGGCTCTGTATGTGTTTTATTTTGGTTTTACTCTGTATTTAAAATAATTGTAGAGGTCAAGAGCTCGAGACCAGCCTGGCCAATATGGCGAAACCCTGTCTCTACTAAAAATACAAAAATTAGCCGAGTGTGGTGGCGGGTGCCTGTAATCCCAGCTACTCAGGAGGCTGAGGCAGGAGAATTGCTTGGAGGAGGCAGAGGTTACAGTGAGCCGAGATCACGCCATTGCACTCCAGCCTGGGGGCAAGGGTGAAATTCCATCTAAAAAAAATAAATAAGTAAATAAATAAATAAAGTTTTACATTTTAGAGATATATACGGAAACATTTATAAACTATATTATGCCTGATATTTGATATCATAATAGCCATCTGTGTATATATGTGAAATAAAGACTGATCATGTTTGTTGACAATTGCTGAAGCTTGATGACAAATACACTGGAAGTGGAGGGGTTGCAGGGGGGTATGGGAATTTGTTATACAGTGTAGTACAATTTTTCTACTATTGCATGTTTGAAAATTTCCATAATAGAACATTGTTTTAAAAGGGAGGAGATAAGCCTGTTCCTGACTTCCCCCTCCCAGGAGCCTTCAGGGGTATATGGGCAACTGAAGAGCAGAAGACAGGATCAGAGATGGAGACTGGGGTAGGATGGGGGTCCAAAAGAATAGAGTAATTCTTGGACCAGGTATCGTGGGGAGGGACTTACCCGGTTGTGGGGCAGGGCCCAGCCACACACGGCACACTCCTGGGCAAGCAAGCGGCGCAGGAAGGCCCGGTCCTGGCTGTGCCTCACAGCTTCTACCACATCCCCCAACTCATAGTTCCTGGGTGTCTCCTGCAGCAGTGACAGTGCCAGCTCTGCCCGGCCCCAGCTGGGGAGTGCGTAGACTGCCAAAAGCCGCCTGACCAGGCTCTGCAATATGATTCAGGTGGAGGGGGGAAGTGCTGTCAGACTCCAGGGACCCTTCCCCTCAGCTCCCTCTTGCTCCTCTAGGTGGACCCTTGGGCTTCTTGCCTCCTCCCAGCACCTGCTTGTCTGGCCCATCCCAGGAAGGGGTGGGCTCAGGGCCACTGTCCCAGAGGCGCTGGCGGAAGGGCTCTAGGCGTTGGCGCTGTAGCTCAGTCAGGGCCCGTGACACATCACCTCCGTGCTGGAACAATGCCTGGAGAGACCCCTCCTCAGGCCCAAAGCCTAGAGACTGGAGCTCCTGCACCTGCAAGATGGGAGTGGCAAGGGGGAATGAAGTGGGAAAGCAAGCAAGGGAGAGTGTGAGAGATGCAGACTCTCGACCCTATCCCATATCCAGCACAGCTGATACCTTCCTTCGCCTGGTCCTCACACACTCCTCCACAGCTTCATCAAGGTTGCCATGACGATCCAGCCAGGCTCTCCGGGCCTCCTGACAGGAAAAGGCACCCAGCCCAGGGTCCTGCTGTCCAGCCAGCTCAGCCACCATCTCCAGGACGTAGGGCAGTTCTGAGCGCAACCACTGCAGAGGCACCTCAGTGCCCGAGTACTGCAGAGCCGAGAAGATCTCCTCTGGACAGGCACCTGCGGCTTCCCCTTCCTAAGGCACAGTCCCGCCCATCAGGAGGGGCACCCTTCACCCACCCTCAGCCTGAACTAAGATGGTGACAGTGGCTCAGCTCAGACATATGGATCATGTCATCAGTGTACAGCAATGGTAACTGCCTCAGTAACAGGCAGCTGCTGCTAACAATAACAAGATTCATAGAAACTATTAACCACCTGCAGCATCTCCTTTCCCAGACCAGCTCAGCCCTACCTCATCGCAGGCCCAGTCCTTACCCGGATCATGCTCACTAGCTGGAGGCCTTCTTCCCGCATCTTGTCTTGGCGCTGCTTCTCAGGATCTCCACAGGAACTGGGCAGGGGGGCACTAAGGCGTCGTGGGGGCCCAGGCTTGGGGGGTCCCTTTTCCAAAGAGCTGGCATAGGGCCGGGGGGCATGTTGTGCTGGAATGGGGCTACTAGTCCGGTTGCACATAACACACACCCAGCCAGGGCTCGAGTTGCAGAAGGTACAGTGAATACAGTACCAGACTTGACTCTGGGCAGAGGCCAGCAAAGCATCCCCCTGCTGGGAAGGCAGAGAGAATTATCCCTTTGACTGGCTGGCTGAAGTTCACAACAGAAATACAGGGAGTTGGGAGGAACTGAAGGAAAACATGGGATAGGGAAGAGAATGCCTGAGGTAACACACGATAAAGAGCTGGGAAGGCCAGTTACCTGAAGGGGTTGCAGGCAAATGCCAGCATCTCGGGAATCCACCACCAAGCTGGGAGGCTGGGCCAGCCGAGGTCGCTCACATATGGAACATAGCACAGCAGCTGCCTCATTCTCAAAGGTACAGCTCTGGCAGGCCCACCGACCCCGTGCAAGATCAGGTTCTAGGCCTCCAGTTCCTTGGGGACCCTCAGTTCCCAACCCCAACCCCTTACAGCCTCGGGGCCGATCACAGGCCACACAGAGCACTGCCCAAGGCTCATTTAGCATGGCACAGGCAGCACAGTGCCAGGGCAAATGAGCACTTGCAGGATTAGGGGAAGAAAGAGAGCTGTCTCCCAGGGCCAGCAGGGAGGTCGACTGGGGCCGTGGTTGGGCTGAGGCAGGTAAACTGTAATGGAAAAGCAGACATGGCCTGCTGAAGTGGCACCTGGTGCCTGGATCCCTCACCTCTAAGCATTCTCCATTTCCTGGGTAACAACTCATGTCACTGGCCTTTGCACACATTGTCTGTCTCGAATACTCCTATACCCATAGCTTATGCAACATTTAAATGACAGCTTAAAGCTCACTTCTTCCTAGTAGATACTGCTAACACATGGCCTGACCTACACTAGGTGTTTAAAATATTGCCACCTGATTCAGCTGACCCTTCAGACTAGGTTGCAAACCACCTATTACCATAACAACCTGGGTTACTGCAATTGCTACCTGCTTGATGTGTATGTCTATTATCTCTTTCAGGGTTCTGACTGGCTACTTGTCCTCTATTAAACAGTCTTTAGCACAGAAACTGGCAGGTAGTCCATAATCAAGTGATCTTAAGTTCTCTAAATTTCACTCCCACCCAGAAGAGAAGCCCTCTCACCTGGGGCTCAGGTGGGTACCCTGCAGGACCCCAGGCAGGGTCTGGCGGAGGTGATGAGCACGGGATGGGTGTCCATGGAACAGGTGGTCACAGGCTGGACACAGGGCCTGTTTACAGGATGGGCAGTGCAGTGTGCCTGGGGCAGAACCACAGAGGAAGCAGGGACCAGGAGTGGAGCCTGGAGGGCAGGAGAGATGGAACATCTTTCCAAAAAAGACCAGGCTACATCTGAATCTGCTGTGGATGGGGGCAAATCACAAGACTACTTTTTAAACATCTGGACCCAAGGAAACAATTTTAATCTCTTTTAAAAAACAAAGAGGCCGGGCGTGGTGGCTCATGCAGGTAATCTTAGCACTTTGGGAGGCTGAGGTGGGTGGATCACTTGAGGTCAGGAGTTCCAGACCAGCCTGACCAACATGGAGAAACCCCATCTCTACCAAAAATACAAAATTAGCCGAGCGCGGTGGCGCATGCCTGTAATCCCAGCTACTCGGGAGGCTGAGGCAGGAGAATCGCTTGAACCCGGGAGGTGGAGGTTGCGGTGAGCGGAGATCGCACCATTGCACTCCAGCCTGGGCAACAAGAGCAAAACTCCGTCTCAAAACAAACAAACACAAAGGAAGATAACCAAGAAGACAGAGGAGCATCCCAAATTTCCATCAATATAGCTTCCTACCTGGTCCCCAATTTAGGACCAATAATACCTGGGACAGAGGGTGTGGTGAGGGGGCCAGGAGCAATCTCTCTCAATAGGGGGTCAAATTCTGAAAGCTGCAGCATCTGAAAAAGAAAGGGCAGGGAATGAATAAGGGTTTAGGGACACAGAGTCTCACAATTCCTGTTTCCTTTGTACACCAGCCCCTTTCCTGCCTTCCTTACATCATCTTCAACCTTGTCTTCCAACAGCTGCTCCAGTGCCTGCTGTCTTGGATGAGTATTCTGCAATAATACAGATAAAAACGGTTTCCAGCTAGACCCCTAGAACAAAGCCCTCCCTCTAAGCCCTGGTCCCTTAACATTCACAGAAGGAAAATCAGTACCCGGAGCTCCCAGAATGCTGAACTATGCCCATAGTTCAGCAGCACGGGGGTCCTCAAACTTACTTGAGTTAGGCTGGGCTCCCCAGCCCTGGTGCATAAGTCCATCAAGACTAGAGGAGCATCTCACCTGCAATAGCAGGCTGAGCTCTGTCCGAAGCAGCAGTACTTCCAGTGTGACTGTAGCAACCTGGTGCTCATCTGGCTCCTCCTGCCCTTCGGGGAAGCTCAACCCATCTGGTTGCTCCTCTGTGTAGCCATATAATCGCAGCACATCTCGGCCCCCCTGCCACACATTCAAACGAGTCACCACCCAGGAGGTTTCCTGCCTAGTAGGGCTGGACCCCTTCCCATTCAGCACAACCTCAGGCCTTTTCTAGCCAAACCCCAGCCCCCTCTCCCATAAGGCCAGGGGATTCACCTGCACAGCATCCACCGTGCTGCGAAAGACAGGGTTATTAAACTTGACACCACGCCAGTACCGAGGCCGCTGAGGGCTGAGAAGGTTGCGGCCGTATTTCTCCAGGATGTTCAGAGCCGTGGACAGGGTGTTGAGGTAGTTTCGGGGCTGGGAGCAAGGAGAGCAGAGAGGTGTGAGCGTGGCCTGGGCCTCAGGCCCTGGTGTCCCCCTTCCAAGCGGGGCCGGGCCTCACCTCCCCATGAGCGTTGCAGCGGACAAGGCGTGCGGCGTCCAGCTGCAGGTAGCGGGCGGCTAGCGGCAGAGAGCTGGCTAGTAGCGGCCGGAGCTGCTCCAGGGAAAACGCCTGCCCGGAATCCCTCCTCAGGGCGCTCGCCAGCTCCTCGCGGGCCACCAGGAAGGCCCGCTCCTCTTCCTCCCCCGGCATCCTGAGGCAGGAGTCAGCCCCAGCCTCGCCGCCCGCCAGGACCCGGCGCGGGCAGCGCGCGGCCCGAGCGCCGCCCCTCCCGTCTGGTGCCCGGCTTTGAGGCCCACCCCGGCCCACGCAGCCGCCCCAGGTCACTCAGACCACGGTCACTCTCCAGCCCCCGGCCCAGCGCCAGGGTTAGCCGAGAACAGGAAGTACTAGGAGAGAGGGTGGGACTGCGACCCAATTTCGGAGGAACGGGCGGGGCTTAAGGTTAAGGTTGGAGCGGTGTCAGGAAACCAGGGGGCGCGGCCAAGAGGGAGGGCCAGGTCCCAACCAATGAGAAGGCAAATGGCTCCTGGCTCCTCCCTCAGAGCGCGCCAGCATCTTCCCTCAGTCAAGCGCTCTTCCCCGCCTTCCCCCAATCTGGTTCCACCCCTTCCGGATAGCCGCAGGCGCGGGGTTATCCTATTCAGCTCAAAACCTTTCTTTTTCTAGCTGGACCAGTCCGGTACGCTCCGGGCCTCACCGAGGAAGTCCCACCCTGCAGGGGAACCGACTCTGGCCGGCCCTAACCCCTCTCGAGCGAGTCCCGCCCCATCTCCGGTCTGTCCTGAAGGCAGAGGGAAGACCCTCACCCAACCCCTGCCCGCTCTCTTCTAAGAGCTGCTAGTCCTTCTCCACCCCAGGCGCTCCCTCTGGCTGCCCCTCCCACTCGCTCTGATCTCTCTCCGTCCGCTACTTGCGGTCGAGCCTTCTTGGGGGAGCCCCGCCACTGAATACCCCCTTTGCCATACTCCCACCTCTCTTACCCCAACCCTGGACTTCCAGTTGGCCCTAGCTATAAGCCCCGCCCCTCTCCGAGGGACAGCCCCCGCTCCAGTCTCCGCGGTCCCACTTACCCTAGCCCCTCCCTCGGGCAGCCCCTGGACTGTGACCCAGCCAGCACCGCCTCTCCTAGTGGCAACTGGCTGGGAATGGCTGAGGGGCTACCTACTGCTTGCGGCCTGCCAGCGGGAGGAGGGGGGCGGAAAGAAGAAAGGGGGCGGGGTTGAGGGGGGCGGGCCTGGACCTGGGGAGTGAAAGCGAAAGCCCGGGCGACTAGCCGGGAGACCAGAGATCTAGCGACTGAAGCAGCATGGCCAAGCCGTGTGGGGTGCGCCTGAGCGGGGAAGCCCGCAAACAGGTAATGGGGAATCGGAGGCCAGGAAGGGGTCATAGAACCCTCTTGGGTGGAGGCCAAGCTGGGTGGTTCAGGGGACCAAGCAGTGCCAGAGAACTCCCCCAATCTCGCTAGTGCCTTCACTTCTCGGGGATTCCCAGATTCCTGCCTTCTGACTGCAGTGAGCAGGAGCTTCCAGGGAAAGCTAGTTTGTGGTGAGAAAGGCCTGAGCCACAGTTCGAGGGCACCCTGTTGTGGGTGGAAGCTTTTGACAACCCAGACCCTTAACCAACATCCGGGTACTGCTCTCTGTGTAGGTGGAGGTCTTCAGACAGAATCTTTTCCAGGAGGTAAGTCTCTGGATTTGAGCGATTTGACCCAGAATCTTGGACCAATACTTGAGGATAACAGCCTCTCAGAATGACCCCCCCAAGTCACCCTAGACTTAACCCTACTTCCCTTACCAAGCCTTCACCCAAAGTAACCCCGGAATTATTGATAGCTACCTTTAATCTGACCTTTCTTATGACTCTCCCGACTTCTGGCACTTCTCCCGTCTTTTGATGTGGAGGAAAAAAACCATGGCTTCCAAAGCAGGAATATCACAGTCCTAACCTTCGTTCTGCCATTTACCAGCTTGGGCAAGTCCTTTCATTTTCAGGTCTTCAGTTTCCTCATTTGCAAGTCTTGGACCCAGTGATTTCCAAAGGCCCTTCCAGTTCCATTTGTCAGACATCTCATTGAGCATATTCTGTGATTCCCCTCCCTTGCAATGTAACCCACAGGCTGAGGAATTCCTCTACAGATTCTTGCCACAGAAAATCATATACCTGAATCAGCTCTTGCAAGTGAGTAGTGTGGGCCCCTTCTGCCCCATCCTATGTCCTCTATCCCCTTTGCCCACCCTCTCTAGCTAACAACTGGATTCAGCATGCAGAGAATAGTTTCAAATAGTGGATTAGGAACATTAGGATGGCGTGAGGCATGAGCCTAGGTTGGGAGGCAGAGTGCAAGTGGGATGTATGGAGGGAAGGCTGTGACCTAGGATGAAGGGAAGAGGTTGGGCAGCCCTTGACAGTGAGCTCTGTGCAGGAGGACTCCCTCAATGTGGCTGACTTGACTTCCCTCCGGGCCCCACTGGACATCCCCATCCCAGACCCTCCACCCAAGGATGATGAGGTGAGGCACTCAGGGTGCAGGACTTGGACTATAAACCCAATGGAGAAGATAGCCCTTCAACCTCTGTGACTTTTCTAAAGCTACTTTCCCCCCTTTTTGCCTTAGATGGAAACAGATAAGCAGGAGAAGAAAGAAGGTAAGAGAGATAAGAGGTGACTAGGGAAGGGGTGATGGCACACTGACTACTGGATGAGAAAGGGCCTGAATCCCCTCTTTCTCACAGTCCATAAGTGTGGATTTCTCCCTGGGAATGAGAAAGTCCTGTCCCTGCTTGCCCTGGTTAAGCCAGAAGTCTGGACTCTCAAAGAGAAATGCATTCTGGTAAGCCTGGGAAATGGGGGAAGCAGAAAGAGAAGACACACAAGGTGAGGCCCTGGACTCCTCCGTAGATACAAGTCCTTCATACAGAGACCTAGTCCTGAAAAAGAAAACTTCCTTCTGTGCCTTGGGCTTAGATCCCCTTTGTTCTCCTCGTTCTGTTAGACCTCTCTTATCACAACGGTACCCCCAAAATTAGAGACTGTGCAGTATCCACTCTGTAACCTCAGAACCTACTGCTGTATTGGGTTCATAGTAGAGGTGGTATGATATAGTGAGTGAATTGTTTTAAAAGATTGGACCCTAGAGAGAGACTGCTTAGGTTCAAATCGTGATTCTATCAGTTACCTAGCTGGTAGCCTTAAGTAAGTCACTTAGACATTCTGTGACTCAGTTTTTTCATCTGTTAAATGGGTACAATAAATACATATCTCTGAAGGTTGCTGTGATGATTACATGAAATAAATACATGGCACAGTACCTGGTATGTAATAAGTACCCAATTAAATATAACTTTTTTTAGGAAGTGACAGTAATAGGAAGAACTCAGTATGTTTGTTGAATGATTCTTACATGATACCTCTTAACACAGGTGATTACATGGATCCAACACCTGATCCCCAAGATTGAAGATGGAAATGATTTTGGGGTAGCAATCCAGGTAAGAAAAGGGTAACTGAAGATACTTAGAGTGGGGAGAGCCTCAGGGGGTGAGCTAGACATGAACCAGGAGGAGGAGGAAGATAGTGTATGAAATGGGGAGGACATGAAGTGTTGTCTTTGCCTCCCGTGTCACCACAGGAGAAGGTGCTGGAGAGGGTGAATGCCGTCAAGACCAAAGTGGAAGCTTTCCAGACAACCATTTCCAAGTGAGGGCAGCTGGAGGACCAGCATTGGGGGCAGTAGGAGCATTTCTTTGGGACCCCCAGAGCTGGGCAGCCCTATCAGGATGATGGGAGACTTTGGGAAGGGTCTGAGGGAGTACATCTCCCTGAACACTCATTCCTGTGGTATTCCCTTGCTTCTGGCAGGTACTTCTCAGAACGTGGGGATGCTGTGGCCAAGGCCTCCAAGGAGACTCATGTAGTGAGTGGATAGTCCACCAGCCTTTTAGCTGGGTGTGGGACGAGGAGGTGTGGAGGAAGAAGTCCTCCTTGTCTTGTTTGTGACTTTCCCAATGTGGAGAATATTAAGCTAAAAGCATTACCTAGAAAAACTGGTTTGGGCTTCAACAACCTTGACCCTTTTCTCTGCTCAGTCCTTTGGGATCCTATTTCTTGGTGCTAAGAAGGGGTTCATTCTCAAGTTAACCTATTTCCTATAAAAGGAAACCAGACTCATGTCCCAGCCTCCCATGGGACTGACTCAGCTTTGCCTCCCACATTGCAGATGGATTACCGGGCCTTGGTGCATGAGCGAGATGAGGCAGCCTATGGGGAGCTCAGGGCCATGGTGCTGGACCTGAGGGCCTTCTATGTGAGTGTGGAGTAAGGCTTTAGGGGAGGTGGATGAGTGGGGGCAGGCAGGGGATTGGCTAAGAACCTGACTCTTGCACTCTGGCCTTCTCCCAGGCTGAGCTTTATCATATCATCAGCAGCAACCTGGAGAAAATTGTCAACCCAAAGGGTGAAGAAAAGCCATCTATGTACTGAACCCGGGACTAGAAGGAAAATAAATGATCTATATGTTGTGTGGATTCCCTTCTGGCGTGTGTCATTCATTCAAAAAGCATTTATTGAGTGGCACCTATGTCCAGCCTGAAGATGAATGTGGTGGGAAGGGGTGGGTGTCACAAAGACAAAGATGACTTAGATGCCCACTGTAATCTTGACTGTGAGAAAGAGGGGATTCAGGCCCTTTCTCATCCAGTAGTCAATGTGCCATCTCCCCTTCCCTAGTCACCTCTTATCTCACTTACCTTCTTTCTTCTCCTGCTTATCTGTTTCCATCTAAGGCAAAAAGGGGGGAAAGTAGCTTTAGAAAAGTCACAGAGGTTGAAGGGCTATCTTCTCCATTGGGTTTATAGTCCAAGTCCTTCACCCTGAGTGCCTAGGGTGGGGATTGTTACATGCCATGGCAGCCATGCAGATAACCTGTATTTTGGAATGTAACAGTATTATTTTCATCCAGAGGTCTCAGGAATTATTGGAAGAGATGGCATTTGCACAGAGCCCTTATGGGAATAATCAGGCTTTGGATACACAAGGGGAAAGTTCTGTGGTCAACATCAGGAATGAAGAAAGAAAGAATCCTCATCAGTTCAGGAAAAGCCTAGAAGGAGAATAAGGTTTCACTGGGAGAACTATGGAGAACTACGGATGAATGATTGGACTCCCCCCACCCTTTTTTTTTTTTTTTTGAGATGGAGTCTTGCTCTGTTGCCCAGGCTGGAGTGCAATGGCACGATCTCAGCTTACTGCTACCTCCGTCTCCCGGGTTCAAGCAATTCTCCTGCCTCAGCCTCCCGAGTAGCTGGAATTACAGGCATGTGCCACCACACCTGGCTAATTTTTTTGTATTTTTAATAGAGACGGGGTTTCGCCATGTTGGCCAGGCTGGTCTCGAACTCCTGACCTCAGGCGATCCACCCACCTCGGCCTCCCAAAGTGCTGGGATTACAAGGCGTGAGCCACCGCGCCGGGCCTGGACTCCCTCCTTAAGGGCTAGGAGGGGAAAAAATAATGCTTCCAAGGCACTGTGGTGAAGGAAATACATCGCAGGACATTATGGGAAGGATGAATCTGTAAGTTTTTCTTACTGTCCTCCCCCATATCCCCTTCAGCCAATCACTGTCTTTATCTCTGCTTTTCAAGATTCAGCCCTGGGCTGGTGATAGAGACAAGGGTTCCTTTGCTGTGATCTTGCTGTAAACTCCATGGGATTGTTCTTTAATTCAGGGCCTTATCCTGTCATAAAATATGAGATAAGAATGTGCTGCGAAGCACTAGACTGGCTGGAAGCCTGCCCCCATACATATCTCATTAAATCCTTAAAGGAACACGGGCAAAAGATAAACCAAGGGCAAGAAAACCTGCAGTCGCGAAGGCAACACGGCCCATTAGTAAGTGACAGAGCCGATCTAGAGTACAGAGCCACTCAACCCATAATAGGCGCAAGGCGGTCTGCTTTGCCCGCAGCGCTCCGGAACACCCGGCTACGGGATAGCGATCCATCCTTGGGGCTCGGCGGAGCGAGTGGTAGTGGGCAACACAGGTAACAGGCAAAGCCAACCACCAACCGAGAGCGGAAGTCGGGGAACCTAGCCAATAAGAGTGCGGGCAATTTTCTGTGCTTCACAATGGTGGGTTCTTTCCAGTCCGCTGGAGACAAAGGCGGGGCAACGTTGGGGCGCGGCCGCTGATTGGACAAATTGAAAGCCTTTAGCCCTATCAAGGAGCACCACGTGGGCGGGACTCCAGGAGCCAGTTCTGCAGGGAGCTGCAGTTTGGTCTGTCTCCCAGGCAGGCGCAGAGTCGCGGCCGCCAGCTAGGGGCGCGGGAAGGCGGGGCTCGGATGCAATCGGGACCTCCTCCTGGACTGGGCCGGGGGCGGACTCCGGGACCCAGGGCGCCGGGAGCCGGCGGGCTACCTGCGAGTCGAGTTAGCGTTGTCGCCGAACCGAAGTGAGAGGGCACGGGGAAGGGTCAAAGAGCGTGCCGAAGCGCTGGAGGGAGCTTCACGGACGCGAGCTAGGCACCGGCTCGCCTAATCCGGTACTAATCCGGCTTGCTGCTTCCCGTCCAGGCCTCGCTCGCCATGGGGGAGGTGGAGATCTCGGCCCTGGCCTACGTGAAGATGTGCCTGCATGCTGCCCGGTACCCACACGCCGCAGTCAACGGGCTGTTTTTGGCGCCAGCGCCGCGGTCTGGAGAATGCCTGTGCCTCACCGACTGTGTGCCCCTCTTCCACAGCCACCTGGCCCTGTCCGTCATGTTGGAGGTCGCCCTCAACCAGGTGCCTCCGTTGGATGCCCATCCCCCACCGCGAACCCACCCAACACCCCAGCCCAAGTTCATCCCCGGTCCCTTGGCAGCAGTGCGCATCCACAAAGCCAGCGGCACAATTTAATTACTGATGGCCCCTTTCCTACGACAGGTGGATGTGTGGGGAGCACAGGCCGGTCTGGTGGTGGCTGGTTACTACCATGCCAATGCAGCTGTGAACGATCAGAGGTGAGTGGCGTAGCCAGAGGAAGAAGGAAAGGATTATGGCGGGTTGGGGATTGGAGGAATAGAGGGCGAGGATGCGTGGGGCGGTGGGCGGGGCGGGGGCGCACAAGATGAACCAAGGTCGTTCCTTTTATCTTTCCTTCATCAAACGCTTAGGAGCAGGGGCTTTACACCAGGCACTATGCTGGGTACTGGAGTGAGGGAATATAAAGATGAATAGGACAGAGCCCTGCCCTGGAGTGCCGTTGGGGCGGGGAGGACAACTGTGTATCAACAGACTGATTTTTTTTTTTTTTTTGAGACGGAGTCTCCCTCTGTCTCCCAGGCTGGAGTGCAGTGGCGCAATCTCGGCTCACTGGAACTTCCACCTCCTAGATTCAAGCGATTCTCCTGCCTCAGCCTCCCGAGTAGCTGGGATCACAGATGAGCGCCACCATGCCCGGCTAATTTTTTTTATTTTTTTAATTTATTATTATTTTTTATTTTTAGTAGAGATGGGGTTTCGCCATGTTGGCCAGGCTGGTCTAGAACTTGACCTCAGGTGATCCACGCGCCTCGGACTCCCAAAGTGCTGGGATTACAGGCGTGAGCCACCACTCTCGGCCAACAGACTGATCTTGCTTTAACTGAGGTGTCCCCCAGGGGCTGAAAGAACAGAGAAATCCCAACCAGCAACTTCAAAAATAAGGCAGTTTCCTTATATATATACATATAGGAAAAGACATATATATATATATATATATATTAATCATATACATGGAGCAATTAGAGGTACTGTTTTGTAATTTGCGTTTCTCCCTCACTTAATAAATACTTGACATCATCCCATTTCCACACCAAGATCTACCGTAACAGCTATATAGTCTGAATATGAATGTACTCTAATTTATTTAATACTTTAAACATTGAGGTTGTTTCCAGTGTTTTATTACAGACACTGTCCTATGATTACCATAAATTCTTTATAAGTAGAATTTCTGGGTCAGCATATGTATAGTATGTATACAGTTTCAATTTGGATGGTTATGCCAAATTACCTTCCAAAAAGACCACCTTTGGTTTCCACTCTCACCAGCAATATCTGAGCACCTGTCTCCCACAGCACTCAAGCATCAAGCAGTCGTGCATCAAGCATCCAGCAGGCCCGATCCCCGCAGGCCACCTACAGGGAAAGGCCACAGCTGCGCCCACACCTATGAGACCTGGGAGGCCCAGCTCAAATGGATGGGTTTTGCCCACAGTTGGCTCCTCACTCCTCTGATCTTCCCTCTACACAGCCCTGGGCCCCTGGCCTTGAAAATTGCTGGGCGAATTGCAGAATTCTTCCCTGATGCAGTACTTATTATGGTGAGGCTTGGGTTTCTGGGTGGGGAGGTGAAAAGCAAGTAGGGTGGGGGGACCCTTGAAACTCTCACTTGCCCATCTTTGTCCACTCAGTTGGATAATCAGAAACTGGTGCCTCAGCCTCGTGTGCCCCCGGTCATCGTCCTGGAGAACCAAGGTCTCCGCTGGGTCCCTAAGGATAAGAACTTGTGAGTACCCCACTCCCTCTACCTCTTCTTAGAAGCCCAAGGCTCCTGGGTCTCCTCTGTCCTTGGCCCTGCCCCAAGGGTCTTTCTCTAGACCCAATCTCTGTTAAGTCTGTGTCTGGACCCACTACTTGCTGTTTGACCTCCATGGGGGTTACTATTTCAGAGTGATGTGGAGGGACTGGGAAGAGTCACGGCAGATGGTGGGAGCTCTACTGGAAGATCGGGCCCACCAGCACCTTGTGGACTTTGACTGCCACCTTGATGACATCCGGCAGGACTGGACCAACCAGCGGCTCAACACTCAAATCACCCAGTGGGTTGGTCCCACTAATGGAAATGGAAATGCCTGAGCCAGGGCCAGCGGGGCCCGGTTCCAATAAAGAGACTTGGGCTGATGGGCAGTGGTATAACTATATTTATTGTGCCTGAGAGGCAAGGTGAGGGAAAAATCTCAACAGAAGCAAGTTTGGGGAAAATCTGGAGTCCCCAGTAAAAAGCAGGAAGGTCTCTGCTGTACTCATCACAGAATGGGAGAGAGGGCTCTCAATAGATCATTCCCTTTGTTTCTCCCCTGGGCTTCTTGAGCTTCTCGAAGTTCTTCAGGATGATGTCATATAACACAGCCTACAGGGCCAGGGAGTAGAGGTCAGTCAGAGGCCTCCAGTGGCTCTGTGCCCCATTTCTAGCCTTGTGGAGAAGCTGAGCTTTGTCACCCTTAACCCCTAGCCTGCAGGGTCAGGGAGTGGGTGGCCTGGGAAAGCTGCCTCTGCCCACCCCTGCCCTGCCCTTGCCTCCTCACATAAGCATTGCGGATCTCCATGACCATCAGCCGGATGTCCCGGTACTCTGCCTCATCCAGCTCGTGCACCAGCTGCCGATAATCACCCTGTGGGAAGCTCGGGTCAGGCCTGACCTTACATGTGTCCTTCCCCCATGCACCCTGACCTGGGCCTCACCTACCACATGGGGCTGCTTGGCTGCTTTAGTCACTGCATCACCACGCTCAGAGAAATACCTGTGGAAGGAGAAGTGTGTATGGAGTAGAAGAAGGAGGTCTCCCAAAACAAAAACAGTGTGCACATGGGTGGTCACTCACTTAGAGATTTGAGTGTGGAAGCCTTCTAGCTTGGTGTGGAGGCTGGTCATCAGCTCAAACACCTTCTCCTAGGGAAAAAAAGCAAGGGGGAAAGTGGAAGGAAGCATGGACTAGAAAAGAGCAGGGAAGTGGGGCAGCGCTCTCACCTGGACAGCCACTCCAAAATTGTTACCATCCTCAATCCGAGGTATCTGCAGCTGCAACCAGGTGGTGACCTGGGAAGAGGGAATGGCATAATGCCACATCAGCCCTCTACCCAATTCCCAGTTTCATATTCTCCCTTGCTTCCCTCCCCACACTGGGTGGAGGCGTGCCGGGTCTATCCTGAGCCCCAGGGCCTGGACTTCTGGTTTCACTTGCTGTGCCCTCTCTTGCTAAAACCTGGCAAGTGCCAGGCCCTAAATGGCAGGGACCAAGAGGACAATGGTTTGACTTGAAGCCTGAGAGTTTAAGGGGGAGGGCTTACCAGGTTGAGCTGCTCAATGACATCCTTGATCTCAGGCTTCAAGCGCTGCAGAAGGACCACGATCTTTTCATTGCAGTTCACTGGGCCACAGGGAGGACCTAGAGAGTGAGCAATGGGTCAGTCACATGATTGAGCCTGTGTGAGGGGCGAAGGGGAGACTGGAAAGAAATCCTTAGGAGGAGCTCCTGTGAGTGGGACTCAAGTCTCTTCCCACCATTGTGGTTTCAAGTACCTTTGTCTTCATCCTCCCCCTTCTTCTTTTCATCCTTGTCTTCCTTCTGCAGAAAGAGAGGAGCTCATGAGAGTCAGGACTAAGGTTGATTACCCCCATAGTTGGATCCCTTCTCCCAGGTCTTCCCAGCTTGCCTCCTGCTGTTTCTTCCGCTCCTCTTTCTCTTTCTCCTTGACTGGATCAGGCACTGGGATGTCCAATGGGGCCTTCAGATTGCTCAAGTTGGCTTCATTGAGAGCTGGCTCCTGGTGTAGGGTGGGAGGAGGGCTGGAGGTGAGGGAGTTCCTCTCACCTCACTCTCACAGCCTCCAGACTCTTCTCTTGGCCTTTACTCCCTAGCTCCCTGCCCAGCCGCGGTACCTTTAAAAATGCATCCAGCTCAGAAATCTTCTTGGGGAAATAGCTCCCGAGCAGGTTCTCTGTCTGTGTGTGAGGTGGGGGTGGAGGAGGATGGGAGTCAGCATCAAATGCCCGTCCTAGGTAGTGAGGCAGGGTTGAGCAGTAGGAGTTGGGCAGGGGTGGGGCCACGCTGATGGGGCATGTCTTACCTTGGTACAGAGGTCTTCACGAAACACATCCACCTGTGGGGCACACGCATCCCTTCAGAAACTTGGCTTTAAGGCCAGTTCATTTGAGGACAGTTCCCTTAGGGTTATGTAGGGCCTGACCTGGGGAAGGGTGGAGGGGATCCCTCTAAGGCCAGACCTGAAGAAAGCGAGATGGATGCCTGTAGGGTGGGTTGGGGTGGTGGAGAAGGTGGATCTCTGCAGACCTGGATCTACGGAAAGTGGAGTGGGTATCCCTGGGGCTGGATATGGGGGATGAGAACATTCCTGGCGGTGAAGGGCCAGTGTTCACGTGAGAACAGATCTCTGGGGTCGCCTGGCAGGTGTGAGGAGGGGTGCTGAGAGTCCTCTGCAAGTAGGACAGGGATGGGGTGGGCCCCGGGACCCTCCCTGAGGGAAAGGCCAGAAGGTAGCTGGGGCAGTCCCGCACCCAGTCTGTGTGTGGCCCCGGCCCCAGGCCAGCGGAGTTCCCCTCCACGCCAGCTCTCCGCTTCACCTCACCCCGCAGAACCACGGCCGCCTCGCCTCTCCCCGCAGGCAGCAGTCGCCGCCCTCCCCGGGGCGCAGGTGCTCCGGGCGCGCCAGCTCGGCCGACTGCCCCCGACTCGCGTGGGAGCCTGGGGGGCGGGTCGGGGATGCCCCCGGCCGCTCCAGCCACGCCTCCCCAGTGGGCCCTTTCTAGACCCCGCGGCGCTCACCTTGGCTTGGGCCTCGGGCTGGACCCTGAGCATGGCCATGACCGGGACGGGGGGCCTAGCGCCGCACAAGGAGTGGAGTGGGCACCGCGAAGGGAAAGCGAAAGCGGTAGGGCGCTCGCACCCAGCTCCGCCTTCCTGGGTAGTGGGGCGGGGAGGGCTGGAGGAGGCGGGGTCGGATGGAGGAGGCGGGGTCAGCCCTGCCATGGAAGGGGCGGTGCCGCAGAGGAGGGCGGCGGGTGAGGCTCCGCCTAGCGCGCACAGGCGCTCTTCACCCACCCTCCCCGCGCCGCCTCGCGAGGGCCAGCTTCCAGGCTCCCCACCTCCGCTGGCCCGGTCCCCGCCTCCCGCCTCCCGCCACCTGCCGCCCGCCGCCTGAGGACGGCGGGTCCGGGTCCTCCCATCGCCAAGCCCAAGCCAGTCTCTCCGCGTCCCAACCTCCACCTCCCGCCTCCCAACTGGCTCCCCACCTGCTCTCTTCTTCCCCTGCTCCGCCTGGGACAGATAAGCTTTACTTAGGGCTCTTCCGTCTTTCCCTAGAGATGGAATAAGACCTGGCCTGTCTTTCCTAGCCTTGCTAGCGTGGGCCTCTGGCTCTGCCGACATCCTGCGCACCTGTAGCAACACCGGCACCAGAGCTGGCAGCATCCCTATCCAAGCCCGGACCAACTCTCTCCTGGACCACGGCTGCAGATGCCATTCTATAACCCACTCTCACGGAGCAGCGGGTTCATGCCTCTCTCTGGCTTAAAACCCTTTCTCAGCTGCCTGTTGACCTTTGAATGAAATCCAAAAGGCTGTCGCACCTGTCTCCCCTTTAAGTCCACTTTCTACTGCTTGCCCCTTCATTCATTACACTTGCAAATATTTGGGCTATTTGTTTCTCAGATGTGTCATGTTCATTTCTGCCTCAGGGCCTTTGCCCTTGCTAATAATCCCTTTGCCTAAAACACCCTTACCCTGGGTGTTGTCATTCGGTTCTCAGTTTAGATGTCACCTCTTCAGAGAGAACTATTTTCATCATCCTTTATAAGGAACCTCCCTCCAAATCTATTACAAATCATCCTGTTTTAGTACATTCATAGCATTTATCTCTCTGATATTAGCCAGGTGTTTTTTTTTTTTTTTCCAGGATAATTTACTGATTTAAACCAGGTTTTGGCAAACGTGTGTGTGTGTGTGTGTGTGTGTGTGTGTGTTGGGGGACGGAGTCTCGCTCTGTCGCCCAGGGTGGAGTGCAGTGGCACCATCTAGGCTCACTGCAACCTCCACCTCCAGGGTTCAAGCGATTCTCCTGCTTCAGCCTACGGAGTAGCTAGGACTACAGGCGCGTCCCACCACGCCCGGCTAATTTTTTGTATTTTTAGTAGAGACGGGGTTTCACCATGTTAGCCAGGATGGACTCGATCTCCTGACCTCGTGATCCGCCCGCCTCGGCCTCCCAAAGTGCTGGGATTGCAGGCATGAGCCACCGCGTCTGGCCAACTTTTTCTATAAAGGGCCAGAGAGTAAATATTTTAGGCTTTATAGGCCTTACAGTGTCTGTCTACTCAACTCTGCCATTGTAGTAGGAAAGCTGCCATATGTAAATGAATTAGTTTGGTGAGATAACATTTTATAGACACTGGAATTTGAATTTCATGTAACTTTCTCCTGTAATAAAATATTCTTATTCTTTTGCTTTTTCAACCATTAAAAAATGTAAAAATGGCCGGGCACAGTGACTCACGCCTCTAATCCCAGCACTTTGGGAGGCCAAGGCAGGCAGATCACTTGAGGTCAGAAGTTCGAGACCAGCCTGGCCAACATGGTGAAACCCTGTGCCTACTAAAAATACAAACACTAGACGGGTGTGGTGGTGGGGGCCTGTAATCCCAGCTACTCGGGAGGCTGAGACAGGAGATCGCTTGAACCTGAGAGGTGGAGGTTGCAGTGAGCCAGAATTGCACTCCAGCCTGGGCAACAGAGTGAGACTCTGTCTCCAAAAAAATAATAAAAATAAAATAAAAATAAAAATGTAAAAAATGTTTTACCTTTTAAAAAAAATTTTTATACAGACAGGGTCTCACCATCTTGCCCAGGCTGGTCTCAAACTCCTGGGCTCAAGTGATCCTCTTGCCTCAGCCTCCCAAAGTGCTGGGATTACACTGCCATCACTGCCAGGTCTCTGTCTTTAAAAAAAAATTATATATATATTATATATGCAAATATTATATATAAAATATATAATAATATATATAATATATAAATATATATATTATACATATATAATTATTAGCTCGCAGGTCATACAAAACTGGCCACAGGAGGGCCAAAGTTTGCTAATTCCTGGTTTAGAGGATAGATGATATACCCATATTATCTAGCTTTGTAATCATGGCTCCTCTGTTTATTAGTTGTGAACAAGTTACTTAACCTCTGTGTCTCAGTGTTTGCAACTGTACAATGGGAACACTACTATCTCAATTTTTTTTTTTTTTTGCCAATCAAGATCAGTACAACCTACCTCATACTTTTATTGTTGTGAGGACCAAATGTGTTAACTTTTTTTTTTTTGAGATGGAATTTCACTCTTGTTGCCCAGGATGGAGTGCAGTGGTGCAACCTCAGCTCGTTGCAACCTCCGCCTCCCGGGTTCAAGGGATTCTCCTGACTCAGCCTCCCAAGTAGCTGGGATTACAGGCGCCCGCCACCACACCCAAGTAATTTTTTTTTTTTTTTTTTGTATTTTTAGTGGAGATGGAGTTTCACCATGTTGGCCAGGCTGGTTTTGAACTCCTGACCTCAAGTGATCTGCCCACCTCGGCCTCCCAAAGTGCTAGGATTATAGGCGTGAGCCACCGCGCCCGGCCATATGCGTTAACTTTTATAAAGAACTTACAGACACTTAGAACAGTGTCTGGCACAGAGTAAACGCAGTGCAAGTGTTTTGCTATTATTTGTGTGATCTATTATCTGCCTTCCCCAGTTAGCTCATATGCCTCCAAACAGCAGAAATCTTGTCTTATTTACATGGCATAGAACTATGCTCAGCTCAATAAACATTTGTTAAATAGATGAGCACATACAGACCCCCTACGGGGAAGACAGGGTAGGAAAAGTCCCTGCGAGGAGTGCCCAGATAGGTAGGCCCCTGAAGAGAGGGAGTGGAGATTCAGTGGAGAAGGCAGGAAAAACAATCAAACAGGCTGGAGATGGAGCAACTGCTCAGCAAGAATGATGCCCACACCTAAGGGCATTACCTTAGAAGCACCATTCCTGGATGTCTCAGTCCCCAGATAGCCTGAAGTCTGCAAAAACTAGGAGACTGAAAGGACAGCTGGAGGGATGGAGGTCAAGCATAAGGAAGGACATTCAAGGTTGATGAGAGCAAGGAATGGCTGGGGAACCCTAGTGACTACCAGACCCTCTTCCCACCCTTTCAAGGACCCAACCAAATGATGAGAGGAGCCACAGCCAGGCCCGATGGTTTTTATTTCTTTCAGTTATGCTTGCGGCTGGAGTGGGGACGGGGGAAGAGCCCATGGCCTGGGCTCCCTGGAGACCAGGGCTGATGATACCAGCTGCCATAGGTGAGGTACCAGGCAAAGGTGCCCACTGCGGCGCCCACCACCTTGTGAGTGTACTGGTGGAAATAGATGACGGTACAGAGCAGCAAGAAGTTCCAGAGGCCCAGCAGCAGCACGTTCAGCAGGAAGACAAGGCGCAGTGGGGCGCCGGCAGGAAGCCCATGGGCCAGGTACTTGGCGAACACAGCTGCTTCCTCTGCCATGAGCAGGCAGCAAAAGGTGAGCAGGAAGGTGTGGGAGGAGACGGTGTAGCCTCGCCACTGGTGGCCGGCTGCCAGGCAGCTGCGGCGGTCAGGCAGCTCGTGGAGCAGCAGACCCTGGGGCAGTGGCTCGAAGCAGGAGCCAGTCAGGTCCTCGATGAGCAGGAAGGCCCGGCCGGCTCCCCGCCACACGGCTGCCCCTACTACCAGTCGGCTCAGGTGTCTGGCAGTTACTGCCACGCGCCGTGTAGCCAGGAACACCACCAGCAACACAAAGCCCCCTAAGAAAGTGCATGTCCAGCCCCAGGCTGAATTCACAAATTTTCTGTGGGCAAAGAAGGGAGACTATTGAGACCCCAAGCTCCATCTCCCACCCTGGTCTGTGCTCCCATCACTGCACTCTCCCCAACCCTACACATCATCACTCGTTCTCTCCTTGCCGTGCCCTTTACAGCCCCCAGTCATTTAACCTTTGCTATCTCCTTGGAAGACAATTCAGCATTCCAGGGTCCATATTTCCTCTTTAGTCCTGTTCCCAACTTCCCCTGTACCCCAGGGCTCTGTTCCCTTCCCCCTCCCCCGACCTTTTCCTCAACCTCCTAGCCTATTTTTAGTGTTCAGACTGGCAGGAGGACAGAAGCCTGGAGAAGGGAGCTAGGATCCCAGAGTGCAGGGACCCGGCTCCCACAGCCTTGAGTGGACTCACATGTTGAAGAAGTTGCCGTGGCTGGCGAAGATAGTCCGAGGGTTGACATGGAACTGCAGAAGCGGCCCAAAGATGACCACTGCTGCCAGCCAGGCATGGTAGAGGCGCCGTAAGCAGGGGCTGCCCAGAAGGCGGGCGGCCTGTTCGCTTCCAAAGTACAGCAAGGCAGAGGCCACCCAGAGCAGCACCTTGAGCAGGCAGCCCAGCAGTGCCTGGATTCGGGCCCCGGCCCCCAGTCCTGCCCCCACCACCGGCCCCCGCTCCATGTTCCCTCCCCTCCCCACTAACTGCTTGCTTTGCTGGGCAGCTGAGGAGGGGCTGATGGGGCCCCCCCTGGACAAGGATAGGCAGTGACAGGTGTGGCAGACACAAGGCAGAGCCCTGTTGGCAGCTGGCAGGTGGGGGAGAGGGGCGGGGGGCAGTAAGGGGCCAGGGTGGAGGTCTGCCACGTCAGCAGGGTCCTGGCCTCGGGTGTGTGGTAGTATGTGTCCTGACAGCAGTCTGTGTCCTTTCCTGTTAGTCCTGTGTCCTTGGCTCCGACCATGTTCCAGTTCCTGTGACAGGGCCAGCTGTTCAGGGCTGTCCTTGTCCATAGTCTGCCAAAGTCCCTCTCCACCCACCCCTACTTTACCATTTGCTCCACAGGGAAATCAGAGGTCATGGAGATAAAAATAACCAAACCTTGAAAGTCGTTTTTTAAAAAAAGCTGCCAGTCTTATCAGTGTGATCTAGCCCTTCTCCTGGGGTTCTGAGCACAAGAGCCCACCAACAGCAGGATGCAGCAAGGTGGCTGTGCACAGCACTGTGGCCATCATAGGCCTTGGGAGGCAGATCAGCATGGGTATCCACTTCAGTGCCCTGTGACCCCAGCAGCTTGGCTCTGCCCTAGTTCCTGTCTGGATTGAGGGTCTCTAAGGGACTAGTTTGGCCCAGGGCTGCTGTATAAACTGGCGGTTTCATCTGTTGATCACGTTGACCCTCAGATCCCTAAAGATTAGGTTTACTCCCAGGTGACAGAGGTAGAGGAGACCCTAAAAGGGCAATTGCCAGACAGGAGTCAATTGAAACCTTAAGTTCCATCCTCCAACCAACTACCCTGGGCCTCAGGGCTCTCCATATAAGCCTGCCCTCCCAGTCTGACTGCTGAGGCGGCGACAGCAGGGCAGTCAGCTACCTATCCACGGAGAGTGCCTGTTAGTCAGTAACTGTTTCGAGATCACTTTTTCTTTCTTCCTCATTCCTCAAAACCAGTGGTGGGATTTCAGAGCACAGCGGAAGTAGTGAAAGGAATGAGCAAGCAAGGACACCTGAGTTCTGGGCCCAACTGTGTGACTTTAGGAAAATCAATGAACCCTCTTCAGTCCTCAGTAAATCAATTTCCTTTATAAACTGATCAAGACAGATTGGATAATCAATCAGATTCCTTCCAGATCCTAAAGCCCATACCTTGGAATAGTGACCTTCAATGAACCCTATAAAAGAATTTTGAACTAGGCTGGGCATGGTGGTTCACGCCTATAATCCCAGCAGTTTGGGAGGCTGAGGTGGATGGATCGCCTGAGGCCAGCCTGGCCAACATAGTGAAACCCCGTCTCTACTGAAAATAAAAAAATTAGCTGGGCACGGTGGCGGGCGCCTGTAATCCCAGCTATTCTGGAGGCTGAGGCAGGAGAATCGCTTGAACACGGGAGGCGGAGGTTGCAGTGAGCCGAGATTGTGCCATTGCACTCCAGCCTGAGCAACAACAGCAAGACTCCGTCTTAAAAAAAAAAATTCTTTCCACTCATTTTTATTTATTAAAGTTTTATGATTTATTTTTTTGAGACAGTGTCTCACGCTTGCCCAGGCTGGAATGCAGTGTGCTATCACGGCTCACTGCAGCCTCAAACTCCTGGGCTCAAGTGATCATCTGCCCTAGCCTCCTGAGTAGCTAGAACTACAGGAATGCATCACCATGGTTGGTTATTTTTTATTTTTTGGCCAGGTGTGGTAGCTCATGCCTGTAATCCCAGCACTTTGGGACCAGCCTGAGGAGCCACAGGAGTTCGGGACCACCTTGAGCTGGTCTCACACAGTGAGACGCCGTCCCTACAAAAATTAAAAAAATTAGCTGGGCATAGTGGCACGTGCCTGTAATTCCAGCTACTTGGGAGGCCGAAATGGGAGGATCACTTGGGCCCAGGAGGTTGACATTGCAGTGAGCCGTGATGGCACTATTGCACTCCAAGCCTAAGCAACAGAGTGAGACCTTGTTTCAATATTTATTTTGTAGAGACAAAGTCTCACTAAGTTGACCAGGCTGGTCTTGAACTCCTGGCCTCAGGTGATCTTCCTGCCTTGGCCTCCCAGAGTGGTGGGATTACAGGCATGAGCTACCATGCCTGGTCTCATTGTGGTTTTAAATAGTTGCAAAGGACATAATTTCTAGTGTATCATATACTGACATTTCAAAATAAATCCATTATATCACTGTTTCAAATGTATCCAATGAAATGTAAATACTACAGTGATTAGATACTTCACCTTTATCCATTAAAACATGACAAGATTTTACATCAGAAATTATATTTCCATTCTACTCCCTCACAGAATTTATCCTAATATGTTTTTATGCCTGAAAGTCTTTTATTGACCATTTATCACATTTCTCTGCAAGAAAAGTAACTCAAAAAATTTAATTTTTTGTTTGTTTGAGATGGAGTCTCACTCTGTCGCCCCGGCTGAAGTGCAGTGGCACGATCTTGGCTCACTGCAACCTCTGCTTCCTGGGTTCAAGCGATTCTCCTGCCTCAGCCTTCCAAGTAGCTGGGATTACAGGCGCCCGCCACCACCCAGCTACTTTTTTTTTTTTTTTTTTTTAGTAGACATGGGGTTTCACCATGTTGGCCAGGCTGGTCTCGAACTCCTGACCTAGTGATTCGCCTGCCTCGGCCTCCCAAAGTGCTGGGATTACAGGCGTGAGCCACCGTGCCCAGCCAAAAAATTTAATTTTTTATAGTTTCTGGGCCCAGTGTGGTGGCTCACACCTGCAATTCCAGTCCTTTGGGAGACCATGGCAGGAGGATCACTTGAGCCCAGGAGTTCTAGACCAGCCTGAGTAACATGGTGAAACCTTATCTATACAAAATATACACAAATTAGCCAAAGATGGTGGCACCCACCCAGCTACTCAGGAGGCTGAGATGGGAAGATCACTTGAGCCCAGGAATTTGAGGTTGCAGTGAGCAGTGATCACACCACTGCATTCCACACCACTGCACTCCAGCCTGGGCAACAGAGCAAGACTGTCTCAAAAAATAAAAATAAATAAAATAAATAAAATAGAAATGTCCTGTGACCATAAAGCCCTAAGAGTTAATTTTTTTCCTATGGATTCTATTTTCATTGTAACTGTTAGTAGTCTAAAATATATTATTAGTACATGAATACCTTAGTTTTTGGGGTTTTTGAGACAGGGTCACTTTCTGTCAGGAAAGTGAAACAGTCTTATTACTGACATGGAGAAAGTTTTAGTGGTCTGGGTAGAAGATTAAAGCAGCCACAACATTCTCTTAAATCAAAGCCTAATCCGGTGGCATGATTGCAGCTCACTGCAGCCTTGACCTCCCTGGTTCAAGTGATCCTCCTCTCGCTGAGCTGGGACTACAGGTGCAGGCCACGAAGTTTGGCTAATTTTTAAATTTTTTGTAGAGACAGGGGTCTCACTATGTTGCCCAGGCTGGTCTTAAACTCCTGGGCTCAAGTGATCCTTCTGTCTTTGCCTAAAGTGCTGGGATTACAGAAGTGAACCGCTGCACCTGTCCAGGAAAAGTTCTTAAAGGAAATTAAAAGGTACTACACTTCAGTGAACACATGAATGATACAAAAGTGAAATAGCCTTATTGCTGATATCAAGAAAGTGTTAGTGGTCTGGATAGAAGATCAAAGCAGCCACAACATTCCCTTAAACCAAAGCCTAATCTGGAGCAAGGCCCCAACTCTTTTTTTTTTTTTTTTTAAGAGACAGTGTCTTGCGTTGTTGCCCAGCCTGGAGTGCAGTGGCATGATCATGTCTTACTGCAGTCTCAAACTCCTGAGCTCAAGCAATCCTCCTGCTCTGCCTCCTAAGTAGCTGGGACTACATGTGCATGCCAACACTCACTATGTTGCCCACACTGGTCTCCAACCCTTGGCCTCAAGTGATCCTTCCATCTTGGCCTCCCAAAGTGCTGGGATTATAGGTGTGAGCTACTGAGCCCAGCCTATTCTCTTCAATACTATAAAGACTGAGAGTGGTGAGGAGGCTAGGAGAGGTTGGTTCATAATGCTCAAGGAAAGAAGCCACCTCCATAACATAAAAATGCAAGGTGAAGCAGCAAGTGCTGATATAGAATCTGCAGAAAGTTATCCAGAAGATCTAGCTAAGATCATTGATGAAGGTGGCTACACTAAATTACAGATTTTCAAAGCAAACAAAACAGCCTTCTATTGGAAGAAGATGCCACATAGAAGTTTCACAGCTAGAGAGAAGTCAAGGCCTGGCTACAGAGCTTCAAAGGACAGACTAACTCTTTTTATTAGGAGATAATGCACCTGGTAACTTTAAGTTGAAACCAATCCTCATTTACCATTCTGAAAATCCTAGGGCCTTAGGAATTATGCTAAATGTATTCTGCTGTGCTCTATAAATAAAACAACAAAACCTGCATGACAGCACATATGTTTGCAGCATGGGTTACAGAATATTTTAAGCTCACTGTTAAGATCTACTCCTCAGAAATAAAGATTCCTTTCAAAATATTACTGCTCATTGACAATGCACCTGGTCACCTACAAACTCTGGAGATGTACAGGGAGATTAATGTTTTCATGCCTGCTAACACAACATCCATTCTGTAGCCCATGGATCAAGGAGTAATTTTGACTTGCAAGTCTTACTTTTTTTTTTTTTTTTTTTTTTGAGACTGAGTCTTGCTCTGTCGCCCAGGCTGCAGTGCGGTGGCGCGATCTCGGCTCACTGCAACCTCCGCCTCCCAGGTTCATGCCATTCTCCTGCCTCAGCCTCCTGAGCAGCTGGGACTACAGGTGCCCACCACCACGCCCAGCTATTTTTTTGTATTTTTAGTGGAGACGGGGTTTCATTGTGTTAGCCAGGATGGTCTCGATCTCCTGACCTCGTGATCCACCCGCCTCGGCCTCCCAAAGTGCTGGGATTACAGGTGTCAGCCACTGCACCCGGCCAAGTCTTACTCTTTAAGAAATACATTTCGAACCCCGTCTCTACAAAAAATAACAAAAACGAGCTGGATGTGGGTGGTGTGTGCTGGTAGTCCCAGCTACTTGGGAGGCTGAAGTGGGAGGATCGCTTGAGTCCAGGGGGAGGCAGAGGTTTCAGTGAGCTGAGTGCACCACTGCGCCTGAGCGACAGAGCAAGACCCTATATCAAGCAAAAAAAAAAAAAAGAAAAAAAAAAACATTTCGTAAGACTGCAGCTGCCATAGTGATTCCTCTGATAGCTGTCGACAAAGTCAACTGAAAACCTTCTGGAAAGGATTCACCATTCCAGATGCCATTAAGAACATTCATGGCTAGGCACAGTGGCTTATGCCTATAATCCCAGCATTTTGGGGGGCTGAAGTGGGAGGATCGCTTGAGCCCAGGAGTTTGAGAACAGCTTGTGCAACAGGACGAAACCCCATCTCTACAGAAAACACAAAAATTAGCCAGGTGTAGTGGTGGGCATCTGTAGTCTCAGCTACTCAGGTGGCTGAGGTGGAGGACTGCTTGAGCCAGGAGAGGTCCAGGCTGCAGTGAGCTGAGATCATGCCACTGCACTCCAGCTTGGGTGACAGAGTGAGACCCCGTCTCAAAAAAAAAAAAACAAAACAAAACAAAATTTTTTTTTTCCCCAGAGTCTCACCCTGTGGCTCAGGCTGGAGTGCAGTGGTGCGATCTCAGCTCACTGCAACCTCCGCCTCCCAGGTTCAAGCGATACTCCTGCCTCAGCCTCCTGAGTAGCTGGGACTACAGGCGCCTGCCACCACACCTGGCTAATTTTTGTATTTTTAGTAGAGACGAGGTTTCACCATGTTGGCTAGGCTGGTCTTGAACTCCTGACCTCAGGTGATCCACTGCCTCGGCCTCCCAAAGTGCTGAGATTACGGGCATGAGCCACTGTGCCCAGCCTAAAAACAACATAACTTTTATATGCACTGGGAAACCAACAAAATTGACTCGCCTTATGCAATATTCACTTTATTACAGTGGTCTGGAAATGAACTCACAATATCTCCTAGGTATGCCTGTACAACAAACATTTTACATTACTTCGATAACATAAAATTATATTGTAAATGCATCTCTTACTGAGAATGGTCGGTCTGTGGGGCTTTGATCTAATGAAGCTATAAGGATACTAACAATTTGAATTTCTCTCTTAATTTGGTGCCCTGGAAGTAACACAGGTTCTGGGTGAGATGGGTAGCACCTTAGGTAACTTTATCACTTGGCAGACGGGGAATGAAAAGCGTGGATGGGAAAGGAGATCTGGCACGGGAGTTTCACACTAGGTAGATCAATTTGAGGAATGAGAACACAGAAGCCAAGGATCTGAACATTTATTTATTTATTATTTATTTTTGAGACAGGGTCTCACTCTGTCACCTAGGCTGGAGTACATTGGCACAATCACGGCTCACCGCAGCCTTGACCTCCTGGCCTTAGGTGATCCTCCCACCTCAGCCTCCTGAGTAGCTAGGACTACAGGCATGCGTCACCACATCTGGCTAATTTTTTTTTTGAGACAGAGTTTTGCTCTCGTTGCCCAAGCTTGAGTGTAATGGCATGGTCTTGGCTCACTGCACTCAGCTCACCTCTGCTCCCAAGTTCAAGCGATTCTCCTGCCTCAGCCTCTCAAGTAGCTGAGATTACAGGCACCCGCCACCATATCCGGCTAGTTTTTTTGTATTTTTAGTAGAGATTGGGTTCCACCATGTTGGCCAGGCTGGTCTCAAACACCTGACTTCAGGTGATCCACCTATCTCGGCCTCCCAAAATGCCGGGATTACAGGTGTGAACCACCGTGCCCGGCCTACTTTTTGTATTTTTTGTAGAGATGGGGTTTTGCCATGTTGCCCAGGCTGGTCTCAAACTCCTGGGCTCAAGCGATCCATCAGCTTTGGCTTCCCAAAGTGCTAGGATTACAGGCATGAGCCACCACACCTAGCTTGTTTATTCTTTTAAAACTGCCTATTTTGCCATGAAATAGGTACCCTTGCTGTGAAAGCCTGTGAACACCCCTGGATGTGTGTACCTTCATTTAAAAACTGCCTTAGAGGGCATGAAATGTCATCAGGGAAGATCTATTCCGAGCTGGGTGTGAGCTCTAGCCCTCTCCCTGACCATCGGTTTGCTCTGGGGTATGAGGTTCTGAGTGTGAGGCGCCCACTGGGGCCTGGCGTCAGGGCCGACTTGCTTCTCTTAGGCTCTGCGTTCAGGGGCTACCTCTTCCAAAGACTACACAGCTGCAGGCCCAGCCTCAGAGCAGAGGTGATATGGGTATTACCAGGCTCTAATGGAAAGTGTGCTCTCTCGATATCTACTTGCAGGGAAGCTTCTGAAATTGGTAAGGGAGCACCTATTGCAAGGCTCAGTGAACAAATGGTTTTGGTATTTCCCTTTTTCATGGGGCACCAGAAGGGTATTTTCTCCTACACAGGATCGCATCTGAAGACTTTGCTGAACTGTGTTTTCCTGAAGTGAGGAGATGAAAGACCTCAGATAGGAAAAACAGAGAGTGAGAGAGAGAGACAGACACTGAGCCAGGTTCCCACACAGTTTATTGAGGGAGCCAAAGCCAGTGAGAGGACGAAGGAGTCCTACTTCAACCTACTTCCTTAAAGCTGTGTGCCTCCAGCATGAAGGGACCTTCCCAGAGGGCAGGGCCTGCCCTATAAGGGGCCACATGAAGCCTTGTGGAGACTCCTGCCTCTCATACCACAGCCTGTCCTACCCTAAAGACCCAGACATGACAGCAGACATAATCCCCACCCCAGGAGGGTGCTGAGGAAACACCCTTACCCATGCCCCTCCCCTAGAGACCTCAGGAAGAAAGGCCAGGACACCTGTCCTGTGATTGGCCAGTTGAATCCTCAACGTGAAGACCTGGCAGGCCTGGCTGACAGGTCTGTTCAGATGTGGCCTCAGGCATCTACTCTAGGATCCAACCCCTAACATTCAAACATGATTAAAAACACCCAGGACACTTCTCTTGCTGGCAGAGGCCACACCCCAGATAATGGCAGTCCTGCCAAACTCTGGCCAGAGATAGGGACCCAAGCTGACTGGGTGTGAGCACGTAAGGAGACCACTCTGCCCCATGGGGAGAATCTTCCAGGGCTCAGCTGAGGCTCAGAGCCCAGGCTTATGTTATTCCCCATCAAATGCCAGTGATTCCTCCAAACATTCCCCACAAGGGAGAAAGGGAGGAGGAGGCAGAGAGCTTATCAAGAGGTTCACCCTATATGGGGCTGGAGGTTGGATCTACTGGGGTGAGGAAAAGGGTGTAGAGGATTGGGGCACTGGGGCAGGGGCGCTGGCACATTCCTCAGATTCTGGCATGTCATCCTGGAAGTACTCAGCCTGGCGGTACTGCCACAGACGCAGGTTCCCGTCCCACTGCAGGGCAGAGGGTGGCAAGCAGTCAGGATGTGCTGCCCCCACCCAAGTCCAAGCCCCAGACATGTGCCAGCACCCTCAACCCTTGCAACCTCACCGAACTGCTGACAATCTTCTCTTCAAAGGGGTGCCAACTGACGTCACGCACACAGGCCTTGTGGTTGGTCAGCTTCTTCACAATGTGGCCACTTAGAAGGTCGTACACTGTCCAGGACAGGCAAGAGTGGAGAGGGACCACCACAAGACATCTAAACTATCCCTCACCTCCCCATGAGTAGCACCACTGACCTGCCTCTCAGGCAACTTCCCATGTTCCCATGGGAGCAAAGCCCACACCAGAAGACTGTGTTATTTCTGCTTCTATCCCTGTTCCTTTCCATACCTTGGGTTGAGGGTATGGTTTAGTGGTGTGGGTATGTCTGGCCCTTAGCTAAATTTCATAGGGGCTACAGTTAAGGAAATGCACTGGCTTTGAAGATTTTAGTAAGATATGGAAGGCACCACAAAAGTGAACAATGAGCTGTCTGGGGGTGTGTGCACCTGCTGCACCTTATCTGGACAGGGTGCATCTTTCTTTTGTCATGGGACTGTGAGTGTCTCTCTAGGGACAGCACTGCCTTAGGCTCCTTGTATCTGCAGCTGTGCTTCTGGTTTTTTTTTTCTTTTTCTTTTTTTTTTTTTTTTGAGATGGAGTCTCGCTCTTGTTGCCCAGGCTAGAGTGCCGTGGCGCGATCTTGGCTCACTGCAACCTCTGCCTCCCGGGTTCAAGCGATTCTCCTGCCTCAGCCTCCTGGGCTCAAGCGATTCTCCTGCCTCAGCCTCCCAAGTAGCTTGTGATTACCAGCGCCTGCCACCATGCCTGGCTAATTTTTGTGTTTTTAATAGAGATGGGGCTTCACCATGTTGGCCAGGCTGGTCTCAAACCCCTGACATCAGGTGATCTGCCCGCCTCGGCCTCCCACGGTGCTGGGATTACAGGCATGAGCCACCGTGCCCGACCTTTTTTTTTTTTTTTTTGAGACAGTTTCTCACTCTGTCACCCAGGCTGAAGTGCGGTGGCACAATCATGGCTCACTGCAGTCTCGGGCTCAGGTGATTCTCCCACCCTAGCCTCCCAAGTAGCTGGGACTACAGGCCTGTGCCACCATGTCCAGCCATTTTTTGTAGAGACAAGGTTTCTCCATGTTGCCCTGGCTGGTCTCAAACTCCTGGGCTCAAGTGATCTGCCCTCATTGGCCTCCCAAAGCCCTGGGGTTACAGGCATGAGCCACTGCAGCCAGCTTATTTCTTTCTATGCTTTTCTGCTTTAGCGACTGCATGTCCCTTAACTACTTGCTACCATCTTCCTGTGTCATTTTGTCTCTGTTCCCTCCTACCTTTCATCTGCAACCTCTTTCTTGACTGGCTGAAAAACAGAACCAACTATATTTTTGGCAATCTATTATATTTACTGTCTAGAATTCTATGTTCCTTTTCTTAATTTAAAACACTGAAAAATAGAATGGTTTCTATTTCTCTGTTTAAGCCTCCAAGCTAAGTTTGATTTTACCTGTAGCTGTCACTGGGCTTTTTAAGGTGGTCACTAGTCGTTATAGGTGGAATGGCAAGGAGTCATTCCTGCCCTTCCTGAGGCCCCCTGTTCTGACACAATCCTTACCAACCACTTTGCCAGTGGAGCAGCCACTGTAGATGAACTGCTGGCCAGTGCTATGAATGGGGGAGAACCGGCAGCGGATGAGGGTGTGCAGCACTCCGTGGCCCCGGTAGGTCATCAAGGAGCTGTCCCCTGGGAGCTTCAGCTTCCGCCAGGCTGGGTAGGGATGCAGAGTAAACCCTAGGTTAGGAAATCTGCTTTGGGATTGTTTCGTACCACCAGTCCTGAGCAAGGTTCGATGCCCAGAGACAAATGCCTTTCCAATCTTCAAGTGGTGGCTCTTTCTCCACCTAATAGTCAGTGGACAGTCTCCAATATGGCCCTGCCGGTTAATCATTACACTCACATACTTTTATATTGGTTGATTCTGAGTGACCCCCACCCAGGCCCCAATCCTAGGAACCTCTGGCCATTCCATCCATGATTTAGCAAATAAAGAGTTAATGCCTGGCAAAGAGGGCTGAGGGGGAGGTCCTCCAGGGCTCCCAGGCTACAGACAAATCCACTGTGCCTGTACTTCCAGTCTCACCTTTTTTGGGCACTTGCTGCCACCGATAGTCCCAGTTTTGCTGTGTGGCAGCCTGGCGTGAAGCTTCCATGCCTTCCCGGCTGGAAAAGCGTCGGATATCCCAGAGTTTGATGGTCTGGTCTTTAGAGTTGGAGATCAGATACCGGGCATCACCCTATGAATCCAAAGGTGGATAGTGAAGCATCAGAGCTTGCAAATGTCGGCGCCTGTCAGTCTAGTTCCCGTTCTCTAGTTGAGCAGAAGAACTCTGGCCTCTGGCTTTACTTGCCTCTCTTCATCCAGGTGAACTCATTTCCAGCGTTCTGCCTCAGATCCTACCACCTGGCTAGGTTTTCCTTTCCTTGCCCAGGCTACTGGCCGGCTTTCCTATTCTAGCCTTAATCAGATTGTCTTCCATTTTTCTTTTTTTAATTTTTAATTAACTAATTTTTTTTTGAGATGGAGTCTTGCTCTGTCACCCAGGCTGGAGTGTAGTGGGGTGATCTCGGCTCACTGCAAGCTCCGCCTCCCGGGTTCACGCCATTCTCCTGCCTCAGCCTCTTGAGTAGATGGGACTACAGGCGACTGCCACCACACCCAGCTAATTTTTTTGTATGTTTAGTAGAGACGGGGTTTCACCATGTTAGCCAGGATGGTCTCGATCTCCTGACCTCGTGATCTGCCCGCCTCGGCCTCCCAAAGTGCTGGGATTACAGGCATGAGCCACGGCATCTGGCCTTAGTTTTTTTTTTTTGTTTTTTTTTTTAAATAAATAGAGATGAGGTCTCGCTAGGTTTCACAGGCTGGTCTGGAACGCCTGAGCTCAAGTGATCCTCCCACCTCAGCCTCCCAAAGTGCTAGGATTACAGGTGTGAGCCGCTGTACCTGACCGGTCTTCCATTTTTCTTGTACGGAAAGCCCTGCCCTGCTCCTTGAGGACTGGTGAGTACAGATGGAATTCATGTTCCCTGGCTTGAGCCCCTTCCCTAAACTCCAACTCTTACAAACCTTGGTTAATAAGGAGCTTGTCAAATTCCCACACCAGTCCGCTTTCATGCCCTCCTGGGCAACTAGAACCTTAGCGGCCTGGCTGTACAGTCCTGACTTCTGGCCCACCTTGCTGTCAATGAAGGTGATGCCATCCTGGTGTCCAGCCAGTGCACCCACAGGCTTGGGGTCATCCTCCCGCATGGTGCGTCGATCCCACACTTTGCAGATGGCATCATCTCCCCCAGAGAACAGGATTTGGGAGCTTATATCAGCAAAGGCCACTGCATTCACATCATCCTCATGGGACTCAATCTAGGCGAAAAGGAGGCCAGGATATAAGACCTCTTTCTAGGTCTTATAAAAAGCCAAAAACCAGGAGGCAGAGGCTCTATCTCAGGAGCCATACCTGAAGGGTGCGCCGGTTCTGTTCTCGGTCAAAGACATACAGGCAGCCATCATTGGCCCTGAAAGGGAAGGGATAAAGGAGGGTCCTGGAGCCATGATCGAGAGGACCAACGTGGTATATGCTCTAGAGAGTTCCACTGAGAAATCCTGCTCTGGGTCAAGCCCTTTGCTCTTTTTATACAGGAAGTGGGGGAAGAGTTAGCTGTGTTTCAAGGAGGCTTGACACCTCCAATCTCGTGCTGGGGAAATGGAGAGCAAGGGGTGAAGCAACTTGTAAATCCTGACCTTGGGAGAAGGTCTGGTTGTTCTCTGCAGCTGCCAGTGCCATCTGTGTAACAGCAGAACTCATCTCTGGCAGAACCCCCATCTTGTTATTGAGGGAAACATACCCCACAAGCACTTACCCTCCTAGTACTTCTCGTCCATCTGAGGAGACAGCAATGGAGAAGACAGCAAAGCGACGCTCATCTGGCCTAAAAGCAAGAAGGAGCTGGGTTAAGTGGACTTCCTTCAGCTTTTGTTAATCTACATAAAATCTGACAACGGTTGTAAGGCACATCCCCAGGGGAAAAAAGAAGTCTGGCTAACATGCACCATAATGCAGATGCTCAGTGAGAACCCAGAAATCATCCTGCAACCATCTATTTTACCCAGTCCTCTGGCTGACAAGATGGTGCTTCCCTCCCAGGAATGCACACAGACCCACCAGTATACTTTTTCCCCTAAACAGAACTTCCAACTCAAGAGGTTTGCTCCCAAAGAGCTTCCCTTGAGAAGTTTCTGATGAGTCTGACCAGAAAGGGAAGCCAGTACCTGAGATCCAGGGCAGTGTGTGTATCTCCCTCACCATAGATATTGCAGATATGAACTAAGAGAAGCAAGAAAAACAAGAATCTTTCAGGGATGGGGGAAGAAGAGTGGAAGTGAAGCTAGGGAAGAGATCAAACAGGGGACAAGGGTACTGGAGCACTTTGGGAGTGATTTTCCCAGGACAAAGTGAGGGATCCTGGCTCAGAGGGGACAGGCACATGGAAACCTCAGGTCCCAGGCTGGAGAGTCAGTGGAAGCCTGGTGCATACTCACTGTAATCAGACCAGCTAGAGTAGAGGAAGTGGTTCCCATCAGGGGTGAAGGCCACATCCAAGACGCTCCAGCCTACGTCGCGGGCCTTGATGCTCTTGAATTTACGGAAACGGCCATATCGGCAGTCATAGAGTCGGATTGTCTGGTCTGTGTAAGTAAAGATCAGGCAGAATTATGGGACAGTTTCCTTGTAACTTTTCTAGATTAGACATCTCCCACTCAGTGTACCTGTGGAGTCTTCCCTTTATCATGGGAAACATGGTCTGGCTAAGCATCCTTAAGCCAGGTCTGAGCTCCCCGTCTGTGGCTTTCTAGCCTCAGTCAGGGGGAATGTCCCATGTTCCAGGAAAAGATAGTTTATAGGACCAGGGTCTGGTACCTTGGCAAGCAGACATGAATATTTGACCATCTTTGCTGTAGATGCCACAGAAAGCCTTCTGAGAGTAGCTATCAGTGAAGCCCAGATCATTGGGCAAGAAGCTAGGGAAGGAGAGAGAAAGTGAGGGTGAGGGGTGCTCAGGATAAGGAGTGTCCCAATCAGCAGAATCCTAACAGAGCTGGAATATCAGAACAGTCATTCTTCCCTTTTGGCTGTGAGTGCAATCCCGTCTTTCAACCATTCCACCATCCTCTAAATTTCTACAATTTTCTACACTTTTCTACTTTGTTTACTCTCAAAGTTTCAACCCCATTTAACCTAACCTTTAATATCTCTGAGGCTCCTTTAACACCTACCCCTTCAAAGTTTAGGAGATAAGACCTATCTGGCCCTTAGAGTCTCTTCACCAAGCCCCATACTCACTGAGATATCACTCGAGACTGTTCTCCAAGGGAGAAGCTTCCCCGATGGCAGAGGCCCCGTTCTCTCTAAATGGAAGGGATTGGGGAATATTGCTAGCAGAAATAGAGGGCCACTTCAGCCATATCAAGCCCCCTCCTCCAAAGATATTGCTCTTGTTATAGAAATGGACACACACATCATAGTCTGTCCCACAGAACTCCGATGGAGGCTGGTTAACTCTCCAGCCCCAGCGCTTGAGGCTTCTACTTTGGAAAGTTGACTTCCTTTTTCTCTGGGGCTGGCAGAGCTTCTGGCTGCTTTGGCAGGCCTGCTGCCAGGCTGGGAGGTGGAGAGGCCTACCTGGTGCAACATTCGAGGAAAGCTGTGCTTCTGGGCGGCCCGCCTAAGCCCCAGCTGCCCTGTGGCCAGTTCCACTTGTGTCTTGATCTCATTGAATTCCAGCTCCCGGGTGTCAGGGGTAGCATCCACTGTGAGTACCAAGGAGAAGTTTCATCCTAGGTCTGCCAGCCTCAGAGGACAGTTAGCAGAACTGTACCCAAGCCCACCCCTGTGGCTGAATATACTGGGGCTGTAAGGACTCCTTATTCCTTAAATTATCGTACCTTCTTTCAATGTAACCTATCATTCAAAATATCACTAAAAGGTTTTCTAGTAAAAGTCTTCCAACATTAGGGGCTTTTCCTCTTACCAGGTGGGTTGTATCGATCCCCAAGACGACCATCCCAAGCTCTGTCATTCTCTTCCTCTGAGTCCAAGAGGGCCTGAATGAATTGTAAATTTGCTGCACCTCCTCCCTGCACCAACCTCACTTGGCCTCTGTGGAGAGACCCCCATTATAAAGGAGGGGACTTCTTCCCCCAAACCAACCAAATTCAGAGTCAATGGCTATCTAGCTCTTAGACCACTTGGTACTCATTTTGAGGTTTGAGGCTGACTAGACCTTGGCTGTTATTTTTGGTCTCCTATAAAACACAGTAGGAAAGAGAGTTTTACTCTTACAGCAAGAGCAAGACCAACATGCTGTGGACGTGACCTACTAAGTTGACCTCCCAGCGAGCTAAACATTCTAACATCATTTCCTTAGAACAAGAGCAAGACCAATACGCTGTGGACATGACCTACTAAGTTGACCTCCCAACAAGCTAAACATCCTCACAGCATTTCCTTCTGAGCCTCTGCCTGAGAAGTCCACCACAGAAGACAATATTCTAAGCTGGGTGCGGTGGTGTGTGCAACTGTAGTCTTAGCTACCTGGGAGGCAAGGATTGCTTGAGCCCAGGAGTTGCAGGCTGTGGTGTGCACTTGATCACACCTGTGAATAGCCCGTTCTCCAGACTGGGGAACACAGTGAGCCCTGTCTATGTCTACTAAAAACAACACAAAACACAAACAAAAAAGAATACAATATTCTGAAGGGACCCCCAAACCCATCTTCTCCTCAAAGAGCCATAAGCAAAGAAAGAAAGCCAGCTGCACCCTTTTCCAGTCAATTCCAGGTGGTCTCTCCCTTCAAGGCATTCTTTCCTCAAGAACAGGTTAGAGTCAGGGCAAATTAAACTTGTTTTTCAAGTAAATCGAAGTGGCCTCATATCATGTGTCAACTGCCTTACTAAAAAGTTCAACACTCCCTTCCCATCTCTTCACCCCTTACATCACTCCTTTCCCACTAGGACCCCCCCCTTTTTTTTTTCAAGCTTACTTGGAAAATAGACTATATTTGTGTAGTCACAGAGACAGGCTCCCTTGAATAGCCCCTCAAACACATGAGCAGGTCCTCTTGGTGACCCTCCCTAGGTAAGAACCACTCTTACTGGGTATGGAGCTGAGTGCCATGGGTGCCCAGCAGGGAAAGGCTGTTCAGCTCAAACAGAACAGCTGTCCTGAGCGAATCCCATTTCCTAACCTCTGTAATTTTCCTGCCTGGAGTTGGGATCAAGGCACTGTGGTAGCACCTGCTGGGGGTCACACCAGAGGGTAAGTTACCTGCGGAGGAGATAGGCCAGTACCTGGGCCAGATCCACATCTTCATCCTCTTCTTCCTCTTCCTCACTCCGACGCAGGCCAGCCCCTCTTCGGGGCAAGCCCTCGGAGGGGTCTCCGGACCCGGATCCTGCACTGCTGCTGTTCCGCGATCCCATCTTCTGGTCACAGCATTCTTAGGTCCTGTGCGGGGGCTCCTCCTGTCACCTCCTTGGGTTTGGTGAAAGCAAAGCGTGCTCTAGAAATACCAGGGTCTCCTGAGACGGGGTAGTAGCTATCTCTAGGAGGGTGACCCTTCCTCGGGGCTGAGATCCCTTTTCTTTAGCCTATGCCAACTACCAAGGCGTCGGGAACACAAACCTTCTCCAATCCTGTGAAGCAAAGAAAGCAAGAGTGAACCGTAGTGCGCTACCCTAGCTCACCAACTGAAGAAAGATTTGTTTTCTACACCAAACTCACCTATCGAAGTCCCCGGACTGGGGAGCGGGAGGGGTGTTGGGCGGTGTTGGATTTCCAGGTAACCTCTCTGACCGACCAATCGAAATCCCTCTCGGAAGAAAGCGCTTCACTAGCTTATCTCATCTAACCAATTAGAAGCCTTAGGACTCAAAGACCCTCGACGCCCCCACCTTATCGACCAATCAGAGCGCCCCCTTACAAAGGCCGGCAGCAGTGACAGCCAATGAAAATAGAATTTGGCCTAACACCCCTCCTTCCTCGCCTCACGCCCACGTGGTGCGCCGGGGGTGTGTACGCCATGAGGGGGAGGAAGCCGAGAAGCACCTCCCACTGAAGCCGGCGGTAACCGCCCCACGCGAGACCACCCACCAGCCAGGAGCGGTCGCAGGACCCGCAGCGGCGCGAGGCCTTGTTTACACCGACTGCCGCCACTGCGTTGGCCAACCGCTCCTCCGTCACGCGCTTCGCTCGTCACGCATCTCGCGGCTTCCTGGCCGGCGGGCTGCAAACGTCACACGACGGCCCCGCCCCCTTGGCCAGCCAACTGGACAGCGGAGCACGATGATTGATAGGTAGGCGGGAGAATGCGCGAGGTGCCTGAGGGGAGGAGAAAGTGCACACCCAAGGAGGGCTGTTAGCTCTTGCTGGGGAGGAGTAAGTGGGAACTGCCAGCTTCCTGAATCAGAGACAGCCGAACTAGGCGTAACGGCTGAGAGGCGGGGCTTAAAAAAGAAACGTTTGGTGGTTCGCTACCGAGAGGTATTTTAGCAAGGGATATAATTTACTGTCTGTCCCTAAAGATCATTTGGCATCGCACTTTTCAGACAGTGCCCAAGGGCCTCCTTTCTCCCCACTGCTTCCCCTGTCCAGCTGGAGCCGTTCTTCTGTCGCTGGCCGCAGCTCCAGTCGGTTCTGCCCTAAGGGGTGCCCAGCGTCCCAGTAGACCTCCATACCGTCCTTCCGGGCTTAGCTTTTGGAAGCCTTGCTCTTGGGACGGTCCCCTTTTAGACCTCCCTTTATCCGGTCTGACAATTTTTTAAGACAATCCCTGGCTTTCCGCCGCGGTCTTTGCAGACGTTCCCTAATACACGCGTCTTTCTGTCAAAGCTTTTCCGGTTCCGCTGTCCCCTTTGACGCTCCCTTGGCCCTCCGGGATTTGCAGACCTTCGCTAGTCCCTCTGTCCTCGCGGTGCCTCTCCGCCCCCGGCCGCGGGTCCAGGGTGCGCGCTCGCCGCCTCCTGCCCCCTCCTGCCCCCTCCTGCGGGTTTATGAGTAACAAGCCTGAGTCCAAGGCCGGGAGTTGCCACATCTCTGATCCTCGCCCTGGCTGGGTGGGGACGTGTGGGTTGAATGACCTTGCTGTCTCGGGCTCAGAGGCTCAGGGTCCGAGCTGAACTTCATTCCCTGCAGCCTGCACTTCCTTGGGAAAGCTGCGAGCTTCCCTCCGCCCGCTCCTGAGGGCAGGGATGGGAGCGAGGGCTCGTGGCCTTCTTGGGCCCTCCTGGGGCCTCTCCCAGTGAGGGCGAGGGTTTGGCCAGCTTTCGGGCGACGTCTCCTAGTCTCTAGATCCGGAGACCTGAGCTTGTCACCAGGGCTAGCTTTGATGGCCTCTGCGCTTAGAAGGGTCCTGAATGTTTGGTTTAATGTTCTAGTGTTAACGGTCTTGAAATTATTAGTAATTTTAAAGCAAGTGCCTGGTATTTTCATCTTGCACTCGGCTCCACTGATTATGTAGGCGGTCTGCTGGGCGCCCATCCTCTATTGCCAGATTACTTACTATCTGTGCTTTAACGTTTATTGAGACTTTAGGATTCCGTGGTTTCTGGGTTATCCAGCCTGGAAAATCGGGATCTTTATTTATTGATTGATTTTACCTGCGTTCTCCCAGAATGTGACGGAATCATTTTTTTTTTTTATTATACTCTAAGTTTTAGGGTACATGTGCACATTGTGCAGGTTAGTTACATATGTATACATGTGCCATGCTGGTGCGCTGCACCACTAACGTGTCATCTAGCATTAGGTATATCTCCCAATGCTATCCCTCCCCCCTCCCCCGACCCCACCACAGTCCCCAGAGTGTGATATTCCCCTTCCTGTGTCCATGTGATCTCATTGTTCAATTCCCACCTATGAGTGAGAATATGCGGTGTTTGGTTTTTTGTTCTTGCGATAGTTTACTGAGAATGATGGTTTCCAATTTCATCCATGTCCCTACAAAGGACATGAACTCATCATTTTTTATGGCTGCATAGTATTCCATGGTGTATATGTGCCACATTTTCTTAATCCAGTCTATCATTGTTGGACATTTGGGTTGGTTCCAAGTCTTTGCTATTGTGAATAGTGCCGCAATAAACATACGTGTGCATGTGTCTTTATAGCAGCATGATTTATAGTCCTTTGGGTATATACCCAGTAATGGGATGGCTGGGTCAAATGGTATTTCTAGTTCTAGATCCCTGAGGAATCGCCACACTGACTTCCACAATGGTTGAACTAGTTTACAGTCCCACCAACAGTGTAAAAGTGTTCCTATTTCTCCACATCCTCTCCAGCACCTGTTGTTTCCTGACTTTTTAATGATTGCCATTCTAACTGGTGTGAGATGATATCTCATAGTGGTTTTGATTTGCATTTCTCTGATGGCCAGTGATGATGAGCATTTCTTCATGTGTTTTTTGGCTGCATAAATGTCTGCTTTTGAGAAGTGTCTGTTCATGTCCTTCGCCCACTTTTTGATGGGGTTGTTTGTTTTTTTCTTGTAAATTTGTTTGAGTTCATTGTAGATTCTGGATATTAGCCCTTTGTCAGATGAGTAGGTTGCGAAAATTTTCTCCCATGTTGTAGGTTGCCTGTTCACTCTGATGGTAGTTTCTTTTGCTGTGCAGAAGCTCTTTAGTTTAATTAGATCCCATTTGTCATCCTCCCTAACTCATTTTATGAGGCCAGCATCATTCTGATACCAAAGCCGGGCAGAGACACAACCAAAAAAGAGAATTTTAGACCAATATCCTTGATGAACATTGATGCAAAAATCCTCAATAAAATACTGGCAAACCGAATCCAGCAGCACATCAAAAAGCTTATCGACCATGATCAAGTGGGCTTCATCCCTGGGATGCAAGGCTGGTTCAATATACGCAAATCAATAAATGTAATCCAGCATATAAACAGAGCCAAAGACAAAAACCACATGATTATCTCAATAGATGCAGAAAAAGCCTTTGACAAAATTCAACAACCCTTCATGCTAAAAACTCTCAATAAATTAGGTATTGATGGGACGTATTTCAAAATAATAAGAGCTATCTATGACAAACCCACAGCCAATATCATACTGAATGGGCAAAAACTGGAAGCATTCCCTTTGAAAACTGGCACAAGACAGGGATGCCCTCTCTCACCGCTCCTATTCAACATAGTGTTGGAAGTTCTGGCCAGGGCAATCAGGCAGGAGAAGGAAATAAAGGGTATTCAATTAGGAAAAGAGGAAGTCAAATTGTCCCTGTTTGCAGACGACATGATTGTTTATCTAGAAAACCCCATCGTCTCAGCCCAAAATCTCCTTAAGCTGATAAGCAACTTCAGCAAAGTCTCAGGACGGAATCATTTTTTAAAAAAATTGGCCGGGCGCGGTGGCTCACGCCTGTAATCCCAGCACTTTGGGAGGCCAAGGCGGGTGGATCACCTGAGGTCAGGAGTTCGAGACCAGCCTGGCCAACATGGTGAAACCCCGTCACTAAAAAAAAAAAAGCCGAGTGTGGTGGCATGCGCTTGTAATCCCAGCCACTCGAGAGGCTGAGGCAAGAGAATCGCTTGAACCCGGGAGGTGGAGGTTGCATTGAGCCGAGATCACGCCACTGCACTCCAGCCTGGGCTACAAAAGCGAAACTCCGTCACACACACACAAAAAACAATCAACCAACCAAACAAAAAACACCTATGCCTCTTCCGGTAGTTGATCTGCTGAAGAATCCTCCTCTAACAGCATTTAGTGCTTAACGCACAAGTGAGCTGGGCACGGTGGCTTACGACTGTAATTCCAGCACTGTGGGAGGCCGAGGAGGAGGATCATTTGTGGCCAGGAGTTCAAGGCCAGCCTGGGCAACATAGTGAGACCCAGTCTACAAAAAGAAAAAAAAAATAGCCGGCCATCGTGGCGCGTGCCTATGGTCCCAACTTACTTGGGAAGGATGAAGGAGGGAATCTTGAGCCTATGAGGTGGAGGCTGCAGTGAGCCATGATTGCTCCACTGTACTCCAGCCTGGGGATAGAGCTAAAGACTGTCTCTAAAAGAAAATCAACAAATGGCTCACTATTGTTCATTGTTTCAAATACAAACTTCCAAACCTGGATGTCTATTTTTAGTAACCTCATTTTTTGATATTTCTGCTAAGCAAATATGCCAATAAATAGCTTGTTTATTTTTACCTCTGCACCTTCCCAGGAGAATTTCTTATTAGAGGGAAGCTGTCTACAAAACTCCCTTCCTCACAGCCTTGCACTTTGACCCAGTAATACTGCTTCCAGAAATCTAGGCCGGACATGCATAAAAATTTATGTTCTACATAGCAATTATTGATAAAAGTGGAACACTGGAAACAAAGATCTAAATATCTTGCAATATGGGATTGTTAAATAAATTATGGTCCATGTAGTATAGACACAGAAATACCAGGTAGCTATTAAAATGGTGTTGTAGTCTTCAATTTTTTTTTAAGGTACCTATTCCTGGTATAGGTTTGTTGTAGCCTTCTATTTTTATACCATAGGAAATTGTGCAAACTACATTGTCAAGTTAAAAAAATAAAGATAATCATTTCTTCTGGTGACATGTAATAGATGCAAAAACGATGTGGTTTCATTTTTTCATTAGAAAGTATAATAGGCGTGGTAGCTCACACCTGTAATCCCAGTACTTTGAGAGGCTGAGGCGGGCAGCTCGCTTGACCACAGGAATTTGAGATCAGCCTGGGCAATGTGACGAAACCCCATCTCTACGAAAAATACAAAAACAAAATTGAGCTGGGCCTGTAGTCTTGGCTACCCAGGATGCTGAGGTGGAAGGATCACCTGAGTCTGGTCAAGGCTGCAGTGAGCCATGATTGCGCCACTGCACTTCATCCAGCCTGGGCGAGAATGAGACCCCGTCTCAAAGAAAAAAAAAAAAAGTATAATAATACCCAGCTCATTACATCATTAAACAAAGTGGGGAGGGCTTGCATGAACTGGTGACAAAGGTGTAGCTTCTACAAAGGATTATGATGAATACAGCTATAGCACCTGAGGTCCAGAAAAACGAACAAAAAACTTCTGTTAAACTTATCTCCTTAACAATTCATTTTTTGATTCTCTTTTCTCTTCTTCTTACAAATTAGTTTAAACCTGAATAAAATCTTTTAATTCAAGCTTTTGTAATATGGAACTTGTACATTATTGAGTAAAACATTTAAAAGTCATGGTAAATGTTAAAATAACTGAGGTTTTATGACAAAATTGAGTCCTTCACATCACATGGGAAAGAATATAAGATTAATCACTGGATTCATTGATTAATTTTTTTGCGTATAAAAGATTTTTTTTTTTTTTTTTTGAGATGGAGTCTTGCTCTGTCACCCAGGCTGGAGTGCAGTGGACCGATCTCGGCTCACTGCAAGCTCCGCCTCCCGGGTTCATGCTATTCTCCTGCCTCAGCCTCCCGAGTACCTGGGACTACAGGCGCCCGCCACCATGCCCGGCTAATTTTTTGTATTTTTCTTAGTAGAGACGGGGTTTCACCATGTTAGCCAGGATGGTCTCGATCTCCTGACCTCATGATCTGACCACCTAGGCCTCCCAAAGTGCTGGGATTACAGGTGTGAGCCACCACGCCTGGCAGCATATAAAAGATTTTTAAGCCTATGAACTTGATTATCTCACTATGACCTGTAATGTTTTTCAAAATGTGTAAGAGCATTTATATCTTAGGGTATACAGTGTGTCTATTGAAATAAATAAAATGGCATATCTTTAAAAATAATTATGGTGAAGTCATTTTGATAGACTAAATTTTGCCTATGCTGTCTTGATTTTGAAATTTGGTACGTTGCGTGGTTACAGTTTGTGAAGCACTTTTCATTTGGGTAACCTCTACTCTCTCCAGTTGCACTTAAAGTCACTTAAAGCCACAGAGAGGTTTTTCTACCTTCAGCACCCATTTTAGGACAATTTCTGGTAATTGCTAAGTAAATGTCAGCTAGTTGACTTCCTGCCTGACCTGTCTTGGCCTGTTTCCTGCTCATTAGCATCTCCACTAGAGGGCAGGCTGGGCTGCTGAGGAGAGAAGGAAAGGAGTGTTTTCATTCTCTAGCTAACCCTGTCCTCCTCTCCTCTACTGCAGCTCCCAGCTTGGTGACCACACAGAGCTCCTGGGACAGTTCCGTGTTTGGAGTGACTGATGCTCATACATGTGTTTGAACATTGCCTTATAGTATTCTCTGTGTCGATGGAAATGGAGAGTGTGCTAATAATTTACCTAGGGACTTAAAATGTGTTGACTAGAAAGCCACTAAGTAACTATGGGATGTTCTAATACTCTCATGTCTTGTGTCTGTAAGAATCAGATTTTTCTGTGTGTAGGGTAGGAGCTATAGATGTAATATAAGTAAATACCCTTTAGTGGCCCGGGGTAGTGGCTCACACCTGTAATCCCAGCACTTTGAGAGGCTGAGGCAGGTGGATTGCTTGAAACCAGGAGTTCAAGACCAGCCTGGGCAACATAGTGAGACCCCATCTCTAAAAAAAAAAAAAAAATTAGCCAGGTGTGGTGGCTTACACCTGTAGCTACTCGGGAGGCTGAGGCAAGAGGATCATTTGAGCCCAGGAATTCAAGGCTGCAGTGAGCTGTGATCACGCTACTGCATTACAGCCTGGGCAACAAAGCAAGACCATGTTTCCAGAAAACCCTTTAGCCCTGATTTTGAATAGAACATGTCAGTATGAGTTCATGAGGTTTTATCTTCTGTCGCTATCCACCAAAAAGATCTAGAAACAATGACCAATCCAGTATCAATGAACACTCCTAGCATCCAGATTGTGGTCTTAAAACGCCATTTCCCCCTGAAAGAAGCCAGAGCTTCTTAGAGAAAAAGCTGATTCCAGGTTTGGGGAAGGAAATGAACACAATGAGCATGGAGCAACTTATACCAGATAGCCGGGAAGCAAGGAGTATGTATCATGTCAAAAGGACTCAGCTCTTTTTGGCCTAGCTTCCATAGCCAAATGTGGGACAATTTGAACATTTAATAAGGTCAATTTAATAAACACTAAGTATGTTTAAATCCATGAGTTCATAATGTTTGTGTGTAACTAACTGGTTACCTTTTCAAAGGATAATAGGAAATCAAATCATTTTTTTGAAGATGATAAATAAAGATAAAGAATTAAGCAGTTATCCTGCTGTTTCTATATAAACAATACCATAGGGTAATGAAATAGAAGTGTCCATTTTATAAAATTATTGCAATGTTATGACAACTCAAATATGGCTGTTTTGCAATCCCTAGTGAGTTAATGCATTTAGACACTGAACATCTGAGTCTGGATTCGTCAATGGGTAAATTGAAGGAAAAGAAAGGAATGGAGGGGGAATCTGTAGACTGATAGAGACTTGAAAGACATATGAAAAAAATTTTAAATGGGAGCAAAGCTAAACTATAGTGTCTAAGGATCTACATTTAGGTGATCAAACTATAAAAAAATGCAAAGAAGTAATTATTACTCACCATAGTATCCACTATGGCAGGAAGGGGTGGCTATGATAGAGATGGGCAACAGGGTCGGGGCGGGGCGGGGCTGGGTTGGTGTCTGCAAAGTTCTGTTTCTTTCCCTGGGTAGTGTTCCAAAGGTGTTCACTTTATGATAGTTTATTCAGCCATAACTTTGTTTTAGATGGTCTTCTGTATCTGTGTTTTATTTTAAAATAAAAAGATTATAATGTGTTAACTATATTTTATCAGTTATCTGGAGCTGAAGGGCATGCAGCCCCATTTTATTCTAATTAATAAAAATAATTTTTAAGGCTAACACTTTCTTGTCCCTGTGCATTTAGAAGATACCAGAAAGGTGCCTGGAACCCCAGTTCCCTGCCTCTTAGCTGGAGGGATTTATTTTTAAATCTATTTTCTTTCTCTCCTAGATTTTATTTACATTGCTCATGTTCCTTTTAAACTGTAGAGTCAGCAATATGTAATATACGCTTACAGGGCCTACTCTAATCATTATAAAGTGGAAAGGTGATGATAGCTAACATGTATTAAATGGTTATTCGGTGCCAGGCATAGTTCTGAGTGCTTTATTCCACTGACTCTTTTAATCTTCCCAACAAGACTGTAAAGTGTAGGCATTTCCATTTTACAGATGAAGCAACTGAGAGGCACCTCTGGCTCAAGTCTACTATGTGTTTAATACCTGTGCTATGTTGCTTTTGACGGTATTCAGTTATCATATGCTATTTATGAAGCTAAGGATTTGGCTGTGTTTTATTATTATTTTTAAATTTTTAAATTTATTTATTTATTTATTTTTTTTTTGAGACAGAGTCTCACTCTGTCGCCTAGGCTGGAGTGCAGTGGTGTGATCTCAGCTCACTGCAACCTCAGCCTCCCAGTTTCAAGTGATTCTCCCGCCTCAGCTTCCTGAGTAGCTGGAATTACAGGCATGGGCCACCATGCCTGGCTAATTTTTGTATTTTTAGTAGAGATGGGGTTTCACCATGTTGGTCTAGCTGGTCTCAAACTGCTGACCTCAGGTGATCTGCCCACCTCGGCCTCCCAAAGTGTGAGCCACCGCGCCTGGCTGGCTGTGTTTTAAAGTACAATATACTCCACTGCTAACTTTGTTCTAACCTCTGTTCCACTCTGACCTTTAGATTTTTACACATTCTGGCTGGTCACTGGCATTTCCTATGAGAACACTTGGTGTTTCCTCTTCTAGTTTTTTCCTTTGAGGGAGTTCCCAATAATTCCATTTTATTTGTTGAAGTTTGTTCCCTTTTTCTGGGTAAAGACTACCACACTACCCACCTTAGGTTATACATTCTCTCAGCCTGATCCAGATTGCACAGAAGTTATCCTAAGCTGATGCCCCTGACTCATGTGAGATCATTGCACTGTTTTCCTGATTACTCTCCAAAGTTTATTTCAGATGAATTTAGGCTACTCTAAACTGTAGTTCGCAGACCGGCAGCATCAGCATTACCCAGGAGCTTGTAAGGAAAACAAAATCTTGAGGCTACTACAGACTTGCTGAGTGACAATCTGCATTTTAACAAGATCTCCAGGTGATTCAAAGGCACTTTTAAGTTTGAGAAACACGGAATAGGTGACTTTTTATTTTTTTATTTTTTTGAGACAGAGTCTTGCTCTGTCCCCCAGGCTGGAGTGCAATGGCATGATCTAGGCTTACTGCAACCTCTGCCTCCTGAGTTCAAGTGATTGTCCTAAATAGCTGGGATTACAGGCACCTGCCATCATGCCCAGCTAATTTTTGTATTTTTGTAGAGAAGGGGTTTCACCGTGTTGGCCACGCTGGTCTTGAACTCCCAACCTCAGGTGATCCGCCCTCCTTGGCCTCCCAAAGTGCTGGGATTATAGGCATGAGCCACTGCGCCCGGTGGAATAGGTGACTTCTAAGGTCCTTGCAGTTGTAGATGTCTATACTACTATGAAAGACATGTCTTTGCAGTTTTATCACTTTAACCCTTAGCTCTATTGTTTACTAACTGTGAAGCTTTGGACAAATTACTTGACCTCTCTGTGCCTTTGTTACTTCATCTGTAAAATGGTAATTCCCCCAAAGGGTTGTTAGGTATGTGCTTAGAACACTGCCTTGTTGGGAATAGGCCCCCAAAATCTGGCCATAAACTGGCCCCAAAACTGGCCATAAGCAAAATCTCTGCAGCACTGTGACATGTTTGTGATGGCCATGACACCCACACTGGAAGGTTGTGGGTTCACCGGAATGAGGGCAAGGAACACATGGCCCACCCTGGGCAGAAAACCGCTTAAAGGTATTCTTAAACCATAAACAATAGCATGAGCGATCTGTGCCTTAAGGACATGCTCCTGCTGCAGATAACCAGCCAGAGCCCATCTCTTCATTTTGGCCCATCCCTTTGTTTCCCGTAAGGAATACTTTTAGTTAATCTATAAAAACAATGCTTATCACTGACTTGCTGTCAATAAACACGTGGGTAAATCTCTGTTCGAGGCTGTCAGCTCTGAAGGCTGTGAGACCCCTGATTTCCCACTCCACACCTCTATATTTCTGTGTGCGTGTTTTTAATTCCTCTAGCACTGCTGGGTTAGGGTCTCCTTGACAGAGCTGGTCTCAGCAGTGCCTGGCATAAAGAAGGTGCCACAGAAGTGTTGTTAGCTGTCCTAATATTGAATATGCTTCCATGAATACTATGCAGCTCCCAGTGCCAGGTCAGGCAGGGGGAAGAACAAATTCGAGAACTGACAATGAAGCCACTTCACTGGAGAATGGAGTTGTAGAGGCTTCTGCAATCTAAGTGGGAGATCAGGAATTTTAGGCTTGGGGGCTGTACTGAGCAGCTTGCTGAGGCCCTCAGTTTTTTTTTTGTTTTGTTTTGTTTTGTTTTTTTTTTTTGTGACGGAGTTTCGCTCTGTTGCCCAGACTGGAGTGTGCAGTGGCACGACCTTGGTTTACTGCAACCTCTGCCTCCTGGGTTCACACCATTCTCCTGCCTCAGCTTCCCAAATAGCTAGGACTACAGGCGCCCGCCACCACTCCCGGTTAATTTTTTTTTTTTTTTTGTATTTTTAGTAGCGATAGGGTTTCACCGTGTTAGCCCGGATGGTCTCAATCCCCTGACCTCGTGATCTGTGCGCCTCAGCCTCCCAAAGTGCTGGGATTACAGGCGTGAACCACCACACCCAGCCTCACCATTTTTTTTTTTTTAAGAACTCAGGACATAGAGTGGATAGTGCCTTCTCCCAGCAATTCCTATGTCTGTGACCCAGTGCTAGAGCTACCTGTAAAACAGATCTTTGATTGTGCCAGGCTGTGCTTCTTCTAGGGGCTGGAAGAAGATGATTGTGAGACAGGTGTTAGAGGGAAGCCTGTGAAGATAGGTGGGAAATGAAAACAGCACAAATCTTGTGTAAAATAGATAAGCATCTCTTATTATTGGACAGTCTTTGTGGGAAGGTCTATGGCACATTGAAGATGTTAGTTAATATCAAATTGCTCATATTTTCTGCAAGGTGCCTTCCCTATTCCCAGATGAGGGTGCTATGTCCTCTTGCTAGACTAGGGCCTCAGGTCACATTTTGTGCACACGTCTCTCCAGGGCCTCAAGCTCAGCCAACACCTCTTTGGGCAGATCCTGGTTGACCTGCTCTGTCAGGTAGCTCCGAATGTCACGAACCTCCTGTTCCCAGAAGTCCTTGGGGAGGGAGAACAGCTGAGTGGTGTCTATAGCTCTGAGGCCGCTGAGATCCAAGGCTCCTTCCTTTGGCACCAGCCCAATGGGTGTCTCTCGGGCACTGTCCTCCCCCTCTAACCGCCGGCAGATCCAGTCTAGCACCCGAGCATTCTCCCCAAAGCCTGGCCACAGGAAGTGCCCTGCCTCGTCACGCCGGAACCAGTTGACATGGAAGATACGGGGCAGCTGGGCCCCCTTGCGCCCTTCCATGCTCAGCCAGTGTTCCAGGTAGTGCCCGAAGTTGTAGCCAAAAAAGGGCCGCATGGCAAATGGGTCGTGCATGATGATCTTCCCTGGGGGGGAAGCAAGATGGGTAAGGAATCTTCCTTCTCACTGGGGTAGGGAAGGGCACCCTGCATCCAGTTGGAGGAAGCTGTGAAAGGCTTATGGTTCTGAATATCTTCAGGGATGGGGAAAAGATAGAAGTGGGAAGAGGTGGGGCCATATCAGACTCCAGGGGTGGACAAAAGGAAGGTCTGGCTCAGGAAGGGAGAGAGGACGTGCTGTGTGCACACACAGGAGAGGGAGGAATGGTGAGGGTGCTCACCTTTGTGTTCTGCTGCAGCAGTGGACTCAGAGCGCATGGCGCTGCCCACAAACACCCCATGACGCCAGTTGAAGGCCTCGTATACCAGGGGTACCCCTAGATCACCAATGAACAGAGTCACAGGCAGCCCTTTTCTTTGGACCCTAACTCCAGCCCTTCTGGTGAGCTTGACTGGTACTCTCTCTCCTAAGACCTCGGCTATCCCATTTTCAGACCCTTTGCCTCCTCCCAAGTTTGCATTCACCAGGGGAGAACTCTGGAGAAAGGTGAGATCCAGGCTGAGGCTCTGGATCAGAGGGAGGGAGGTAGGCCCTAATACAGAGATAGCCCTTTTGCCAAGAACATGGAGCTCATATGTTGTTTACCTTTGGGTCTGCGGCCACCAAAGATGATGGCGTCAATGGGGACACCCTCTGGGGCCTCCCAGGCTGGGTCCATGATGGGGCACTGGCGAGCCGGGGCACAAAATCGAGAGTTGGGATGTGCACAGGGCTCCTTGTCACCTGGCAGAGGAAATACAAACACTATTATTTCCAAGGTCATGTCGACCCCCAACACACACATACATGGGCACACATTCTTGCAGGGTTCTTTTTTTTTTTTTGCCTCATCAGCTGCCTAGAACCTTGTGTGATAAGGAGCAGAGAGAGGGGAGCCAGGGCATCTCCAAGAGCTCAGGTTGTTTAGCCATGAAGGTGCGGCCAGCTGAGCTATGTGAGAAAAGAGTGGGAGAGGAATTGGGGTTTGGCAGGGCACTAATGTTTGTGCCAAGCTACTGGCACTTGGCACTGACCAGGGCTCAAGGGAATGGGGTTAGATATGGGCATAAGGTTATAATAATTTTTCCCCCAGAAACTATTTCATTATTTGTGAGATTATTATTTAAATGAATACCCAAACCTAAAGCAAAAACTGAGAATGTCAGCTTAGTACTTCAGACAATTGACTTTCCGTCAGCAAACCGGGGAAGACAGGTTCTCCTAAGTTATCCAAATGCAAATAGGAATTTATTTTATCTTTTTATTTTTGAGGCAGAGTCTTGCTCTGTTGCCCAGGCTGTAGTGCAGTGGTGCAATCTTGGCTTACTGCAACCTCCGCCTCCCAGGTTCAAACAATTCTCCTACCTCAGCCTCCCCAGTAGCTGGGATTACAGGCACCCACCACCATGCCTGGCTGATTTTTTTGTATTTTTAATAGAGATGGGGTTTCACCATGTTGGCCAGGCTGGTTTCAAACTCCTGACCTTAACTGATCTGCCCACCTTGGCCTCCCAAAGTAGTAGGATTACAGGCATGAGCCACTGCGCCTGGCCTGATTTTATTTACTTAATTAATTTAGTTATGAGACGGAGTCTCACTCTGTCACCAGGCTGGAGTGCAGTGGCATGATCTTGTCTCACTGCAACCTCTGCCTCCTGGGATCAAGCAATTTTCCTGCCTCCTGAGTAGCTGGGATTACAGGCATGAGCCACCATGCCTGGCTAATTTTTGTATTTTATTGGAGACGGGGTTTTGCCATGTTGCCAGGCTGGTCTCGAACTCCTGACCTCAGGTGATCCAACTGCCTCGGCCTCCCAAAGTGCTGGGATTACAGATGTGAGTCACTGTGCCCTGCAAGGAATTGATTTTAAAGCTAACAACATGTTGGTGATTTCCCTGCCCTGCTTAGACCCTGATGAAGTGATAGGGCTGGAAAAATAGAGATAGGGATATCACATGGGTAGGGATAACCTCAGGAGCCCAGGTCACACTTGGCACCTTCAGGTGTCCTGGAGGGGGGTTGGGACTAAGTCAGTGGCACATGTATGAAGCACCACTGTGTGGCCCCTGAGTGGACATGGTGCCTTCTCTGCTGGAGGTTGCTGGTCAGACCTGGGGAGTGGGGAAGCCACGGGGCCAAAATCCCCACCCTCTCCCATCCGCCAGCTTCTGCCCGCCATTGCAGATAAGAGCCATCCTTCTTCAGCACCCAGTGCAGAATCCTAACACAGGGTATTATTCTGGGAATTGAAGCTGGGGACAAGATGCCCTAGTTATGCCCCCAAATCTGGAGATGATGAAAGGGTTGGGGAACTAGCCTGTGGGGAAAGATGAAAGTTTCTTGGATTTCTCAGTTGGGTGGGAAGGCTGAGGGGGGCTTAATGATGGTGTTAGTAAAAATAAAGGGTGATTAGATGAAGCAAGGAGGGTGACTGCTAGGCCAGCCTGGCAAACCTGAATATAGGCTTCAGTGACTACAAGGCCAGCCTCCCCTCCCATGCTCTTCTTTGCCCCTGCCTCTTGGTGTCTGGACTGCCTGACTGCAGAAGGCCATGGAAAGAATACTGAAGGTCCAGAGTGCAGGGCTGAGGGAGAGGTGGGACTCCCAGGCGCCCAGGGTAATGACAGGATTCAGAAACTAGCTTCTGGGAAAGACTCAAGCACTGACCTGATTTTGTTTGTAGGAAGGATTGGGGTGAATGCTTTGGAGGGACAGGGGAAGGGTGACGGTAACAATACTGACCTTTAGACAGTGGTTATTATACAGGGGACAGTGGGAGCCAAGTGGCAGGAGGAGAGTTGGAGCAGAGGAGGCAGCTTTCCTCTTTTCCTAATGGGCCAAACTTTATGGATAGTGCTTGGAGCCCAATACCTTCTGTAAGAATGTTCAAAAGTCCTTCCTTTTCCTTTCATTAAAAAAAAATCCAGCCTGTATTTATTATTGAGAATTTACTGTGTATTTGTCAGTGTGATAAACCCTTTTTATGCACTATTTAATCCTCCAACAATCTCATGAGATAGGTACTATCACAACTACCCTCATTCAACTGATGTGGAAACTAAAGCTTAGGGAAGTTGAGCAACTTAGCCAGATCACAAAACCAGTGACTGGTGGAGTTGGGACATGAACTGAGATTTTGCCTGGGACTGGAAACTGCAAACGTTCATGACTTCTGTGCCTCCTGGCAGTCCTAGAAGATGGTTGGAGGTTGTGGAGAAAGCTTTTCCACCATTAAGGTGCTGAGGCCTGGAGGCTGTGCCACACCTTCCCCACCGCACATACCAGGTTTCCAGGGTTTGCCCAGCCAGGAGGTCACAGTAACACCAGGTGGAAGAGGCTGGTCAATGCCCTCCCAGTACACGCCACCATCACTGGTCTCAGCCACATTGGTAAAAATAGTGTTACTCTGGATTGTAGCCATGGCGTTGGGATTGGTGGTGGCAGAGGTACCAGGGGCAACCCCAAAGAAGCCGTTCTCAGGGTTGATGGCCCGGAGTCGACCTGTTAGGAGAAGTGAAAGAAAGGAAGGACCAAACAAGGAAAACTTGAGATGTAAGACCAAAGAAGGTCCTGCTCCACCCACCCCTGTCCTGAGATGGACCCAAGATCTGATGAGGAAAGGCTGTCTCTCGGGTGGCTGGGCTGCCAGAGGAATGGAGCAGGGTTGGGTGTTCAGGAAACTTTCTCACTGACAAAGTCATTGTGAACACTAGAGAGGAGACCCCGAGGCTCTGACAAGAGCCAGAACCAAGAGTATGATCTGAGAGTCCCTCACCTTCACTGTCAAACCTCATCCAAGCAATATCATCCCCCACACACTCCACTTTCCAGCCTGGCAGTGCAGGCCGCATCATAGCCAGGTTGGTCTTGCCACAGGCACTAGGGAAGGCGGCTGCCACATAGCGCTTCTTCCCTGCAGGGCTGGTGATGCCCAGGATCTGTGCATTGGGGAGAGAGGGAATAAGAAAGAGGTCACCAAAAGTCAGGGCATGGTCTGCATGGGGAAGGGCAGCTAGGGTCTAATAGGGAGGACCAATGTTTATTAACTATATAAGTGATTGCCCTGCCATCAGGCCTGGGTTAGTGGCAGGGGAAACCTCAACATTCAGCAGCCTGAGGCCAAAGCTTTGGGCCTTCAAGTAGAGTCCCCGCCCACCAGCCTGGCACCTGGCAGGAGGGAGGTGAGGCTGAGGCAGACTGGCCAGGCCCCACCCCTGCCCTGTCCCCGGCAGCTGCCCTGCTTCTCACCAGGCCCTCACCAGCATGTGCTCTGCCAGCCAGCCCTCATCCCGGGCCAGCCGAGAGGCGATGCGTAGGGCAAAGCACTTCTTGCCCAGCAGGGAGTTGCCACCATAGCCGCTGCCGAAGGAGATGATCTCCCGCTGGTCGGGCACGTGGCCAATCAGGGTTTTCTCTGGGTTGCACGGCCACTGGCTCACTGGCTCCCCTGGGGACAATGGGGTCATGGGGCTGCTGGCAGCAGCATCAGGAACTGGGGTGTCGGGGCCAGAGGGATCAGGGATTGGCAGGAGAGACACTTGGGAGCAGTAGCAGCACCAAGAGGTGGCTGAAGCCCCCCACCTCATAATAACCATCAGCTTCCATGCCCCTATTCTTGGACACGGATTTTTCTCAACCTAGTGCAAAGTGCTCTGCAAACACAGCCTTATCCCTCTGCTGGGACTGCTGCTCTGGATCTTGGGAATTAGGTTGCCAGAGAGGACAGGTTCTTAGGGTCTGTGGAGAGGTAGGATTTGGGATTTCCTCTGAGTACAAGAAGGCCTCTGTGTTCCCCTTGGGGCAGAGCAGGTGCTTACCTTGTCCTGTCAGGGGCTGGCCCACGGAGTGCAGACACTTGACAAAGTCACCATCTCCCAGGGCCTGAAGCACAGGTGTCCCCAGTCGGGTCATAATACGCATGCTTGCCACCACATAGGCTGAGTCAGTGAGCTGCACCCCGATGCGGGACAGCGGGGAGCCCACAGGACCCATGCTGAATGGAAGCACATACATGGTGCGGCCTGTGGAGGAAGGCATCCCCTGGATGAAGGGTTCCAAACCTGTTCACATCTTCCGTGCCCTTGCCACTGTGCCCCTGCCCTGGTTACCCTGCATGCAGCCTGGAAACCTCTCATCCACAGCTCGCTGGAAATCAGCTGGGGACATCCAGTTGCCCAGCTGCCCACGGGCCCCACCAGGCGGGAGTGGTACCGTGTCCCGCTGAGAAGGAGTTACAATCACCGTCTTGCTCTCTACTCGTGCCACATCCTTGGGGTCTGTGCGGGCCAGCCAGCTGGGGGAGAGGGGATTGTCAGGAAGATGGTGGCCAGCAGGTTTCCCTTGTCCCTAGACCCACTTTTTCAAGTCCAACTTTGACTCCAGGTCTTCTGTTGGCCTTATGTTTCCCCACCCAATCACATCTCAGTCCCTTCCTCCAGGCTTTGTCCCATCTAAGGGGTGTTCCCCAAGGTCCCAGCCCTCTGGGGGTCTCTGCCCCTGGCAAAAGCTCCCTGAACTGGTGAGGAAAAAAAAAAAAAGCAAAGGATCTTATTTATATCAGCTTCTTCATTTAACATTAAAATAAAATACAAACTACAAACTAGGCTGGGCGCAGTGGCTCATGCCTGTAATCCCAGCACTTTGGGAGGCTGAGGTGGGTGGATCACTTGAGGTTAGGAGTTTGAGACCAACCTGGCCAACATGGTGAAACCCTGTCTCTACTAAAAATACAAAAATCAGCTGGGTGTGGTGGCGCATGCTTGTAATCCCAGCTACTCCGGAGGCTGAGGCAGGAGAATTGCTTGAGACAATTCCCCGGAGGCAGAGGTTGTTGTGAGCTGAAATCATGCCACTGCACTCCAGCCTGGGTGATACAGTGAGACTCCATCTCAAAAAAAAAAAAAAATCCCAGTTTCTTTCTTTTTTTTTTTTGAGACAGAGTTTCGCTCTTATTGCCCAGGCTGGAGTGCAATGACGCGATCTTGGCTCACTGCAACCTCCGCCTCTTGGGTTTAAGTGATTCTCCTGCCTCACCCTCCCAAGTAGCTGGGATTACAGGCATGCGCTGCCATGCTGGGCTAATTTTTGTATTTTTTTTTTTTTTTTTCAGTAGAGACGGGGTTTCTCCATGTTGGTCAGGCTGGTCCCAAACTCCCGACACCTGGTGATCCACCCGCCTTGGCCTCTCAAAGTGCTGGGATTATAGGCGTAAGCAAATCCCAGTTTCTGGGTCTGTTTACCCCAAAGCTCTCATTCTTGTTCATTCCATTGGGATGTTCTAGTTAAGTTGATTTTGCCTTGGTGAACCCAAAGTGGCCTCAGTGCACCTATCCTGCAGGTTGTGGAGCCCAAGGCTTACCAGTTATTGTACTTGGGGAGCTTTCGGATGAGGCCCTGCTGCTCCAGCAGGGTCAGTGTGGCAGTATTCTCAGCCTCAGTTCCATCACAGATGTGGATGCCCTCTGGTTGGCACAGGCGGGCACTGTGCTCTACAAAATCTCGAATGCCAGTGGGAAGCTGGCCCAGATCTCCACTAAGCACTCGCAGGGTCTGGATGCTACGGCATGATGGCCAGCCCAAGGGGCTCAGCCCATGCCAGTTAAGCCTATAGGAGAAACAGAGGCAATGAGCTAGTTGCTGTCATCGAGAGTGGACAAGGCAGGTGGTGGAGAGACAGAAAGCTTGGGCTGCAGCCTGCTAAAACATGTCTGCATGCAGGGACCATGAAGAGCAGGTTGCAGTTGGTGTGTGGGATGTGTTCAGGACACATGTATCTTGTAGCCTTTATGAGGCTTGAGGAGGGTGTCTCCTGCTCAGCGAGGGACAGATATGGCCAAATGAGCAAAAAAGGCACATGCCTGGCTGTGTGGAAGTATACATGTAGGCATGCTGATGTTACTGCCTGTGTAGCCCATGCCCATGTTTAACTGTTTAATCAACGTTTAGAAATAAGTAGGGAGATGGCTGGGCACGGTGGCTCATGCCTGTAATCCCAGCACTTTGGGAGGCTGAGGCAGGTGGATCATGAGGTCAGGAGATCAAGACCATACTGGGCAACATGGTGAAACCCCATCTACTAAAAATATAAAAATTAGCCGGATGTGGTGGCGTGTGCCTCTAGTCCCAGCTACTCAGGAGGCTGAGGCAGGAGAATCGCTTGAACCCGGGAGGTGGAGGTTGCAGTGAGCCGAGATCGGGACACTGCACTCCAACCTGGGCGACAGAGCAAGACTCTGTCTCAAAAAAAAAAAAAAAAAAAAAAAAAAAAGAAATGAGTAGGGGCCTTTGGCCCAAGTGTCAAGACAAGAAGTTGGGCCCAGGTGACAATTTCATATGTCTGGTATTTGAAGCCTCATCCATTTTATTTCCATTTTCAAGTATAGTTTTTTATAAATTAAAATGGCAGCTGTGTTTATTCTTTCCTTCTGGTGTGTATGCTGTAAGACTATGAAAGCCCCAAGCAAAGGTCACAGTCTTTCCAGTGCCAGGTTTCTAGATGAGGGCTCTTGCACAGAGAATAGGTGACTGGATGCTGGGCTTCCAGGCCCTGATCTGCTGCTGCCCACTTGGACCAACAATGGTTGCATAAAATGTTGCCCTCGGGTAAGTATTTCTGAACTCTGCGGAAGGTTGACCACTGGGGAATGAGTGTCACTGGCTGGGGTTCATGGGCTTAATTCTCAGGAGGTCAGCGTCCTGTTGTCTGTCCTCTCATGGCCCTGGGAGACAGAGAAGCAACGTCTGCTCTGATTGGCCTGGACTCAAGGTGGAGTAAACCCGAGAGAGCAAAGACCATGAAGGGGATGTTACTCTCCTCCTCTATCAAGGCCTCGCCCATCAGAAACTGCCCCCACACCCAGGACCACGTGACCCCGTGCTTCCCCTGGCTCTTCTTCCTAGAGGCCACATGCCTAGAGAGCTTTGGTGTTGGTGGGAGGGTGGAACAGCAGCTTGCTGGCAGCTCAGACTCAGAGGGTGTTAGCCTGGGGAAGGAAGAAAGCTCAGAGCATGGATACGGGAGCTTGAGTCTGTCTGGGGTAGAAGCTGGGGTGGTTTCCGCTAAAGCAGGATAGATGATCAGTGTGGCCCCAGGGGCAGGGGAGGAGGGCTACTGGGACCTGGGTCTGTTCCTGCCTCAGAGGGAAGTTCTCCGTGAGCATCAGTTTTCAAGCACACAGTCTTGAGGACAGCCTCTCTCTCCCTGGAGCCTGGCTCACGTTATCTCTTGTGAAGCCCCCACACCCTCTTGCAGCCCTCTAAGTGGGACGTTTCCTTCAGAGACCACCCACAAGGGCTGCCCAAGTGGAACGGGCTGTGCGACAGATGTGGGTCACTTCCGACTCTGGGACAAAAGCTGAGAAGAGAGGCCTCAGAGAATAAATAGGAGACTAAGAGGACAGGCAGACAAACAGGACGAGCCTGGGGGCTCCAGGCCTGGACGGAGGAAGAAGCCAGCTATGTAAGAAACGAAGGCAACTTGGCGCCCTCCTCCCACCTTGCTTGCCTCCCTCCCCTGGGCCCAGGTCCCTCGGGCTGCTCTGGACTTCCCGCCAGGTTCCAGTCCTTCCAGTCCGGGAGAGGCCGGGAATGGATATTTAACCTTCCACCTTCTTTAGGGGGCTCTGAGCTTAGTCTCCCGGGGCTCACGTACCCTTGTCCCCAGGGCCCTGCTGCCTCTCGAAGTACCCTGGGGCGCTGGCTGAGAGCCCGTTAGAGGTCCGAGGGAGGTATCTGGGAAGGAAAGGAGGATATGCGGAGACCTGGCTCAGCAGAGAGGAGCGAGGAGAGAGAGGAAGTTCTGAGAGTGGCAGATAGAGATCGCGCGGTCAGAGGCGAGCGAGGCAGAGAAGGGGAGGTGCAGGCGGAAACGAGGAGCACCGGCCGGCTGCCCTCCCAAGAGACGCGCGGCGCGGGAGGCTGGACCCACAGCAGTCGCCCCTGCCCGCCTCCGCCTAGGATGGGAAACCTGGCGGAGGCTGAGAGCAGGAGAGCGCCACTGGCAGCCCCGAGGGGGCGAGCGCAGCGGAAGGTGCGGGTGGGCCCCGGGCCGGGGGTCACTCACCGCAGGCCAGGGCGGTACAATGCGGCCATGGCACCTGGGCAGGGGCTGCGGGGTGGCCAGGAACCGAGCGGAGCCGGGGAGGTATGGAAGGCGGGGAAGGAGGGAGCGCGGCGAAGCGAGCCACAGCAGAGGCTGGCGGGAGGCGCTTAAAAAGGAGGGGGGCAGGCGCGGGGGCGGAACCTGGTAGGGCTGGCACTAGCTTTCCTCCGCCCCGCTGGCAGGCCAGCTCCCTCGGCCCCGGGGCTCCAGGCTCCAGGTCAGCCCAGCCGCCGCCCCAACCCCTGCCTCCAAACCGCCAAACCCATCTCTCCCATTGGAGGACTGGGTCCACTCTTCGGCCCCCGACTTCGAGGCCCCGCCCCCCATCCGCCACCGCCCTCCCAGCCGCACATGATGTAACTTTGAGGACTCTTGCTCCCGGGAGAGACACTAGGTGGCAAACAAGCTAGGAACGAGGGGCGAGGCCAGGGGCGGGAGACTACAGGGGCCAGACGTCTAGAAGTTAGGGGGTTGGGCATTGCCTTTCCAGTTCCTCCTCCTGGGGACGCGACACCCTGAGTCCTGGGCCTTTCTGTAGTCCAAGTGCCCAATGCTAAGGTCCACTTAGTCCCCAACTCCTAAATCCCCGTTTCTCCTCCTGATCAAGGCTCCTTTCTGCCTTGCCATGAAATGGTGGAGTCTCTCTACCCCTGGGTCTCTTCCTTGGTCCTCTGATCTGGTCATTCTCCTCCCCCGGCACATCCCCTCTTCCCCTGACGGAGTCTTACTCTGTCACCCAGGCTGGAGTGCGTGCAGTGGCGCGATCTCGGCTCACTGCACACTCCGCCTCCCGGGTTCAAGCAATTCTCCTGTCTCAACCTGCAGAGTAGCTGGAATTACAGGCGCCTGCCACCACACTCGGCTGATTTTTTGTATTTTTTGTAAAGACGGGGTTTCTCCATGCTGGCCAAGCTGGTCTCCAACTCCTGACCTCGTGATCCGCCTGCCTTGGCCTCCCAAAGTGCTGGAATTTACAGGCGTGAGCCACCACGCCCGGCCTGGTCATTCTTTCTCTCCACAATCCAATGAGGAAACTCATCTGCCCACCCAACTACCATCATAAAGTCCTCAGGTGATTTCTCAAGCTATACCTCCATTGGGACATCTCTCTCCAACCTGAGACCACTGGATATCACCCACAATGCTATATAGCACCTCAAACTCAGCATATCTATGATGGGTGTCTGCTCAGCATCCACTCGCCTTTTCTGGTAATAGCACCCTGATTTTCTTTTGGGGAACCATCTCCTCAGTCTGTATTGTCATGTGGGTCTGATGTCACCCCTCTTGGGGGTAGGCTTGCAGCTTAGCCAACTTTTGTGTTCCTCACTCTGGCCACAGCAATCAAGGATGTTCAAGGATGGGCATGAGATCCCTCTCTGGGACTTTTTCTAAAACTTTGGAAGTTAGCTCTCTTTCTGCTGAGTTGCTGAGCTGGTAGAATATAAGCCTGGAGCTGCTGAGTGTTAGCTTGGCACTGCAAAGCAGGAACCTGGCTGAGACAGAAGCCAGCCTAGAGGAAGCAGAGCAGGGAGATGGCGAGCAATGGATTCCTGATTTCAGTTACAGGAATTGATGCATTTCTTCTCTTGCTCAAGCTAATTTTAATTGGAGTTCTGCCACTTGCAACAGAAACAGTCTTGATTCTCAGATTTCTTGGAGTTCTATGCTGGAACATAGTGGGATAAGGAGAGCTGGTCTCCAGCCACGGGCTTGCTACTGGTCCCCGTCTCTTCCCCCTCAGGCTCTAGCCTACACTCAACCTCAGGTATATGTATTTGGATCTCTTTCCCCCCAGTTCATAGATCCAAACTCTGTCCACACTTACCCAGCTGCAAACACATACCTCTTGGCCAACCTTTGGGCCTAAAGGTGTGCACACTGGTGGCAGCATGGTTGACCTGAAGGTCATCATCTTCTCCATAATCCTGCACCTGCTCTCATGGTTTCCTACCTCAGCAAATGGCACCATCATCTGGCCAGTTGCCCCAAAGGGAATCAGTCTAGACTATTCTTATCCTGCATAGCTAATCAGATGCCAGGACCTTTGGAATTGTACTTCTCAATTAGCCCTCAAGTCTGCAACTATCCCCATGGCCAGGGCCTTAGTTCAGGGCTTATCTCTCACCTGGCTTCAGGTGATAGCTTCTAAGGCACTTCTTGGACTCCTGCCTCTCCAAACACCAACCCCTCTCCCTACCAAGCCACTCCCCACACTGTGCATGCAAATCCACTTGGAAAGTTAAGAGAGAAGAATAATGTTTATGCTATGGACAGTAGGTGCCAGGCTCTGTGTCAGCAACTCTGCATGCATAATCTCATTCTGTTTCACAACTATATTTTACATATGTGGACACGGGCTTAAAGAGTCATTTGCTCGGTCACCCTAAGGGAAGAATCAAGGAAAAAGGGAGGCAGGACCCCAGAAGTATGCCAACATATAACACCCTAAATCAAAGGTCAAATGCCGCACTTGACCTCCAAGATGCCTGCTTGGGCCTCTTCCAAGTGTACTTTCCTTTCTTTCATTCCTGCTCTAAAGCTTTTTAATAAACTTCCATTCCTGTTCTGAAAAAAAATTATTCATGAATATTTTATACTTTTATCCTATTATGAATGAAATGTTCTAATTGTTTACCACAAGTACATACAAATAAAATTGCTTTGTGTATATTGAAAAAAAAAAGAGTCATTTGCTCAAAGTCACACAAATGGTTAGCAGGAGAAATGGAATCTGAATCCATATCTTTCTGACTCTAATTACCAAGTCCCCCTCTCCCTATAAATCCTATACTGTCCCCTTGATTTACCATTAAAAATTAGATCATATCACTCTTAAGCTTAAAATCTCTTCCAGGCTCTTTCCATCACATGATATCTTATGTCCTTCATAATCTGACTCCTATTTATCTAATGTTGTCACCCCCACATCCCCACTTGCCTCCTTTTCTCCTACGTACTGAACTCTGAAGTTTCCAGAGCACTTCTGTGAACTTTTTCTGGGCATCTGCACTCAAATTAAACACACACCATCCTGGCCAACATGGTGAAACCCCGTCTCTACTAAAAATACAAAAATTAGCTTGGTGTGGTGGCGCACGCCGGTAGTCCCAGCTACTCAGGAGGCTGAGGCAGGAGAATCGCTTGAACCCGGGAGGCGGAGGTTGCAGTGAGCCGAGATCGCACCACTGCACTCCAGCCTGGGCAACACAGTGAGACTCTGTCTCTAACACACACACACACACACACACACACACACACACACACACACACACAGGCCTTTTCTGTTCGTCCCTTAGAATGAACATCTATTTCATCTGTGTTGCTTCTATCCCATGTATATGCCTATATTTTTGTACTTTACTATACTGTAGTTACTTTTATATCTCTGTAATCCTCACTAGAGTGATGATTTCAGTCTTGTTTTTCTCCTAGTTCCCAGCAGTACCTGGCCTATAACAGGCACTTAATAAAAGTTGGTTGAATAAAAGAATGAATGAGTGCCACGTTTCTGAATTCTTCTTCCCCACCATTACTTTCTTCTCTAGCTTTAGGCAGATGGAGCAAGGGGCTCACGTGCAGATTTCCTTGCACTGCTCATTTCCCCTTATCTGCCACACACTTTTCTTTAGTTCCCTGCCGGGAGAGCCTGGCCCACCAGCTGGCCCTATGTCCAAGGAGTACCACCAGGGGGCAGAGTGTGATCTGCATTGTCCTCTCTGGGGCCTCTGGGTTCATCCCTGAAGTCTCACAGCCCGAGTAGTGATGCTGTGGTGTGTAGCCCAGATTCCCGCTTCAGGATCATGATGCTCATTGTTCCAGCTGCTGAGTGTTGGCTGCTGATAGCTCACAGCTGAGTACTTCCTTGAGCACTATCTGTGGCCAAAGGGAGCTGTCTCACCAAATGCAATGCCCGCTTCCTGGGGGCAGTATGTATCCAATGAATGGTTGTTATAAAGTACAGAGGCCTAGCCCTTTGTCTCAGTTTGGGACAACTCTGAAGGTCCATCCCAGCCCCAGAGCTCTTTAGGCTCAGCTGATTACAACTGCAGTGCCATTCAACTGTTCCCTCTCTTGGGTCCTGCTACTCTTTCTTTGAAAGTCCCCCCCCGTGCCCCCCCCCCCCCCCCGAGTAAACCACCTGCACACAAGTTTCTGTCTCAGAGTGTGCTTCCAGTTGCAAATATTCCTCAGGCTCAACTTGGTTACGGCATTAGTCCTCTAATCTGACTCTTATTTCATTGTTGCCTTCCTCCACAAACACAAAGTGCTGACATACGTGATCCTTCCGAACACAAATCTGATCACATCATGTCTCTACTGAAAACCCTTCAGTAGCTTCTCCCTGCTCTTAGAATAAAGCCCAAACCCTTAATGTGACCTCCCAGGCTCTGCATGATCTGGCCCCTGCTGACTTCTCCAGCCTCAGCTATCACTGTTCTTCCCACCTTCCAGGCTTTCTACTCTCTGGCTACGTGGATCTTTTCTCAGTTTTGTGAACATGTCTACATCTTTCCTGCCTCACAACCTTTGCATATGTTGTTTCTGCCGCCTGGAATTCCCACCCTGTCCACACCTCCAGGCAGGGTCACTTCTTATTCACCTGACCAGTCTTGGTTTAGCATGACTTTCTTAGGCAACCTGTCCCTGTGATGCATCCCCTCTGGCTTTGTATTAGAGTATGTCTTCGTGGAAGAAAATTTCATAGCACCCTGCCCTTCTTCTTCTTAGCACATTCATCTCTGTTTAAATGGTTTGTTTTTATGTAGACACATCTCTAACATATGTAGGACCTGCGGCAGGAGTACAAATAGAGGCCCTCAAACCTTGTGTTTAAATATTTAAAATGGGCTGGGTGTGGTGGCTCATGCCTTGTAATCCCAGCACTTTGGGAGGCAGAGGCTGGAGGATCACTTGAGCCCAGGAGTTTAAGACCAGCCTGAACAACATAGTGAGACTTCTTCTCTACAAAAAATAAAAAAGTAGCCAGGCATGGTGGTGTGCACCTGTAGTCCCAACTGCTTGGGAGACTAAAGTGGGAGATAGCTTGAGCCCAGGAGTTCAAGGCTGCAGTGAGCTATGATTGCACCACTGCACTCCAGCCTGGGTAACAGAGCGAGACCCTGTCTCAAAAAAAAAAGATTAAAATGTATAACTCAGGGTCGGCGCAGTGGCTCATGCCTATAACCCCAGCGCTTTGGGAGGCTGAGGCGGGTGGATCATTTGAGGTCAGGAGTTCAAGACCAGCCTGGCCAACATGAAACCCTGTCTCTACTAAAAATACAAAAATTAGGCCAGGCGCAGTGGCTCACGCCTGTAATCCCAGCACTTTGGGAGGCCGAGGCGGGCGGATCACGAGGTCAGGAGATCGAGACCATCTTGGCTAACCCAGTGAAACCCCATCTCTACTAAAAATACAAAAAAAAAATTAGCCAGGCATGGTGGCGGGTGCCTGTAGTTCCAGCCGGAGTCTGAGGCAGGAGAATGGCATGAACCTGGGAGGCGGAGCTTGCCGTCAGCCAAGATCGCGCCACTGCCCTCCAGCCTGGGGGACAGAGCAAGACTCTGTGAAAAAAAAAAAAAAAAAAAAAATTAGCCAGGCATGGTGGTGCATGTCTGCTACTTGATAGGCTGAGCCAGGAGAATCACTTGAACCCAGGAGACAGAGGTTGCAGTAAGCCGAGATCACACCACTGCACTCCAGCCAGGGCGACAGAGCTATCTCAAAAAAAAAAAAAAAAAAGTATAATTCAGGCTAACAAACTGTTACACAAAATATATTCTGTTCTTCTACCTTGACAAATATATTGACAAATACATACTTCACAATGGCCTGGAAGGCCAGGTTCAGATTTGTATTTTATTTGGAATCCTCAGGGTTCTGCACCAGAATGTGATGGTGTAGGGGGATGTAGTTTTGGCCACTGGCCCTCAGCTGGGCCCACTTTGCCTCCTACCCCTGACACCATCTTGGACTGCAAGGGGCCTTGTGTGGAACCATGTGGACCTCCCATCAGGCCATCCCAAGTCTGTCCACAGTCTCCTGCAAGCAGCTACCCCTTGTCTACCCTTTGACCTCAGAATGTGTGAACCAGTCATGTGGCCCAGCCGTGGGAGGGCAAACCCAGGGAAGAGGTTCACGTGGGCCCTAGGAGTGGGCTTGGGCCTTTTGGACAGGGAATGCTTAGCTATCTGGAGTGTGGTCCTGAGAGGATTAAGGTATGGGCAGAGGATAGTTGGACTCCTCACCCATGTGGTGGGACATAGCCAGAGGAGGCCAGAGTGGAGCCTTCTAAAGCACAGGGCCCAGGGCAGGGGCCACTCCTGCCTGGGCCTAAGGACAATAATTTATTTATTATTTTTTTTTTGAGACAGGGTTTCTTTCTGTCTCCAAAGCTAGAGTGCAGTGGCACCATCATGGCCCACTGCACCCTCATCCTCCCCAGGCTCCTGATCCTCCCACCTCAGTTTTTGTATTTTTAGTAGAGACAGGGTTTTGCCATGTTGCCCAGGCTGGTGTCGAACTTCTGGGCTCAAGCGATCCACCCATCTTGGCCTTCCAAAGTGCTAGGATTACAGGCATGAGCCTCTGCACCCAGCCAAAGGGCAATAATTTGATGTTTCTCTGTTTCATCAGTCTGTAAGTTTCTTGAAGTCAGGGCTGGTATTAGTGTAAGTTACTGAGGGGTCGCTAATGCCTTACTCAGGATGTGGTGCAGAATAGGTGTTTAATATGCATTTTTCAAAAGAATGTAGGAGGTACACCAAGAAGAGGTTGAGGATTTGGATCTATTACTGAAGATCTAGATACCATGAGCCAGAAGTAGGAATGAGAACCAGTCTTTCAGGGTTCCAAAAATGAGAGTGCAGGACAGAGGAGAGGAGGTAGCATCCTGGAATGCTGACTGTCTCATTTTCTCTCCTTCCTCTTCATTTTCTACCCCACTCCTGCAGGCCCTTTGCCTGCCTGCCCCTCTTTCCCCATGGTCCAATATCACTCCATCCATATCTTGCTACCTTTCTGTCCTTTGGCCACTGCTCTTCCTCTGTGGCCTATGTGTCTATTTCTTTGTATTGGTGTCTAGGTCTTGGTCCCCAATCTTATGTCCTGTCCCTTCCTTCTACCACTCTTACTGTTCTAGTCCTTGTTGTCCCCTACTCCCTTCTTGGTCCTCTCCTGGAAGACTTCCTTTCTTTATCCATCTCGTCCATGTGCCTACATCTTTCTGTCTCCTTTAATCCAAATCCCCATGGAGACCCTGACTTGTCCTGTCCTCTATCTCACATCTACACCTACTGCCTCCTTAGTCTCCTTCCTCTGTTCTATTATTCCTGGAGTCACACTGGCTTCATCTTTTTCATCCCTAGATGTCCTTGAGCCCATTAGTCTCAGTATTCATTTCTCAGTCTCCAGTGGATATGGGAGATGGGCTCTGCTTTCTGGGTCCCCACTGACTGCCACAGACTCTCCTCTCTGTGCCCTTGGTCCTTTCCTCTGGCCCAGACTGGGCCCAACCCTCACTCCCCCAGCTCCTTTCCCTGGTTTAGTGGTGCCTGGTCTGAGCCCCAAGCAGCTCAACTCGCCTGAGCTTGTTTAGTCTGACTCCCTTAGCCCGTTAGCAGCTTAGCCCTCCCACCTCTCCTTTGAGCCCTCCAGTAAACAAGAGGATCAGTGCAGACCTGACAGCTGCTGGTTGGGGGCAAGTGTCTGGCCAGGCCAGAGCAGGCATGAAAAAGGGGCTGCACTCAACACTTCCCATTCCTTCTTCAACCAGGGAAATTGTAGAGTCTCTTTCCTGGGTGTCCACTTTGGAGAGCTACATTCCATGGGCATGTGTGTGGGGTCCTGCCTCTCCATGATCCTCATTCCCATTTTGTGGTTGGTTCCTAGGCCTTAGGCTTTTTTATTCTTTTGAGAAAACAGCAGTAGATCCAGGCAGTCACACAGAGAAGCTTGAATGGTGACGATGGTTTCTGCTCCTTAAAACAGAAACCCAGGTGTGGGAAGAGAGTGATGTCATCTGATCTAGGTTTTCCAATATGTGTATGGAAAGCATGGTAGGAGAGACCACATACACATGCACAGACAGACATATATACATGCCTCCCCAGGGAAGCTGGGTAGACTGCAGGCATTCTGTGCAGTTCTCAAACTTTCTTTCTTTTCTCTTCTTTTTTTTTTGAGATGGAGTCTCTCTCTGTTGCCCAAGCTGGAGTGCAGGGGCACGATCTCGGCTCACTGCAACCTCCGCCTCCCAGGTTCAAGTGATTCTCCTGCCTCAGTAGGAGTAGCTGGCATTACAGGTGCCTGCCACTATGCCCAGCTAATTTTTGTATTTTTAGTAGAGATGGGGTTTCACCATGTTGGCCAGGCTGGTCTTGAACTCCTGACCTCAAGTGATCCGCCCACCTTGGCCTCCCAAAATGCTGGGATTACAGGCGTGCCTGGCCTTTAAACTTTCAAGCATGTCAGACTTGCTGGAAGGGCCTTAAAACACAGATTTCTGGGCCCCACCCCCGGAGTTTCTGACTCAGTAGATTTAAGGTGAGATCAGGTAACATGTATTTCTAGCAAGTTCCCAGGTGATATGGATGCTGCTGCTCTGGGGACCACACTTCAGAAACCACCTTCTTAGATAATCTGTATCTGCCAGCTTTTCCCCAACATATAAGGCTGGGACCAGGTTAAGTTTTATAAGTGATGACCTTTGGGGTCTGATGGACACCCAGGCCTCTGTGTTGAGAAAGAGGAACTATTAACCCCATGGGAGTATTTGGGTGGCCTCAGAAGGTAGGAAGTGGCCTTTAACTCCATAGACCCTATTTAAACAGCTTCGGACAGGTTTAAACATCTCCTTGGATAATTCCTAGTATCCCTGTTCCCACTCCTACTCAGGGATGATAGCTCTAAGAGGTGTTAGGGGATTAGGCTGAAAATGTAGGTCACCCCTCAGCCATCTGGGAACTAGAATGAGTGAGAGAGGAGAGAGGGGCAGAGACACACACAGGGAAAAGGTGAGAGAAAGCAGAGGGCATATGAGGCCAGTTACAAAAGTGTCTCCGACGGACTGGTGGTGATTAGATTTCAATGTCCCTTGAGGCCCAGAAGGAAGGAACAGAGTTCCCTGTTCTCTTTTTTCCTACTCTTTCTCCCAAGCTGGATTAGCAAGAATGGGAGAGACAAAATATGGTGGTCAAGTCCTGGAGATCCCCTGTGGGAAAAGTTGCTTTCCTTTCTGATGCGACGGCTATGAGGGGCATAAGACCAGTCAGCATGAAGATGGGGCAGAGGTAGAAATGTGAGGATTCTTGAAAATAGGAAACAGATCCAAAAGGCCCGGTGAGAGTGGGCGTGGGAGAGCTTATAGTCTCCAAAGACAGATGAGGGGCTGCAGGGCCTTGGAAGGTGGGGGTGCTGGGAGTTTGTCTGGTCCTCTTTTTCCAATCCCAGGCTATGCATGGCTAGGGCTGAGGGTTGTGTTCACATAGAGGGGTGGTGGTTCAGACCCATGTTTCTGTCCGAACTGGGAAACTGAGCACTTGGGAGTCGGATCATCAGTGAGGAGCTTTGTTGGGGAAGATGCTCCCTTTCCTTCTTTGAGAATAAGCACACTTGTACTCTCCTCTCTCTCCATTTCCCCCAACCCCAGGCCAATAAGATATGCAAATGATCTCCTTACCTTATTGGTTGGAGGCCTCAGGACCACAGATGACCTCAGAGAGCTGGCCCTTTAAGAATGCCCTTTGGGCTCTGTGCCCACAGCCCCCTGGAGCTGAGCAGAGGCACCAGGCCCTGCTCCATGGAGCCTTCAGTCTCCTGGGAAGCTGTGCCTGTCTGGCTCTGGCACTGACCACATCCTCTCGGCCATTTCTGAAGTGAGTATATCCAGGGCCTACCTGGGTGTCAGGCCGCTCACCTAGAACCCCCTCTTTAACACCTGCTCTCTGTTGTCTGTTTTCAAGAATCCTAACACCTTGGTACCCTACTCCACTCCCACCCTGACTGGCCTGTGTCCCTCACTGCTATCACGTCAGAAAGATAAACAACCTTCCCCACTACTCCTTCTGTACATCCAGTTCTTTCTGGATACCTCTCTCAGTGTCTCACCATCTCCTTTCTGCCAAGACCCAGTTCCTTTAATCTGTGTCTGTTTCCATCCCCTCTGTCCTCTCAAGGGTGACAGGTTCCATAGAGAGGGCAGCAACCCTGCCCTGGAACAGGAAGAGAGAGGCCTGGGTCTTCCTCTTTGCCTCTCTGGGTAGAGCCTGGGGGTCTGACATGTGGTTGGAAAGAAGGCTACCTAGGCTTGGGGCATCTAGAAGGAGCCGAAGTCTAAGCCCTGGGGATGAACACTCCATGCCGCGCACCTTCTGGGGGTGGGGTGGGAGTTACTGGAATTGGGAGCTGGACTAGAGCTTGGACTTCAAGGCTGGGAAGGGTATCTGAGGTCACCCAGCCAGAAGTTCCTCAGGTGAACATGTGCCCCATGATTGATAACAGACAGGAGAGTTCCTTGGTGACATAAGTTTAGGACACTTTTTGTTGAACTTGAACAGACGGTTTACTAAAGGATTGCTCAGGTTAATATGCTCTTGTGCTATGTGCATCTGTAAGAGGTAGGGATAGGAGGCAACATTTCTCAAAGTTATCTGAGCACAGACCTCTTCATAGGTATTGTTCAGAATCAGTGTTCTAGAGAACACTCTTTGGTATATGTTACAAAGTCTAACTGCCCTCATTGAACAGAAGGGAAAACGGGTCAGAAGGGTGAAGGTGATCTGCCAAGTTCACACAACGTAACAAGTTCTGAATAGAAGGAAAATCAATCTTGGTCTGTTCCCCTTGGAGAGACTGGCCTTGAGGAAAGATGGTGGCCAGTTGATTCTGATCTTTCTAGAACTAATTCTAGGACCTTTCTTTTTTCCATATAAAGCCTCTTGCCCCTACAAAAGGGATTCATTGATTGATTAATCCATAGAACAAATGTACACTGAGGGTCTTCTATAGGCAAGGCACTTCCCTGAGTGCTTTGAGAGACAGAGAGCTATAAGAACACATTATCCTTGGCTCTTAAAATTCACAGCATACATGCCTTCCCACTGTCCTAAAATATACACTCACTTTGTCACAGTTAATTAAGCAATTTAAAAAAATGGCTTGGAAATGGAATGATGCCTCTTGAGATGACAGACCTCTCGGCATGTCTCAGCACTAGGGTTGGGAGCACTGCCATACTGCTCTTGCTTTTCATAGATCCTGAGGCATCAGTGGGGCGAGAGGCTGTGCTGTCCTCTTCCTCCTTCAGGAATTCAGCTGCTTGTCCCCTGTCAGGAGCCCCTGCCCTCTGAAAGGTTACTCTTCAGCCTGGTGGGGACTCTGCAGTGAACAGAGCTGCACCATCCCTCTGGCTTTCCCAAACTCTTGCTCCAGGGCACTTGGGCTTTGAGGGAAGAGGGACTTGGTGAAGAGGGGATGGCAGGTGGCCTCCATGTGCTCCAGACCTCTCCTCCTCTTTGCAGGTGCACTCCTCCCAGCCCAGCTCCAGAATGGCCCTGCCCCCCAGCCCCCTGGCCATGGAATATGTCAATGACTTTGACTTGATGAAGTTTGAGGTAAAGCGGGAACCCTCTGAGGGCCGACCTGGCCCCCCTACAGCCTCACTGGGCTCCACACCTTACAGCTCAGTGCCTCCTTCACCCACCTTCAGTGAACCAGGCATGGTGGGGGCAACCGAGGGCACCCGGCCAGGCCTGGAGGAGCTGTACTGGCTGGCTACCCTGCAGCAGCAGCTGGGGGCTGGGGAGGCATTGGGGCTGAGTCCTGAAGAGGCCATGGAGCTGCTGCAGGGTCAGGGCCCAGTCCCTGTTGATGGGCCCCATGGCTACTACCCAGGGAGCCCAGAGGAGACAGGAGCCCAGCACGTCCAGGTGAGTGGTCAGCAAGCTGGCCTGAGGGGAGGCAGGGCAAGGAAGGAGGACTGCCCAAGAGAGGAAGGGGAGCTCCCAGAGGGGGTTATGGACTGGGACAGGGGACAGAGGGCAGGAGAAGGGGAGAAGGTCCCTTGAAAGCAATCAGATCGAGAAAACTACATTCTGCTTCTCCCCCTTTTCTTAAAATGGAGAGAAATGAGTAGGCTGAACCAGGAGGAGCAGGGAGAAGATAAGATTAGCAGAGAATCCAAAGGGAAGAATTGAGCTGGGGAGTGGGCGACTCCGGGGGGTAAACAGATACATGGTGTGTGGAAACCAGGGAAAGGGTTATGTGTGGAGTGGAGCTGGGTTAAGACTGGTTTAGATTGGCCTTTTCAAGACTTCGTGCTTCCCAGCCCCCAACCTTCTCAGGAAGGATTGGGACTCATCCTATTAATTACAGACACAGATGGGGGTGTTGCGGGCATTAGGATGTAATCCAAATCCTGTGAGGGTCACCGGGTTGCAGGCTTCAGGACAGGGAAACGCAGCGCGTTGGAGGGTTGGGGGCTGTCTGGGTGCGGGTCCACTGGACACACCCGGGCCTGGAGCTGGATGCCGGGGATCCCAGAGACGAGCCCGGGGTTTAGGTGCGCGACGGGCTCGCCTGACCGTGGCCGGCCCTGCACCGTGGGGCGCCCGCCTGACTGGAGCAACGGTCAGCTGGGGGGCCCGGGGAGCGTCGGGGCCTGGGGCGGGCTCTGGACCGAAACAGACTGCGTGGAAGGGCGAGCCTTCCGGTGAAGGTGGGAGCCGGGGCGGGGCTGTCCCGGGGCGGAGCCAGGTAGCGTCGGGCCCTCAGGGCAGAGCCGGGTGCGACCTGGCGCTGACCCGGTTTCTGCATTCTCCCTCCGCAGCTGGCAGAGCGGTTTTCCGACGCGGCGCTGGTCTCGATGTCTGTGCGGGAGCTAAACCGGCAGCTGCGGGGCTGCGGGCGCGACGAGGCGCTGCGGCTGAAGCAGAGGCGCCGCACGCTGAAGAACCGCGGCTACGCGCAGGCCTGTCGCTCCAAGCGGCTGCAGCAGCGGCGCGGGCTGGAGGCCGAGCGCGCCCGCCTGGCCGCCCAGCTGGACGCGCTGCGGGCCGAGGTGGCCCGCCTGGCCCGGGAGCGCGATCTCTACAAGGCTCGCTGTGACCGGCTAACCTCGAGCGGCCCCGGGTCCGGGGACCCCTCCCACCTCTTCCTCTGAGCCGTTCAGAGCACCTTGTGGTGTAGTGGGGGCTGGGTGGGGTGGCTCCGCCCAGGAGGCGGCTGCACGGTTCTCTGCATCGTTACCAGAGCGCCTTCTGGTCCTAGCCACGCCCTGTATGACCGCGCAAATATCCCCAAAGCTTTTGGGTCCTCAAGTCATGCCCGAATTTAGATGCTGGTCATTTTCTGGAGAGGGGTCCCCTCCCCTTACGAACACAGAAACCCAGCCCACATGACTAGCACGCTGAGCTCTGCAGGGACCAGTGCCAGGCACTGGGGGGTGGAAGTGTGGTGACACAGTGAATGGGAGGTGGAGGAGGGTTGCAGCTCCCACCTCAGTTTAGTTTTTAATTCAGGGTTTTCAACCTGTAACACATTAAAGCTGTAATTAGCAATGAGGCTGTATTTTCATTCTGAAGCTTGTAACCTCCCCATTTTAGCACTACAGAATTTTCAAGATTTCAATATCCAACAACTAGATAGATTAGGACCTCTATCCGAGATGCTTTTTCCCTGCCCAACCCTGTGGCCTTCAGGGCTCAGAGCAGCAAAGGCCTGAAGAGTGAGCTCTGGGGGTTGTTGGTGTGGGTTGGGAGAGAGCTGTGTGCAGAAGTCTGGAAACCTGGGTCCTAGTCCCAGCTCTTCCATGGGATCCCCCTGTCACCCTGAGCAAATCAGTTGCTTCCTGGACTTGTGTTACTTCATCTAATTCTCATGTGGATTGGACGACTTCTGCTCCCTTTCCAGTTCTGGCATCTCCCCAGTATGGAAGTCCCGGTGGTCTCCCCAAGAAGTCCCCAAGACAATCTCGCCAAAGGCACCTCCTATCCTGCTGCAGTTTCCCAGCTGCAGCCTAGGCAGGGGATGCACAGCCCAGGCGAGGAAGCCTGGCTTCTCTGTGAGCACATACGTGGGTCCTCGGCAGCTCCCTCCAGGCTGTCTGGGCCTCCAGACCTGCACAGGGTGCTCCTGCCACCTCCCACCTCTCTGAGGGCTGAGGTGAGACTTCTCCTGGGATGACAATTTGCTGAGAGAGTGCAGCTTTTGTGAATTAAACTTGAAGTCCAGGCAGAATTCTAATGCAATAAGCTAAATGTTCTTGCAATTTAAGAAGTGTTCATTCTTTATCCCTGCTTCAGGCTACTGTTTGTGTGTCTGTGTGTGGGAGAGGGAGAGAGAGGGAGAGAGAGAGAGAGCAAGAAAAAGGGAAGTCCCCACCTGGAGCTGGGTGGCACATCTGTTATGGAGAGCCAATGGAAATGGGGTGGAGGGGCAGGCATTGGAACAGATGGATCCTCCCCCTCTCACCACCACCACCACCAAACTCAGAAGCCTCAGTGGCCCAGCTCGGCCTGTCAGTGGCTATCCAGGTCTCACAGTTTCCATGGTAACCCAGTCCTCCAGTTCAGCAGGCTAAGGGGAGGGCAGATGGGGCCTCTGGGCAGAGCACAGGCGTTGTGCTGGGAGCAGCCGCCTCACGAGTTACTGTCATCTGTCCTCTACCGGACATAATAAATGGGAGAAGCTTTCGGGCATGGGGGAAGAGGCTCCCATATGTCCCTCTTCCTTTCTACCCCCTCTCTCCACCCCCTCCCCAGCTGTCTCTTCTCTTCCCATCACAGTTCTTGCTCCCTCTTTCCCCTCCTCTATCCCAGCTCATCCCTCCTCCGCTTAGGAGCCTGCAATGGGAGTCCTCTCCTCCATCGCTCTCAGAATTTCTCTCGTCTCCTCTCCCTTCCCCACCATTGGCCACTGGCCATCCTCTCTGGCTCTGGATTCTCTCTCTGAGGGGCTCACAGAACCTTTAGCTTCTCTTTCTTCATCCCCTTCCACACTCATTGTTGAAGGGAGAGGATGGGGCAGGGAGGGTCCTTCCGGGAGCCCAGCTCTTTTTCTCTCACTCTAAATTTCACCTGTGTCTATCCTTGCCTGCCCTGGAGCTGTAATTCAGACCCACTACTTTTCTTGTTCACTTTTCTCACCTGCATGGCACACAAAGACAGACAGAACCATCCATAGACACCTGAGCACACAACTAGGCCACATATACAGTACCATACCTGGGTCTCAAAATGATACTCCTGGGTTACCTGAGTATACTTAAAAAAACAAAGTTGCACACTGTGGTGATTAAGAGTAGTGCTTTAGGTGGGGCGCAGTGGTTCCTGCCTGTAATCCCAACACTTTGGGAGGCCAAGGAGGAAGTTTGAGACCAGCCTGGGCAACATAGCGAGAACCCTGTCACTACAAAAAAATAAAATAAAATAAATTCAGATGTAATGGCATGCACCTGGAGTCCCACCTACCCAGGAGGCTAAGGTGGAAGGATAACTTGAGCCCAGGAGTTCGGGGATGCAGTGAGCCATAATCGTGCCACTGCATTCCAGCCTGGGTGGCAGAGTGAGACCCTGTTTCAAGTTGCAGTTCTACCAGTTTTTTGACCATGGGTGGGTTAAAATCAAGCCTCACTTGATTGTCAGAAAAATGGTGAAAATAATGGTAACCACCTACTGAGAATAAATGCATTTAAATAAGCACTTAGCATAAAGTTGACACATGCTACGTAATGATATTTGCTGTTGTTGCTGATGTGATTGTTAAGTGTGTGAATCTGTGTGTTCATGCACTGCACATCCCTGAGTCCATGAGTGTGACCCATTAAGGCCATGAACAGACACACACATTGACACACCCGGGAAACCAGACTGTATAGGCCTTAGATGCTCCACTATGTTCCCAATTCACTAGCAGACCTGCTGCCCTCCTTCAGTATCCCCCAGCACCTGCTCTTGGCCCGCCCCACAGCTGTGTGGGGGCTGGGGTTCAGCTCCTGGGGGACTCAGCAGGGCCTCTCTGGAGACAGCTATAAGAAAGCTTCAGCCTGCCCTCCTGACAGCCCGTAATTATCCTCCTATCTCCTGTAATTATTCTCCATGGTGCCTAGACCCCCTGGGGTTGGGAGGTGAGGGAGGGGGCTCCTCAGATCCCACTGGCACATAGCTGGGGTAAGACTGCAGAGACAGCAGCCTGCCTGGGGAGCTCTGTCTCAGATTTTGAAAGGTGCTGGTCCTCATTTCTTATGGTGTGTGTGGGGGTGCTGCAGGCTGCCCAGTGGGCATCTGAGGCATGATGGTTAGAGGCTGAGGTGCTAGGAGCAGTTCTCTTTATTAATGGCTAGAAAGTCAGGATCACCCAAGGAAGTCACTGAGGGGCCACAGCATTGAAGGGTATGGGGTTTGGAGAGATAGGAGCAGGACCCACCACTCACGTCCAGAACCCAGGGGGCACACCTGGTCCAAGAGGTGGAGGCATTGGTCACTGGAGTCACGAGGGTCAGGACAGGCACCTGGGAGGGGGTGGGAGAGTCATAAGCACTCTCTTCTACACTACACCCAGCCTAGTTGGGCTCTACCAAGCCCCACTTTGCACCCCCTGTGTCCACTCCTTTGGAAGCCCCAGGACTCACTGAGAGGCTGAGGGAGTGTCGGTCCGGAGGGAGGCAGTCACGGGCTAGGGCTGGGAGTCGTAGCCAGTGTGCAGGGCCTGGGAGCCCCAGGGCTGATGCCCTGGCTGGCGTAGTACTCCACCACCTGCCGTGGCACCTCAGCCAGGACACACTTGGCGAGTGCAGAGGGGGCAGCCTAGGGTGGGGACAGTGATGTGGTTAGGGGTGAGAGGAAGAGTAGGGGAGGCAGGGTCATCTGAGGGAGAAGTGGGGCTTCAGGGTGGCCAGCTGGGCTCCCGCGTCCTTAGCAGGACATCAAATGGTGGAAGACGAAGGTCAGATTTGGGGGGATGAGAAGCTGAGGAGTCCTTCAGCCGGAAGGGGCCCGGGGGACTCACATCCTTGAAGTCTCGGAAGGGCACGAACTGGACAATGTCTCGGGCTGCAGGCACCCCTCGGGGGCAGCGCAAGGGGCCGTCGTCGCCATCCAGCAGCCGCATGTCAGAGAAGTCAGCATTGCCCACGCCTACGATGATGATGGACATGGGCAGGCGGGAGGCACGCACGATAGCAGTGCGAGTCTCAGCCATGTCGCTCACCACACCGTCAGTGAGCACCAGCAGCACCGAGTACTTCTGAGGGCAAGCAGAGAGGGTGGAAGGGTTGGCTTTGTGTGCAAGGGCGTTGACACCGTTTCCACCAAGGTGCAGACCCTGGCCCTGGCACCACTTAAAGACACATGGGACAGCTCCTGTTTGCCCGCCATGTCTTCCTACCGTGGCTTGGCCGGTGCTCTGCTCCCGCTGGGCCGGCTCAGCCACACGGTTGATGATGGGGGCCACATTGGTGGGGCCGTAGAGCTGGATCTGGGGCAGGCAACGACGGTAGGAGGCGATGACCCCTGAGATCTCTGTGAGTGAAGAGAAGTTGTGAAGCTGGCAGAAATGAGCAGGGCCCCCTCCTGACACTCCTTAAAGCAAGGAAATGCTTCCAGGTCTGAGGACTGCCCTCCCCTCGAGTTCCTTCATTAAGCAGTGGGAGAGTTGGATGGTCCCTTGGCAGGGAGAGTTGGGTGCAGATGCTGGGCCTCGGCCCTGGAAGCCTCACCTGATAAAGACAGGCCTGGGATGGGTGGAAGGGACAGGAAGCTGGGCCCTGGGGAGTGGAGTCTGTGCTCCTGTGTGGAGTGTGTCTGCGGGGAGGCGGGGCAGGTGAAAATCTCCCCTTTTACCTTCACATTCAGGATTTTCCGGGTCAAAGTTGATAGCAAAGTCATGGGACACCTGTGAGGGCAAGGCGGGAGCAGTGAGGGCCTGCCTTTTCTGCCTGACTGACACGCCCCCCATCTCCTTCTTTCCCTCGCATCTAGCCTACCTCGAAGTTGGGGGGGATTCGAGCCCCAAAGCCAAAAGCTGGGAACCGCTTATCACTGGGGAGAAGAAAAAGCTGTGGAATCCGTTGGGCAAGGCCTCCCTGCCTGTTCCCTCCCGCCCCACTCTCTCCTACCTGTCATAGTCCTGGCAGATGCCTCCCACTGCACGCAGGGCCTGCAGGTAGTGGTTGGGCTGTCGGGGACTGAGGCAGTGCAGGGACTGGCTGCTCCTCGGGTCCCCATTGGAGGCGGTGAAGTCAATGGCCACCTGGGTGGGGGTGGGAAGAAGGTCATGCTGCAACCATGAGAGCCACCAGATTGCCTAGGCCAGAGCTGGGATCTGTAGGGAGGACTAAGATGAGTGGTGGGGAGGCTACAGGTAGCCACATAATGATGTGGGGGTGCATAAGCTGACAATGCGAAGGCTCATGAGCAGCCCAAGTTGGGGCAGTGGAGATTCTGGGCTCCTTCCTTTCACTATGGACTCAGCCCCTCCCTCTTGCCTGTGTGCCCTCCCTCTGAGTCTTTACCGTGAAGCTGATCTGGCAGCCACCCATGATGTAATCCAGGAAGGTGTGCACCTTCTCCACCTGGAGGTAGGGAGAGGGGTAAGGCGAGGGGATGGGGTGGTCCTTTGAGGAGGGAGCTTGGGTAGGGCTTCTGTGGGGAACATGGGGGAGCCAGAGTTTTTTGGGTTGCAGTTGGGGGTGGTTTCCAGTTCCCAGAAGCAGAGAAACTGGTCTTTGAAACAAGGGAAGGGTTGAACCTGAGAGTGTGGTAGGGGCAGGGGCTGGGGCAAGGCTTGAAGCAGGAAGTGAAATTTACCGTGCACTGGGCCAGCACTACCGTCCCTGAGCTCTTGTAATTCTTCTTCTTGTCCCGATACTTGGGGTTGATACAGTCCCACTGCATCTAGACCCCACCCCACAAGCTCAGGGTCACAAGTCCATCAGGTGACCCCTCTTTCTCCCTTCCAGCAGAGCCTCCCAGAGCAAGACCCCCATGGTTCCGTCCTTCAGCTGAGCCCAGGTGCTTTCCACCCTCTCCACTTCCTATCACCTATGGTGGTCTCTTCAGCATCACCCTCAGGATTCTCCCAGGGATCTGGGTGGGATTCTGGGGGTGGGGTATTTGTGGCACCTCCTGCCCAGGGTTTGCCGTCCCTTCCTGCATCTCCTGGAAAGTGCTGGTGAACTCGCCGATGAAGTCATGCTTCCCACTGGAGTCATAGTCATACACCAGGAACTGAGAAGGCAGGGGGAGGGGTGGGGTCAGGTTGGAGATGCTCTGCGGTATTCACGGTGAGTAGGGGGACTCGGGGACTTGGAGTAGGGGGACTTGGGCCTTAGAGTCTCCATGCCCAAACAGACATCCTCAGCCTGCCCGGAGAGGCCACCTGCTGAACTTTGTTCTTTGGCTCAGTCTGCTAGGGACTTTGGCCACTGATAAAATGCACACATGTGGGAAGTTTAACATTGAGCTGTGACCTATTATTTATCCCACAGTGGGATGTGATTATCACTTGGGGGAGAGGAGGGAGGCTTGCCACATGCAGGGGAAAGGTCTTAGATAGCAGATTGGTTGCTCTAAGTAGGCTGTGCTGGCTTGGCTGGGACTTCACCTTGAGAGGTCGGTGAACATCACAGCTGCATAGGGAATGCAGGGACAGGCGGAACGGCTCCCAGCTGGGGTTCAGGTTGTTCTTCACCACCTTGGAGAGGCACCAGGTGGCTGGTCAGCTCCTGTCTGTGTCTTCTTACTTTACTCTCCCTCCCTTCATCCCCATAGCCCCAGGCACCAACCTCAGTTCTCCAGACCAGCTGATCACTTTGGTCCTCGTTGGTCTTATAGATTTCCATGAAAGGGTCAGACTTGCTGAACAGATCCTGAAGATACAGGAGAAAGGGCCCTTGAGGTTGGTGAGAGCTGCAAGGAGGGTGGGGGATGGGCTCCCACTGGGAAGAGAGCAGGCCTGGGCTCCTGGGATCTGTCTTGAGTGGGAGGCCTAGGAGTGACAGGGGAGTTGGGGGCCTGGACTCTGGGGTTCCAACCTTGTTGTCCAGCTTGTAGGCTCTGAAGGTGAGTTGCACATAGTCGTTTGTGCCTGATACCTCCTCGGCCACGATCTGCAAGGGGGATACAAGTGGCAGGACTCCCCTAACCTTACCACAAGGGCCACCCCATCCCCTTTCCCTTAGGTGGGGGTGGTCCTGGGCATGATGTCACCATAGGTGTCCATGCAGGGGCATTGAATACCTGGACCAAGGGTGAGTACAGGTGATCTTGCCTACCGTGATGGTGGACTTGCCCGCAGTCTTCCCATTCTTCAGCAATAATGGCTTAGTGACCTTGGTTTGTGACACAATCTGGGGATGGAGGTGGAGGGAGACCCAGCTGTGACATCCCCATCTGCCTTGGCCACGTACAAGGGATGGAATAATAAATGCTCTGAGTGTCTGCAAGGGTTGGCACTTTGAGTTGGGCTAGGGTTGGGCTCAATTTTTACAATAGTCTGAAGAGGGAAGCACTCTGACCACTCCTCCATTTTTTAGATAGGAAAACTAAGACTCAGAGAGGTTAAGTATCTTTCCTGAGGCTGCACAGCTAGTGAATGGCAGAGATGGGAGCCAAGGCTGGGTTGAACTAGCTCTAGAGCTCATGTTTTCTCTCTTTTTGGCTTCCAGAGGCAAAGCTGATGGAGGTAGGGTAGGGTAGCCGGGGAGGCCGGGAATGCAGACCTGGCCCAAGGTGCACTCCGTAGAGCCGAGGAAGGTATCATTTCGGGGGCTGGTGGCTCCGTCCTCGGCATCGAACACGTGGAACTGCAGGGGCTGCTTCTCCTCAAAAAAATACTCAAGGGCCAGCACCCGGGAGAAGACAGGGCTGGAACAGGAGCGAAGCACCTCTGTGCGCTCTACCTGTGGTAGTGGTTGAAGGGAGGCGAGGGCTGTCTGGGAACCGAGGATACTTTTCCCTGTCCTGGACTGCCCTAGTCATGCCAGCTCTTCTTGGGCCCCCACGTCCCCAGCAACCAGCTCTTCTCTTCCTAAGCTGATCCCTGAGCTTGGGGTGCTGCCTGCCCACTGGACTCTCAGTCCTCCGGGCTATCATGAGGCCTTTGGGAGCAACCCCACTGCCTCTGGGTCAATCTCAGGACCCTCTGGGACACCATCTCCAGGGTACCCAAGCGGCCTCGAGAAGGCGCCGCAGAGTCCACACATTTCCCTGCAAGGCTTTCACTGCTCCCACCCAGCCTCCCTCTTTCCCAAGCTTAACCCAGGTTAGTTAAGGAGAAACCTGAGCTGCTCTCACCTCCACCCACTGCTCATCAGAGTAGAGCTTGAGCAGCACGCAGGGGTGGGGTTTGGTGAGTGTGTCCCGGTCCAGGAGGCCATGGCAGGACACCCGCAGCTCCACCCGAGAGGCCCCCAGCGTCATGGTTGGGGGCTCAGGCACCCATCCCATCTCAGGGTCCGACATGTCACTGTGGGGACAGAGCAGGTGGCCTGGACTCTGGAAAGGGAACACCTGCCAGCAGAGGGGTCTATCCTCTAGGGTCCCTGGGCCCCACCCCTTAACCTCCTTCCCTAGACCCTGGGGCCTCACGGACCTCCTGCTTCCTCAGCTTCACCAGAGTTCTGAGCAGGGGAGGGCAGAGGACCTGAGCCTCCCACTCCTGCTCAGAAGCCCTGTGCTGCTGGCCTAGGTATGCGTGGATGGGGCTGGAGAGGGCTGAAGGATTGGGGTGGGGATGTTCCTGGCAGTCTTGGCTCCTAGGCCATCGATTGATCTACACTTTCTGCCGCCTCAGCACCTTCTGCTATTTCCCGACTGGTGTTGTGCCAGCGCTGCACTCAGTCTTGGCACGAGGGAGCTAAACTAGGGCAAGGGGGTGGGGCAGGGGGTGGAGAGGCCTCTGGAGTTCTGAAGAGGATGGGTCTCAGAAGTGGAGTCTGCAGTGGGCAGGAGACAGGTTGGAAAGTCCCCTGCTGGGCTATCCCTATCCACTCCCTACCCCCATTCCCCTTCTGGCTAGCTGATGGAAAAGGAGTGGTGGTGGGCTGGGAGGCAGGACCAGGGCTCTGCTGAAAGCTCCTTCAGGCTCCTGGCAGGAGCTCTAACTGTGACAAGCCTCACATCCCTCCCCACCTCCCCTGTTTTCACACTTCTTGGCAGCACTGGCACCGTCTCTTAGCGACAGGATTTTTGGGGAGTCGTGGCTCCCTCCATGCTGCCCGTGGGATGCACGCATGCCACCTTCCCCCAGCAGTGGTACCAAGCCTCGGGCTGAAGCAGGCAGGGGTATGCCGGCCAGAGTTCATGGCCGGTCAGTCCATCTATCTGTGTCTGTACAGATCTCAGGGTGAGGCTGTCTGATCCCATGTCATGCTTCCCCGAGTGAGTGTGCATTGGTGTGTCTGAGTGCCCCACCCTCCGTGTCTGTCCCCCCATGTCGTGTGTCCGTTTCCAGGAGGGTGTGACAGTTCCTGTACCTCCCTCAGAAGTGGGACCTTTCTCTGGCTGGGTATCTACCTCCCCACAGTGTGTGCCTTTCTGGATATGTGAGGGAGGGTCTGGGCTGGGGGAGGGGGGTCTCTGCCTTCCAGCCACAAGTCTCCCAGTTCTTGGGGGTCCCCGAGATAGGCAGGGGCTTGTGGTGGTGAAGGGATTGGGCAGGGCTGGGATCTCTCTGCGGGCTCCAGGAGATGTTGTTATGGAGACTGGGCCAAGCTGGGCTGGGCTGGGGCTGGGCTGGGGAGGAAGGGTGGGCTCACCTGGGCTCTCGGTCGGGGGCTCCTCTCTCCGGCTCTCTGGCCCTGGCCCTGACTCCCTTGCTGCTCCAGCCGCTGGCGCCGGCTCCAGCTCCGGCTCTGCTGCTATTTATGGGGCCTGGATGGGGAGGGGTGGGGGGGGGCGCAGCACCAGCTCCCCCCGCGTGGATGGATTGGGAGGGAGAAGAGGGAAGGGGCAGGGCCACAGCCTGGGAGGGAGCCACAGAACCGGGGGAGGAGGGCAGGCTGGGGGTGGCTTAGAGGCAGGACCCCCACAGACACAGTGACACACATCTTCCCCTTCACACTACACCCACACCCAGAATCGCAGAGATGCGCACATTGCAGTGGCATGCACATACACATTCAAACAGAGAAATGATGGCGACACATGCACCCACGACTCACAGGCTCACACATATCTTGACACACACAGGCGCCAGTACATAAACTCACTGTGACACCACGACAGTTACAGCCCCCGGCGGATACACATTGGGAAACATACCCCTTCTCACATCACTTTCAACATTGTTACACTAGCTAAGGATATCTGCAGTCACATATACAGGAACACTGGGCTGTCCTTGTCACACATGTACTCACTCAAACTAACCCGGAATACAGCAGGATGTGATCTTCCCGTGCTCCTTAAAAGCCATCACATACCTTGCTGAACGTCATAGCTTTGAGAATGATGTCCAGTTCCCTAGCCACCATTTTATAAGGAGACACAGGAAATGGACATAATTGCTTAAGGACACCCAACCTCATATCCTGGTCACATGAGGGCATCTGCTGAAGGACTGACTCCCAAGGCTTCTTCCCGGTGCCACAATGTACCCAACACCCCCCAAGATTCAACCCATATGGCCTTACCCTTGTGGGAGGGGCTGTGCCATGCACAGATCTTAAGGAAACAAAACAAGTAATTCCTGGTGAAATCAGTAAGTAAGGGAAGTAAGCAGTTGCCTGGGGAGCTGCAAACCACACATGAAGACATTTGGGCACATTGTGGTCTGCGATGAGTACGCAAGAGCATTTACCTTCGCCCTCCATCCCCTTAAGCTGCTCATGTATTAATATAGCAGCCATTTATTGAGCATCTCCTGGGTGTCAGGCACTGTGCCAGGTGCTGGGGCTACACAGGTGATTAAGACACAGCCTCTGCCCCTGGGGGAGGCAGATGTATATGGAACAGAAAGACAGGCAGACAGAGAGAGGATAAGCCAATACGCATACGCAATGAAGCGTGACAGGTGCAATGTTATGGACCTGCTCAGGATGCAGTGGGAGCACATTAAAGCAGGGTGCAATATGGATGAGTGGGGAAGGCATCAGGAAGGACTTCACAGAGGAAGGGGCTTTTGAGTGGGATCTTGAATGCCAAGATAGTATTTGCTAGAACACCATGGGAGACAGCTACTTTAGTTGCTGACCTCATGCCACAGAGACTTCTGTTCACCTGCAAGCCACTCTGCTATTGAGACTTCTGACTAGTGAGGGTGCCCCCAGGACGACACAACATCATGTAATTCCCCCATTAGTGTGCATGCATGCACACACACACACACACACACACTGCTCCCGTGTCCCTCTGGTACACTGGGGCTTCCAATCCCATTACACCCCCAAAAGCTGGACAGACTTTGTGTTGGTTTCTGTCCTTTTGGTTCTTTCTCCAGGAAGCTCAGCCCTGACCCTGGGCATAACACCCATCTTGGCTTGGGGACTTATCAGTCCCCTTCCCTCGGCAGTTCTCTGTTTTTTTCTCCTGCTCCTCTCAGAACCCCAAGTCTATCCCTGTGGAATGTTTCTCATTTTTCTCCACTGTGGCCAAGCTCTGAGGGTTTGTGGGAAGAGAGCAGATTGTGGAGGCAGTGAATGGGGAAGATAGCAGAGACTCGAGGCAGGCGATGATTTTGTTTTTTTATTCTATACAAGAGGGGAGAGAGTCCCTGGGGATAGAGGGACAGAGATCCACCCTCCTGGGGGAGGAGATAAGCCCCCACCCAGAAGCTCTCTGCAGAGAGAGGTATCGAGGCAGGCACTGACAGCCTCCGTCTCTCCAGGTGGCTCCCTCTGTTCTAGTCCCTGCCTCCAGCTCCCCCATGCCTGGTCCTGCCGTCTTGCCCCTGTAGGACAGGGGCTGGCAGGGGGCCCTGGGGACTGGGGGTGGATAGGGGTCTGAGTCCTTGCGAGGCACATGTCGAGGGCTGAGGAGGGTGTTGTGGCAGTTGTCAGTCTGTTCCTGGCTCACTGGTTCCTGCTGGGGACAAATCCAGGGAGCCCTGTTTCCTGGGCAGGGACAGCCAGCCACCTGGTGTTGGGGCTTCGGGGGGTGTCATGTTGGACAGATAGGTGGGAAGGGGGGACCTGCCCTCTCACCACCAGCACCTGTGGGGTCAGGAGGCCGTCTTCTATCAGGTTCCAGCTTGTCACAGGACTGTGCCCGCCGTGTCCTCTTGGGCTTCAGGGGGGCAGTCCGCCGGCCTGGATCAGGGGGCCCTGAAATAACAATCAAGGCAGGCCTAACACAGGAGTGGGGCTCATGCTGGGATGCTCATCCAGGCTGTGACTCCTGGTTGTCACTCATTCCATGCTCTGGAAGAGGACCTGATGTGGACAGCAAAGTCCTAGAGGTGCCCTGAGCCCCCCACTCAGCCAGGGTGGCAGACCTTGGACTTCGGGCTCCTCTTGGTCTTGCTGTGAGCTCAGCCTCAGCCGGGGTTTGTTGACTCCTGGAGCTGCATCTCCAGCCTCAGCCTCCTCCCTGACCCCTGGCTCCTGGGGAGGCTGGCGGCCCCTGGGCACAGCCACTGGCTTGGGAGGCCATGGAGCTAGAGCGGGGTCCTGTAGCTGGCAGAGGAAGGAAGATGCTGGGTCAGTTAGTCCCTTTGCCTCATCAAAGTGCCTCCCCCACCCATCTTGCCAGCTCTCACCTTGGCATTCCTAGCTGGAAGTGTCCTCTCTGGGAAGAGGGTCCCCTCCTTCTCCTCTTCCCCATCTTGGGAGGCTGGGCTGGGACTCTGGCAGCTGTGGTTGGGGGCACTCTCTTCAGCTGGGGATGAGAGAGAGGAGAAGCTGCAGGAAAAGGCATTCTTGCATAGCTCCTGTCCCTGTCTCCTCTCTCCACTGAAGCCCTGGAGGCCAGGACTTTCTCCCTCCAAGCCCACTTGCTCCTATGTCTCTGCCTTTCATGTGCCTTTTTTTTTTCTTTTCTTTCTTTCTTTCTTTTTTTTTTTTTGGAGATGGAGTTTTGCTCTGTCACCCAGGCTGGAGTACAGTGGTGCAATCTTGGCTCACTGCAACCTCCACCTCTCGGGTTTGAGCGATTCTCCTGTCTCAGCCTCCCGAACAACTGGGACTACAGGTGCGTGCCACCACGCCCAGCTAATTTTTGTATTTTTAGTAGAGACAGGGTTTCACCGTGTTGGCCAGGATTGTCTCGATCTCTTGACCTAGTGATCCACCTACCTCGGTCTCCCAAAGTGTTGGGATTACAGGCATGAGCCACCGCACCCGGTCTTTCATATGCCTTTCTACATCCACGCTCCTTAGCCCTTGTTTCCCAGGATCATCCTGAGGCCATCACCTCTGGAGGGGACTCTGGCCTAGCTGTCCCTCTTGCAGAGCAGTGCCCAACCCCTTTCCTGCTGGGGCAGGGCCCAGGGCCTGCTGGGTCCACAGGCATGCTGCCCATCCAGGCTGCAGTGCCCTGGGGGCTCTGCCAAGGCTGCAGCCTGGCATTCCCAGAACTCTGTCTGAAAGTCTGATTTAGATGGAGGGGTGCCCTGGCACACTCATCCTCCGCCCCAGTGGCCTTTAAGCAACATGAGCCTGTGGCTCTGACACTGGAAAGTGTTGTCTGCATGTGGATCTGTGAGGTGTGTGTGCAGTGGGGCAACTGACTATTGCGGTTTCCTAAATGAAAGATGGAGCCCTACTTTGGGGCGCTTTAATTAGCCTGTGTATGGGATGGAAAAAATCAGCAAAGATGCCCCCAGTGCTGGGTTGGCCTTGGAGGAGGAGGCAAGGACACAGGCACTCCAAGTCTCAGGCTAGCCTGATTCTGCACTACAGGGGAGAGAGGGGCAGATGCAGAATGGGTGGGATAGGACAGTGGGGAGCATGTGGCTCAAGCCAGACCAGCCCGCTCAGCTCTTAGCTCTTTCCAGCCCTTACGCCCTAGCCTGGTGGTGGGAGTGAAAGAGGCTGAGGGGGTGTCTCCATCTACAGAGAGATTTTGTCTATGTCAATATTGCTGGAGGGTCATGGTCCAGGCCTTTGGCAACTGCTGGACTGAGCGAATGCTGAGCTGACCAGCTTTTCTTTAGTGGCTCCCTAAGCGGAAGGTGCTCTGAAGCCAGCAGAAAGGAAGTGTCATGCCTGGGATAATCCCCTCCCTTTTACTCCTCCGGTCATGGGGCCAGAAAGTAAATGACTTGTTTAAGGTCGCGGGTGGCTGAGAAGGACTAATACTGCAGGTTTCTGACCTCCGAGGCGAGCTCTTGCCCATGTTTGGGGCACCTTTCTGCGTGAGCTGAGGGTGAGTTGATAAACGACTTCTGGAGGAGGCTGGAATCTGAGGTGGGCCTGGCACAGCTGGTACTTGCTGGCAGTTTGACTTGCCCACCCTCTTCCCAGCAAGGTGCAGAGAGGAGCCTTGTCTACAGAGGCTGCCACTGTGCCAATGGTGACCAGAGGCTGCACCTGCCCTGGAGAATTCGCCAGAGCCATCCACAAAGCATCGCTCCTGTTTGCCAACACTGGAGAAGCCGCTTTTGTTCTGTAGAAGCTTTCTTTGGATTGGGTTGTTTGTCTCTTTTGGATATAGCTTTGTAAATATCCTTAAACATTTTCACTGTGTTGACTTCTCACTGCCCCACCTTGGCCATAAATTCCCCAGCACAGGGGCCATGGGCTTCTGTTTCTTTGGACACACCCTGGGCTTTCAGTACTGCTGCCTGAAAAGAGGCTTTCCATACCTATGTGCCATGTGGCCTCTGCTCTGCGCATGGCGCTGAAGCTTGGTTTGGTGCTTTGGGGCGGTGGTGGGGGCTTCCAGGATCCAGGCCCTGGAGTAGAGAGAGGGGATGAGAAAGAGAGGAGAAAGGGAAAAGGTAAATTTGACCCCTGAGAGAGGGGTCCAAAAGGGCTTTGAATGTGACTGTTCTTACCTGCGTCGTCTGAAGAGCGCCGTTTCTGCCAGGCCTGGGTGCTGCCCTCCTGGTCTGGGCCTGGGCCCTGAAAGAACAGTGGGTCAGGTTGTAAGAAAGTCTCCTCTGTGGCAGGACTGCAGCTGACAAAGGGCTTCTGCTCTAGCATCTCCATGTCATTCTCATGTCATTAGTCCCTAGACACTTAAAACTGTTTCCCAAAGAGTGGCACCCATACCTCCCCAGGGGCACAAGAAATGGCTTACACAAATGAGTATACTTCCATCTTTATAGTTACATATGTATTTTACATGTAGTAGAAAAAAACACGACTCATTCAAAAAGCCTGCGATTTTAAAGATAATGTCTAGGTCTAGCCTAAGTTAAAAAAAGGTGAGTTAATTTAAATAAAAATACTATGTAAGTAATAATTCAGGTAAAAATCAGTCGCAAAGGTTATAATCAAGTCACCATTGTTTGGGAAACAGAGCTCTAGAGGTAAGTATTTTTATAACCCCTCATTTTACAGTAAAGAAGGAGAGGTTTCAGGAGGTGAAGTGACCAGTCCAGGGCTCCACGGCAAGTGTGTGGTGGGGGCTGAAGAGCAGCTAACATCTTCTAATGCCAAAGCATCTGCTTTCTCTACTGAACCACCAGGGATGAGGGAGTGGGAAGGAGAGGGTGGTGGACAGATACCCTCAGGACCCACAGTTTGTTGTCCCAGGCTCCACTCACCTCTCGTTTCCCATCGAAGCTCCAACCCTTGGCTCTTTCCAACCCGGGAAGGGCAACACCGTGAACCCTTGGCTGCTGTGCTGTCCCAGGGGCTGGGCCCCCCTCCCCTGGCTCTGACCCCTCAGTGCCCTAGAACAAGGTCTCTTATTTATTAGCAGTTCCCAGTCGAAGGGGGCTCCCCAGGCTGTGAGGGAGTTGTCAGGAGGACCCCTGCCTCACTGAGTCCCTAGCCACGGGGAAGCCCTGCAGAGACCCTCTGAAGAGTCCTTCCAACGCCTGCATTCGCATATAGCACTCCCAGCATGCTCTTGGCCACTGGGTCTTAGTCCACTCTCAAGGAGAGGAGAATTGAAATGACCAATGTTCCCAAGAACCCTGGGTCCTAGCATTCTCCCATTAAGCTTGGGGTGGGGTAGGAGACTGGGTTAAGTGTGGGGCAGGAAAAGGGGAAGACACAGCACCCCCTGCCTCACTTACCATCTTCCGGCGGAAGGAAGGTCCCCGGCCCCCACCAAATCCAGGGAGGAGGCTGCTCTCCTCCTCTGGGCTCCAGCAGGGAGAGGAGTTATTGCCGAGGCTTGGGGGGTCTGGGCTAGGGGGGCTCTCCTGAGTCGGGGGAGGGGGTGGGGGTGGAGGGAGGAGGAGTCCAGTGGTAGGGGACCCCGGCCCCCTGTCCCCCTTGAAGCTCCGGGGCCGGCGAAAGTGAAACAGGCCCCGGCGCCTCTTCTTCTGGAGTGGAGGCAGCGGTGCCTCCGAGAGTCCTGGCCGCACGGTCCTCAGAGTCCGGGGGTAGCTGGGGAGAATCGGGGTAAGTTAGCAACAAATGCCAGATGCAAGCTCAATCCTGGGTCTGATAAACCTGCTTTCCTCTCATCTGGTCTCCCCTGCTGCACTGCAGCCCTTTCCACTTAGTTCTCAGGGAGATGATGCCCTTGCCTTTCCTGTCCCGTTGTAATCCTCCAGCAGCCTTTCCCGCAGACTGATGTTTCTTCCCAGGCACCTCCCCTGCAACTCCTCTCAGCTTCTCCAAGTGACCTGGCTCCTCCTGGACAGACCCTGGGCAGTCTGCAGGACAGTGACAGGGAACACTACCCCCCGGGCCTCTCACCACTAATGGGTATCCTGTCCCAGGGCTGCCCCCCACCTCCCTCTCATCCACACCTGCTCTCCAACCCCACTGTGGTGGTTCACTCTGGCCCCATTCTTCCCAGCTGTCCTGGGAAGACGCAGAGGTCATGGGCCCTGAGGGCTGGGTGGGGAAGGATGAGAATGTGGGGAAATTTCTCACAGAGACTGGCTTTGGGCACTGCTGTTATGGAGACTCCCATGGGAGCTGGGAGGACACAGCAGCCCTTCTAGGGCCTTGGGGCCTGCTGAAAATGGGAGTGTGTTTAGGCATCACACCTAGAACTTTCCTCCAGGACCCTTCGGCTGAAGAAGTCCTCCAGCCCTTCATCCAGGCGGGTGGCCATCCCATTCTCCTGACGAGTCCCAGGTGCTGGCATCTGCTGGGAGGAAAGTCCCGTGGGACATCTCATCTAGGTCAGGAAGCCCCACCTCCCATCCACTCAGAGCATTCCCCTTTGGGCTTGGACATTTATGGAAATGTAGACTTCAGTTCACCCAGTGTTTCTTTTTCTTTTTTTTTTTTTTTTTTGAGACGGAGTCTTGCTCTGTCACCCAGGCTGGAGTGCAGTGGCATGATTTTGGCTCACTGCAACCTCCGCCTCCTGGGTTCACGCAGTTCTCCTGCCTCAGCCTCCCGAGTAGCTGGGATTACAGGCAGGCGCCACCACGCCCGGCTAATTTTTGTATTTTTAGTGGAGATGGGGTTTCACCATCTTGGCCAGGATGATCTCGATCTCTTGACCTCGTGATCTGCCCGCCTCAGCCTCCCAAAGTGCTGGGATTACAGGCCTGAGCCACCATGCCCAGCTCACCTAGTGTTTCCTAAGCTTGGTGGCTCTTGGTGTTCTTGGTGGCTCTATCCTTCACCAAAATAAGAATGACACTGCCCGGCAGACAGAGCTTTCTTATCTGTGACAAGGTCTAGCTCTCATAAAAACTGGGCAATCCCTCATCTGTTCATTGGCATGCCTGGACTCCTGCCCAATCCCTCAAGGCTACTGTCTCTGGCATTTGGGTCCTAAAGGTAAAACTCCTGGCTCTGGTGTCACTGAGTGAAGGGGATCCTCTTGTGAAGCCTTAGGGACTCACACTGGGTCGACCAGGTCCTGGAGGTGTGGTCCTGGGGGGGCGGGGCCTCCCTTGTGTTTGATGCCTTAGTTTGTAACCATGAGTGGGCAGCTCAGATAGACCTTCCCAGGAGCCACTAGCTGTGGGCTGGCTGCCCCCAAGTCCTGAGAACCAGCCAGGGGGGATCCCCAGATTCCCCAGTTGGCTTTCCATGTCCTGAGGGCTCCCGCCTGCAAAGACAGCAGCATTAGAGGGACTAGCAGAGGAATGGGGAGAAAGCAGGATGGGGAGACAGAGAAAAAATCAAGGGAAAGAGGGGCTACAGAGGGCGGGAGTCTGGAGTCCATGAGAACGGAGGCTGGGAGACTCACTGATGAAGGCAGACACCGGCCGAATCTTGCGGCAGCGTTTCTGCTTTTTGATGGCCATGGTGTCCTGCAGAAATGAAGACGAGTGGCAGGGCCAGGCACCTCACCCAGAGCCATCCATTCCTCATGAAACCTTATTTGAGCCCATCCTGCCCCTCGCTCCTCAGGGGGCTGAGGCACTGGGATGAGGGAAGAGGTTGGGCTGGATTGAGATTGGAGGCAGAAGGCCAGGCACAGTGAGGTGGCCAGGGGAGTACAGATCAGTGGAAGGGGACAGTGTTGTGCAGGTTTAAGGGCAGGGCCCAGGTTATTAAGGAGGAGCAGGGAGCGGGGGGCTCACAATGTTGGTCCCAAGTTCATCATCTGTGGTCTCCTCATGGTCATGGTTCCGGCCTCGGCCCCGGGAGGACAGATCCTGCCCTTGGCCTGGGCACCCTGGTGGATCTGACAGCGTCCTTAGCTGGGTCAGGTGCCGGGCCTGGGGAAGGGCAGGTGTGAACAGAATTCCATGGAAGCTGCCCACCTCCCAGGGCCTTGAAGGGGAGGGTGATTAGGGAGACAGGATAATGTGGGGTGGAGGGCGTGCCCGAGCCAGGCCAGGCTGCAGAAGAAGCCTTACCAGGCTCTTGTGGGAATGGTAGAGCTCTTGCAGGATCTCATCCACTATGGAGCTGGTTAGGTAGGTGACGACTGAGAGCTTCACTTCACTGTGGGCACAGGTGGGGCTACTCAGAACATTAGCACCTCAGTCCCCCGCATGGCCCCTGAGGCACTCCCTCTCCCAGAAGCCTGAGAGAACGGCCAGCTGGCCTGGTCTGTCTGCCCATGGAGCGCATGTGGCTGCTGAAGGAGGCAGCCTAGCCCTTGACACTCATTTCTCCACAAATACACGTCTAGTCCCACCCCAGAGCCCCCAGCCCAACTATGTGTGGGGAAAGAGGAATTCGAGGAGAAGGAGCAAGGGGGCCCTAGGTCAGGCCCCTGGAGCCCCAGTGGAACAGAGCTAGGTAATTGGGGTGCTGAGTAACTAAACCCTGCTAGTTGCTACTGTGAGGGTAGGAAAGACCCTTCCTTGGGCCTAGCTGTTTCATAGGTATGTGTACTAGTTTTCCTTTGGTTTGGTGAGTGGTGGCACCCAGACCCAGAATGAAAGAACTCTAGGGGCAATGAAAACTGGGAGGAAGACAGTGCTTCCATGCACCCAACTCAGGTACTTTTCTTTGTCCATGCCTCCGAGGAGGCCCTGCTATCCCATTCCTGGTGTATTTGTGTGGGTATGTGTGTGTACACCTGTGTGGGCACAAACTTGGCTCCTAAACCCCAGCTCAGCACTTAGATTTCTAGGGCAAAGACCAGCCAGACCCTAAATAGCAAGGTTGCACTTGGTTAAAGATTGATCCTTGTAATGGAGATTGTGCCATTCATTATTCATTGCTGATAGCTCTCCAGTCCTAAGTCCCTAAGTGATCTGGGCCAAATCCAGCTCAGCCCCAGCCCTGCCCTTTGCCTCTCACTCCAGCTTGTTCTGAATGTCCTGTCCTGCTTGCTCCAGCAGTGCCCCTCGGATGAAGTTCCGGGGCACAGTGACACGCTCCGCCACATTGCTCAGCATCTTGTTGTGTCCCTCGGCCACCCGCATGGCCACAGGGCATAACTCCTGTGTCAGGCTGACCATGGACTCCAGGATCACCTAGTATGGGGGAAAGGGAGGCCAGAGGCCCAAGGGGGACAGGATCAGGGCTGGCACCACAGCAGAAGAGACTTTATCTATTCCAGCCCCTCCTGCTGAGACTGAGGGACCTGCCTAAGTCACAAAACTGTTAGTGGCAGAGCCTTGGACACTAAGGCTTCCCCACTTTCTGGTCAGTGCTCCTTCCACCCTACCATACAGACAGGGGCAGTCAGTCCAAGGATCCAAATCCAGAGCAGGGAGGTCAGAGTTCAGGGACCAACATCAAAGCTAGCAGAAAAAAATCCAAGCCTGATATTGCAGCAATGCCTTGGTACAGTGGGAGCGTGGGTGGTCTCAACTCTGCATGTCCTCCTGGCCCTCCAGAAGTCTCCCAGCTCTGACTTTAGCTCTGGGCTTAGGGCCTCAGTCAACACTAGGTTCCCACCATGGATTCCTCCCTCCTCCAGGACTTGCCTGCAGCTCCTTGTCCACAGCTTTGGACACCTCACTTGCTACTGATTCCAGCCTCTGCCGCACAGGCCCATCATTGGCCAGCACGTGGCCCAGCTCATAGAGGCTGGGAAACAGCTGGAGAAGGAAGGGGTTATGATTAGCAGGCCAGAACCAGGACTTGCTAGGTCTCTGGGGTCCCTGGGCTAGGAAGGCAGATGCACAGGGCAGGGCTGTCATGGCTTAGCATGGTCGGCCTTCTTGGGTTCTCCAGACTTCAGGGGAAGGGTAGCCTGTGGAGGGCTCACCGCCCGGGAGTTCTTGGCATCTTTGATGAGGTCCCGAGCGTAGAGTAGCTCATCCTGCACAGGCTCCAGGGGGCATAGTCTCAGGGCCCGCACCTCCTCCTGCACTCGTCCACACAGCCGCTGCAGCATCTGGAGCACAGTGGCAGGGGTGTCAAGGGGACCCCTGCTTCCACATCTTCGCAGGTAGGACCCCTTAGACAGTGCTACTGGTGCTGGCACCGACAGTGGTGGAGGTGATGTCTCTGGCTGGCCTGGTCCCCATTGCTACAGCCTTCTTGAATGCCCAGCTGAGCTCCCAGAGTCCTGTGCACTCCTGCTGTTCGCCCACATATGTTTGAAGCCCATATCCTGCATGTCCTCTCTTTTTGCTTCCCCACATGCTCAGTCCAGTGATAGGCACCATGCAGTGCCTCTTCATGCTCCCCCACTCAATTTTCCATCACATCACACTGTGCCCTGCATGCCCCGGGTATGCCCCGTGTCCCAGAGGGAAACGTTTACTTGCTCGGCGCTGCTGGTCACCAGGCCCTGCTGCAACCTGAAGGCCTGCTCCTGGGGGCACGTCTGGGAGTGGTTGTTCCTCACTAAGCACCATTGGATCTGGAGATGATGGGGTTGGTGGGTCAGGGCCTGGGGATGGGGGCTGCCCCCTGCCCCTTGCTGTGCCACCCTGCTTAGGACAGCACCCTGCACCTTCTGCCAGACGTCCTCGGTGCGCTCAGGCGCGCTGCGATAGGCTTGGGAGATGTCGCTCACGGGGAAGGACATGAAGCGCAGCGTGTGGTTGCTGTGGGACACAGGGGCACAGCTGGGTGGGAACAGGTGAGGATGGGAGGCCCCTGCCTCCTCTGTTGGTGAGCAGCCCTCCAGCCCCCTTGCTCATCATTTCTGTCTTCCATGGCCCTTCCTAAAATTTCTGTGCAAATAGGTCAAAGGGGCTAGGGTGGGGCAAGAGTAGTTCAGGCCTGATCCAGGCACAGGGAGGCTGGGGACTTGGATCAGGGCAGGACCATGGTCTACTCACCTCTCCAGGGCCCTTGCGATGTCCAGGAAGCCCAGGGCAGATGTATTGTTCCGATCCCATAGGATAGTTCTGGGGGGAGGGTAAGCACCAGTTTGGCACCTCTCCTCCTGGGTCCCTACTAGGGGCCAGGGACACAAACCTCTTGGGGCAATAAGGCTGACTCAGAGATGGTTCTGGGGCTGGGGGTCTTCTGGAAGCTGGGGTCCAGAGCATCAAGGAAAGCAGGGAGATTATGTACATATGGGGAGGGGCTGGGGCTCCAGGTCAGGGGGTCCCGGTGTGGGCCCCACCTGAGGGAGGAGTTTATCTGCAGGGCCTTAGACAGCATCTTGGCCCCGATGTCCTCCATGCCATTGCCGCTCAGATCCACCTTGGCCAGGCAGGTGTTGCTGCCCAGGGCATTGATGAGGATGCTGGTGCGAAGCTTCAGCCGGGAGTCTGCCACCGACAGTGACTGCAGGGACTGTGTGGGCAAGGGGCGGTTGGACCCAGTCCCCACAGCCTCCTCCGACTGCAGGTCCCCTCCCAGGCCCAGGCACTCACACAGTCCTCTTCCTGGATCAGCTGCACCAGCTTGTGGAGGATCTCCTCCAGGGTCCTGCAGGGAGGCGGGGCTCAGAGTAGGAGGGGAAGGGCTGGGGTCATGCTATTGGAGGAGGAGAGAGGTGGCCAGAGGTAATACGGTGAGCCAAGAGGATGGGTGAATGATGGGATGAGGGTCTGTGGGCATGGAAAGGGGGCCTCACTTGGCCTTGACATTGAAGTTCTTGCCCAAAAACAGGTGCTTGAGGGACTTGTTCTTGCCAAGTGCAGGCACCAGTGTCAGGAGGTCCGAGTCGAACCCTGGTGAGCAGATGGGAGAGGCCTGGCCTGGAGGCCTGAGGCTGACTGGTGTCCCATCAGGGCTGCTTCTGCATGCTCCAGGCCCCTGTTCTCCCCTGGCCCCAGGGAAGGGAGGAACCACTACTCACCATTGTCTGACAGATCCAGGCTGCCTACACAGGTGACAGCTCCCAGCTGCTCCTGCAAGGCTTGGGCTCCCGCTGAACGGAGCTGCAGGGACAAGGTGAGGTAGGGAAGGCAGGGGTTGGGGTGGGGGTAGGGCACCTTTAATGCTTAGGATATAGTAGTCACACCAGAACTCAAAGTCATGCCAGGATCTGGGTGTAAAATCAGGGAGACTCTTTCCCCACACCAGATCCTTCCCTAGAGCTGGCTTCCCTCCCTTCGGCCAGGAAGGCTGCTATTCCTAAGACAGCTTGCTCCTGCCCTCTGGTGGAAAAGTCTGGTATCTCCCACCCCAAAGCTTTAAGGGCAGAGATACTAGAGACTGAGAATGAATGGCCTCTGGAAAAGAGGCCAGACTGAGAGGGGAAAGTGGTGGTGTGGCCAGGTCAGGGGGTCGCAGAGGGTCAGCACAGAGGCTAGATGGAGCCAGGGTTTGACTTAGGTCTGAGAAATGCACATGGATCGGAGGCGGGCAGAGGGGTTGGGGACTGAGGGCTCACCTCGCAGCTGCTGAGATCCAGGTGCAGGTCACTGAGGTGACTGTTGAGGGAGAGGCCCTGAAGCAGCGCCCTGTGGGAGGGAGGTCAGCAGGCCCTCCTTTACCTCTTCCCGCTCCCCGTGGTTCCCTTGGATGCGCCCCCAACCCTGCACCCACCCGACCTGAGGGCCTCCAGGGGCAGCTTTGTGGCCGACAGATTGACGTGGCTCAGTGTGTAGGCGCTGCTGAAGAACTGCTTGAAGGCCGGCGGGGCCTCTCGACCCTTCCTGTGGAGAGACCCCTGGGGTCAGCGAGGGAGGGGGTTGGCCATGTCTTGCCCTGTCCTCCCTTCCCCCTCCTCTCCCACCTGTGGGAGCAGCTGTTGCGAGCCAGGTTGAGGTAGGTGAGGTGGGAGCAGCAGCCGTGGAGCAGGGCACCGAGAAGCTGTGGGGGGAGATATGGTGGGTCTCAGGGGAGCTGGAAGGGGGTAGGGGGTGGCAGGAAAGGACTCCCCCTCCCTCCCCATCGAGGTTCCTGGCTCTTCATTCTCTGTGGTCAGCCTGTGTGAGCTCCACTGGAGATGCCCACTCAGATTCTTGAAGTCTCTGTTTTCTCCCCTGTGGAACATGGGTCTACTCCCTGCCTGGCTTCCAGGGGCATGAAGCTGCTCACAGGCAGTGGATGTGTAAAGCCAGGGCCACCACTGACTCCTAAGGTGCCTTGTTCAAGTTAGGAAAAGCATCCATTCCCCTGGTGGAGCCAGGGTGCACAGCTGGGGAAGGGAGCAAGGGCTGGCTTTTAAGCACAGCAAGCACAAGCTTGTGACCTGGATAAAGTGCCACACAGGTATGAACTATGGACATTGCTTTATACTTCAGCTGAACCTGAAGTCATCTAGACAGCTCTGCCCGCCTGTGTACTCAGGGATAGGGGGTGAGACCGAGGCCCACTGTGGTCTTCCCCAAATCACCTCAGACTGGCTTCCCATCACCAACTCCTCACCAAGTCGATGACGCAGTCAGTTCCTGACAGGTCCAGGTGCACCAGGGCGTTGGGTTGGGCCAGGAAACTGTAGAGGGCCTGGAGTAGGAAGGAAGAGGGGTTGCAGGGGAAGGGATGATGGAGTCTCGCCACCCCCAGAGGCCATGGGGCAGAAGGCCTCCCAGCTCCTGAAGCTTAAGCATGCTTTCTGCAGGGGGCTGAGGCTGTTCTGAGGACTCACATTGGCCTCATCCGTGGCGAGGAGCCCAGGATTCTTGCTCAGGTCCAGGTATCGAAGGGAGCTGGCAAATGCTGGGTTTGCCCCGAAGGTCTGGCCGAGTGCCTGGAGCCCTGAGCACAGCGGGCACTGGGCTGGGTTGGCCCCTAGCCCCACCTCTTCCCCTCAGCACATAACTCTTCCCCTCTCCCCAAACGTGGCTCCTTTTCACTCTTCCATCCCTGAGGTGGTGTGTGAATGTGTGGGTGTACCTCTGGAGCTCAACACCCCAGGCAGCACCAGGGTAGGGTCAGAGGTCAGGGGTCCTTGGTGCGAGTACCTCGAGGGGAAATGGCAGTCTTGGCCAGGCACAGTTTGGTGAGGCCAGAGGGGAAGCAGAGGAGCTGCTGGCTCAGACTGAGAAAACCTGGGGAGTGGAGAGAGAAACGGGCCCAGTGAGGGGCAGGGCAGTGGGTGCAGGTGGCACAGAGTCAGGTTGGGGGCTCGAGTAGGGTACAGGCCTTGGGTCAAGGATGGAGGTGTCAGGGCAGGGGCTGGAATCAGGCTGGAGAGCTGCTGTTCAGACCTGGTTGGGCTCTGGGCTAGGACAGGGGTCTGCATTGGGATGGGGACAGGATTCAGGGCTGGGGCTCACCCTTGTCCTCGATGGGGTTGTGGGACAGAGTGAGGGCATGCAGCACACAGCTCCCGTTCTCCCCAAACACCCCGGCCAGCTTCTGGACAAAGTCCCTTCAGGGAAGGGGAGGAAGGATTTGTCCTGAGCTGAGCCCCAGGTCCCAGCCTCTGGGCTTCCCCTCCTCCTCTACCTGACTGCCTGGCTGGGGCTGCATGGTCAGAGGCCCCCACAACAGGGGAACAGCTCAGGGCCTGCCAGGGAGCTTGTCACCACTCCGGAGTACCTGGGGGCATTCCACACCTTAGGAAGTTGTGCTGAGACAAAGGTCAGCTTTGGGTCCTCAAGACTGGAGCAGCCCACCCTGCTTGGTAGTTAATGGAAAAAGAGGACGGGGCATGGAACATCCTGGGGAAAGGCCATGGAGCTGGGCGTCAGGAGGCTTGGGTCTGAGTTCTAGCTTGACCTCCGACTTGCTTTGTGCCCTCTTTTGGCCTTGGTCTCCTCTTCTGTAGAGAGAGGCACTGGATAAGATAGTCCAGAGGCCTGCATCATGCTCTGAGGTTCTGGGACCCTAAAACTACATCAAGGGTGCACTACTGCCCAAGGAGGAGACTGGCCTCACGTCTTAAGCCCGGCGTTGTCCAGCACCAGCTCTTCGAGGCTCCCCGACTTGCTTAGGGTATGTAGCACCTGTTCTAGCACTTCAGAGCCCTGAGGACAGAGGGGGGTCTTGTGATCAGGGGCCAAGGGGGGCACTACTTCTCCCACCTCACCAGCCCCTCCCAGTTCCTACCAGCCGCAAGTCCTTGCAGTAGAGTTTGGTGAACCACTGGTTGTAGGCCAGGGCTGCTACCATTAGGGCCAAGTCTCTGTGGGGATATGGAAGGGGGCAGGAAAGTGGTGAGCAGGTGGTTGGGTCAGAAAAGAAGAGACCAAGGATAGGGTGGTTGGGCTGGGGAAGGCCTAAATGGGTAGATGGGGATGGGATGGAGTTGGGGAGATAGAGCTGGGGCTGTGGGACCAGAAGGGCACTCCTGGGAAGGGCTGGGGTTGGGCTGAATTTGGGAATTTGAGGGTGGAGTCTCTGCCCCATCTGCTTACCGGCTCTCCAAGTGGCTGAAATCCAAAAGATTGAACTCCCGGTTATCTTCAGCATGGTAGATGGTGTCCACATCCTTGGAGAGGTGGAACTGGCTCACACCTGCTCCCCACTTCCTTCTTAGCCCCTTCCCTCCAGGTCCCACCTGTTCCCTATGGGGTCCCTGCCCAACATACCCATTGAACCTCCTCACGGCAGTGTAGCCCATTGTAGTCACACAGAGCAGCGTAGGTCTCAGAGAAGCCACCTGTGGGGCAGGAGATAGGCTGATTCCATGAGGGTAAGGAGATGGGGAATAGGCTTGGGGTTCAAGAACAGTCAAGGTCACTTTATGTGCCAGTGCTCTTGGTTCTTGCTATGCCATGAACTTCCTGAGGTCTGGGAGCTGGGAGTCCTTCAGGCAGGCAAAGCCCGCCCGCCCAGGCAACACCCTGTGCACAAAGGGCTCTGATCATGGGGCAAGATGGTGGAGCGCCTACTTTCCTCACATCTGCCCCTGCTCACCGCAGACACTGTGGGTGGTAGATGTGGAAGTCTCAGAGTTGGGGGATGTATCTCGGGGCCCCTCTGGGGTGTCTGCGTTTCCACGCCGGATCAAACACCTGGAAAAGAAACAAGTCATTCCAGAGAGGGCTGGAAAGAGGCTCTCAGTTCTTCCCACGTTATAGCTCCTGCATCCCAGGAAAAACCAGGAGTGGGGACATGAGAGCTCTCCTTCTCAGCCCTGGCCCAGGGGAAGGAGGAAGGGATGAACTCTCCCTCTCATCTAATGCCTTAAGAGACCCCTTATTTGCCACTCACCCAGGGCCAGGGCAGACCTTGGACAGGGCAGAGCTCACATGTCGTGTCACCTGGTCCACACTTTCAGCTGATGGCAGTCGCATGCTCACCATGCCACGCTCCGTCTCCACCAGGATCTGGGGGAGACGAAGCGTCAGAGCCTCAGACTCCCTCCTCTCTGCTCCCTCCTCCAGCTGGCCCAGTAGTGGGGCCCAAAGCCCTGGTACTCACCTGATTCTGACTGAGCGTGTTGAAGGCACGGATCTCCAGGACATTGAAGGAGCTCTCCACCTAGGAGGGATGGAGATGCTCAGCTCCTGGTAAGGACCTGGGTTGCCAGGCTTGGGAGGTAGGGAGCATGCCAGGTGCTCTCCTGCTCCTCAGCCCAACTCACCTTGGCCGGGACTTTAAGGAGGAAGAGGTGGAGGCGCCAGGAGGTCAGGGCCTACAGAGAGAGGAAAAAATCGGCAGCTCATGGCAGCTGCTGGGCCTTGGTGGCCCTGCCCTCCTTAAGCCCTTCAGCTCTGCTCTTGGAGTGTCTCCCCAACCCGATGCCCTACCCTAGACTTCTGGACATCAACACAGTCCAGCCCTGCCTCCTCCCCCCAGGTTTTGTCTCCTCAGTGTCCACCCACTTCTGTCTCTTCTGTCCTCCCGGCTCCCTGCCCTCTACTGGCCAGCTGCCCTTGCCAGCCACCTCCTCCCTCCCCACATGCCCAGTGCCCTCACCAGCACTCGGTCCTCAAACTTCTTGGGCTTTGTCTCCAACTTCACATGATGTTGTTGGAGCACGGCCCCTTGGCTCAGGCACCTCCGGATGCTGTCTGAGGGGGGGTGGGAGCCTGCTCAGAGCTTCACCTTACCCTGGCCACCCCCACCTCCCAGAGCTCTCCAGATAGAGGCAGGGTCAGGGTCAAATGGGATAAGAGAGAAACAGAGAGACAAAGAAGGGAGGACAGGGACAGAGGGCATTCCTTCTTGGGTGACTTTTCACACTGTCTCTTTTTTGACTTTTCTCTTCCTATTAGAGAGGGAGTAGGGTGTGGAGAAAACTCCGGCTCCTGATGTCCCTGAGTCAGGGGACGGTTGCTGACTGTCTGTGGGAGGGTGTGTCTCACACTTCTGAGGGTGTGAAGAATTTTTCCAACCCATGCACTACAACAGCCATTGACACATACAAAGTGAGTCACTGTGTGGGGGTGTGGGGTGTCCCTTTGACTATATTCTAGGTGGTCCGGGTGTGAGTGTCTGCCTTTACTATGAGAGTGTGCATGCCTCCTGGAGATGTCAGGGAGCCTGAGTGTGGCATTGGTGGGGACAGGTAAGTGTGAATGAGTATGCTGTGGAAGGGGCACAGAGCCAGACACTTCCTCTGTGTGTGTTGGGCGGGGAGAAGAATTAATGTTTAAATGAGCCCCATACCCATCTGCTGGCAGAACCACCCAGATATAGTGTGTGTGTGTGTGTGTGCACGCGCGTGTGCTGGGGTGCCATCTCTGTGAAGATGTGTTTACACACGTCTAATGATTGTGCTGTGTGTGTGTGCAGGTGTGGGAGATTGCCACGGCGCAGCATGCCTCTGAGTATCCACGAGCATCCTGCGCTTTGCGTGGGCTAGCCTGTGCTCCCGTCTCTGGGGGTCAGGGTTGTGGCAGTGCTGGGTGGCCGGGCCTGGGTTTGGGCTAGGTCTGAGAACCATGCAAACGGGAGAAGCCTTGATGTGTGGGTGGTGGGTAGCGAGAAGGAAGCAGGCTGGGACGGGGCTGTGGGAGGCGAGCCTCAGAGACCCTCCTGCTCTTGGTTTTAGCTCCAATCCAGGGCCTCTTCCCTGACTCCTTTCTTTGCCCCACTGGCCTGGGCGCTGCCCAGCTCCTAAGGGGCTCTTCAGGGCCAGTTCCGGGGCGGGGCCGGGAGGAGGGAGGGTGTTAAGCCACGCAGCGGTCAGGACCAGGGGCAGCTCCCATCGCAGGGAGGGGCGGGCTTGGCCCCGCCCGGCGGGGAAGCGGGGACTCTCCGGATGGGAGACTGGACGCTTCGCCGAGGGTGGGCTAGGAACGCCGAGAGTCAGCCCCAGGGAGCGCCAGGGAACTGCACCTGTCACCGAAGGGCGGGACGGGCGGCTCCGGGACAGGAAGGTCCCGACCGGGTGAGGCGAGGCAGGCAGCGGAGGATGCTCCGGGGACAGCGATGCCCGGACTGGAATGCAGGGGCTGCCTTGGAGCCAGGATGCATGGGGTGAGGGGTGTGAGACACCGGGCTGGGATGCACCACGGGGAGGAACGCGCTGGGTCTGGGATGCTCCCGGACGGGGCGTCCCAGAGACCGAGGCAGCCTCGTACCTTGCAACTCGCGGGTGAGCTCCACGCTGGGCTTGGCCATGGCGGCCGCTGCTGCTGAGGCTGCTGCAGAGGAGCCGCCGCCGCCGCCGGGGAGCCGCGGCACATGCTAGACCCGGCTTCAGCAGGGCCCGGGCGCTGAGCGCTGCAGCAGCGGCCGAGCCCGCTCCGGTCAGGGGCGGCTGCTTGAGCGCTCCTCCCCCCGCCTCGGAGCGCCGGCTCCCCCGCCCAGCAGGGAGAGCTGCCGGACTGAGCATGCGCTCCGCGCTGCCGAGCCGCGTGAGACCCCGCGCGCGCTCGCGCCGACCCTTCTCGCTGGCTCCCGCGTGAGCTGGCCGGTGTGCGTCGCCCGGTGTCCGGGCCTTCGGGGCGGGGGGCAGCGTCCCCGCTTTCCATCTACTCAATCCTCGGGCCCGTGGGCAGAAGCCATTTCTTTTGTTTGTGGGCCCGGGCACCTTGCAGGGCCTTTCTCTATTCCCCACCGGCTCAGGACCCCTCCAGCTTGTCCTTGCTGACTCGGGACCTAGGGCCATGCTGGGAGAGGGCATGGCTGGATCTGGGAGGCGAGGGGCGGGGAGGTGTTAGAGAGTTCCTCCTTCCCCACCCTCGCCCGACTCGCCCTGCCTCGGGGATCCCCGTGGCGTCCTGGGAGTTCCTGTCCCACCTTCCTTCCAGTTGGCAGCTCTGCAGACACCTCCACCCCTGAACATCACGCTCAGGTCCTGGAGACAGGGAGGAGGGCTGGGGGATCCAGAGATCCAGCCTGGCCAGACTTCTGCTCTCTGCTCAGCTAAGCACCCCGCACTGAGAAAACGTCGATTCGATTCAAAGCCGCGCAATCATCTGCATTTTATTTGCACCTCATTTGCAAGTTGTTAATTTGCAACTCTGCTCCTTCCACTCCAGCTTCCTTCTCTCTCATCTCCCCTCAAATTCCCCAGTGGCCTGGGCAAAAAATATCTTGGTCTTTGCCAAGGTAGACTCAGCCTTGTCAGCAGGCCTGTCCTGTGTTCTCAGGGGAGGCCTTTACCCAAGGCCACAACAACAGCAGGAATCCCGAGTAAGACACCACCTTGACGGCAGGGAAGGCTGGATCTTTTCACAGGGCAGAACTGATTTGATGAGGTGAACAGTAAGGTGAGCAGAGGTGGGAAAGGCCAGTGGGTGAATGCAGGAACAGCACCAGGAGCTAGAGCCCAACTCTGGCCTGTGGGCTGTCTCCGGGTCCTCAGAGGCGGGACGGGGTTCCTCCACCCACCATCACTGTTTCCCCAGTGAGGTAGCTGGCATCTTCAGAGCACAGGAAAGACACGATGCCAAGAGAATCCTCTGGCTCGCCTAACCTGGGGAATAGGGGAAGCAAGGAAGGGAGTAAAAATCAAACAGGTCTGCCTCCCTCACCTGGGACACGGGGAATGAAATTTGCTTAATCAAGAATTATCAGATAACTTTTCAGGATCAGTGTACAAACTTTCCGCCTATCAAATAGGGTTACCATGAGGATATGCTGTTATAATTTAGTATAAGCATACTGTACTCTGCAAAAACCATTACCCATAATATTCAAATACTATAGAGACACTGTTTTTTAGAGAGCTCAGGACACCAAAATCCAAAGTTATACAGGTAAAATAGTAATTATTTCATACTTCAAAAAAATGGTTTCACATGTGCACACACTAAAGTATCAGGGAGTCTGTGTGACAGTAAATGGTGTGTTTAAAATGATTCCATTTGTACAGGTTCAACTTAGAGACAATTTTTTCAGGAATCTATACTTGTCCCTTAAAGTCAGGATCATTTGGTGAGAATGTGCTAATTCTTATTTTATCAGTGACTGCATAGTTAGGAGACACTTTAATCTGCCTGCCATAGAATGCTCTAGAGGTGGGCAGAGTAACTCAAACCTAGAAGGGCTGAATTAATGCTTCTCCATTCTAGCTGTACCTTGCAATCATTTGAGAGGCTTAAACAAAAAAAGAAAAGAAAAGACAAAGAAAAACAAAACCCTAGATGGTCAAGTCCTACCTTGGACCAATTAAAAAAGAATCTTTGGGAGTGGGTGGGGCCTGAGCACCTGCAGTTTAAAAAGCTCCCCAGGTGATTCTAATGTGCATCCAGTATTGAGCTACATGGGCTAGATCATTCACTGGAGCTCTAGGTTGACAATCCCCTGACTTATTAATGAGTTATGAACTAGGCCTGTAGCTCATGCCTGACATCAGAATGGCTTTGGGAAGATTTGGGATGTCTGGACCAGTACGGAATTAGGCATTGCTGGCATTTGTCCTTGAGGGACAAGATGGAGAAACTAGATAGTGCCCAGAAGCCAGAAGGTAGAGAGAGGCAGGGAACTTAGAGGAAAGGGAGCCCGACAAAGGTGCTTGAACAGTTCACCCAGCTCACTGGGGAAGAAAGTAACTCCTTAGGCAAGGGGAGTTTGGGGCTTAGTAAAACTCTTCATTCTTTTCATTTGGATTGTAGATCATCAACCTGAGTTTTGTAAACATGTGTCATTATTCAAGGGGACTAAAAAAGCATGGTTTTGGTTATAGTCCCTGGTCTCCATGGATGCTCAGAGGTGGAGGCAATCCCCCAGGTGGAGAGAGGACTCAGGGCTTCTCCGAGAGCTCTGCACTGCTGAAACCCCGATGTCTCTGTGTTTACCTTTGGAAAGGGAAGCTGACTTCTTGCTCAGGTCACTGTAGTGATAGTGTTTATGAATTCGTGGTCTGTGAGGCAGAGGAGAGCCTGCCTGTGTTATCTGTGGGACTGAGACAGCGGGCTGTGGGCTGCTAGGGACCAGACCTTCCCATCTTCATGTCTCTTAGTGCCCTTGCCCGTATGACAGTTTACCTTCTTATCCGCAGGGTTTCTTTCATGCTTTCCTCTTTTTCCTTGTCCATCCAGAGCTGCAGGAAGAAGGGAAATCTCTTTATGTTTAAGAAGAGGAAAGTGAGGAACAGAAAGGGAAGAAACTGCCCATCCTCATGGCAACTGAGAGGAGGGATGGGGAGAGAGACTTCCCTCTTTCACTTCCTATTTTTTTCTAGCTCCCAGCTCTCCCCACTGCCCTCATCTGTTTCATTTGTTTCAGGTTCTAGTGATGCATTTTGCTGTGTCTCTCCAATTCTCATCCATGTAAGGAGAGAGGAAACAGTGTGAGTAGAGTGTGAATATCTCAGTCTCCACTCTGCACCTCAGGAAAGGTGTGATAGGAGTGTGGCTTGTATAGGGCAGCTGGTACAGAGAGTGAATATGGAAAAGACCAGGGAAGGAGAATGGAGTGGTTGAGAGCTCAGGACTCAGGTACTGGGTTTCCCTGTCCAAGAAGATGGATGCCTTTCAAGGGGTCCCAGTGGGATGCAAAGCTCCCCTTCCTCACCATCCTGCTGAAGCTAGTCTTGATAAGTCCAGGTGCTAGGCAGTTCACCCTAATGTTCCTTGGGGCCAGCTCTATGGCCAAGGTCTTGTTGAGGCCCAGCAAGGCTGTTTTACTGACATTGTAAGGACTGAAGCCCTGGAGAAAGAAGAGAATGTGTTAGACTCATAGTTTCCAGGTCATTCTTGGTTCTAATAACTAGACATAGAGGGCAGTGCTCAATAGGGATCTCCTGTAAGGGAGGGGCAGAGTTAGGGAACTGTCTTGTGGCTAAATCTCCCCTAGGTTATGGTTTGTGGAGGCAAGGCATCTATTTTGTGGGCAGGGACTTGGTGGTGTGATTCTACAAGGGGACACAAACTTCCTTGGGTAATAGGAGGGGTGGAAAGATGTGGAGTGGAGGATGGGATGGAAAGGGCAATCAAAAGGGTTCTTACAGGAAGTGGCCTGAAGGCTGCTACAGAGGCCAGGAACCCCACTGAACCACCCCTGGAAAAAGAAGAGAGCTGACCGTCTTCCCAGTGTGGACCACTGCCCTCAGCCTGTGTGGGGTCCCATCTCACCCAGGCTCTCTCTCACTCTCTGTACCCTCGTTTCTCCATTTCTGGCACCACTGCCTTTATCATTAGGGCTAGGGCCTTCCCATTAATGTCCAGATTCTGAAGCCAAAAGAAGAAGGGGAAACAACATGAGTGTAGAGCACTGGAGGAGACATGGCAATGAGGAGTTAGAATGGGTTCCTAGGATGTTTGTCAAAGCTGACGAAGATCTTAGGATGATATACCTGTATCTTACACATGAAGCAACTGAGGTTCAGGGAGAAGTAGCTCTCACCAGCTGCTCAGCTAGATAATGATACATTAGGTTCAGGTGAGCAAAAATGGAGCCTGGTTCATCTAGTTTCATAACCAGCCAAGTATGATTTGGCCCAGAAGGAGCCTAAATCCTCAGGGCTCCTTCGGATTTGAGCTGTGTTTTCTCTGTTTTTTCAAAGTAGGGAAAGTCTGGAATTGTCAGCCTTCTGGACCTGCCCTAGAGTAGGCCATGCTTCTCAGGGAAAATGTGGCCTGACCTTGGATACCTGGGGTTGTTCTAGCACTTCTCTGGCTTCTGCATTTAGGGAATGAGATGCTATTGGTCCTCTAGGGTGGACTGTCTGGCTAGGCATGGTTAGAAAGTGGGAGCACGAGGAGGCACCTTCTGGGGAAGCTGGGGGATGGCTACAATCAGAATCCCCACATCCATAATCTAAAACAAATGTATGACCCTGTTTACATTGTTCTAGACAACTGCTTATATTAAAATATTTCAATCTTACAGAAAAATTGGAAATAGAAGTACAAGGAGAATCTAGAGATCCTTCACTTAGATTCACCAATTTTTCTCTACTAAAAATACAAAAATTAGCCAGACGTGGTGGCATGTTTCTGTAATCCCAGCTACTCAGGAGGATGGGACAGGAGAATAGCTTGAACCCGGGAGGTGGAGGTTGCAGTGAGCCAAGATCGCAACACTGCACTCCAGCCTGGGCAATAAAGCGAGACTCCATTTCAAAAAATAAATAAAAAAAATTAAAATAAATAAACTTAGTTGCAGATATTAGAATGCTCTATCCCTAAATACTTAGCATACATTCCCAAAGAGTAAGGATGTTCTTTTACACAACCATAATCCATTATCACACCCAAGAAGTTTGACATTGATGATAATTTTATCTAATATATTGGCCTCAATTGTCCCCGAAATGTGGTTTTTTTTTTTTAAAGTCCAGAGTTCAATCAAGGATCAGCTATTATGTTTGGATTTGATGTACTGTGATATTTAAAATAATATATAAACTAAAAGAAAAGTTACAGGCACACTTTATTTTATTACTCTTTGCAGATATTGCGTCTTTTACAAATTGAAGGTTCATGGCAACCCTGTGCTAATTGGAGCCATTTTTCCAATGGCATGTGCTCAGTTTGTCTCTGGGTCACATTTTGGTAATTCTTGGAATATTTCAGACTTTTCCATTATTATTACGTCTGTTACGGTGATCTGTGATCTTTTGTGTTTTTATTATAATTGTTTTGGGGTACCACAAACCACACCCAGAAAAGAAGGTCAACTTAATGGAAAAATGTTGTGTGTTCTGACTGCTCCGCCCTTCTCCCATCTCTCTCCCTCTCTGTTGGCCTCCATATTCCCTGAGACACATTTACATTGAAATTAGGCCAATTATTAACCCTACAATGGCCTCTAGGTGTTCAAGTGAAAGGAAGAGTAACACATCTTACACTTTAAATCAAAAGCTGGAAATAATTGAGCTTAGTGAGGAAGGCATATTGAAAGCTGAGGCAGGCTGAAAGCTAGGCCGTGTGCACCAGTAGCCAAATCATGAGTGCAAAGGAAAAATCTCTGAAGGATATTAAAAGTGCTACTTCTGTGAACACATAAATGATAAGAAAGCAAAACAGCTTTATTGTTAATATGGCTTCAAAACTTCAAAGGACAGGCTTATTCTCTTGTTAGGGGCTAATGCAGCCAGTGACTTTAAGTTGAAGCCAATGCTCATTTACCATTCTGAAAATTCTAGGGCTCTCAAGATTTATGCTAAATCTACTCTGCCTGTGCTCTATAAATGGAACAACAAAGCCTGGATAACAGCACATCTGTTTATAGCATGGTTAACTGAATATTTTAAGCTCACCGTTGATAGCTACTGCTCAGAAAAAGATTCCTTTCAAACTGTTACTGCTCATTGACAATGCACCTGGTCACTCAAAAGCTCTGATGGAGATGTACAAGGAGATTAATGTTGTTTTCATGCCTGCTAACACAACATCCATTCTGCAGCCCATGGATCAGGGGGTAATTCTGACTTGCAAGACTTGTTATTTAAGAAATACATTTTGTAAGGCTGTAGCTGCCATAGATAATGATTCCTCTGATTTATCTGGGCAAAGTCAACTGAAAACCTTCTAAAAAGGATCCACCATTCTAGATGCCATTAAGAATATTTGTGATTCATGGGAGGAGGTCAAAATATCTACATTAACAGGAGTCTGGAAGAAGTTGATTCCAACCCTCATGGATGACGTGGAAGGGTTCAACACTGCATCAGAGGAAGGAACTGCAGATGTGGTGGAAATAGCAAGAGAACTAGAAGTGGAGCTGGAAGATGGGACTGAATTGCTGCAATCTCACGACAAAATGTAGATGGCTGAGGAGCTGGTTCTTACGGATAAGCAAATAAAGTGGTTTCTTGGGATGGAATCTATTTCCGGTGAAGATGCCATGAACATTGTTGAAATCACAACACGGGATTCAGAATATGATATGTACTTAGTTGAGTAAGCAGTGGTAGAGTTTGTAGGATTGACTCCAATTTTGAAAGAAGTTCTACTGTGGGTAAATGCTATCAAACAGGCTTGCATGCTACAGAGAAATCTTTTGTGAAAGGAAGAGTCAACTGATGTGGCAAACTTCACTGCTGTCTTATTTGAAGAAATTGCCACAGCCACCCCAGCCTTCAGCAACACCACCCTAAGTCAGCCACCATCAATGTTGAGGCAAGACCCTCTAAGGCCGGATGTGGTGGCTCACGCCTGTAATCCTAGCACTTTGGGAAACCGAGGCGGGTGAATCACGAGGTCAGGAGATTGAGACCATCCTGGCTAACACGGTGAAACCCCGTCTCTACTAAAAATACAAAAAATTAGCTGGGTGTGGTGGCGGGTGCCTATAGTCCCAGCTACTCAGGAGGCTGAGGCAGGAGAATCGCTTGAACCTGGGAGGCGGAGGTTGCAGTGAGCCGAGATGGTGCCATTGCACTCCAGCCTGGGCTACACAGTGAGACTCCATCTAAAAAAAAAAAAAAAAAAAGACCCTCCACCAGCAAAAAGATTACAACTTCTAAAGGCTCAGATCATTGTTAGCACTTTTTAGCAATAAAGTATTTTAAAATTAAGATATGTATATATTTTTAAAGACATAATGCTATTGCTCATTTAATAGACAACCATTAGATGACCATTATAGTGTAAACGTAACTTTTATATGCACTGGGAAACCAAAAAATTCGTGTGTCTCACTTTATTATAATATTCACTTTATTGTGCGGTGGCCTGGAACCAGACCCACAATATCTCCGAGGTGTGCCTGTACTTAGTTTAAAACTGACTTTCATAGGGTCTCTATTCAGACTGTTCATGAAAGATGTTCCTCCATTGTAAAGACTATCAGAATCTGTCTGGGTGCAGTGGCTCACGCCTATAATCCCAGCACTTTGAGAGGCCGAGGTGGGTGGATCAGTTGAGGCCAGGAATTTGAGACCAGCCTGGGCAACACAGTGAAACCCTGTCTCTACTGAAAATATCAAAAATTAGCCGGGCATGGTGGCACATGCCTGTAGTCCCAGGTACTTGGCAGGCTGAGGCACAAGAATCGCTTGAACCTGGGAGGCGGGGGTTGCAGTGAGCTAGATCGCAGCACTGCACTCCAGCCTCGATGACACAGCGAGGAAAAAAAAAAAAAGAGGGACAAAGCTTAACAATAAAAAACTAGCTCACTGAAGAACATTTTGGCACTTTGGTCTTTATGTGTATGAAACACTGGTAAATAAATCATAGTGTTTTCACATCCTGATACTTTAGTGTTGAGAAATGTTTGATGACATCTGATATAGTTGGTATGTTTGTCCCCTCTAAGTCCCATGTTGAAATGTGATCACCAGTGTTCAAGGTGGAACCTGGTGTGAGGTGTTTGGGTCATGGGGTGGATCCCTTATGAATGGCTTGGTGCTCTCCTGGTGGCAATTAGTGAGCTCTCACTCTATTAGTTCATGCCAGAGCTAGTTGTTTAAAAGCCTGGTATCTCACTTCCTCTCTTGCCATGTAACGCGCCTGCTCCCTTTTGCCTTCTGCTATGATTGTAAGCTTCCTGAGGCCTCATCAGAAGCAGATACTGGCACCATGCTTCTTCTGCAGTCTGCAGAAGTGTAAACCAAAACAACCCTCTTTTCTTTTCTTTTTTTTTTTTTTTTGAGACGGAGTCTCGCTCTGTCACCCAGGCTGGAGTGCAGTGGCGCAATCTCGGCTCACTGCAAGCTCCGCCTCCCGGGTTCACACCATTCTCCTGCCTCAGCCTCCCAAGTAGCTGAGACTACAGGTGCCCGCCACCACACCCGGCTGATTTTTTGTATTTTTAGTAGAGACGGGCTTTCACCATGTTAGCCAAGATGGTCTCGATCTCCTGACCTCGTGATCTGCCCGCCTCGACCTCCCAAAGTGTTGGGATTACAGGCGTTAGCCACCGCGCCCGGCCACAACCCTCTTTTTCTTTATAAATTGCCCAGCTCAGGTATTCCTTTATAGCAACGCAAAACAGACTAATACAACATCAGAGTAAAAAGCAAAACCATGGGAGATCATAAAAAATTAGCATTTCCAAATCGTGGGACTATTAACCTTAGTATACAAAGACAAATATTTTAATTAAAGCTTTGTAATTAAAGAATGTGTGTGAAATATATTACGAATGTAATGTAATTATATACTTACACATAAAACCCAATATTGTACCACTTGAATATAGACATCTGGATCTCAGATTTTCTTGACATTGCAGTTAGGAAGAAAATAATATAGGTTTTTATTTTTACTTTTTTAAAGGATGTATATTATAAAGTGGCAACTGGTTATTTCACCAGAATTAGTATTTTACTTAACTAGCAGCTTTTAATATTTCCCAGCTAATGAAAAATGATTCCTTTTTGGCAGCTGAAAGGGGGACAGTTGGGTGTGTAAGTTTAAGTGTCATAGTTGTTGGCATATTAGCTGCCACGTCTCTGTTGGAAATCAACCAGGTAGCAGAGCATGCCGGGAAGAAGGCTGGGGAGGGGAGCAGACGGTGGATAGTGAAGGGCAGATGGAAGCAGACAGAAGTAGGAGCAGCAGAAACGAATGAGAAGGGCAGGGACAGAGGAAGCTGCCCCCACCCGCCCTTTACCAGGTGTGCTCCAGGTGTGTGGCATGTGGCAAAGACTCCTCACATTTACACTGCACTTGATAAACACATTCTAAAAGCAGACGGAGTTTGTTATCGATAGTGATAGGATATCAATAACTCCATGAAGCTTCATAGCCTAGGGAGAGGGGTAAGGTCTGGACCAGGGCTGCAGTAAGTAAGGGAGGTGCATTTATTCACGTTGATAAAAACTTCCTTCTGGGCGGGGCGTGGTGGCTCACGCCGGGAATCATGGCACTTTGGGAGGTCACGGTGGGAGGACCACTTGAACTGAGCAGTTTGAGAGAAGCCTGGGCAACATAGGGAGACCTTATCCCTATATTTAAAAAAACAACAACAATGACAACAACAACAACAACAAATCTTCCTTCTTAGGAACTATCGTCAAAATAACTTCTATTTCTTAAAACATCTTTTTTGAAAACTACCCTAAGATCTGCTGCTAACCATTTAAGGTTGGCTTCTTTCTTTTTTTAGATGGAGTCTTCCTCTGTCACCCAGGCTGGAGTTCAGTGGCATGATCCCAGCTCACTGCAGCCTTGACCTACTGGGTTCAAGCCATCCTCCTGCCTCAGCCCCCCAAGTAGCTGAGAATACAGGTGCGTGCCATCACACCTGGGCAATTTTTGTACTTTTTGTAGAGACAGGGTCTTGCCATGTTGCCCAGGCTGGTCTGGAACTCCTGAGCTAAAGCCATCCGCCTGCCTCGGCCTCTCAAAGTGTTACAGGTGTGAGCCACCAGGAAGTTGGCCTTATTTCTTTTGCAGTGTTTTCTTCCCACCTCCTATTCTTCTAAGGCTGTCTCTGACCCTATGCTCTTTTCTTTACATTTTCCCATTTGGGAGCTCCTTCATTCTCGTGATTTCAAATCTCACCCCAAAATCTATTTCCAGACCCCTCCTCTTCCTTTCACACTGAGTTCCACCCACATTTCTCCAAGTGCTTACTGTCCAGTTCTTCTTGAATAAGTTACCATTATTTCAAAGTCAATCTGGCCACACTTACCTGAATGGAAAAACTGGCTTAAATAGAGCTGTAGAAAGTTACCCTGGAGGGGCCTTTGAGATCATCTATTCCAATGTCCTTAAGGTGGAGATGATGAAACAGGTTCAGGGAATTTTCTCAAGATCATATAGTTCAGTAGTAACACACTGGGGCTAGCTAAGAACAGGAGGCCTGCTTATTCCGTGTTGGGGAAAGTGATTTGTTCAGGGCATAAAGCTAGTTAGTGGTGGAAGAACTGAGGTCAGTCTCCCACTTTGTAGCACAGAGCTAATTCGTAAGAGCCCTCTGAAAGTGAGCTGGGGTCATTAGGAAACCGGCTGCCCAGGAGAGCCATGATGGGAGAAGATACCAGCCTGAATTTAAAGCAATTCCATATTTGGTTATGATGTCATTTTCCCTGTCTCTGTCTCTCTCTTTTGACCTGGAGGCATGAAAGATTCAAGGCAGAAAGGGAAATTTAAACTGAGAAAGCCAAGAAAGGCAACATCTCACCTCCTTAATAAGTTATAAGTAGGTAGTGAGGCATGTGCTAGAGTAATGAATGGCCAAGCAGAATCTGCCAACAAGGGTTTTCAGTACAAAGCCACCCTGAAACCAGACTTTGCATTTGCCTGGAACTGGCAATTTTGATGCCTTGGGCAAGTAGCAGTACATGGGCCCTTGGTCAATTTTGTGCTCCGGATTTGGCCCACGGAGGGGTGTTATTAACAATGTACACCATCTGCTAGCTTCCCATTTTAACTAATTATTCTTGTTAACTAGGTGCTAACCTTCAACACAGTTGAAGAAATGCCTGGGCTGTCAACGTGTAAATCTAACAAAATTTAAAGTCAAGTACTCTTTTAAAACCAGTATGAATACTTTCTTGCACCCTTTAAATTTTGGTATCCTGGCACAAAGCCAAGTCACCTGCCTTGGCTCTGTGTAAGTCTCACCAATGTACTTGTTACTAGGGAGGTGCAGAATAAGTTAATAAGTGATGTGTGCTGTGCTCAGTGCACGTGTGTTTGGGCTGGGAGAAGACAGTGGATTGCTCCAGAATCACCTGGAGACATTTTCTACTCTGCTGCATACCCCATGCCCCTCTACTTCCAGGTCTGTCAGCACAGAGATGGGAGGAGGCTGGGTTTTGAATGAACAGAGACAGCAAACCATAAAAGATGAATGAGGCTGGGTGTGGTGGCTCACACCTATAATCCTAGCACTTTGGTACGGCCAGTAGGGAGGACCGCTTGAGGCCAGGAGTTCAAAACCAGCCTGGGCAATAAAGCCCCAACTCTACAACAAATTTAAAAGATGAACTGGCGTGGTGGTGCATGCCTATAATCTTAGCCACTTGGGAGGCTGACGGGGGAGGACTGCTTGAGCTCAAGAGTTGGAGGTTACAGTGAGCTATGATCATGCCACTGCACTCCAGCCTGGGCAACAGAGTGAGGCCCTGTCTCTGGGGGGAAAAGAAAAAGATGTCTTCTAAGTGTTCTAAATTGTGTGATCACTACACTAAAGTGGTTAGGAGCTGTTTGTTCTGTGTTCTGATAGTTATACATTTTTAAGAAAAAATATAATCAAGCAGATAGGCAGCTACTCTGGTTTCCACTTACAACACCAGTGAGAAGCTTCGTGGTGTGCAGATGAGGAGGCCACTGGGTAGTATCCATTCTCAGGGCAGTGGCTTTTCTCATTGCAGGGTAACATGTGACAACTGGCAGAAGACATTTCAAATTGCTGACAAGTATTCTATCATTCTCCTCTCTGACAATGGTCATACAAACTACCTGAGAGTCATTTTTGACTTCTCTATTTCCCACTTTTTGACATGGGGTTGGAAAATCTTGGTTCGTTTCCACTGAATGTCTCTTGGGCACATCTATTCCAGTCCCACCGCCACTGCTCTAAACCTGGACGACAGCAACAGCTTCCTCACTGATGCCCTGGATTTGGTGTCTCCTCTGTATATCCTTCCTACCAGAGCCAGATTAGCTTTCCTAATAACCATCTTTCTCTTGCTCAAAACCTCACATGGCTTCTTATTTGCTACAAGAGTGTGTAAACATATCCTTTTAAGAGGCTATATCCTTTTAAGGTCCTTAACGTATCCTTTTAAGAAGCTATGGCCGGGCGCAGTGGCTCACGCCTGTAATCCCAGCACTTTGGGAGGCTGAGTGGGTGGATCACCTGAGGTCAGGAGTTCAAGACCAGCCTGGCCAACATGGTGAAACCCCGTCTCTACTAAAAATACAAAAATTAGCTGGGCATGGTGGTGGGCACCTGTAATCCCAGCTACTCAGGAGGCTGAGGCAGGAGAATTGCTTGAACCTGGGAGGCAGAGGTTGCAGTAAGCCGAGATGGTGCCACTGTACTCCAGCCTAGGCGACAAGAGTGAAACTCCGTCACAAAAAAAAAAAAAAAAAAAAAAAAAAAAAAAAAAAAAAGATATGGAGGCCCATGGCCTCTATCTTTCCAATGCAGCCCCTTCCCCAGCAGTACTCCTGAGCCTGTGCTCTCCATTGTGGCCTGACAGTGCTCCTCTCTTTCCTTCAGTTCCTCCTTGGCTGTCTGCTCATTTTGCAGAGTTATCTGGAACCTCGTCACTATTCCATCTGTCCATTCCCATCCATTCCTTAAGGTTTAGCTCAAGTACCACCTCTGGGCCAGGCCTGTAGGCCATGTTAAGTGAACCTGGTGGGGGCCACAGGATGTTTTCCCAACAGGGTTTTCACATTACATTGCTACTTACATGTGATATGGTTAGTCACTAATTGACCCAGACTCCCAAACGGCTCCTTCCACCATCAGGATCAAGGCCCCAATCTTGGGCTCTGTCCACCAGCCTAGGCCAGGCAAGGTGACTTTCTAGGACTCACATTTGGCTCTTTCCAATGCACATTTGAGCATTTGCCAGACAGTTCCTTAAAAACGGAATTACCCTATACTGTCTACCATGCTACTGTCTACTATTGCTTAAGATCCTCCTCTTCTAAGATTATGCAAATTATTTCTGCCAACCTTCCAATCTGTTAGCACAACCCTGTACTTTCCATTTTTGGGTAGATTCTCCCTTCCACTCTGGAAAATAAAGTGTGTATCCTGAGCCTCAAGGGAAGAGGAGCTTGCTTTGCTGGATGGTTCATATTTCCTTCGGCAGCTGGAAGGCTGGTATCCACTACTAACTGTGACACTGACTTATATACTTTCTTTGAGACTAAAGTCCAGTACCTGGTAGTCCACAGGCAGCCAATAAAGGAAGGGAGCTTGGGAGGTCTGGGTCTTTCCTTACTGGCTGTGGGACCTTGGGAAGTTGCTCCAGCTATCTGAGCCAGCGTCTGCAGACCGAGAGAATAGTCCTTGCCTTGCTTGGGTTGTTGTCAGGTCTAGAGATAACCTGTGTAAGGCTCTGAACACAGGAAATGGCACATAGTAAGTGGTTGAAACATGGTGGGCTGCTTCCTGAAGTTCCCAGGGACTTGACTCTGTAAGCTGAAGAAGAGGGGAATGTTTATTAGCTCATGGGTGGGAACATCTATTTTGTGATTGTATTTACCCTTCTCATCTGTCCAGTTAGGTTGAAAATTACTGGAGAACCAGTACCAGCGGTTTCTTTGGGGTATGCAAGGGATGATGCAGGGTTGAAGCATTAGAATGTTTTAACATTCTCTGATTGGGATGGGATTATTCTCCAACTTTAATATATGGACATAATAGAAAGGCACACAATAAAAACGTGCTGGTGGGCTGGTTGGGTATGCAGAACACACTGTTATGTTTTAGTTAACATCACTGCGTTGGATCTCACCAATGCTGTCCAGGAAAGCAGGGAAGGAGGCTCAGGCTGGCTCCCTTTTCCACCTCCTGGCTCTGTGCCCATTTCCCTGCAGCTCACTGTGGCCACCAGCCGCTCCCAGTCCTTCATCTTCCCCACATGGCACACAGTGCCCGTCATGCTCAGCCCCTCCCCCTGCAGCGTGGCCACTGCCTGGTCCACATTCTGCTGCTTCCGGCGGCTGACTACCACGTGGGCCCCGTCTTGGGCCAGACGCTGGGCGACGGCGAAGCCGATCCTGTGAGCAGAGACAAAGACTGCTAAGGCTTGTGCAGGGGAAGAGATGGACAGCATGGGCTCTGAAGTTAGACTGCCCGGTTTTGAATTCTGGCTCTTTCTCTATATGACCTCCATGTGTCTCTACTACGTGTAAAACAGGCTTAATGGCACAGCCATTTTTGGCGTTCCTTTACTTATTTTTATTATCATCTTGGACTGCAGCCTCAGTTCCCAAGAACTGACATCACTTTCTACAGTTCCCACCATGGGTGACAGGCTTCATCCCCTCTTGGGACTGAGAGGTGAGAAATGAGCTGGGTTTGCAGCAGCAGCCACTTCCGTGATTTGAGGGTCTCACTCAGAACAGCCCTGCCTCCAGGTTTCTTTCTTACTAGTCTACATCATTCTGAAAATTCTATCCTTAATTATTTTTTGGGGTGCATGTGAAAAGATGGTCTCCGGTCAAAAATGTAAATATTGCCTTGGGAGGAAGAGTTACACATTTTGCACTTGTCAGCCATTAGCATTTTACCTACATTTGTATTTTAGTTTTGTGAAGAGTTGGCATCTAGCAAAGTCCTGTAGAAATGAGAACCAGGACTGAGAAGAGAGGTGGGTGAGAAACAGGCTGGCGAAGGTCGGCCCAGATGTACCGACCTAAACAAAAATCTCGACACTTGGCTCTGGTGTCCCATCTAGGTAAGGGGGAGGGGTTCCGGGAGACTTTCCGGTGCCCAAATAGAATGTCTGGTACATTTTCAAAGTGCTGGAGGCCTTGGGATATGATTTTGAAATCCAGATTCCCTTGGATTTCTAGTTTCTGGTCTTCCCGGACGCTAGGTGGTGCTGGTTGACGGGGGCAGCCCAGAACACTGGGGGGACTAGATCGATGGGACTTCACAGAGGAGGCACAGTTGTGCCAGAGGCAGCAGGGACACGAAGGCAGGCAAGGGAGGGTCCAGGGCCAGGGGATTCGGAGGGGCTTCGGGCGGACCACGTGGCTACTTCTTTTCCATGGCCAGACTTTGGCGGTATGTGAGGTCTGAGGACAGGGGCACTGGAGGCAAAGGACGAGACACCAGTGCCTGTTTCCAGGCAGCCAGGGCCTCAGAAACTCCGGCACCAACACTCACCAGTCGGTGGAGGCCGTTACCAGGGCCACCTTATTTGTGAGCGGGTCCCGGCGGGTCATCCCGGAGCTGGCCAACCGCACCGACTTCCCTGCCCGGGCACAGTGGCCTCGTAGCCGCGCCTTGTGCATGGATCAGACCAGCAAGTCTGGGTTCCACTCCTTCCAGCGAGGTGACAGAGTAGGGCGAAGGGGCAGGACGAAGGGCGGGCCGCTTCCCTGCCTGCTCCCTCCCCGCCCTCAGCCAGCTGGGAGTCGTCTGTGGCGGTTGGCGCCTCCCGCCGCCCGCCGCCCGCCAGTCGCCGCGCCCCGCAGCCAGCTACCTTCCGCCTGACTGGGGCTTGCCTTCCCGGGCTGGCGGGTGATCAAAGCGCTCTCCGTTCAAGTTGCCTGTAGGGCTCGCCCCTCCCCTGGCCCCCGCAGGAACCCGCAGCCTTTGGCTGCTGCCTTTCTGCATCTGCTTGCCCACCTTTTCTTCTTGGGGAAGTGGGGGTTTTGAGTTGGTTGCTTTTGCTTCTTCAGAATTCCTTCTCCAAGAAAGTCTGGGTCTATGTATGTGACAGCCCACAGGAGGGCAAATGTTTTGAGACTGCCCATGGAGGTGAGGCCTGTGGTCCCCATGGAGTCCACCAGGTGAGGCTGGAGCAGCCTGGGAGAGAGACGTGATAGGGAGTAGCTGCACCAGGCCTGGCACTGCCCTTCCCTCTGCCCAAGGTCTCCATGTTGCAGACAATGATCATTGGCCAAACAGGATCTCATATCCCTCGCCAAAGGGACTTCCTCCTTTACAGGGGCTAAGTGGTAGCGAGGAGGCTGGACAGTCCCTCAAGCAGTGGTGGAAATGCAAAGAACTCGGGGCACTCAAGTTCTCCCTAACCACTCTGTCCCCAGGTCTTAGCCTCCATCCTAGTTCAATAAATATTTGTTGAATGCAAAATCTCTTTATGAACTGTAAGCTACTAAGCACATAGTAGTTACTGCCACCATGTAGTGATTATTATTGGTGCCCTGGGCCAGACTCTTCATCTGTAAATTACTGAGGGTATGGAGTAGATGATGAATAAAGTCCTTGCCAGCTATAAATTCTGTGTCCAAGACTTCAGTCTCCACTTCTGCCAAGTGGGCTGAAATGATCTCCCTCCTGGGTTTCCGGGAGAATGAATAAATATGGATGGCTTATGGTACACTGTAGAAAGGCCCCAACAGACCCAAATGTAAGCATCTGAATTAGTTTAACCCACTGGCCTCCTAAGCCAGACTGAGAAGCAGTGCTGGTTCATGGCAGCGTTTTCATTAGTTCAAAGCAAAATGAGAAAAGGAAACAATTACAGTGAGTTTCATAAAGCTAAGCTTATTTAACAGTCCTTTATTGTGGAGTATACGTTTGCTTCTTTTTTTGTGTGTTAGTGTTTTCTTTTAGAAAAGATGATGAAAGCAGATGGGTAGGTTTGGAGATGTGTTGTTGGTGAAATCACCAGTTTTGCAGCCTTATGCCAGTCCCTACAATTAGAGGGGAAAGAATCCTGGTTTGTAAAATCCAGTTCTAGGCATGACTTTTGAATAGAATTCATGTTTGCTCAAGATTCATTTAGTGTATGTGCAGGTCAGCTGAGCAGCTGAAAAAGGATTTCAACATTCAGCAGGGCGTGGTGGCTCACCCTGTAATCCCAGCACTTTGGGAGGCCGAGGCAGGTGGATCACAAGGTCAGGAGATCAAGTCCATCCTGGCTAACACGATGAAACCGGTCTCTACTAAAAATACAAAAAATTATCCGGGCGTGGTGGCATGTGCATGTAGTCGCAGCTACTCGGGAGGCTGAGGCAGGAGAATGGCATGAACCCGGGATGCGGAGCTTGCAGTGAGCCGAGATCATGCCACTGCACTCCAGCCTGACCGACAGATGGAGACTCTGTCTCAAAAAAAAAAAAAAAAAAGGGTTTCGACATTCAAACGGTGGCGTATAGTGAGCAAGTAATAGGACGGCCTGCACTGTATTGATAGTGTTTTCCTCAGCCAAGAAGTTACAGCTGCAGTACTCTGCTTTGCTACTCAGCACATCCCGATGAGACAGGAGAGCTTAAGTATCATTTTCCCCATGTCCAGGGAAAACTGACTCTGACTGGTGCTCCTTAGTTTGAGCCTCATGAACTATTGACAGAGGCTGGAAGCACCACACTCCTTGTCCTCTTGCACTGTTTGGAGCTAATGCACTGTGGGAACCTTTACCAGGGCTCTCCATCTGTGTGTGGCGCTGGGGTGGGGGTACACAGGAGGACGGCTGTGGGGGTTCTCAAGGCTTGGTTCAAACGGACAGGCCTGCAGGGGGCGTTTGATCTCTCTTCCCCTTCTCTTCAGAGGTAGACACGGCCACTGAGGGGCTGAGGGTTGCAGGAAGGTGAGCAAGACTATACTTCAAAGAGCAAAGGATTCTGGGAAAAGAGAATTGTGGCTTGGGAGCTTGGTGAACATCACATGGCCCTCCCTTGTGTGGGCAGGGTTGCTATTGGGCCTCCAGCCTATTTCTTTTGCGGAGAGCACAGGGGACATTAGGGAGGGGGCCTGTGAGCAGAAAAGGATAGAAGGAAGTCAAGAAGTGTGGGAATCTCTAGCACTACTCCTCATCAAGCTGGCTTATTGGAGATAAGAGCAGGAAATCTTGGTCCGGGCATGGTGGCTCATGCCTGTAATCCCAGCACTTTAGGAGGCTGAGGTGGGCAGATCACTTGAGGTCAGGAGTTTGAGACCAGCTGGCCAATATGCTGAAACCTAGTCTCTACTGAAAATACAAAAATTAGCCGGGTGTGGTCAGGAGCTCAAGACCAGCCTGGCCAACATGGTGAAAACCTGTCTTTACTAACAATACAAAAATTAGCTGGGCATGGTCAGGAGTTCGAGACTAGGCTGACCAACATGGTGAAACTCCATCTCTACTAAAAGTACAATAACTAGCCAGGCCTGGTGGCACGTGCCTGTAATCCCAGCTACTCAGAAGGCTGAGGCAGGAGTATTGCTTGAACCTGGGAGGCAGAGGTTGCAGTGAGCCTAGATCACACCACTGCACTCCAGCCTGGGCAATAGAATGAGAGACTCCATCTCAAAAAAAAAAAAAAAAAAAAAAAGAACAAGATATCCTTCAGGGAAATACATGCATATGTGGGAGTATCTCTTTGAAATGGGAACTGTAATAGGCAATGGGATTGTTCTTGTATGGAGGTGGTAACATCTGCCTATCTTGAGGGACAAATGCCTCCATGATTGAGGGCTCTACTCCCATCCTTTTCAAGGCCTGCCTGTGGTCCAGAAGAGAATTCACCTGGGGTGGAATTTAAGTCTTGCATTTTGCAATAGCTGTCCCAGATTCACTGCTGAGTCATGCATCACTGACACAAGTCAGGATTAGGCAATGTGGGAGGTCTGGTGTGGGGTTAGGACAACTGCCAGGCAGAGAAATAATAGTAACAGTGTTAACAGTATTTATTGAGCACTTCCTTACTAAGTGCTGGCAAGTGTTAAGTCCTTTTCAGAAATTTTACTGAATATTTTCAATCTGGTGAAATGGGTGTTTTAATGTAGGGAGCCAAAGGCCTGAGGGTTGTGACCAACTCAGCATTCCACTGAAGGCTGCATGATCAAACAGCAAACTGTTTATCATGAATGCAGAACGTGTACAAACTCACTTCTGCACCTGCTGCCAGAAGGTTTGCTGAGGGCAATCACTCCCTGGTGCTGTGCTCCTTGAGGTTATCTGCTGGAACATCTGGAGACTACTGTTCAAAGAATGCAGTCATGCAAGCCTGCACTAAGCCAAGCAGCTGACTGACAACCACCACCTTCTCCCTATCTCCTTTACTCAATAAATACGAAGGGCTGTAGAAGCTCAGCACCCTTGTTCACTAGAAGCAAGGAGCCTCCTGATCCTTTCTTCCAAATATACTCTTTTGCCTTTGTCTTTATTCCCACATTCATCTTGTTTTGTTCAGTCCATGAAGGACTGCGGCATTTTAAATTTTTTTTTTTTGAGACGGCATCTTGCTCTGTCACCAGGCTGGAGTGCAGTGGCACAATCTTGGCTCACTGCAACCTCTGCCTCCCAGGTTCAAGCAATTCTCCTGACTCAGCCTCCTGAGTAGCTAGGACTACAGTACCTGGTGAGCTAGCACAACACCTCACCCAACTAATTTTTGTATTTTTAGTAGAGACGAGGTTTCACCATTTTGGCCAGGATGGTCTCCATCTCGACCTAGTGATCTTCCTGCCTTGGCCTCCCAACGTGCTGGGATTACAGGTGTGAGCCACTGTGCCCAGTCGGGTGTTTTAAATTCTATATGTGAAATCAGAGTGAATGATGACAACCTCAATTACTGTTTGTGTTGTATAGTTACACTTCATTTTTCTCGCATTGTTGGGGAATTGATACTTTTCATAGAAATCAATTTTCTCTGAATTGGAATTTTAACTTTCAGGATCAGTGTGTTTTTCAAATCAACACATCTACTCATTAAATTATAACATGCTTATTATTTTAAAAAGGGATAGAAAGTTATGTGAAAACTGAAAGGTAACTCTTCCTTATGGTTCCTTTACCTTCTTCATATAGCTCTTGGCTTTGTGTATCCTTCCAGCAGTTTCTTATACATTTACATGCATTTTTCTTTTAAAAATTGTTTCACAAATGAGATGACACTATACATACTGTCCTTCAAATTGCTTTTCTTTTCTTTCTCCCATGCTCCAACCCCTCCTTTTTTATTTCTTTTAAATTTTTTTCTTTTTTTTAAATTATTATACTTTAAGTTCTGAGATACATGTGCAGAACTTGCAGGTTTGTTATATAGGTATAAATGAGCCATGGTGGTTTGCCACACCCATCAACCCATCCTCTACATTAAGTATTTTTTCTCATGCTATCTCTCCCCTAGCCCTCCACGCTCCAGACAGGCCCTGGTGTGTGATGTTCCCCTCCCTGTGTCCATGTGTTCTCATTGTTCTACTCCTACTTATTAGTGAAAACATGCAGTGTTTGGTTTTCTGTTTTTGTGTTAGTTTGTTGAGAATGATGGTTTCCAGTTTCATCCATGTCCATGCAAAGGACATGAACGCATCCTTTTTTATGGCTGCATAGTATTCCATGGTATGTATGTGCCACATTTTCTTTATCCAGTCTATCATTGATGGGCATTTGGGTTGGTTCCAAGTCTGTGTATTGTGAACAGTGCTGCAATAAACATATGTGTGCATGTATCTTTATGGTAGAATGATTTATAATCCTTTGGGTATATACCCAGTAATGGGATTGCTGGGTCAAATGGTATTTCTGGTTCTAGATCCTTGAGGAATGGCCACACTGTCTTCCACAGTGGTTGAACTAATTTACACTCTCACCAACAGTCTAAAAGCCTTCCTACTTCTCCACATCCTCTCCAGCATCTGTTGTTTCCTAACATTTTAATGATTGCCATTCTAACTGGTGTGAGATGGTATCTCACTGTGGTTTTGATTTGCATTTCTCTAATGAGCAGTGAGGGTGAGCTTTTTTCATTTTTGTTGGCTGCAGAAATGTTTTCTTTTCAGAAGGGTCTGTTGACATCCTTAGCTCACTTTTTGATGGGGTTGTTTGTTTTTTTCTTGTAAATTTGTTTAAGTATTTTTAGTCTGGATATTAGCCCATTGTCAGATGGATAGATTGCAAAAATTTTCTCCCATCTGTAGATGGCCTGTTCACTCTGATGAGATTCTTTTGCTGCACCGAAGCTCTTTAATTAGGTCCCATTTATCTATTTTGGCTTTTGTTGCCATTGCTTTTGGTGTTTTTGTCATGAAATCTTTGCCCATATTTATGTCCTGAATGGTATGGCCTCAGTTTTCTTTTAGGGTTTTTATGGTTTTAGGTCTTACGTTTAAGTCTTTTTTTTTTAATTATACTTTAAGTTTTAGGGTACATGTGCACAACGTGCACGTTAGTTACATAGGTATACATATGCCATGTTGGTGTGCTGCACCCATCAACTCGTCATTTAACATTAGGTGTATCTCCTAATGCTATCCTTCCCCCCTCCCCCCACCCCACAAGAGGCCCGGGTGTGTGATGTTCCTATTCCTGTGTCCTTGTGTTCTCATTGTTCAATTCCCACCCATGAGTGAGAACATGTGGTGTTTGGTTTTTTGTCCTTGTGACAGTTTGCTGAGAATGATGGTTTCTGGCTTCATCCATGTCCCTACAAAGGACATGAACTCATCATTTTTTATGGCTGCATAGTATTCCATGGTGTATATGTGCCACATTTTCTTAATCCAGTCTATCATTGTTGGACATTTGGCTTGGTTCCAAGTCTTTGCTATTGTGAATGGTGCCACAATAAACATACATGTGCATGTGTCTTTATAGCAGCATGATTTATAATCCCTTGGGTATATACCCAGTAATGGGATGGCTGGGTCAAATGGTATTTCTAGTTCTAGATCCCTGAGGAATCGCCACACTGACTTCCACAATGGTTGAACTAGTTTACAGTCCCACCAACAGTGTAAAAGTGTTCCTATTTCTCCACATCCTCTCCAGCACCTGTTGTTTCCTGACTTTTTAATGATCGCCATTCTAACTGGTGTGAGATGGTATCTCATTGTGGTTTTGATTTGCATTTCTCTGATGGCCAGTGATGATGAGCATTTTTTCATGTGTTTTTTGGGTGCATAAATGTCTTCTTTTGAGAAGTGTCTATTCATATCATTTGCCCACTTGTTGATGGTGTTGTTTGTTTTTTTCTTGTAAATTTGTTTGAGTTCATTGTAGATTCTGGATATTAGCCCTTTTGTCAGATGAGTAGATTGCAAAAATTTTCTCCCATTCTGTAGGTTGCCTGTTCACTCTGATGGTAGTTTCCCTTGCTGTGCGGAAGCTCTTTAGTTTAATTAGATCCCATTTGTCAATTTCGGCTTTTGTTGCCATTGCTTTCGGTGTTTTAGACATGAAGTCCTTGCCCATGCCTATGTCCTGAATGGTATTTCCTAGGTTTTCTTCTAGGGTTTTTATGGTTTTAGGTCTAACATTTAAGTCTCGAATCCATCTTGAATTAATTTTTGTATAAGGTGTAAGGAAGGGATCCACTTTCAGCTTTCTACGTATGGCTAGCCAGTTTTCCCAGCACCATTTATTAAATAGGGAATCCTTTCCCCATTTCTTGTTTTTGTCAGGTTTGTCAAAGATCAGATGGTTGTAGATATGCAGCATTATTTCTGAGGGCTCTGTTCTGTTCCATTGGTCTATATTTCTGTTTTGGTACCAGTACCATGCTGTTTTTGTTACTGTAGCCTTGTAGTATAGTTTGAAGTCAGGTAGTGTGATGCCTCCAGCTTTGTTCTTTTGGCTTAGGGTTGACTTGGCAATGTGGGCTCTTTTTTGGTTCCATATGAACTTTAAAGTAGTTTTTTCCAATTCTGCGAAGAAAGTCATTGGTAGCTTGATGGGGATGGCATTGAATCTATAAATTACCTTGGGCAGTATGGCCATTTTCAAGATATTGATTCTTCCTACCCATGAGCATGGAGTGTTCTTCCATTTGTTTGTATCCTCTTTTATTTCATTGAGCAGTGGTCTGTAGTTCTCCTTGAAGAGGTCCTTCACGTCCCTTGTAAGTTGGATTCCCAGGTATTTTATTCTCTTTGAAGCAATTGTGAATTGGAGTTCACTCATGATTTGGCTGTCTGTCTGTTATTTGTGTGTAAGAATGCTTGTGATTTTTGCACATTGATTTGGTATCCTGAGACTTTGCTGAAGTTGCTTATCAGCTTGAGGAGATTTTGGGCTGAGACGATGGGGTTTTCTAGATATACAACCATGTCATCTGCAAACAGGGACAATTTGAATTCCTCTTTTCCTAATTGAATACCCTTTATTTCCTTCTCCTGCCTGATTGCCCTGGCCAGAACTTCCAACACTATGTTGAATAGGAGTGGTGAGAGAGGGCATCCCTGTCTTGTGCCAGTTTTCAAAGGGAATGCTTCCAGTTTTTGCACATTCAGTATGATATTGGCTGTGGGTTTGTCATAGATAGCTCTTATTATTTTGAGATACATCCCATCAATACCTAATTTATGGAGAGTTTTTAGCATGAAGGGCTGTTGAATTTTGTCAAAGGCCTTTTCTGCATCTATTGAGATAATCACATGGTTTTTGTTGTTGGTTCTGTTTATATGCTGGATTATGTTTATTGATTTGCGTATGTTGAACCAGCGTTGCATCCCAGGAATGAAGCCCACTTGATCATGGTGGATAAGCTTTTTGATGTGCTGCTGGATTCGGTTTGCCAGTATTTTATTGAGGATTTTTGCATCGATGTTCATCAGGGATATTGGTCTAAAATTCTCTTTTTCTGTTGTTTCTCTGCCAGGCTTTGGTATCAGGATGATGCTGGCTTCATAAAATGAGTTGGGGAGGATTCCCTCTTTTTTATTGATTGGAATAGTTTCGGAAGGAATGGTGCCAGTTCCTCCTTGTACCTCTGGTAGAATTCGGTTGTGAATCCATCTGGTCCTGGCCTTTTTTTGGTTGGTAAGTTATTAACTATTGCCTCAATTTCAGAGCCTGTTATTGGTCTATTCAGAGAATCAACTTCTTCCTGGTTTAGTTTTGGGAGGGTGTATGTGTCGAGGAATGTATCCATTTCTTCTAGATTTTCTAGTTTATTTGCGTAGAGGTGTTTATAGCATTCCCTGATGGTAGTTTGTATTTCTGTGGGATCGGTGGTGATATCCCCTTTATCATTTTTTATTGCATCTATTTGATTCTTCTCTCTTTTCTTCTTTATTAGTCTTGCTAGTGGTCTATCAATTTTGTTGATCTTTTCAAAACACCAGCTCCTGGATTCACTGATTTTTTGAAGGGTTTTTTGTGTCTCTATTTCCTTCAGTTCTGCTCTGATCTTACTTATTTCTTGCCTTCTGCTAACTTTTGATTGTGTTTGCTCTTGCTTCTCTAGTTCCTTTAATTGTGATGTTAAGGTGTGAATTTTAGATCTTTCCTGCTTTCTCTTGTGGGCATTTAGTGCTATAAATTTCCCTCTACACACTGCTTTGAATGTGTCCCAGAGATTCTGGTATGTTGTGTCTTTGTTCTCATTGGTTTCAAAGAACAACTTTATTCTGCCTTCATTTTGTTATGTACCCAGTAGTCATTCAGGAGCAAGTTGTTCATTTTCCATGTAGTTGAGTGGTTTTGAGGGAGTTTCTTAATCCTTAGTGCTAGTTTGATTGCACTGTGGTCTGAGAGACAGTTTGTTGTGATTTCTGTTCTTTTACATTTGCTGAGGAGTGCTTTACTTCCAACTATGTGGTCAATTTTGCAATAAGTGCAGTGTGGTGCTGAGAAGAATGTATATTCTGTTGATTTGGGGTGGAGAGTTCTGTAGATGTCTATTAGGTCCACTTGGTGCAGAGCTGAGTTCAATTCCTGGATATCCTTGTTAATTTTCTGTCTCATTGATCTGTCTAATATTGACAGTGGGATATTAAAGTCTCCCATTATTATTGTGTGGGGAGTCTAAGTCTCTTTGTAGGTCTCTAAGGACTTGCTTTATGAATCTGGGTGCTCCTGTATTGGGTGCATATATATTTAGGATAGTTAGCTCTTCTTATTGAATTGATCCCTTTACCATTATGTAATGGCCTACTTTGTCTCTTTTGATCTTTGTTGGTTTAAAGTCTGTTTTATCAGAGACTAGGAATGCAACCCCTGCCTTTTTTTCTTTTCCATTTGCTTGGTAGATCTTCCTCCAGCCCTTTATTTTGACCCAATGTGTGTCTCTGCACGTGAGATGGGTTTCCTGAATACAGCACACTGATGGGTCTTGACTCTTTATCCAATTTGCCAGTCTGTGTCTTTTAATTGGAGCATTTAGCCCATTTACATTTAAGGTTAATATTGTTATGTGTGAATTTGATCTTGTCATTATGATGTTAGCTGGTTATTTTGCTCCTTAGTTGATGCAGCTTCTCCCTAGCATTGATGATCTTTACAATTTGGCATGTTTTTGCAGTGGCTGGTACCGGTTGTTCCTTTCCATTTTTAGTGCTTCCTTCAGGGGCTCTTTTAGGGCAGGCCTGGTGGTGACAAAATCTCTCGGCATTTGCTTGTCTGTAAAGTATTTTATTTCTCCTTCACTTATGAAGCTTGGTTTGGCTGGATATGAAATTCTGGGTTGAAAATTATTTTCTTTAAGAATGTTGAATATTGGCCCCCACTCTCTTCTGGCTTGTAGAGTTCCTGCTGAGAGATCAGCTGTTAGTCTGATGGGCTTCCCCTTGTGGGTAACCTGACTTTTCTCTCTGGCTGCCCTTAACATTTTTTCCTTCATTTCAACTTTGGTGAATCTGACAATTATGTGTCTAGGTCTTTGAGGAATGGCCACACTGTCTTCCACAACGGTTGAACTAATTTACACTCCCACCAACAGTGTAAAAGTGTTCCTATTTCTCCACATCCTCTCCAGCATCTGTTGTTTCCTGACATTTTAATGATTGCCATTCTAACTGGTGTGAGATGGTATCTCATTGTGGTTTTGATTTGCATGTCTCTAATGAGCAGTGATGATGAGCTTTTTTTCATGTTTGTTGGCTGCATTAATGTTTTCTTTTGAGAAGTGTCTGTTCACATCCTTACCCCACTTTTTGATGGGGTTGTTTGTGTTTTTTCTTGTAAATTTGTTTAAGTTCTTTGTAGATTTTGGATATTAGCCCTTTGTCAGATGGATAGATTGCAATAATTTTCTTCCATTCTGTAGGTTGCCTGTTCACTCTGACGATAGTCTTTTTTGCTGTGCTGAAGCTCTTTAGTTTAATCAGGTCCAATTTGTCTATTTGGACTTCGTTGCCATTGCTTTTGGTGTTTTAGTTATGAAGTCTTTGCCCATACCCGTGTCCTGAATGGTATGGCCTAGGTTTTCTTCTAGGGTTTTTATGGTTTTAGGTCTTATAATTAAGTCTTTAATCCATCTTAATTAAATCCAACTTAATTTAATACAACATAATAAAATTGAGTTAATTTTTGTATAAGGTGTAAGGAAGGGGTCCAGTTTCAGTTTTCTGCCTATGGCTAGCCAGCTTTCCCAACATCATTTATTAAATAGGGAATCCTTTCCCCATTGCTTGTTTTTGTCAGGTTTGTCAAAAATCTGATGGTTGTAGGTGTGCGGTGTTATTTCTGCAGCCTCTGTTCCATTCCATTGGTCTAGATATCTGTTTGGTACTAGTACCATGCTGTCTTGGTTACTGTAGCCTTGCAGTATAGTTTGAAGTCAGGTAGCGTGATGCCTCCAGCTGTGTTCTTTTTGCTTTGGATTGTCTTGGCTATATGTAGGGAAAAGGAAGAGAGATCAGACTGTTACTGTGTCTATGCAGAAAAGGAAGACATAAGAAACTCCATTTTGACCTGTACCCTGAACTATTGCTTTGCCCTGAGATGCTGTTAATCTGTAACTTTAGCCCCAACCTTGAGCTCACAGAAACATGTGTTGTATGAAATCAAGGTTTAAGGGATCTAGGGCTGTGCAGGATGTGCCTTGTTAACAAAATGTTTACAGGCAGTATGCTTGGTAAAAGTCACCATCATTCTCCAGTCTCAATAAATCAGGGGCACAATGCACTGTGGAAAGCCGCAGGGACCTCTGCCCTGCAACGCTGGGTATTGTCCAAGGTTTCTCCCCATGTGATAGTCTGAAATATGGCCTCGTGGGATGGGAAAGACCTGACCGTCCCCCAGCCCAACATCCATGAAGGGTCTGTGCTGAGGAGGATTAATAAAAGAGGGAGGCCTCTTGCAGTTGAGATAGAGGAAGGCCACTGTCTCCTGCCTGCCCCTGGGAACTGAGTGTCTTGGTATAAAACACGATTGTACATTTGTTCAATTCTGAGTTAGGAGAACAACCGCCCTGTGGCGGGAGGCGAGACATGTTGGCAGCAATGCTGCCTTGTTATTCTTTACTCCACTGAGATGTTTGGGTGGAGAGAAGCATAAATCTGGCCTACATGCACATCCAGGCATAGTACCTTCCCTTGAACTTATTTGTGACACAGATTCCTTTGCCACGTTTTCTTGCTGACCTTCTCCCCACTATCACCCTGCTCTTCTGCCGCATTCCTCTTGCTGAGATAGTAAAAATAGTAATTAACAAAGGCTGAGGGAACTCAGAGACTGGTGCCAGTGTGGGTCCTCTGTATGCTGAGTGCCAGTCCCCTGGGCCCACTTTTCTTTCTCTATACTTTGTGTCTTATTTCTTTCCTCAGTCTCTCATCCTGCCTGACAAGAAATACCCACAGGTGTGGAGGGGCTGGCCCCCTTCAGCTATATGGGCTCTTTTTTTGGTTCCATATGAAATTTAAAGTACTTTTTTTCCAATTTTGTGAAGAAAGTAATTGGCAGCTTGATGGGGATAGCATTGAATCCGTAAATTACCTTGGGCAGTATGGCCATTTTCATGATATTGATTCTTCCTATCCATGAGCATGGACTGTTTTTCTGTTTGTTTGTGTCCTCACTTATTTCCTTGAGCAGTGGTTTGTAGTTCTCCTTGAAGAGGTCCTTCATGTCCCTTGCAAATTGGATTCCTAGGTATTTTATTCTCTTTGTAGCAGTTGCAAATGGGAGTTCACTCATGATTTGGCTCTCTGTCTATTATTGGCATATAGGAATGCTTCTGATTTTTGCACATTGATTTTGTATCCTGAGACTTTGCTGAAGTTGCTTATCAGCTTAAGGAGACTTTGGGCTGAGATGATGGCATTTTCTAAATACACAATCATGTCATCTGCAAACAGAGACAATTTGACTTCCTCTTTTCCTAATTGAATACCCTTTATTTTTTCCTCTTGCCTGAGTGCCCTGGCTAGAAAACTTCCAATACTATGTTGAATAGGAGTGGTGAGATAATGCATCCTTGTCTTGTGCCGATTTTCAAAGGGAATGCATCCAGCCGATTTTCAAAGGGAATGCATCCAGCTTTTGCCCATTCAGTATGATATTGGCTGTGGGTCTGTCATAAATAACTCTTACTATTTTGAGATACGTTCCATCAGTACCTAGTTTATTGAGAGTTTTTAGCATGAAAGGCTGTTGAATTTTGTCAAAGGTCTTTTCTGCATCTATTGAGATAATCATGTGGTTTTTTTCATTGGTTCTGTTTATGTGATGGACTATGTTTATTGATTTGCTTATGTTGAACCAGCCTTGTATCCCAGGAATAAAGCTAACTTGATCATGGTGGATAAGCTTTTTGATGTGTTGCTGGATTCAGTTTGCCAGTATTTTATTGAGGATTTTCTCAATGATGTTCATCAGGGATACTGGCCTGAAATTTTCTTTCTTTTGTTGTGTCTCTGCCAGCTTTTGGTATCAGGATGATGCTGGCCTCATAAAATGAGTTAGGGAGGAGTTCCTGTTTTTCTGGTGTTTGGAATAATTTCAGAAGGAATGGTACCAGCTCCTCTTTGTACCTCTGGTAGAATTCAGCTGTGAATCCGTCTGGTCCTGAGCTTTTTTTTGTTTGATAGGCCATGCATTACTGCTTCAATTTCAGAACTTGTTATTGGTCTATTTAGGGATTTGAATTCTTCCTGATTTAGTCTTGGGAGGGTGTATTCGTCCAGGAATTTATCTATTTCTTCCAGATTTTCTAGTTTATTTGCATAGAGTAGTTTATAGTATTCTCTGATGGTAGCTTGTATTTCTGTGGGATCAGTGGTGATATCCCCTCCATCATTTTTTATTGCACCTATTTGATTCTTCTCTCTTTTCTTCTTTATTGGTCTAGCTAGCAGTCTATCTATTTTGTTGATCTTATCAAAAAACCAGCTCCTGGATTCACTGGTTTTTTTGAAGGTTCTTTCCTGTCTCTGTCTCCTTCAGTTCTGCTCTGATCTTAGTTATTTCTTGTCTTCTCCTGGCTTTTGAATATGTTTGCTCTTGCTTTTCTAGTTCTTTTAATTGTGATGTTAGGGTGTTGGTTTTATATCTTTCCTGCTTTCTCCTGTGGGCATTTAGTGCTATAAATTTCACTCTAAACACTGCTTTGGCTGTGTCCCAGGGATTCTGGTACATAGTGTCTTTGTTCTCCCTGGTTTCAAAGAAGTTATTTATTTCTACTATAATTTCATTATATACCCAATAGTCATTCAGGAGCAGGTTGTTCAGTTTCCATGTAGTTGTGTGGTTTTGAGTGAGTTTCTTAATCTGAGTTCTAATCTGATTGCACTGCAGCCCGAGAGACTGTTTGTTATGATTTCCATTCTTTTGCATTTGCTGAGGAGGGTTTTACTTCCAATTATGTGATCAATTTTAGAATAAGTGCGATGTGGTGCTGAGAAGAATGTATATTCTGTTGACTTGGGGTGGAGAGTTCTGTAGATGTCTATTAGGTCTGCCTAGTCTAGAGCTGAGTTCAAGTCCTGGATATCCTTGTTAATTTTCTGTCTCATTGATCTGTCTAATACTGACAGTGGGGTGTTGGGGTGTTAACGTCTCCCATTGCTATTGTGTGGGAGTCTAAGTCTCTTTGTAGGTCTCTAAGCACTTGCTTTATGAATCTGGGTGCTCCTGTATTGGGTACATATATATTTAGGATAGTTAGCTCTTCTTGTTGAATTGATCCCTTTACCATTATGTGATGGCCTACTTTGTCTCTTTTGATCTTTGTTGGTTTAAAGTCTGTTTTATCGGAGACCAGGATTGCAACCCCTGCTTTTTTTTGCTTTGCATTTGCTTGGTAAATATTCCTCCATCCCTTTATTTTGAGCCTATGTGTGTCTTGGCACATGAGACGGGTCTCTTGAATACAGCACAATGATGGGTCTTGACTCTTTATCCAATTTGCCAGTCTGTGTCTTTTACTTGGGGCACTTAGCCTGTTTACATTTAAGGTTAATATTGTTATGTGTGAATTTGATCCTGTCATTATGATGCTAGCTGATTATTTTGCCCATTAGTTGACGCAGTTTCTTCATAGTGTCAATAGTCTTGACAATTTGGTATGGTTTTGCAGTGGCTGGTACTGGTTGATCCTTTCCATGTTTAGTGCTTCCTTCAGGAGCTCTTGTACATCAGGCCTGGTGGTGACAAAATCTCTCAGCATTTGCTTGTCTGTAAAGGATTTTATTTCTCCTTCACTTGTGAAGCTTAGTTTGGCTTCATAACCATTCCTCATGGCGCAGTCCTTCACAGCTTCCCTTGGCTAGGGGAGGGGGTCCTCTGACCCCTTGTGCTTCCTGAGTGAGGTGATGGCCACCCTGATTCAGCTGGCTCTTCATGGGCTGCACCCACTGTCTCACCAGTCCCAGTGAGTTGAGCCAGGTACCTCAGTTGGAAATGCAGAAATCACCTGCCTTCTGCGTTGATCTCGCTGGGAGCTGCAGACTGGAGCTGTTCCTATTTGGTCATCTTGTCAGCCACCCTTTTTATTTTTTAAAATACATTCTTGGCTAATGAGTGGTACATAATAGACCTACTTTATTCTCTCTCTTCTTTTATAAAATAGCTGTACAGTATTCTATTGTGTGGCTATTCCATAATTTATTTAGCTAGTCTCCTACTGATGGATATTTAAGTAGCTTCCAGTGTTTTGCTATTTCAAACAATGCTATGGTGAACAACATTGGATGAATATGTATTTTTGTGTGTTTGGTACAAATACATTTGTACGCTGGGCCAAAGTTTTAAATTGATGGCTATGACGGTCAAATTACCTTAAAAAAGATTTGTCAACCTAAAATAATAAAAGGGTGAGAATTGAATTTAAGGAGTGTTTATTGAAGTGCAAAGTGTGAGGATGGACCATCTGGAAACATCAAATCCAAAGGAATGCAGTCAGCATTCTGCAGTAGAGAAGTTATGGTTTCAATTATATATGCAGAGAGAGAAGAGTGTTTAGCAAAATTATAACATTATTCGTACAAGGTTGGCACATAGTTACAGCCATTTGATAGGTTAAACGCAGTGTTTCTTTTTGGGAAGGATACATTTAACATGTTTTTTAGAGGGTGTAGTAATTGTGGGTTTTTGTCATCTGGTCTAAGCAAAGCAGGACAACAATAGGAAATTAATATACAATAAGGGTCATTAATTAAGAAGGCCAGAGGTTTTTTTCCATGATGTCATTTAATTCTCTCTAGTCATTGTACAGAAGAAGAAAAATAAGAAAGCTAGTTAATCTATAATTTGAGAACAGAAGTTATAACCACATACGACTCAGATCACAGTCACGTCTCAAGGCTTAAAGTGATTTTGGGGGTTCCCACAGCTTTTAAATTTTATTTATTTTCACAGATTTAAGCAGTTTTGATGAATTTTTCCCCCTAAAGTGAATTTACCTGCTGCTGTACTCCCTTATGCATAGTATATAGAATGGCTTAAACTTTGGTGGTGGCTTAAGCTCAGTGGTAAAATGGTACCACACTTTAGGTCGCAGTGGCCAACTTGCAGAACTGCAACTTGCAGATCTGAGGCACACCCAGTTCCACTCATGTTTGTCATTGAGAATGCTGGCTCAGCACTGCCAGCCCTTGGGATATTTAAACAGAAGCTAGAAATCCGGATGGTAATAGGAAATATTTAAATTTTAAATGTTGGCCAATTATTTACTTAAAAAAGAACCCAGAAAAGAAAACAGTGAATGGATCTGTAGGTGCCAGAGGCTGACTGATATAGCCTATTTAAATGGAATGAATTATTAATTTTGTGAGATATTGCTCTATCTAGAATTTCATTTTTTATTATTATACTTTAAGTTCTAGGGCACATGTGCACAACGTGCAGGTTTTTTACATAGGTATACGTGTATCAGGTTGGTTTGCTGGATCCATCAACTCGTCATTTACATTAGGTATTTCTCCTAATGCTATCCCTCCCCCAGCCCCCCAGCCTCTAACAGACCCTGGTGTATGATGATCCCCTCTCTGTTTCCATGTGGTCTGCTTGTTCCACTTCCACCTATGAGTGAGAACATGCGGTGTTTGGTTTTCTGTCCTTGTGATATTTTGCTGAAAGTGATGATTTCCAGCTTCATCCATGTTCCTGCAAAGGACATGAACTCATCCTTTTTTATGGCTGCATAGTATTCCATGGTATACATGTGCCACATTTTCTTTATCCAGTCTATCATTGATGGGCATTTGGGTTGGTTCCAAGTTTTTGCTATTGTGAACAGTGCTGCAATAAACATATGTGTATATGTGTCTTTATAGTAGAATGATTTATGATCCTTTGGGTAGATATCCAGTAATGGGGTTGCTGGATCAATTGGTATTTCTGGTTCTAGATCCTTGAGGAATGGCCACAGTGTCTTCCACAATGGTTGAACTAATTTACACTCCCACCAACAGTCTAAAAGCCTTCCTATTTCTCCACATCCTCTCCAGCTTCTGTTATTTCCTGACTTCTTAATGTTGCCATTCCAAGTGTCATGAGATGGTATCTCATTGTGGTTTTTCTTTGCATTTCTCTGATGACCAGTGATGATGAGCATTTATTCATATGTCTGTTGGCTGTGTAAATGTCTTCTTTTGAGAAGTTTCTGTTCATACTTTTTACTCACTTTTTGATGGGGTTATTTGTTTTTTTTTTTCTTGTAATTTGTTTAAGTTCTTTGTATTCTGGATATTAGCCCTTTGTCAGATGGATAGATTGCAAGAATTTTCTCCTATTCTGTAAGTTGCCTTCTCACTCTGATGATAGTTTCTTTTGCTGTGCAGAAGCTCTTTAGTTTAGGTAGATCCCATTAGTCTATTTTGGCTTTTGTTGCCATTACTTTTGGTGTTTTTATCATGAAGTCTTTGCCCATGCCTATGTCCTGAATGGTACTGTCTAGGTTTTCTTCTAGGGTTTTTATGGTTTTAGGTCTTACATTTAAGGCTTTAATCCATCTTGAGTTAATTTTAGTATAAGGTGTAAGGAACGCATGCAGTTTCAGCTTTCTACATATGGCTAGCTAGTTTTCCCAGCACCATTTATTAAATAGGGAATCCTTTCCCCATTGCTTGTTTCTGTCAGATTTGTCAAAGATCAGATGGTTGAAGATGTGTGGTGTTATTTCTGAGGCCTCTGTTCTGTTCCATTGGTCTAGATATCTGTTTTGGTACCAGTACCATGCTGTTTTGGTTACTGTAGCCTTGCAGTATAGTTTGAAGTCAGGTAGTGTGATGCCTCCAGCTTTGTTCTTTTTGCTTATGATTGTCTTGGCTATACCAGCTCTTTTTTGGTTCCATATGAAATTTAAAGTAGTTTTTTCCAATTCTGTGAGGAAAGTCAGTGGTAGCTTGATGGGGATAGCATTGAGTCTATAATTTACTTTGGGCAATATGGCCATTTTCATGATATTGAGTCTTCCTATCCATGAGCATGGAATACTCTTCCATTTGTTTGTGTCCTCACTTATTTCCTTGAGCAGTGGTTTGTAGTTTTCCTTGAAGAGGTCCTTCACATCCCTTGTAAGTTGGATTTCTAGGTATTTTATTCTCTTTGTAGCAATTGTGAATGGGACTTCACTCATGATTTGGCTCTCTGTCTATTATTGGCATACAGGAATGCTTGTGATTTTTGCACATTGATTTTGTATCCTGAGACTTTGCTGAAGTTGCTTATCAGCTTAAGGAGATTTTGGGCTGAGATCATGGGGTTTCTAAATATACGGTGAAATCATCTGCAAACAGAGACAATTTGACTTCCTCTTTTCCTAATTGAATACCCTTTATTTCTTCCTCTTGCCTGATTGCCTTGGCCAGAACTTCCAATACTATGTTGAATAGGAGTGGTGAGATAGGGCATCCTTGTCTTGTACCAGTTTTCAAAGGGAATGCTTCCAGTTTTTGCACATTCAGTATGATATTGGCTATGGGTTTGTCATAAATAGCTCTTATTATTTTGAGTTACATTCCATGAATACCAAGTTTATGGAGAGTTTTTAGCATGAAGGGGTGTTTAATTTTGTTCGAAGGCCTTTCTGCATCTATTGAGATAATCATGTGGTGTTTGTCGGTTCTGTTTGTGTGATGGATTATGTTTGTTGATTTGCTTATGCTGAACCAGGTTTGCATCCCAGGGATGAAGCCACCTTGATCGTGGTGGATAAGCTTTTTGATGTGCCGCTGGATTCGGTTTGCCAGTATTTTATTGAGCATTTTTGCATTGATGTTCATCAGGGATACTGGCCTAAAATTTTCTTTGTTTTGTTGTGTCTCTGCCAAGCTTTGATATCCGGATGATTCTGGCATTATAAAATGAGTTAGGGAGGATTCTTTCTTTTTCTATTGATCGGTATAGTTTCAGAAGGAATGGTACCAACTCCTCTTTGTACCTCTGGTAGAATTCGGCTATGAATCCATCTGGTCCTGGACTTTTTTTGGTTTAGTAGGCTATTAATTATTGCCTCAATTTCAGAAGCTGTTATTGGTCTATTCAGCAATTCAGCTTCTTCCTGATTTAGTCTGGGGAAGGTATATGTGTCCAATAATTTATCCAATTCTTCTAGGTTTTCTAGTTTATTTGCATAGAGGTGTTTATAGTATTCTCTGATGGTAGTGTGTATTTCTGCGGGATCACTGGTGATATCACCTTTATCATTTTTTATTGTGTCTATTTGACTCTTCTCTCTTTTCTTCCTTATTAGTCTTGCTAGCAGTCCATTTTGTTGATCTTTTCAAAAATCCAGCTCCTGGATTCATTGATCCTTTGAAGGTTTTTTTTTTAATGCCTCTATTTCCTTCAGTTCTGCTCTGATCATCGTTATTTGCTGTCTTCTGCTAGCTTTTGAATTTGTTTGCTCTTGCTTCTCTAGTTCTTTTAATTTTGAGGTTAGGGTGTTGATTTTAGATCTTTCCTCCTTTCTCTTGTGGGTATTCAGTGCTGTAAATATCCATTTACACACTGTTTTAAATGTGTCCCAGAAATTCTGGTACACTGTGTCTTTGTTCTCATTGGTTTCAATGACCATGTTTATTTCTGCCTTCATTTTGTTATTTACCCAGTAGTCATTCAGGAGCAGGTTGTTCAGTTTCCATGTAGTTGTGCAGTTTTGAGTGAGTTTCTCAGTCCTGAGTTCTAATTTGATTGCACTGTGGTCTGGGAGACAGTTTGTTGTGATTGCTGTTCTTTGGCATTTGCTGAGGAGTGTTTTACTTCCAATTATGTGGTCAATTTTAGAATAAGTGTGATGTGGTGCTGAGAAGAATGTATATTGTGTTGACTTGGGGTGGAGAGTTCTGTAGATGTGTATTAGGCCTACTTGGTCTAGAGCTGAGTTCAAGTCCTGGACATCCTTATTAATTTTGTCATGTTTTCTGTCTAATATTAACAGTGGGGTGTTACTGTCTCCCATTACTATTGTATGGGAGTCTAAGCCTCTTTGTAGGTCTCTAAGAACTTGCTTTATGAATCTGGGTTCTCCTGTATTGGGTGCATATATATTTAGGATAGTTAGCTCTTCTTGTTGAACTGATCCCCTTACCATTATGTGATGGCCTTCTTTGTCTCCTTTCATCTTTGTTGGTTTAATGTCTGTTTTATCAGAGACCAGGATTGCAATCCCTGCTTTTTTTTGCTTTCCATTTGTTTTGTAGATCTTCCTCCATCCCTTTGAGAGGTGGCAGTGTGCTGGCAGCCCTCGCTCACTCTTGGCACCTCCTCAGCCTCAGCACCCACTCTGGCCACGCTTGAGGAGCCCTTCAGCCCGCCGCTGCACTGTGGGAGCCCCTTTCTGGGCTGGCTGAGACTGGAGCTGGCTTCCTCAGATTGCAGGGAGGTGTGGAGGGAGAGGCATGGGCGGGAACTGGGGCTGTGCGCAGCACTTGCAGGCCAGCACGAGTTCTGGGTGGGTGTGGCCTTGGCGGCACAATGCACTGCAGAAAGCCACAGGGACCTCTGCCCTTGAAAGCAGGGTATTGTCCAAGGTTTCTCCCCATGTGATAGTCTGAAATATGGCCTCATGGGATGAGAAAGACCTGACTGTCCCCCAGCCTGACACCCATAAAGGGTCTGTGCTCTGGTGGATTAGTAAAAGAGGAAAGCCTCTTGCAGTCGAGATAGAGGAAGGCCACTGTCTCCTGCCTGCCCATGGGAACTAAATGTCTCGGTATAAATCCCGATTGTACATTTGTTCAATTCTGAAATGAGAGAAAAACTGCCCTATGGTGGGAGGCGAGACATGTTTGCAGCAATGCTGCCTTGTTATTCTTTACTCCACCGACATGTTTGGGTGGAGAGAAACATAAATCTGGCTTACGTGCACGTCCAGTCATAGTACCTTCCCTTGAACTGAATTATGATGTAGATTCTATTGCTCACGTTTGTTGCTGACCTTCTCCTTATTATCACCCTGCCCTCCTACTACATTCCTTTTTACTGAAATAATGACGATAATAATCAATAAAAACTGAGGGAATTCAGAGACCGGTGCCGGTGCAGGTCCTTGGTATGCTGAGCGCCGGTCCCCTGGACTCACTGTTGTTTCTCTATACTTTGTCTCTGTGTCTTATTTCTCTTTCTCAGTCTCTTGTCCCACCTGACTAGAAATACCCACAGGTGTGGAGGGGCAAGCCACCCCTTCAAGCAGTAGCAACCCGCTTGGGTCCCCTTCCACACTGTGGAAGCTTTGTTCTTTCACTCTTTGCAATAAATCTTGCTGCTGCTCACTCTTTGGGTCCACACTGCCTTTATGAGCTGTAACACTCACCGTGAAGGTCTGCAGCTTCACTCCTGAGGCCAGTGAGGCCACGAACCCACCAGGAGGAATGAACAACTCCAGACAGGAGGAACGAACAACTCCAGACATGCTGCCTTAAGAGCTGTAACACTCACTGCGAAGGTCCGCAGCTTCACTCCTGAAGCCAGCAAGACCACGAACCCACCAGAAGGAAGAAACTCTGAACATGTCTGAACATCAGAAGGAACAAACTCCAGACACGCTGCCTTTAAGAACTGTAACACTCACCGCGAGGGTCCGCAGCTTCATTCTTGAAGTCAGTGAGACCAAGAACCCACCAATTCCAGACATACCTTCATTTTGGGCCTATGTGTGTCTTTGCATGTGAGATGGGTCTCCTGAATACAGCACACCATATGGGTCTTGATTCTTTATCCAATTTGCCAGTCTGTGTCTTTTAATTGGGGCATTTATCCCATTTACATTGAAGGTTAGTATTGTTATATGTGAATTTGATCCTGTCATGACGTTAGCTGGTTATTTTGCCCATTAATTGATGCAGTTTCTTCATAGCATCAATGGTCTTTACAATTTCGTATGTTTTTGCAGTGGCTGGTACCCGTTGTTCCTTTCCATGTTTAGTGCTTCCTTCAGGAGCTCTTATTGTAAGGCAGGCCTGGTGGTGACAAAATCTCTCAGCATCTCCTTGTCTGCAAAGGATTTTATTTCTCATTCACATACGAAGCTTAGTTTGGCTGGATATGAAATTCTAGTTTCAAAAATCTTTTCTTTCAGAATGTTGAATATTGGTCCCAACTCTTTTCTGGTTTGTATGGTTTCTGCTGAGAGATCTGCTGTTAGTCTGATGGGCTTCCCTTTGTTGGTCACCCAACCTTTCTCTCTGGCTGCCCTTAACCTTGCTGAGTCTGACAATTATGTGTCTTGGGGTTGCTCTTCTCAAGGAGTATCTTTGTGATGTTCTCTGTATTTCCTGAATTTGAATGTTTCTTTTTTATTTTTTTGTCTCTAATCTTGTCTTCTCACTTTATTTCATTAATTTTATCTTCAATCACTGATATCCTTTCTTCCACTTGATTGAATCAGCTATTGAAGCTTGTGTATCCTTCATGAAGTTCTTGTACTGTGGTTATCAGCTCCATCAGGTCATTTAAGCTCTTCTCTACATTCTTCATTCTAGTTAGCCATTCGTTTAACCTTTTTTTGAAGGTTTTTAGCTTCCTTGTAATGGGTTAGAACATGTTCCTTTAGCTGGGAGTAGTTTGTTATTACTGACCTTCTGAAGCTTAACTTCTGTCAAGTTATCAAACTTATTCTCCATCCAGTTTTGTTCCCTTGCTGGTGAGGACTTGTATTCCTTTGGAAGAGAAGAGACGTTCTGGTTTCTGGAAGTTTCAGCATTTCTGCTCTGGTTTCTCTCCATCTTTGTGGTTTTATCTACCTTTGGTCTTTGATGTTGGTGACCTATGGATGGGGTTTTAGTGTGGATGTCCTTTGCTATTCTGATGTTGATGCTGTCCTTTGCTGATGTTGATGCTATTCCTTTCTGTTTGTTAGTTTTCCTTCTAACAGGCCCCTCAGCTGCAGGTCTTTGGGGGTTTGCTGGAAGTCCATTCCAGACCTTATTTTCTTGGGTATCAGTAGAGGAGGCTGCAGAACAGCAAATATTGCTGCCTGATCCTTCTTCTGGAAGCTTTGTTCCACAGGGGCACCCACCTGTATGAGGTGTCTCTCCGCCCCTACTGGTCGGTGTTTTTCAGTCAAGCTACATGGGGGTCAGGGACCCACTCGGGGAGGCAGTCTGTCCGTTATCGGAGCACGAACTCCGTGCTGGGAGAACCACTGCTGTCTTTAGAGATGTCAGGCAAGGACACTGAAGTCTGCAGAAGCTGTCCGCTGCCTTTTGTTCAGATATGCCCTGGCCCCTGAGGTGGAATCTGGAGAGGCAGTAGGCCTTGCTGAGCTGCGGTGGGTTCCGCCCAGTTAGAGCTTCCCTGCAGCTTTGTTTACACTGTGATCATAGAACGCCTACTGAAGCCTTAGCAATGGAGGACTTCCCTCCCCCACGGCCCCGTTAACTGATGCAGTTTCGGCCCCCCGCCCCCCACCGCCCTCTCCACCCTACCTGTCAAGCTCCAGCTCCAGCGGAGGATGCTCCAGGGACAGCGATGTCAGGACTGAGATGCAGGGGCTGCCTTAGAGTCTGGATGCTTGGGGTAGCGGGGTGTGAGGCACCGGGCCGGGGTGCAGGGCCGGAAGGAACGTGCTGGATCTGGGATGCTACCAGACGGGGCGTCCCAAAGACCGAGGCAGTCCCGTACCTTACAACTCTCAGATGAGCTCCACGGTGGGCTTGGCCACCCTGACCCCTACTGCCGAGGCTGCTGCAGAGGAGCCGCCGCCACCCACACCGCTGTGGAGCAGCCGCACATGCTAGACTCCGCTTCAGTAAAGCCCGGGCGGTGAGGGCTGCCGCAGAGGCGAGCCCGCTCCAGACAGTGGCGGTTGCGTGAGCGCCCCTCCCCCCACCGGGCCTTGGAGCGCGGGCTCCCACGCCGGCCCGGAGAGCTGCCCGACTGAGCATGCGCGTCGCGCTGCCGAGCCTCCTGAGAGCCCGCGGGCTGGCGCCGACCTTTCTTGCCGGCTCCGGCGTGAGAGGCCCGTCGGCGTGAGAGGCTCAGCGTGTGTCGCCCAGTGTCAGTGCCTTTGGGGCGGGGGACAGCGTCCCCACTTTCCTTCTACTGAATCCTCGGGCCCGTGGGCAGAACCCATTGCTTTTGTTTGTGGGCCTGGGTACCTTGCAGGGCCTTTCTCTATTCCCCACCGGCTCAGGACCCATCCAGCTTGTACTTGCTGACTCGGGAGGGAACTCGGGTCGTAGGGCCATGCGGGGAGAGGACCTGGCCTGATCTGGGAGGCAAGGGGCGGGGAGGTGTTAGAGAGTTCATCCTTCCCCACTCTCTCCGGGCTCGCGCTGCCTCGGGGATTCCCGTGGCGTCCTGGGAGTTCCCGTGCCACCTTCCTTCCAGCTGGCAGCTCTGCAGACACCTCCACCCGTGAACATCACGCTCAAGTTCTGGAGACAGGGAGGAGGGCTGGGGGATCCAGAGATCCAGCCTGAATAGACTTCTGCTCTCTGCTCAGCTAAGCACCCAACACTGAGAAATGAACAGGTCAATTGGATTCAAAGCCGCGCAATCATCTGCATTTTATTTGCACCTCATTTGCAAGTTGTTAATTTGCAACTCTGCTCCTTCCACTCCAGGTTCCTTCTCTCCCATCACCCCTCAGATTCCCCAGTGGCCCGGGAAAAAATATCTTGGTCTTTGCCAAGGTAGACTCAGCCTTGTCAGCAGGCCTGTCCTGTGTTCTCAGGGGAGGCCTTTACCCAAGGCCACAACAACAGCAGAAATCCCGAGTAAGACGCCACCTTGACGGCAGGGAAGGCTGGATCTTTTCACAGGGCAGAACTGATTTGATGAGGTGAACAGTAAGGTGAGCAGAGGTGGGAAAGGCCAGTGGGTGAATGCGGGAACAGCACCAGGAGCTAGAGCCCAACTCTGGCCTGTGGGCTGTCTCCCGGTCCTCAGAGGCGGGACGGGGTTCCTCCACCCACCACCACTGTTTCCCCAGTGATGTAGCTGGCATCTTCAGAGCACAGGAAAGACACGATGCCAGCACAATCCTCTGGCTCGCCTAACCTGGGGAATAAGGGAAGCAAGGAAGGAGGTAAAAATCAAACAGTTCTGCCTCCCTCACCTGGGACACAGGGAGTTAAATTTGCTTAATCAAGAATTATCAGATGGCTTTTTCAGGGTCAGTGTACAAGCTTTCTGCCTATCAAATAGGGTTACCACGAGGATATGCTGTTATAATTTAGTATAAGCATACTGTACTCTGCAAAACTATTACCCATAATATTCAAATACTATAGAAACACACCGGTTTTTAGAGAGCTCAGGACACCAAAATCCAAAGTTATATAGATAAAATGGTGAGCAATTATTTCATACTTCAAAAAAATGGTTTCACATGTGCACACACTAAAGTATCAGGGAGTCTGTGTGACAGTAAATGGTGTGTTTAAAATGATTCCATTTGTACAGGTTCAGCTTAGAACTTTTTCAGGAATCTATACTTGTGCCTTAAAGTCAGGTTCATTTAGTGAGAATGTGCTAATTCTTATTTTATCAGTGACTGCATAGTTAGGAGACACTTTAATCTCCCTGCCATAGAATGCTCTAGAGGTGGGCAGAGTGAGTAACTCAAACCTAGAAGGGCTGAATTAATGCTTCTCCATTCTACTTGTATCTTGCAATCATTTGAGAGGCTTAAACCAAAAAAGAAAAGAAAAGAAAAGACAAAGAAAAACAAAAGCCCAGATGGTCAAGTCCTACCTTGGACCAATTAAAAAGAATCTCTGGGAGTGGGTGGGGCCTGAGCACCTGCAGTTTAAAAAGCTCCCCAGGTGATTCTAATGTGAATCCAGTATTGAGCTACATGGGCTAGATCATTCATTGGTGCTCTAGGTTGACAATCCCCTCACTTATTAATGAGTTATGAACCAGGCCTGCAGCTCATGTCTCACATCAGAATGGCTTTGGGAAGATTTGGGATGTCTGGACGAGTACAGAGTTAGGCATTACTGGCATTTGTCCTTGAAGCCAGAAGGTAGAGAGAGGCAGGGAACTTAGAGGAAAGGGAGCCCGACAAAGGTGCTTGAACAGTTCACCCAGCTCACTGGGGAAGAAAGTAACTCCTTAGGCAAGGGGAGTTTGGGGCTTAGTAAAACTCTTCATTCTTTTCATTTGGATTGTAGATCATCAACCTGAGTTTTGTAAACATGTGTCATTATTCAAGGGGACTAACAAAGCATGGTTTTGGTTATGGTCCCTGGTCTCCATGGATGCTCAGAGGTGGAGGCAATCCCCCAGGTGGAGAGAGGACTCAGGGCTTCTCCGAGACCTCTGCACTGCTGAAACCCCGATGTCTCTGTGTTTACCTTTGGAAAGGGAAGCTGACTTCTTGCTCAGGTCACTGTAGTGATAGTGTTTATGAATTCGTGGTCTGTGAGGCAGAAGAGAGCCTGCCTGTGTTATCTGTGGGACTGAGACAGCGGGCTGTGGGCTGCTAGGGACCAGACCTTCCCATCTTCATGTCTCTTAGTGCCCTTGCCCTCATGACAGTTTACCTTCTTATCCGCAGGGTTTCTTTCATGCTTTCCTCTTTTTCCTTGTCCATCCAGAGCTGTAGGAAGAAGGGAAATCTCTTTATGTTTTTTTTTCTTTTCCTTTCTTTTTTTTTTTTTTTTTTTAGAGACGGAGTCTTGCTCTTTTGCCCAGGCCGGACTGTAGTGGCGCTATCTTGGCTCACTGCAAACTCCGCCTCCCGGGTTATGCCATTCTCCTGCCTCAGCCTCCCGAGTAGCTGGGATTACAGGCGCCCGCCACTGCGCCCGGCTAATTTTTTGTATTTTTAGTAGAGACGGGGTTTCACCGTGTTAGCCAAGATGGTCTCGACCTCCTGACCTCGTGATCTGCCCGCCTCGGCCTCCCAATGTGCTGGGATTACAGGCATGAGCCACCCCACCCAGAAATCTCTTTATGTTTAAGAAGAGGAATCAATTAGGAAAAGAGGAAGTCAAATTGTCCCTGTTTGCAGACGACATGATTGTTTATCTAGAAAACCCCATCGTCTCAGCCCAAAATCTCCTTAAGCTGATAAGCAACTTCAGCAAAGTCTCAGGATACAAAATCAATGTACAAAAATCACAAGCATTCTTATACACCAACAACAGACAAACAGAGAGCCAAATCATGAGTGAACTCCCATTCACAATTGCTTCAAAGAGAATAAAATACCTAGGAATCCAACTTACAAGGGATGTGAAGGACCTCTTCAAGGAGAACTACAAACCACTGCTCAAGGAAATAAAAGAGGACACAAACAAATGGAAGAACATTCCATGCTCATGGGTAGGAAGAATCAATATCGTGAAAATGGCCATACTGCCCAAGGTAATTTACAGATTCAATGCCATCCCCATCAAGCTACCAATGACTTTCTTCACAGAATTGGAAAAAACTACTTTAAAGTTCATATGGAACCAAAAAAGAGCCCGCATCGCCAAGTCAATCCTAAGCCAAAAGAACAAAGCTGGAGGCATCACACTACCTGACTTCAAACTATACTACAAGGCTACAGTAACCAAAACAGCATGGTACTGGTACCAAAACAGAGATATAGATCAATGGAACAGAACAGAACCCTCAGAAATAATGCCGCATATCCACAACTATCTGATCTTTGACAAACCTGAGAAAAACAAGCAATGGGGAAAGGATTCCCTATTTAATAAATGGTGCTGGGAAAACTGGCTAGCCATATGTAGAAAGCTGAAACTGGATCCCTTCCTTACACCTTATACAAAAATCAATTCAAGATGGATTAAAGATTTAAACGTTAGACCTAAAACCATAAAAACCCTAGAAGAAAACCTAGGCATTACCATTCAGGACATAGGCGTGGGCAAGGACTTCATGTCCAAAACACCAAAAGCAATGGCAACAAAAGCCAAAATTGACAAATGGGATCTAATTAAACTAAAGAGCTTCTGCACCGCAAAAGAAACTACCATCAGAGTGAACAGGCAACCTACAACATGGGAGAAAATTTTCGCAACCTACTCATCTGACAAAGGGCTAATATCCAGAATCTACAATGAACTCAAACAAATTTACAAGAAAAAAACAAACAACCCCATCAAAAAGTGGGCGAAGGACATGAACAGACACTTCTCAAAAGAAGACATTTATGCAGCCAAAAAATACATGAAAAAATGCTCATCATCACTGGCCATCAGAGAAATGCAAATCAAAACCACTATGAGATATCATCTCACACCAGTTAGAATGGCGATCATTAAAAAGTCAGGAAACAACAGGTGCTGGAGAGGATGTGGAGAAATAGGAACACTTTTACACTGTTGGTGGGACTGTAAACTAGTTCAACCATTGTGGAAGTCAGTGTGGCGATTCCTCAGGGATCTAGAACTAGAAATACCATTTGACCCAGCCATCCCATTACTGGGTATATACCCAAATGACTATAAATCATGCTGCTATAAAGACACATGCACACGTATGTTTATTGCGGCATTATTCACAATAGCAAAGACTTGGAACCAACCCAAATGTCCAACAATGATAGACTGGATTAAGAAAATGTGGCACATATACACCATGGAATACTATGCAGCCATAAAAAATGATGAGTTCATGTCCTTTGTAGGGACATGGATGAAATTGGAAACCATCATTCTCAGTAAACTATCGCAAGAACAAAAAACCAAACACCACATATTCTCACTCATAGGTGGGAATTGAACAATGAGATCACATGGACACAGGAAGGGGAATATCACACTCTGGGGACTGTGGTGGGGTCGGGGGAGTGGGGAGGGATAGCATTGGGAGATATATCTAATGCTAGATGACACGTTAGTGGGTGCAGCGCACCAGCATGGCACATGTATACATATGTAACTAACCTGCACAATGTGCACATGTACCCTAAAACTTAAAGTATAATAATAATAATAATTAAAAAAGAAAAAAAAAAAAAAAAGAAGAGGAAAGTGAAGAATGGAAAGGGAAGAAACTGCCCATCCTCATGGTAACTGAGAGGAGGGATGGGGTGAGAGACTTCCCTCTTTCACTTCCTATTTTTTTCTAGCTCCCAGCTCTCCCCACTGCCCTCATCTGTTTCATTTGTTTCAGGTTCTAGTGATGCATTTTGCTGCGTCTCTCCAATTCTCATCCATGTAAGGAGGGAGGAAACAGTGTGAGTACAGTCTGAATACCTCAGTCTCCAGCCTATACCTCAGAAAAGGTGTGATAAGAGTGTGGCTTGTATAGGGCAGGTGGTACAGAGAGGGAATATGGGAAAGTCCAGGGAAGGAGAATGGAGTGGCTGAGAGCTCAGGACTCAGGTAGTGGGCTTCCCTGTCCAAGAAGATGGATGCCTTTCAAGGGGTCCCAGTCAAATGCAAAGCTCCCCTTCCTCACCATCCTGCTGAAGCTAGTCTTGATAAGTCCAGGTGCAGGCAGTTCACCCTAATGTTCCTTGGGGCCAGCTCTATGGCCAGGGTATTGTTGAGGCCCAGCAAGGCTGTTTTACTGACATTGTAAGGACTGAAGCCCTGGAGAAAGAAGAGAATGTGTTAGACTCATAGTTTCCAGGTCATTCTTGGTTCTAATAACTAGACATAGAGGGCAGTGCTCAGTAGGGATCTCCTGTAAGGGAGGGGCAGAGTTAGGAAACTGTCTTGTGGCTAAACCTCCCCTAGGTTATGGTTTGTGGAGGCAAGGCATCTATTTTGTGGGCAGGGACTTGGTGGTGTGATTCTACAAGGGGACACAAACTTCTTTGGGTAATAGGAGGGGTGGAAAGATGTGGAGTGGAGGGTGGGATGGAAGAGGTAGACAAAAGGGTTCTTACAGGAGATGGACTGAAGGCTGCTATGGAAGACACGATCACCACTGAGCCGCCTCTGGAAAAAGAAGAGAGCTGACCGTCTTCCCAGTGTGGACCACTGCCCTCAGCCTGTGTGGGGTCCCCTCTCACCCAGGCTCTCTCTCACTCTCTGTACCCTCGTTTCTCCATTTCTGGCACCACTGCCTTTGTCATCAGGGCTGGGGCCTTCACATTAATGTCCAGAGTCTGAAGCCAAGAGAAGAAGGGGAAACAGCATGAGTGAAGAGCACTGGAGGAGGCATGAAAAAATGAGGAGTTAGAGTGGGTTCCTAGGATGTTTGTCAGAGCTGACGAAGATCTTAGGATGATATACCTGCATCTTACACATGAAGGAACTGAGGTTCAGGGAGAAGTAGCTCTCACCAGCTGCTCAGCTAGATAATGATACATTAGGTTCAGGTGAGCAAAAATGGAGCCTGGTTCATCTTGTTTCATAATCAGCCAAGTATGATTTGGGCCAGAAGGGGCCTTTGGATTTGAGCTGTGTTTTCTCTGTTTCTTCCAAGTAGGTAGAGCCTGGAATTGTCAGCCTCCTGGACCTGCCCTAGAGTAGGCCATGCTTCTCAGGGAAAATGTGGCCTGACCTTGGATATGTGGGGTTGTTCTAGCACTTCTCTGGCTTCTGGGCTTAGGGAGTGAGATGTTCTTGGCCCTCTAGGAAGGACTGTCTGGCTAGGCATGGTTAGAAAGTGGGATCATGAGGAGTCACCTTCTGGGGAAGCTGGGGGACAGGCTACAATCAGAATCCCCACATCCATAATCTAAAACAAATGTATGACCCTGTTTACACTGTTCTAGACAACTGCTTATATTAAAATATTTCAATCTTACAGAAAAATTGGAGATAGAAGTACAATGAATGTCTAGATATCCTTCACTTAGAGTCACCAATTGTTCACATTTTGTCCTATTTGTCCTCTCTGTAGATCTGTACAGTTTTTTAAATGAACCATTGAAACTCAGTTGCAAGTTTTCTGAAAGATTTTATATAATAAAATCAAAAATTACAAAGAACAAAAATAAAAAAATGTAAATTAAAAAAAAAAAAACTCAGGGCTGGGCATGGTGGCTCATGCCTGCAATCCCTGCACTTCGGGAGGCCAAGATGGGTGGATCACTTTTAGGTCAGGAGTTCGAGAACAGCCTGGGCAACATGGCAAACCTCGTCTGTACTAAAAATACAAAAATTAGCCAGACGTGGTGGCATGTGTTTGTAATCCAAGCTACTCAGGAGGATGAGACAGCAGAATAGCTTGAACCCGGGAGGTGGAGGTTGCAGTGAGCTGAGATAGCACCACTGCACTCCAGCCTGGGTAACAGAGTGAGGCTCCATCACAAAAATAAATAAATAACCTAAAATAAAATAAGTAAACTCAGTTGCAGATAGTACAATGTTCTATCCCCAAATACTTAGCATACATTTCCAAAGAGTAAGGATTTTCTTTTACACAACCATAATCTGTTATCACAACCAAGAGTTTGACAATGATGATAATTTTATCTAACATATTGGCCTCAATTATCCCCCAAATGTGTGTGTGTGTTTTTTAAAGTCCAGAGTTCAATCAAGGATCAGCCATTATGTTTGGATTTGACATACTGTGATAGTTTAAAAAATATACAAATTAAAAGAAAAGTTATAGACACATATTTTCTTATGCTTTGCAGATATTGTTTTTTTTTTTTTTTTTTTTTTTTTTTTTTACAAATTGGAGTTTCGTGGCAACCCTGCATTAATTCGAGCCATTTTTCCAATTGCATGTGCTCACTTTGTCTCTGGGTCACATTTTGGTAATTCTTGGAATATTTCAGACCTTTCCATTATTATTATATCTGTTACGGTGATCTGTGATGAGTGATCTTTCATGGTTTTATTATAATTGTTTTGGGGTACCACAAACCACACCCAGAAAAGAAGGTCAACTTAATTGAAAAATGTTGTGTGTTCTGACTGCTCTGCCCTTCTCTCATCTCTCTCCCTCTCTGTGGACCTCCATATTCCCTGAGACACATTTACATTGAAATTAGGCCAACTATTAACCCTACAATGGCTTGTAAGTGTTTAAGCAAAAGGAAGAGTCACACATCTTTCACTTTAAATCAAAAGCTAGAAACAATTAAGCTTAGTGAGGAAGGCATGTTGAAAGCTGAGGCAGGCTGAAAGTTAGACCATGTGCACCAGTTAGCCAAATTGTGAATGCAAAGGAAAAATTCTTGAAGGAAATTAAAAGTGCTACTTCTCTGAACATATAAATGATAAGAAAGCAAAAGAGGTTTATTGTTAATATGGAGAGAAAGTTCTTATGTTCTGGACAGAAGATCAAACTAGCCACAACATTCCCTTAAGCCAAAGCCTAATCAGAAAAAGGCCCTAACTTTTTAATTCTTTGAAGGCTGAGAGAAGTGAAGAAGCTCCGGAAAAGTTGGAAGCTAGCAGTGGTTGGTTCATGAGGTTTAAGAAGCCACCTCTGTAACATAAAAGTGCAAGATGAAGCAGCGAGTGCTGATGTAGAAGCTGCAGCCAGTTATCCAGAAGATCTAGCTAAGATCATTGATGAAGGTGGCTACAGCAAACAACAGATTTTCAATGTAGATGAAACAACCTTCTAGTGGAAGAAGATGCCATGTAGGGCTTTAATAGCTAGAGAGGAGAAGTCAATGCCTGGCTTCAAAACTTCAAAGGACAGGCTTATTCTCTTGTTAGGGGCTAATGCAGCCAGTGACTTTAAGTTGAAGCCAATGCTCATTTACCATTCTGAAAATTCTAGGGCTCTCAAGATTTACGCTAAATCTACTCTGCCTGTGCTCTGTAAATGGAACAACAAAGCCTGAATAACAGCACATCTGTTTATAGCATGGTTTACTGAATATTTTAAGCTCACCGTTGATGGCTACTGCTCAGAAAAAGATTCCTTTAAAACTGTTACTGCTCATTGACAATGCACCTGGTCACTCAAAAGCTCTGATGGAGATGTACAAGGAGATTAATGTTGTTTTCATGCCTGCTAACACAACATCCATTCTGCAGCCCATGGATCGGGGGTAATTCTGACTTCCAAGACTTATTATTTAAGAAATACATTTTGTAAGGCTATAGCTGCCATGGATAGTGATTCCTCTGATGGATGTTGGCAAAGTTAACTGAAAACCTTCTGTAAAGGATGCACCATTTTAGATGCCATTAAGAATATTTGTGATTCATGGGAGGAGGTCAAAATATCTAGATTTACAGGAGTCTGGAAGAAGTTGATTCCAACCCTCATGGATGACGTGGAAGGGTTCAAGACTGCATCAGAGGAAGGAACTGCAGATGTGGTGGAAATAGCAAGAGAACTAGAAGCGGAGCTGGAAGATAGGACTGAATTGCTACAATCTCACGATAAAATGTAGATGGCTGAGGAGCTGGTTCGTACGGATAAGCAAAGAAAGTGGTTTCTTGGGATGGAATCTATTTCTGGTGAAGATGCCATGAATATTGTTGAAATCACAACACGGGATTCAGAATATTATAGGTACTTAGTAGAGTAAGCAGTGGTAGAGTTTGATAGGATTGACTCCAATTTTGAAAGAAGTTCTACTGTGGGTAAATGCTATCAAACAGGATTGCATGCTACAGAGAAATCTCTTGTGAAAGGAAGAGTCAACTGATGTGGCAAACTTCACTGCTGTCTTATTTGAAAAAACTGCCACAGCCACCCCAGCCTTCAGCAACACCACCCTAAGTCAGCCACCATCAATGTTGAGGCAAGATCCTCCACCAGCAAAAAGATTACAAGTTGTAAAGGCTCAGATGATTGTCAGCATTTTTTTAGCAATAAAGTATTTTAAAATTAAGATACGTATATATATTTTAAAACATAATGCTATTGCTCAGTTAATAGACTTCCATTAGATGATCATTATAATGTAAACCTAACTTTTATATGCACTGGGAAACCAAAAAATTCATGTGACTCACTTTATTATAATATTCACTTTATTGTGTGGTGGCCTGGAACCAGACCCACAATATCTCTGAGGCGTGCCTGTACTTAGTTTAAAACTGACTTTCATATGGTCTGTATTCAGACTGTTCATGAATGATGCTCCTTTATTTTAAAGACTATCAGAATCTGGCTGTGTGTGGTGGCTCATGCCTGTAATCCCAATATTTTGGGGGGCTGAGGTGTGGGGATCAGTTGAGGCCAGGAATTTGAGACCAGCCTGAGCAACACAGTGAAACCCCATCTCAATACAAAAAATTAGCCAGGCATGATGGCACATGCCTGTAGTCCCAGGTACTTGGGAGGCTGAGGCACAAGAATCGCTTGAACCTGGGAGGCTGAGGTTGCAGTGAGCTGAGATCACACCACAGCCCTCTAGCCTCAATGACACAGCGAGGGGGAAAAAAAAAAAAAAGGAAAAAAGACAGAGCAAGAGTCTGTCTAAAAAAAGAAAGAAAGAAGCCAAACTTAAATGGTTAGCAGCAAATCTCTGGGTAGTTTTGAAGAAAAGATGGTTTAAGAAAGAGAAGTTATTTTGATGATAGTTCCTAAGAAGGAAGGTTTTGTTGTCATTGTTGTTGTTGTTGTTTTTAATATAGAGAAAAGGTCTCGCTGTGTTGCCCAGCCTTCTCTCAAACTAGCTCAAACTAGAATCAAAAACTAGCTCACTGAAGAACATTTTGGCAGTTTGGTCTTTATGTGTATGAAACACTGGTAAATAAATCATAGTATTTTGGCAACCTGATACTTTAGTGTTGAGAAATTTTGATGACACCTGATATAGTTGGTAAGTTTGTCCCCTCTAAGTCCCATGTTGAAATGTGATCACCAGTGTTCCAGGTGGGGCCTGGTGTGAGGTGTTTGGGTCATGAGGGTGGATCCCTTATGAATGGCTTGGTGCCCTCCCTGTGGCAATGAGTGAGTTCTCACTCTATTATTTCATGCCAGAACTAGTTGTTTAAAAGAGACTGGTATCTCTCTCTTGCTTCCTGTCTTGCCATGTGACACACTTGCTCCCTTTTTCCTTCTGCCATGATTGTAAGCTTCCTGAGGCCTCATCAGAAGCAGATACTGGCACCATGCTTCTTGTACAGTCTGCAGTATCGTAAGCCAAAACACACTTCTTTTCTTTATAAATTGCCCAGCTCAGGTATTCCTTTATAGCAATGCAAAACAGACTAATACAACATCAGTGTAAAACGCAGAACCATGGGAGATCATAAAAATTAGCATTTCCCAATCATGTGGGAATATTAACCTTAATAAACAAAGACAAATATTTTAATTAAAGCTTTGTAATTAAAGGGTGTGTGTGAAATATATTATGAATATAATGTAATTATACACTTTCACATAAAACCCAATATTCTACCACTTGAATTTAGACATCTGGATCTCAGATTTTCTTGACATTGCAGTTAAGAAGAAAATAACATAGGTTTTTATTTTATTTTTTTAAAGGATGTATGTTATAAAGTGGCAACTGGTCATTTCACCAGAATTAGTATTTTAAATAACTAGCAGCATTTAATATTTCCCAACTAATAAAAAATGATTAGTTTTTGTCAGCTGAAAAGAGGACAGGTGGGTGTGTAAATTAAGTGTTGTAGTTGTTGGCATATTAGCTGCCTACGTCTCTGTTGGAAATCAACAAGGCAGAAGAGCATGCCAGGGAAGAAGCCTGGGGAGGGGAGCAGTGGCTAATGAAGAGCAGATAGAAGCAGAGAGAACTAGGAGCAGCAGAAACGAATGAGAAGGGCAGAGAAAGAGCCACCCCCACCTGCCCTTTGCAAGGTGTGCTCCAGGTGTGTGGCACGTGGCAAAGAGTCCTCACATTTACACTGCCCTTGAGAAATGCATTCTAAAAGCAGATGGAGTTTGTGCTGAATGTGTCCCGAGGCCCCCTTCCGCGCTTCTTTAATCCCCTCTCACCTTGTCCCACACCTCCTCGGTGACATCCATTAGGCTTCCAAAGAAAGGGTTGACAGCAGCATTGGAGACTAGGATATCGATACCTCCATGAAGCTTCACAGCCTAGAGAGAGGGGTAAGGTCTGGACCAGGGCTGCAGTAAGTAAGGGAGGTGCATTTACCCATGTTGATAAAAACTTCCTTCTGGGCAAGGAGCTGTGGCTCATGCCTGTAATCATAGCACTTTGGGAGGCCAAGGTGGGAGGCTCACTTGAGCTGAGGAATTTGAGAGAAGCCTGGGCCATGCAGCGAGACCTTATCTTTATATTAAAAACAACAACAACAATGACAACAAAAGCTTCATTCTTAAGAACTATTGTCAAAATAACTTCTATTTCTTAAAACATCTTTTTTGAAAACTACCCTAAGATCTGCCGCTAACCATTTAAGGTTGGCTTCTTTCTTTTTTAGATGGAGTCTTGCTCTGTCATCCAGACTGGAGCACAGTGGCATGTTCTCAGCTCACTGCAGCCTTGACCTACTGGGTTCAAGCCATCCTCTTGGCTCAGCCCCCCAAGTAGTTGAGAGTAGAAGTGCGTGCCACCACACCCGGGCAATTTTTGTATTTTTTGTAGAGACAGGGTCTTGCCATGTTGCCCAGGCTGGTCTGGAACTCCTGGGCTCAAGCCATCCACCTGCCTTGGTATCCTAAAGTGTTATAGGCACAAGCCACCAGGAAGTTGGCCCTATTTCTTTTGCAGTCTTTTCTTCCCACCTCCTATTCTTCCAAGGCTGTCTCTGACGCTCTTTTCTTTACACTTTCCCTTTGGAAAGCTCCTTCATTCTCATGATTTCAAGTCTCACCCCAAAATCTATTTCCAGACCCCTCCTCTTCCTTTCACACTGAGTTCCACCCACATTTCTCCAAGTGCTTACTGTCCAGTTCTCCCTGAATAAGTTACCATTATCTCAAAGTCAATCTGTCCACACTTACCTGAATGGAAAAACTGGCTTAAATAGAGCTGAAGAAAGTTACCCTGGAGGGGCCTTTGAGATCATCTATTCCAGTGTCCTTAAGGTGGAGATGATGAAACAGGTTCAGAGAATTTTCTCAAGATCTTATACTTCAGTAGTGGCACACTGGGGCTAGCTAAGAACAGGAGGCCTGCTTATTCTGTGTTTGGGAGGGGTGAAGTGATTTTTTCAGGGCACAAAGCTAGTCAGTAGTGGAAGAAGTGAGGTCAGTCTCCCACTTTGTAGCACAGAGCTAATTCATAAGAGACCTCTGAAAGTGAGTTGGGGTCATTAGTAAACCAGCTGCCCAGGAGAGCCATGATGGGAGAAGATACCAGCCTGAATTTAAAGCAATTCCATATTTGGTTATGATGTCATTTTCCCTGTCTCTGTCTCTCTCTTTTGACCTGGAGGCATGAAAGATTCAAGGCAGAAACTGAAATTTAAATTGAGAAAGCGAAGAAAGGCAACATCTCACCTCCTTAATAAGTTATAAGTAGATAGTGAGGCGTGTGCTAGAGTAATGAATGGCCAAGCAGAATCTGCCAACAAGGGTTTTCAGTACAAAGCCACCCTGAAACTAGACTTTGCATTTGCCCGGAACTGGCAATTTTGATGCCTTGGGCAAGTTGCAGTATGTGGGCCCTTGGTCAACTTTGTGCTCTGGATTTGGCACAGAGAGGGGTGTTACTAACAATGTACACCATCTGCTAGCTTCCCGTTTTAACTAATTATTCTTGTTAACTAGGTGCTAAGCTCAGTTGTTTCTAGACAGTGGAAGGAATGCTGGGTTTGTCAACGTGTTAATCTAACAAAATTTACAGTCACATAATCTTTTAAAATCGGTATTAATACTTTCTTGCACCCTTTAAATTTTGGCATCCTGGCACAAAGCCAAGTCACCTGGGTTGGCTCTGTGTAAGTCTCACCAATGGACTTGTTACTAGGGAGGTGCAGAGTAAGTTAATAAGTGATGTGCACTGTGCTCAGTACACATGTGTTTGGGCTGGGAGGAGACAATGGATTGCTCTAGAATCACCTGGAGACATTTTCTACTCTGCTGTATACCCCATACTCCTCTCCTTCCAGGTCTGTCAGCACAGAGATGGGAGGAGGCTGGGTTTTGATTGAACAGAGACAGCAAACCATAAAAGATGAATGAGGCTGGGTGTGGTGGCTCACACCTATAATCCTAGCACTTTGGTAGGCCCAGTGGGGAGGACCACTTGAGGCCAGGAGTTCAAAACAGCCTGGGAAATACAGCCCCAACTCTACAAAAAATTTAAAAAATGAACTGGTGTGGTGGTGCATGCCTATAGTTTTAGCCACTTGGGAGGCTGAGGTGGGAGGATTGCTTGAGTTCAGGACTTCGAGGTTACAGTGAGCTATGATCATGTCACTGCACTGCAGCCTGGGCAACAGAATGAGGCACTGTCTCTGGAAAAAAATAAAAGAAAGTCTTCTAAGTCTTATTCTAAATTGTGTGATCACTACACTAAAGCGGTTAGGAGCTGTTTGTTCTGTGTTCTGATAGTTATACATTTTTAAGAAAAAATATAATCAAGCAGATAGGCAGCTACTCTGGTTTCCACTTACAACACCAGTGAGAAGCTTCGTGGTGTGCAGATGAGGAGGCCACTGGGTAGTATCCATTCTCAGGGCAGTGGCTTTTCTTATTGCAGGGTAACATGTGGCAACTGGCAGAAGACATTTCAAATTGCTGACAAGTATTCTATCATTCTCTTCTCTGACAATGGTCATACAAACTACCTGAGAGTCATTTTTGACTTCTCTATTTCCCACTTTTTGACATGGGGTTGGAAAATCTTGGTTCGTTTCCACTAAATGTCTCTTGGGCACATCTATTCCAGTCCCGCCGCCACTGCTCTAAACCTGGACGACAGCAACAGCTTCCTCACTGATGCCCTGGATTCGGTGTCTCCTCTGTATATCCTTCCTACCAGAGCCAGATTAGCTTTCCTAATAACCATCTTTCTCTTGCTCAAAACCTCACATGGCTTCTTATTTGCTGCAAGAATGTGTAAACATATCCTTTTAAGAGGCCATATCCTTTTAAGGTCCTTAACGTATCCTTTTAAGAAGCTATGGCCGGGCACAGTGGCTCACGCCTGTAATCCCAGCACTTTGAGAGGCCGAGGGGGTGGATCACCTGAGGTCAGGAGTTCAAGACCAGCCTGGCCAACATGGTGAAACCCCGTCTCTACTAAAAATACAAAAATTAGCTGGACGTGGTGGTGGATGCCTGTAATCCTAGCTACTCGGGAGGCTGAGGCATGAGAATTGCTTGAACCTGGAGGCGTAGGTTGCAGTGAGCTGAGATTGTGCCATATCACTTCAGCCTGGGCAACAAGAATGAAACTCTGTCTCAAAAAAAAAAAAAAAAGATATGGAGGCCCATGGCCTCTATCTTTCCAATGCAGCCCCTTCCCCAGCAGTACTCCTGAGCCTGTGCTCTCCACTGTGGACTGACAGTGCTCCTCTCTTTCCTTCAGTTCCTCCTTGGCTGTCTGCTCATTTTGCAGAGTTATCTGGAACCTCGTCACTATTCCATCTGTCCATTCCCATCCATTCCTTAAGGTTTAGCTCAAGTACCACTTCTGGGCCAGGCCTGTAGGCCATGTTAAGTGAACCTGGTGGGGGGCACAGGTTGTTTTTCTAGGAGGATTTTCACATTACATTGCTACTTACATGTCGTATGGTTAGTGCTAATTGATCCAGACTCCCAAACGGCTCCTTCCACCATCAGGATCAAGGCCCCAATCTTGGGCTTTGTCGACCAGTCTAAGCCAAGCTTTTTTGGACTCACATTTGTGACTTTCTTGGACTCATATTTGGCTCTTTCCAATGCACATTTGAGTGTCTGCCAGACTGTTCCTTAAAAATGGAATTACCCTATTCTGTCTACTATTGCTTAAGATCCTCCTCTTCTAAGAAGATTATGCAAATTATTTCTGCCAACCTTCCAATCTGTTAGCAGAATCCTGTACTTTCCATTTTTGGGTAGATTCTCCCTTCCACTCTGGGAAATAAAGTGTGTGCCCTGAGCCTCAAGGGAAGAGGAGCTTCCTTTGTGAATGCTTCATAGTTGCTTCAGCAGCTGCAAGGCTGTTGTCCACTACTAATTATGACATTGACTTATGTACTTTCTTTGAGACTGAAGTCCAGTACCTGGTAGTCCACAGGCAGCCAATAAAGGAAGGGAGCTTGGGAGGTCTGGGTCTTTCCTTACTGGCTGTGGGACCTTGGGAAGTTGCTCCAGCTATCTGAGCCAGGGTCTGCAGACTGAGAGAATAGTCCTTGCCTTGCTTGGGTTGTTGTCAGGTCTAGAGATAACCTGTGTAAGGCTCTGAACACAGGAAATGGCACATAGTAAGTGGCTGAAACATGGTGGGCTGCTTCCTGAGGTTCCCAGGGACTTGACTCTATAAGCTGAAGAAGAGGGGAATGTTTATTAGCTCATGGGTGGGAACATCTATTTTGTGATTGTATTTACCCTTCACATCTGTTCAATTAGATTGAAAATTACTGCAGAACCAGTACCAGCTGTTTCTTTGGGGTACTCAAGGGATGATGCAGGGTTGAAGCATTAGAATGTTTTAAAATTCTCTGACTGAGATGGGATGATTCTCTGACGTTAGTATATGGACATAATAGAAAGGCACACAGTAAAAATGTGCTGCTGTCTAGGAAAGCAGGGAAGGAGGCTCAGGCTGGCTTCCTTTTCCACCTCCTGGCTCTGTGCCCATTTCCCTGCAGCTCACCATGGCCACCAGCCGCTCCCGGTCCTCCGCCTTCCCCACATGGCACACAGTGCCCGTCACGCTCAGCCCCTCCCCCTGCAGCGTGGCCACCGCCTGGTCCACATTCTGCTGCTTCCGGCTGCTGACGACCACGTGGGCCCTGTCCTGGGCCAAACGCCGGGCGATGGCGAAGCCGATCCTGTGAGCAGAAAGAGACAAAGACTGCTAAGGCCTGTGCAGGGGAAGAGGTCGACAGCATGGGCTCTGAAGTTAAGACTGCCCGGGTTTGAATTCTGGCTCTTTCTCTATATAACTCCTACGTGTGCCTACTATGTGTAAAACAGGCTTAATGGCATGGCCATTTTTAGCACTGCTTTACTTATTTTTATTATGACCTGGATCACAGCCTTAGTTCCCAAGAACTGACATCACTTTCTACAGTTCCCACCACGGGTGACAGGCTTCATCTCCTGTTGGGACTGAGAGGTGAGAAATGAGCTGGGTGTGCAGCAGCAGCCACTTCCGTGATTTGAAGGTCTCACTCAGAACAGTCCTGCCGCCAGGTTTCTTTCTTACTAGTCTACATCATTCTCAAAATTCTTTCCATAATTATTTTTTGGGGTGCATGTGAAAAGATGGTCTCTGGTCAAAAACGTAAATATTGCCTTGGGAAGAAGAGTTACACATTCTGCAGTTGTCAGCCATTAGCATTTTATCTACATTTGTATTTTAGTTTTGTGAAGAGCTGGCATCTAGCAAAGTCCTGTAGAAATGAGAACCAGGACTGACAAGAGAGGTGGGTGAGAAACAGGCTGGGCAAGGTAGGCCCAGATGTACCGACCTAAAAAAAAGTCTCGACACATGGCTCTGGTGTCCCATCTAGGTAAGGGGGAGGGGTTCCGGGACACTTTCTGGAGCCCAAATAGAATGGTACATTTTCAAAAAGCTGGAGGCCTTGTTATAAGATTTTGAATCCAGATTCCCTTGCATTTCCAGTTTCTGGTCTTCCCAGAGGCTAGGTAAGGCTGGTTGACTGGGGCAGCCCAGAACACTGGGGGGACTAGATCGATGGGGCTGCACAGAGGTGGCACAGTTGTGCCAGAGGCAGCAGGGACAGAAGGGCTGGCAAGGGAGGGCCAGGGTATTCGGAGGGGCTTCAGGCGGACCACGTGGCTACTTTTTTTCCATGGCCAGACTTTGGCGGTATGTGAGGTCTGAGGACAGGGGCACTGGAGGCAAAGGACGAGACACCAGTGCATGTTTCCAGGCAGCCAGGGCCTCAGAAACTCCGGCACCAACACTCACCCGTCGGTGGAGGCCGTTACCAGGGCCACCTTATTTGTGAGCGGGTCCCGGCGGGTCATCCTGGAGCTGGCCATCCGCACCGACTTCCGTGCCCAGGCACAGAGGCCTAGCAGCCTGGCCATCTGCATGGATCAGACCAGCAAGTCTGGGTTCCACTCCTTCCAGCGGAGGTGACAGAGTAGGGCGAAGGGGCAGGACGAAGGGCGGGCCGCTTCCCTGCCTGCCCCCTTCCCGCCCTCGGCCAGCTGGGAGTCGTCTGTGGCGGTTGGCGCCTCCCGCCGCCCGCCAGTCGCCCCGCCCCGCAGCCAGCTACCTTCCGCCTGACTGGGGCTTGCCTTCCCGGGCTGGTGAGTGATCAAAGCGCTCTCCGTTCAAGTTGCCTGTAGGGCTCGCCCCTCCCCTGGCCCCCGCAGGAACCCGCAGACTTTGGCTGCTGCCCTTCTGCATCTGCTTGTCCACGTTTTCTTCTTGGGGAAGTGGGGGTTTTGAGTTGGTTGCTTTTGCTTCTTCAGAATTCCTTCTCCAAGAAAGTCTGGGTCTATGTATGTGACAGCCCACAGGAGGGCAAATGTTTTGAGACTGCCCATGGAGGTGAGGCCTGTGGTCCCCATGGAGTCCACCAGGTGAGGCTGGAGCAGCCTGGGAGAGAGACGTGATAGGCAGTAGCTGCGCCAGGCCTGGCACTGCCCTTCACTCTGCCCAAGGTCTCTTCCATCTTCACGGGCCCTTGGAGGGCAGACTACGGTCATTGGCAAAACAGGATCTCATATCCCTCGCCAAAGGGACTTCCTCCTTTACAGGGGCTAAGTGGTAGCGAGGAGGCTGGACAGTCCCTCAAGCAGTGGTGGAAATGCAAAGAACTCGGGGCACTCAAGTTCTCCCTAACCACTCTGTCCCCAGGTCTTAGCCTCCATCCTAGTTCAATAAATATTTGTTGAATGCAAAATCTCTTTATGAACTGTAAGCTACTAAGCACATAGTAGTTACTGCCACCATGTAGTGATTATTATTGGTGCCCTGGGCCAGACTCTTCATCTGTAAATTACTGAGGGTATGGATGATGAATAAAGTCCTTGCCAGCTATAAATTCTGTGTCCAAGACTTCAGTCTCCACTTCTGCCAAGTGGGCTGAAATGATCTCCCTCCTGGGTTTCCGGGAGAATGAATAAATATGGATGGCTTATGGTACAGTGTAGAAAGGCCGCAACAGACCCAAAGGTAAGTATCTGAATTAGTTTAACCCACTGGCCTCCAAAGCCAGACTGAGAAGCAGTGCTGGTTCATGGCAGCGTTTTCACTAGTTCAAAGCAAAATGAGAAAAGGAAACAATTACAGTGAGTTTCATAAAGCTAAGCTTATTTAACAGTCCTTTATTGTGGAGTATACCTTTCCTTCTTTTTGTGTGTGTGTGTGTTAGTGTTTTGTTTCAGAAAAGATGATGAAAGCAGATGGGTAGGTTTAGAGATGTGTTATTGGTGAAATCACCAGTTTGGCAGCCTTATGCCAGTCCCTACAATTAGAGGGGAAAGAATCCTGGTTTGTGAAATCCAGTTCTAGGCATGACTTTTGAATAGAATTCATGTTTGCTCAAGATTCATTTAGTATATGTGCAGGTCAGCTGAGCAGCTGAAAAAGGATTTGGACATTCAGCTGGGCGTGGTGGCTCACCCTGTAATCCCAGCACTTTGGGAGGCCGAGGCGGGCGGATCACGGGGTCAGGAGATCAAGTCCATCCTGGCTAACACGGTGAAACTCGTCCCTACTAAAAATACAAAAAATTAGCCGGGCGTGGTGGTACTTGCCTGTAGTCCCAGCTACTCGGGAGGCTGAGGCAGGGGAATGGCATGAACACGGGATGCGGAGCTTGCAGTGAGCCAAGATCACGCCACTGCACTCCAACCTGAGCGACAGATGGAGACTCTGTCTCAACAAAAAGAAAAAAAACAAGGATTTCAACATTCAAAAGGGGGTGTATGGCGAGCAAGTAATAGAACAGGCCTGCACTGGATTTCTAGTGTTTTCCTCAGCCAAGAAGTTACAGCTGCAGCACTCTGCTTTGCTACTCAGCACATCCCGATGAGACAGGAGAGCTGCAGTATAATTTTCCCCATGTCCAGGCAAAGCTGACTCTGACTGGTGCTCCTCAGTCTGAGCCTCATGAATTATTGACAGAGGCTGGAAGCGCCACACTCCTTGTGCTCTTGCACTGTTTGGAGCTCATGCACTGTGGGAACCCTTCCCAGGGCTCTCCATCTGTGTGGGGCTGGGGGGAGGGTACACAGGAGGACTGCTGCGGGGGTTCTCAGGGCTTGGTTCAAAGGGACAAGCCTCCAGGGGGGTATTTGATCTCTCTTCCTCTTCTCTTCAGAGGTAGACGGGCCCACTGAGGGGCTGAGGGTTCCAGGAAAGTGAGGAAGACCACACTTCAAAGAGCAAAGGATTCTGGGAAAAGAGAATTGTGGCTTGGGAGCTTGGTGAACAACACATGGCCCTTCCTTGTGTGGGCAGGGTTGCTATTTGGCCTCCAGCACTATTTCTTTTTCTTTCTTTCTTTCTTTTTTTTTTTTTATTATACTTTAAGTTCTAGGGTGCACGTGTACAACGTGCAGGTTTTTTACATATGTACACATGTGCCATGTTGGTGTGCTGCACCCGTTAACTCATCATTTACATTCGGTATTCCTCCTAATGCTATCCCTTCCCCATGCCTGCACCCCACGACAGGCCCCAGTGTGTGATGTTCCCCACCCTGTGTCCAAGTGTTCTCATTGTTCAATTCCCACCTATGAGTGAGAACATGCAGTGTTCTCACAGGGGGCCTGTGAGCAGAAAAGGATAGAAGGAAGTCAAGAAGTATGGGAATCTCTAGCGCTACTCCTCATCAAGCTGGCTTATTGGAGATAAGAACAGGAAATCTTGGGGTGGGCATGGTGGCTCATGCCTGTAATCCCAGCACTTTAGGAGGCTGAGGTGGGCAGATCACTTGAGGTCAGGAGTTTGAGACCAGCTGGCTGAGATGATGAAACCTCGTCTCTACTGAAAATAAAAAAATGAGCCGGGTGTGGTCTGGAGTTTGAGACAAGCCTGGCTAACATGGTGAAATCCTGTCTTTACTAAAAATACAAAAATTAGCTGGGCATGGTCAAGAGTTCAAGACCAGCCTGACCAACATGGTGAAACCCTGTCTCTACTAAAAATACATGCCTGGTGGCATGTGCCTGTAATCCCAGCTACTCAGGAGGCTGAGGCAGGAGAATTGCTTGAACCTGGGAGGCAGAGGTTGCAGTGAGCTGAGATCATGCCACTGCACTCCAGCCTGGGCAACAGAAGGAGCGACTCCATCTCAAAAAAATAAAAAAAGAAGAGGAACAAGAAACCTTTCAGGGAAATACATACATATGTGGGAGTATCTCTCTGAAATGGGAACTGTAATAGGCAATGGGATTGTTCTTGTATGGAGGTGGTAACATCTGCCTATCTTGAGGGACAAATGCCTCCATGATTGAGGGCTCTACTCTCATCCTTTTCAAGGGCTGCCTGCGGTCCAGAAGAGAATTCATCTGGGATGGATTTTAAGTCTTGCATTTTGCAATAGCTGTCCCAGATTCACTGTTGAGTCATGCATCACTGACACAAGTCAGGATTAGGCTATGTGGAAGGGCTGGTGTGGGATTAGGACAACTGCCAAGCAGAGAAATAATAGTAAGAGTGTTAACAGCATTTATTGAGCACTTCCTTAGTAAGTGCTGGCAAGTGTTAAGTGCTTTTTAGAAATTTTATTGAATATTTTTAATCTGGTGAAATGGGTGTTTTAATGTAGGGAGCCAAAGGCCTGAGGGTCGTGACCAACTCAGCATTCCACTGAAGGCTATATGATCAAACAGCCAACTGTTTATCATGATTGCAAAATGTGGGCAAACTCGCTTCTGCACCTGCCACCAGGAGGTTTGCTGAGGGCAATTACTCCCTGGTGCTGTGCTCCTTGAGGTTATCTACTGGAACCTCTGGAGACTACTGTTCAAAGAATGCAGTCATACAAGCCTACACTAAGTCAAGCAGCTTACTGACAACCACCCCTTTCTCCCTATCTCCTTTACTCAGTAAATACGAAGGGGTATAGAAGCTCAGGGCCCTTGTTCCCTAGAAGAAATGAGCCCCCTGACCCCTTCTTCCATATGTACTCATTTGTCTTTATTACCATGTTAATCTTCTTTTGTTCAGTCCACCAAGGACTGTGGCATTTTAAATTCTTTTTTTTTTTTTTTTTTTTGAGATGGCATCTTGCTCTGTCATCAGGCTGGAGTGCAGTGGCACAATCTTGGCTCACTGCAACCTCTGCCTCCCGGGTTCAAGCGATTCTCCTGCCTCAGCCTCCCGAGTAGCTGGGACTACAGTACCTGGTGAGCTAGCACAACACCTCGCTCAGCTAATTTTTGTATTTTTAGTAGAGATGGGGTTTCACCATGTTGGCCAGGATGGTTTCCATCTCTTGACCTAGTGATCTTCCTGCCTTGGCCTCCAAAAGTGCTGGGATTACAGGCATGAGCCACTGCGCCCGGTCGGGTGTTTTAAATTCTATATGTGAAAGTCGAGTGAGTGATGACAACCTCAACCACTGTCTGTGTTGTATAGCTACACTTCATTTTGATGACATTGTTGGGGGATTGATACTTTTCATAGAAATCAATTTTCTCTGAATTGGAATTTTAACTTTCAGGATCAGTGTGTTTTTCAAATCAACACATCTGTTCATTAAATTATAAAAATAAAACATGCTTATTATTTTAAAAAGGGAAAGAAAGTTATGTGAAAAGTAAAAGGTAACTCTTCCCTATGGTTCTTTTACCTTCTTCCCATACAGCTCTTGGCTTTGTGTATCTTTCCAGAAGTTTCCTATACATTTACATGCATTTTTCTTTTAAAAATTGTTTCCACAAATGAGATTACACTGCACATACTGCCCTTCAAATTGCATTTCTTTTCTTTCTTCTATGCTCCAACTCTTTTTAATTTCTTTTTTTTACATTTTTTCTTTTTTTAAATTATTATACTTTAAGTTCTGAGATACATGTGCAGAACTTGCAGGTTTGTTATATAGGTATAAACGTGCCATGGTGGTTTACCGCACCCATCAACACGTCATCTATATTAAGTATTTCTCCTAATGCTATCCCTTCCCCAGCCCCCTATAAACCCAACAGGCCCTGGTGTGTGATGTTCCCCTCCCTGTGTCCATGTGTTCTCATTGTTCCACTCCCACTTATGAGTGAGAACATGTGGTGTTTGGTTTTCTGTTTTTGTGTTAGTTTGCTGAGAATGATGGTTTCCAGCTTCATCCATGTCCCTGCAAAGGACATGAACTCATCTTTTTTTATGGCTGCATAGTATTCCATGGTGTATATGTGCCCCATTTTCTTTATGCAGTCTATCATTGATGGGCATTTGGGTTGGTTCCAAGTCTTTGCTACTGTGAACAGTGCTGCAATAAGCATATGTGTGCATGTGTCTTTATAGTAGAATGATTTATAATCCTTTGGATATATACCCAGTAATGGGATTGCTGGGTCAAATGGTGTTTCAGGTTATAGGTCTTTGAGGAATGGTCACACTGTCTTCCACAACGGTTGAACTAATTTACACTACCACCAACAGTGTAAAAGTGTTCCTATTTCTCCACATCCTCTCCAGCATCTGTTGTTTCCTGACATTTTAATGATTGCCATTCTAACTGGTGTGGGATGGTATCTCATTGTGGTTTTGATTTGCATGTCTCTAATGAGCAGTGATGATGAACTTTTTTTCATGTTTGTTGGCTGCATAAATGTTTTCTTTTGAGAAGTGTCTGTTCACATCCTTAGCCCACTTTTTGATGGGGTTGTTTGTGTTTTTCCTTGTAAATTTGTTTAAGTTCTTTGTAGATTTTGGATATTAGCCCCTTGTCAGATGGATAGATTGCAAGAATTTTCTTCCATTCTGTGGGTTGCCTGTTCACTCTGACGATAGTCTCTTCTGCTGTGCTGAAGCTCTTTAGTTTAATCAGGTCCAATTTGTCTATTTGGACTTCGTTGCCATTGCTTTTGGTGTTTTAGTTATGAAGTCTTTGCCCATACCCGTGTCCTGAATGGTATGGCCTAGGTTTTCTTCTAGGGTTTTTATGGTTTTAGGTCTTATAATTAAGTCTTTAATCCATCTTAATTAAACCCAACTTAATTTAATACAACATAATAAAATTGAGTTAATTTTTGTATAAGGTGTAAGGAAGGGGTCCAGTTTCAGTTTTTTTGTATAAGGTGTAAGGAAGGGGTCCAGTTTCAGTTTTCTGCCTACGGCTAGCCAGCTTTCCCAACATCATTTATAAAATAGGGAATCCTTTCCCCATTGCTTGTTTTTGTCAGGTTTGTCAAAAATCTGATGGTTGTAGGTGTGTGGTGTTATTTATGCAGCCTCTGTTCCATTCCATTGGTCTAGATATCTGTTTGGTACTATTACCATGCTGTCTTGGTTACTGTAGCCTTGCAGTAGTTTGAAGTCAGGTAGCGTGATGCCTCCAGCTGTGTTCTTTTTGCTTTGGATTGTCTTGGCTATATGTAGGGAAAAGAAAGAGAGATCAGACTGTTACTGTGTCTATGTAGAAAAGGAAGACATAAGAAACTCCATTTTGACCTGTACCCTGAACAATTGCTTTGCCCTGAGATGCTGTTAATCTGTAACTTTAGCCCCGACCTTGAGCTCACAGAAACATGTGTTTTATGGAACCAAGGTTTAAGGGATCTAGGGCTGTGCAGGATGTGCCTTGTTAACAAAATGTTTACAGGCAGTATGCTTGGTAAAAGTCATCACCATTCTTCAGTCTCAATAAATCAGGGGCACAATGCACTGCGGAAAGCCGCAGGGACCTCTGCCCTGCAACGCTGGTTACTGTCCAAGGTTTCTCCCCATGTGATAGTCTGAAATATGGCCACGTGGGATGGGAGAGCCCTGACCGTCCCCCAGCCCGACACCCATGAAGGGTCTGTGCTGAGGAGGATTAATAAAAGAGGAAGGCCTCTTGCAGTTGAGATAGAGGAAGGCCACTGTCTCCTGCCTGCCCCTGGGAACTGAGTGTCTTGGTATAAAACACGATTGTACATTTGTTCAATTCTGAGTTAGGAGAACAACCACCCTGTGGCAGGAGGTGAGACAAGTTTGCAGCAATGCTGCCTTGTTATTCTTTACTCCACTGAGATGTTTGGGTGGAGAGAAGCATAAATCTGGCCTACATGCACATCCAGGCATAGTACCTTCCCTTGAACTTATTTGTGACACAGATTCCTTTGCCACATGTTTTCTTGCTGACTTTCTCCCCACTATCACCCTGCTCTTCTGCTGCATTCCTCTTGCTGAGATAGTAAAAATAGTAATTAATAAATGCTGAGGGAACTCAGAGACTGGTGCCAGTGTGGGTCCTCTGTATGCTGAGTGCCAGTCCCCTGGGCCCACTTTTCTTTCTCTATACTTTGTCTCTGTGTCTTATTTCTTTCCTCAGTCTCTCATCCTGCCTGACAAGAAATACCCACAGGTGTGGAGGGGCTGGCCCCCTTCAGCTATATGGGCTCTTTTTTTGGTTCCATATGAAATTTAAAGTAGTTTTTTCCAATTTTGTGAAGAAAGTCATTAGTAGCTTGATGGGGATAGCACTGAATCTATAAATTACCTTGGGCAGTATGGCCATTTTCACGATATTGATTCTTCCTATCCATGAGCATGGACTGTTTTTCCATTTGTTTGTGTCCTCACTTATTTCCTTGAGCAGTGGTTTGTAGTTCTCCTTGAAGAGGTCCTTCACATCCCTTGTAAATTGGATTCCTAGGTATTTTATTCTCTTTGTAGCAGTCGCGAATGGGAGTTCACTCATGATTTGGCTCTCTGTCTATTATTGGCATATAGGAATGCTTCTGATTTTTGCACATTGATTTTGTATCCTGAGACTTTGCTGAAGTTGCTTATCAGCTTAAGGAGATTTTGAGCTGAGATGATGGCGTTTTCTAAATATACAATCATGTCATCTGCAAACAGAGACAATTTGACTTCCTCTTTTCCTAATTGAATACCCTTTATTTCTTCCTCTTGCCTGAGTGCCCTGGCTAGAAAACTTCCAATAGTATGTTGAATAGGAGTGGTGAGAGAATGCATCCTTGTCTTGTGCCGATTTTCAAAGGGAATGCATCCAGCTTTTGCCCACTCAGTATGATGTTGGCTGTGGGTCTGTCATAAATAACTCTTACTATTTTGAGATACGTTCTATCAATACCTAGTTTATTGAGAGTTTTTAGCATGAAAGGCTGTTGAATTTTGTCAAAGGTCTTTTCTGCATCTATTGAGATAATCATGTGGTTTTTGTCATTGGTTCTGTTTATGTGATGGACTATGTTTATTGATTTGCTTATGTTGAACCAGCCTTGTATCCCAGGAATAAAGCTAACTTGATCATGGTGGATAAGCTTTTTGATGTGTTGCTGGATTCAGTTTGCCAGTATTTTATTGAGGATGTTCTCAATGATGTTCATCAGGGATACTGGCCTGAAATTTTCTTTCTTTTGTTGTGTCTCTGCCAGCTTTTGGTATCAGGATGATGCTGGCCTCATAAAATGAGTTAGGGAGGAGTTCCTGTTTTTCTGGTGTTTGGAATAATTTCAGAAGGAATGGTACCAGCTCCTCTTTGTACCTCTGGTAGAATTCAGCTGTGAATCCGTCTGGTCCTGAGCTTTTTTTTGTTTGATAGGCCATGCATTACTGCTTCAATTTCAGAACTTGTTATTGGTCTATTTAGGGATTTGAATTCTTCCTGATTTAGTCTTGGGAGGGTGTATTCGTCCAGGAATTTATCTATTTCTTCCAGATTTTCTAGTTTATTTGCATAGAGTAGTTTATAGTATTCTCTGATGGTAGCTTGTATTTCTGTGGGATCAGTGGTGATATCCCCTCCATCATTTTTTATTGCACCTATTTGATTCTTCTCTCTTTTCTTCTTTATTGGTCTAGCTAGCAGTCTATCTATTTTGTTGATCTTATCAAAAAACCAGCTCCTGGATTCACTGGTTTTTTTGAAGGTTCTTTCCTGTCTCTGTCTCCTTCAGTTCTGCTCTGATCTTAGTTATTTCTTGTCTTCTCCTGGCTTTTGAATATGTTTGCTCTTGCTTTTCTAGTTCTTTTAATTGTGATGTTAGGGTGTTGGTTTTATATCTTTCCTGCTTTCTCCTGTGGGCATTTAGTGCTATAAATTTCACTCTAAACACTGCTTTGGCTGTGTCCCAGGGATTCTGGTACATAGTGTCTTTGTTCTCCCTGGTTTCAAAGAAGTTATTTATTTCTACTATAATTTCATTATATACCCAATAGTCATTCAGGAGCAGGTTGTTCAGTTTCCATGTAGTTGTGTGGTTTTGAGTGAGTTTCTTAATCTGAGTTCTAATCTGATTGCACCGCAGCCCGAGAGACTGTTTGTTATGATTTCCATTCTTTTGCATTTGCTGAGGAGGGTTTTACTTCCAATTATGTGATCAATTTTAGAATAAGTGCGATGTGGTGCTGAGAAGAATGTATATTCTGTTGACTTGGGGTGGAGAGTTCTGTAGATGTCTATTAGGTCTGCCTAGTCTAGAGCTGAGTTCAAGTCCTGGATATCCTTGTTAATTTTCTGTCTCATTGATCTGTCTAATACTGACAGTGGGGTGTTGGGGTGTTAACGTCTCCCATTGCTATTGTGTGGGAGTCTAAGTCTCTTTGTAGGTCTCTAAGCACTTGCTTTATGAATCTGGGTGCTCCTGTATTGGGTACATATATATTTAGGATAGTTAGCTCTTCTTGTTGAATTGATCCCTTTACCATTATGTAATGGCCTTGTCTCTTTTGATCTTTGTTGGTTTAAAGTCTGTTTTATCGGAGACCAGGATTGCAACCCCTGCTTTTTTTTGCTTTGCATTTGCTTGGTAAATATTCCTCCATCCCTTTATTTTGAGCCTATGTGTGTCTTGGCACATGAGATGGGTCTCTTGAATACAGCACAATGATGGGTCTTGACTCTTTATCCAATTTGCCAGTCTGTGTCTTTTACTTGGGGCACTTAGCCTGTTTACATTTAAGGTTAATATTGTTATGTGTGAATTTGATCCTGTCATTATGATGCTAGCTGGTTATTTTGCCCATTAGTTGACGCAGTTTCTTCATAGTGTCAATAGTCTTGACAATTTGGTATGGTTTTGCAGTGGCTGGTACTGGTTGATCCTTTCCATGTTTAGTGCTTCCTTCAGGAGCTCTTGTACATCAGGCCTGGTGGTGACAAAATCTCTCAGCATTTGCTTGTCTGTAAAGGATTTTATTTCTCCTTCACTTGTGAAGCTTAGTTTGGCTTCATAACCATTCCTCATGGCGCAGTCCTTCACAGCTTCCCTTGGCTAGGGGAGGGGGTCCTCTGACCCCTTGTGCTTCCTGAGTGAGGTGATGGCCACCCTGATTCAGCTGGCTCTTCATGGGCTGCACCCACTGTCTCACCAGTCCCAGTGAGTTGAGCCAGGTACCTCAGTTGGAAATGCAGAAATCACCTGCCTTCTGCATTGATCTCGCTGGGAGCTGCAGACTGGAGCTGTTCCTATTTGGTCATCTTGTCAGCCACCCTTTTTATTTTTTAAAATACATTCTTGGCTAATGAGTGGTACATAATAGACCTACTTTATTCTCTCTCTTCTTTTATAAAATAGCTGTACAGTATTCTATTGTGTGGCTATTCCATAATTTATTTAGCTAGTCTCCTACTGATGGATATTTAAGTAGCTTCCAGTGTTTTGCTATTTCAAACAATGCTATGGTGAACAACACTGGATGAATATGTATTTTTGTGTGTTTGGTACAAATACATTTGTACGCTGGGCCAAAGTTTTAAATTGATGGCTATGATGGTCAAATTACCTTAAAAAAGATTTGTCAACCTAAAATAATAAAAGGGTGAGAATTGAATTTAAGGAGTGTTTATTGAAGTGCAAAGTGTGAGGATGGACCATCTGGAAACATCAAATCCAAAGGAATGCAGTCAGCATTCTGAAGTGGAGAAGTTAAGGTTTCAATTTTATATCCAGAGAGAGAGGAGTGTTTAGCAAAATTATAACATTATTTGTACAAGGTTGGCACATAGTTACAGCCATTTGATCAGTTATACGCAGTGTTTATTTTTGGGAAGGATACAATTAACATGTTTTTTAGAGGGTGCAATAATTGTGGGTTTTTGTCATCTGGTCTAAGCAAAGCAGGACAACAATGGGAAATTAATATACAACAAGGGTCATTAATTAAGAAGGCCAGAGGTTTTTTTCCATGATGTCATTTAATTCTCTCTAGTCATTGTACAGAAGAAGAAAAATAAGAAAGCTAGTTCATCTATAATTTGAGAACAGAAGTTATAACCACATACGACTCAGATCACAGTCACGTCTCAAGGCTTAAAGTGATTTTGGGGGTTCCCACAGCTTTTAAATTTTATTTATTTTCACAGATTTAAGCAGTTTTGATGAATTTTTCCCCGTAAAGTGAATTTACCTGCTGCTCTACTCCCTTATGCATAGTATATAGAATGGCTTAAACTTTGGTGGTGGCTTAAGCTCAGTGATAAAATGGTAACACACTTTAGGTCGCAGTGGCCAACTTGCAGAACTGCAACTTGCAGATCTGAGGCACACCCAGTTCCACTCATGTTTGTCATTGAGAATGCTGGCTCAGCACTGCCAGCCCTTGGGGTATTTAAACAGAAGCTAGAAATCCAGATGGCAATAGGAAATATTTAAATTTTAAATGTAAGCCAATTATTTACTTAAAAAAGAACCCAGAAAAGAAAACAGTGAATGGATTTGTAGGTGCCAGAGGCTGACTGATATAGTCTATTTAAATGGAATGGATTATTAATTTTGTGAGATATTGCTCTATCTAGAATTTCTTTTTTTATTATTATACTTTGAGTTCTAGGGCACATGTGCACAACGTGCAGGTTTTTTACATAGGTATACATGTATCAGGTTGGTTTGCTGGATCCATCAACTCGTCATTTACATTAGGTATTTCTCCTAATGCTATCCCTCTCCCAGCCCCCCAGCCCCCAACAGACCCTGGTGTGTGATGATCCCCTCTCTGTTTCCATGTGTTCTCCTTGTTCCACTTCCACTTATGAGTGAGAAGATGCAGCGTTTGGTTTTCTGTCCTTGTGATATTTTGCTGAAAGTGATGATTTCCAGCTTCATCCATGTCCCTGCAAAGGACACGAACTCATCCTTTTTTATGGCTGCATAGTATTCCATGGTATACATGTGCCACATTTCCTTTATCCAGTCTATCATTGATGGGCATTTGGGTTGGTTCCAAGTTTTTGCTATTGTGAACAGTGCTGCAATAAACATATGTGTGTATGTGTCTTTATAGTAGAATGATTTATGATCCTTTGGGTAGATATCCAGTAATGGGGTTGCTGGATCAATTGGTATTTCTGGTTCTAGATCCTTGAGGAATGGCCACAGTGTCTTCCACAATGGTTGAACTAATTTACACTCCCACCAACAGTCTAAAAGCCTTCCTATTTCTCCACATCCTCTCCAGCTTCTATTGTTTCCTGACTTTTTAATGTTGCCATTCTAAGTGTTGTGAGATGGTATCTCATTGTGGTTTTGCTTTGCATTTCTCTGATGACCAGTGATGATGAGCATTTATTCATATGTCTGTTGGCTGTGTAAATGTCTTCTTTTGAGAAGTTTCTGTTCATACTTTTTACCCACTTTTTGATGGGGTTATTTTTTTTCTTGTAAATTTATTTAAGTTCTTTGTAGATTCTGAATATTAGACCTTTGTCAGATGGATAGATTGCAAGAATTTTCTCCTATTCTGTAGGTTGCCTTTTCACTCTGATGATAGTTTCTTTTGCTGTGCAGAAGCTCTTTAGTTTAGGTAGATCCCATTAGTCTATTTTGGCTTTTGTTGCCATTACTTTTGGTGTTTTTATCATGAAGTCTTTGCCCATGCCTATGTCCTGAATGGTACTGTCTAGGTTTTCTTCTAGGGTTTTTATGGTTTTAGGTCTTACATTTAAGGCTTTAATCCATCTTGAGTTAATTTTAGTATAAGGTGTAAGGAACGCATGCAGTTTCAGCTTTCTACATATGGCTAGCTAGTTTTCCCAGCACCATTTATTAAATAGGGAATCCTTTCCCCATTGCTTGTTTCTGTCAGGTTTGTCAAAGAGCAGATGGTTGAAGATGTGTGGTGTTATTTCTGAGGCTTCTGTTCTGTTCCATTATTTCTGAGGCCTCTGTTCTGTTCCATTGGTCTAGATATGTTTTGGTACCGGTACCATGCTGTTTTGGTTACTGTAGCCTTGCAGTATAGTTTGAAGTCAGGTAGTGTGACGCCTCCAGCTTTGTTCTTTTTGCTTATGATTTCCTTGGCTATACTGGCTCTTTTTTGGTTCCATATGAAATTTAAAGTAGTTTTTTCCAATTCTGTGAGGAAAGTCAGTGGTAGCTTGATGGGGATAGCATTGAGTCTATAATTTACTTTGGGCAATATGGCCATTTTCATGATATTGAGTCTTCCTATCGATGAGCATGCAATATTCTTCCATTTGTTTGTGTCCTCACTTATTTCCTTGAGCAGTGGTTTGTAGTTTTCCTTGAAGAGGTCCTTCACATCCCTTGTAAGTTGGATTTCTAGGTATTTTATTCTCTTTGTAGCAATTGTGAATGGGACTTCACTCATGATTTGGCTCTCTGTCTATTATTTGCATATAGGAATGCTTGTGATTTTTGCACATTGATTTTGTATCCTGAGACTTTGCTGAAGTTGCTTATCAGCTTAAGGAGATTTTGGGCTGAGATCATGGGGTTTCTAAATATACGGTGAAATCATCTGCAAACAGAGACAATTTGACTTCCTCTTTTCCTAATTGAATACCCTTTATTTCTTCCTCTTGCCTGATTGCCCTGGCCAGAACTTCCAATACTATGTTGAATAAGAGTGGTGAGAGAATGCATCCTTATGCTGGATTCGGTTTGCCAGTATTTTATTGAGGATTTTTGCATTGATGTTCATCAGGGATACTGGCCTAAAATTTTCTTTGTTTTGTTGTGTCTCTGCCAAGCTTTGATATCCGGATGATTCTGGCATTATAAAATGAGTTAGGGAGGATTCTTTCTTTTTCTATTGATCGGTATAGTTTCAGAAGGAATAGTACCAGCTCCTCTTTGTACCTCTGGTAGAATTCGGCTATGAATCCATCTGGTCCTGGACTTTTTTGGTTTGGTAGGCTATTAATTATTGCCTCAATTTCAGAAGCTGTTATTGGTCTATTCAGCAATTCAACTTCGTCCTGATTTAGTCTGCAGAAGGTGTATGTGTCCAAGAATTTATCCAATTCTTCTAGGTTTTCTAGTTTATTTGCATAGAGGTGTTTATAGTATTCTCTGATGGTAGTGTGTATTTCTGTGGGATCACTGGTGATATCCCCTTTATGATTTTTTATTGTGTCTATTTGACTCTTCTCTCTTTTCTTCCTTATTAGTCTTGCTAGCAGTCCATTTTGTTGATCTTTTCAAAAATCCAGCTCCTGGATTCATTGATCCTTTGAAGGTTTTTTTTTTAATGTCTCTATCACCTTCAGTTCTGCTCTGATCATCATTATTTGTTGTCTTCTGCTAGCTTTTGAATTTGTTTGCTCTTGCTTCTCTAGTTCTTTTAATTTTGAGGTTAGGGTGTTGATTTTAGATCTTTCCTGCTTTCTCTTGTGGGTATTCAGTGCTGTAAATATCCCTCTACACACTGTTTTAAATGTGTCCCAGAGATTCTGCTACACTGTGTCTTTGTTCTCATTGGTTTCAAAGACCATGTTTATTTCTGCCTTCAGTTTGTTATTTACCTAGTAGTCATTCAGGAGCAGGTTGTTCAGTTTCCATGTAGTTGTGCAGTTTTGAGTGAGTTTTTCAGTCCTGAGTTCTAATTTGATTGCACTGTGGTCTGGGAGACAGTTTGTTGTGATTGCTGTTCTTTGGCATTTGCTGAGGAGTGTTTTACTTCCAATTATGTGGTCAATTTTAGAATAAGTGTGATGTGGTGCTGAGAAGAATGTATATTGTGTTGACTTGGGGTGGAGAGTTCTGTAGATGTGTATTAGGCCTACTTGGTCTAGAGCTGAGTTCAAGTCCTGGACATCCTTATTAATTTTGTCATGTTTTCTGTCTAATATTAACAGTGGGGTGTTACTGTCTCCCATTACTATTGTATGGGAGTCTAAGCCTCTTTGTAGGTCTCTAAGAACTTGCTTTATGAATCTGGGTTCTCCTGTATTGGGTGCATATATATTTAGGATAGTTAGCTCTTCCTGTTGAACTGATTCCTTTACCATTATGTGATGGCCTTCTTTGTCTCCTTTTATCTTTGTTGGTTTAATGTCTGTTTTATCAGAGACCAGGATTGCAATCCCTGCTTTTCTTTGCTTTCCATTTGTTTGGTAGATCTTCCTCCATCCCTTTGAGAGGTGGCAGCGTGCTGGCAGCCCTCGCTCGCTCTCGGCGCCTCCTTGGCCTTGGCACCCACTCTGGCCATGCTTGAGGAGCCCTTCAGCCCATGCTGCACTGTGGGAGCCCCTTTCTGGGCTGGCCAAGACCAGAGCTGGCTCCCTCAGCTTGCAGGGAGGTGTGGAGGGAGAAGCATGGGCAGGAACTGGGGCTGTGCACAGTGCTTGCAGGCCAGCGCTAGTTCTGGGTGGGTGTGGGCTCAGTGGCACAGTGTACTGTGGAAAGCTACAGGGACCTCTGCCCTTGAAAGCGGGGTATTGTCCAAGGTTTCTCCCCATGTGATAGTCTGAAATATGGCCTCATGGGATGAGAAAGACCTGACCGTCCCCCAGCCTGACACCCATAAAGGGTCTGTGCTGAGGTGGATTAGTAAAAGAGGAAAGCATCTTGCAGTTGAGATAGAGGAAGGCCACTGTCTCCTGCCTGTCCCTGGGAACTAAATGTCTCAGTATAAATCCCGATTGTACATTTGTTCAGTTCTGAGATGAGAGAAAAACCGCCCTATGGTGGGAGGCGAGACATGTTTGCAGCAATGCTGCCTTGTTATTCTTTACTCCACTGAGATGTTTGGGTGGAGAGAAACATAAATCTGGCTTACATGCACGTCCAGTCATAGTACCTTCCCTTGAACTTAATTATGACGTAGATTCTATTCCTCACATGATTGTTGCTGACCTTCTCCTTATAATCACCCTGCCCTCCTACTACATTCCTTTTTACTGAAATGATGACAATAATAATCAATAAAAACTGAGGGAACTCAGAGACCGGTGCTGGTGCAGGTCCTTGGTATGCTGAGCGCCGGTCCCCTCGGCCCACTGTTGTTTCTCTATACTTTGTCTCTGTGTCTTATTTCTCTTTCTCAGTCTCTCATCCCACCTGACTAGAAATACCCACAGGTGTGGAGGGGCAGGCCACCCCTTCATCTGGCATCCAACATGGGGCCTTTCTCTAGGGTGAAAGTACGCTAAGTGAGTATTGAGGACAGCCAACAAGAGATTCCCGAGTACATCCACGGTCAGCCTTGCGGTAAGCTTGTGCACTTGGAGGAATCCAGGGTAACAATGGGGCAAACTGGAAGTAAATATGCCTCTTATCTCAGCTTCATTAAAATTCTCTTAAGACAGGGAGTTTAAGCTTCTACAGAGAATCTAATTATGCTATTTCAAACAATAGAACAATTCTGCCCATGGTTTCCAGAACAGGGAACTTTAGATTTAAAAGACTGGGGAAAAATTAGCAAAGAATTAAAACAAGCAAGTAGGGAAGGTAAAATCATCCCACTTACAGCATGGAATGATTGGGCTATTATTAAAGCAACTTGAGAACTATTTCAAATAGAAGAAGATAGCATTTCAGTTTCTGATGCCCCTGAAAGCTGTGTAATAGTTTGTGAAGAAGAGGTAGGAAGACAGTTCAAGAATGGAACAGAAAGTTCACATTGTAAAAATGTAGTAGAGTCTGCAATGGTTCGGTCAACACAAAATGTTGACTATAATCAATTACAGGAGGTAATATATCCTAAATCATCAAAATTGGAGGAAGGAGGTCCAGAATTATTTGGTCCATCAGAGTTTAGACCACGATGGCCAACAACTCCTTCTCCCACGGTTCAGATGCCTGTGACATTACAACCTCAAATGCCAATCCAGACACAGTATCCACAATATCAGCCGGTAGAAAATAAAACCCAACCATCAGTAGTTTATGAACACCAGCCATCAGCCGAATTTCAGTATCGGCCGTCTCCAGTGGTTCAGTATAGATCCCAGGTGTTGTGTCCTGTGCCAAATAGCAGGGCAGTATAGCAACAACCCATGGCGATGGTGTTTGATCCTACACTACCACCTAGTGGACAAGATAGTGCACTGCAAAAAATCATTGATAAAGCCAGAAAACAGGGAGATCTTGAGGCAGGGCAGTTCCTGGTAATTTTACAACCAATACCGGCTGGAAAACGGAGTCAAGCAGGAGCGTCTGTCCAAACTGAGGCTAGATATGAATCTTTCACCATGAAAATGTTAAAAGATATGAAGGAGGCAGTTAAACAATATGGACCCAACTCTCCTTATATGAGAACATTATTAGATTCCATTGCTAATGGGAATAGACTTATTCCTTATGATTGGGAAATTTTGGCTAAATCTTCTCTTTCACCCTCTCAGTATCTACAATTTAAAACCTGGTGGATTGACGGAGTACAAGAACAGGTATGGAAAAATCAGGCTACTAATCCTGTTGTTAATATAGATGCAGACCAATTGCCAGAAACAGGTCCAAATTGGAGCACTATTAACCAACAATCAGTAATGCAGAATGAGGCTATTGAACAATTAAGGGCTATTTGCCTCAGGGTCTGGGAAAAGATTCAGGACCCAGGAACCTCCTGCCCTTCTTTTAGTTCAATCAGACAAGGCTCTAAAGAGCCATATCCAGACTTTGTGGCAAGGTTGCAAGATGCAGCTCAAAAATCGATTGCAGATGATAACGCCCAAAAAGTTGTTGTAGAAATAATGGGTTATCAAAATGCAAATCCAGGATGTCAATTGGCCATAAAGCCATTAAGAGGAAAGGTTTCAGCAGGAGTTGATGTAATTACAGAATATGTGAAGGCTTGTGATGGGATTGGAGGAACTATGCATAAGGCAATGCTACTGGCTCAAGCAATTACGGGGGTTGCTTTAGGAGGACAAGTTAAAACATTTGGGGGAAAATGTTATAATTGTGGTCAAATCGGTCATCTAAAAAAGAATTGCCCAGTCTTAAATAAACAGAACAAAAATAAACAGCCACCTGGCCTGTGTCCAAAATGTGAAAGAGGAAAACACTGGGCTAAGGAATGTTGTTCTAAATTTGATAAAAATGGGCAACCATTGTCAGGAAACGAGAAGAGGGACCAGCCCCAGGCCCCGCAACAAAGTGGGGCATTCTTGATTCAGCCATTTGTTCCTCAGGGTTTTCAGGGACAACAACCCCCACAGTAAATACCACCATTCCAGGGAATCAGCCAATTACAACAATACAACAGTTATCCCCCACCACAGCAGGCAGCGCAGCAGTAGATTTATGTTCTACTCAAATGGTTTCTTCACTCCCTGGAGTGCTCCCTCAAAAGATTCCTACTGGGGTGTATGGCCTGCTGCCAGAAGGGATGGTAGGCCTTATTTTAGGAAGATCAAGTCTAAATTTAAAGGGAGTCCAAATTCATACTGGGGTAATTGATTCAGATTATAAAGGGGAAATTCAGTTAGTGATCAGCTCTGCTGTTCCCTGGAGTGCCAATCCAGGTGATAGAATTGCTCAATTATTGCTTTTGCCTTATATTAAAATTGGGAATAGCAAAACAGAAAGAACAGGAGGGTTTGGAAGTACCAACCCTGCTGGAAAAGTTGTTTATTGGGCTAGTCAGCTCTCAGAGAATAGACCTGTGTGTACAGTCACTATTCAGGGAAAGCAGTTTGAAGGATTAGTGGCTACTGGGGCTGATGTTTCTATTATTGTCTTAAATCAATGGCCAAAAAATTGTCCTAAACAAAAGCCTGTTACAGGATTTGTTGGTGTGGGCACCGCCTCAGAAGTGTATCAAAGTGCCATGATTTTACATTGTCTAGGCCCTAATAATCAAGAGAGTACAGTTCAGCCTATGATTATTTCTATTCCAATTAACTTATGGGGCCGAGACTTGTTAGAACAGTGGCATGCAGAGATTACTATTCCAGTCTCCCTATACAGCCCCACGAGTCAAAAAATCATGACTAAAATGGGATATCTCTCTGGTAAAGGACTAGGGAAAAATGGAGAAGGCATTAAAGTCCCAATTGAGGCTAAAAAAATCCAAAAAAAAAAAAAAAAAAGAAATAGGGTATCCTTTTTAGGAGTGGCCACTGTAGAGCCTCCAAAACCCATTCCATTAACTGGGAAAACAGAAAAGCCTGTATGGGTAAATCAGTGGCCACTACCAAAGCAAAAACTGGAGGCCTTACACTTAGTGGCAAAGGAACAATTAGAAAAGGGAAACATTGAGCCTTCATTTTCACCTTGGCATTCTCCTGCGTTTGTAATTCAGAAAAAATCAGGCAGATGGTGCATCCTAACTGATTTGAGAGCCATCAATGCAGTAATTCAACCCATGGGGACTCTCCAACTTGGGCTGCTTTCTCCGGCCATGATCCCCAAAGATTGGCCTTTAATTATAATTGAGCTAAAGGATTGCGTTTTTACCATTCCTCTGGCAAAATAGGATTTAAAAAAATTTGCTTTTACTATACCAGCCATAAATAATAAAAAACCAGCCACCAGATTTCAGCGGAAAGTGTTGCCTCAGGGAATGCTTAATAGTCCAACTATTTGTCAGACTTTTGTAGCTCAAGTTCTTCAACCAGTTAGAGACAAGTTTTCAGACTGTTATATTATTCATTATGTTGATGATATTTTGAGTGCTGCAGAAACGAGAGACAAATTAATTGACTGTTACACATTTCTGCAGACAGAGGTTGCAAACGCAGGCCTGACAATAGCATCTGATAACATTCAGACCTCCACTCCTTTTCATTATTTGGGAAAGACCAACAGAGAAAAAAGAGAAACTGGGAAAGAAAGGAAGAGAGAAAGTGAGAAGAGAAATCAGAAAGAGAAAGGAGAGAAAACGGCAGATGTGGAGAGCCAGGGAGAAAAAGAAAAAGAAAAAGAGACTGAGTGTGAAGGAGAGAGGACACGGGATGACAGACAGAGAGAGAGAGAGAGAGAGAGAAAGAGAGGGAGAAAATGAGTAAGAGAGAGACTGGAAAAGACAGAGATCAGAGAAAGACACAGAAGGTGAGACTGGGGAAAAAAATAATGTAAAAGAGAAAGACAGAGATCAGAGAGAGACACAGAAAGTGAGACTGGGAAAAGAAATAGTGTAAAAGGAAGAAAAAGAGAAAAAGAGAGAGAGACCATAAGAGAAGGGAGACAATGAAACAAAAAGTGCGAGTGAGCAGGTGAGGAGAAAGATTGAAAACTATGAGAAACAACAACTAAGAGACAAAGGAGAAGGGAGACTGCCTGGGTGCCGGAGCACCCACACTGTCCTCTTGCCCCCATCACTTGGGTTAAAACCATTGGAAATTCCACTATTGCAAATTTTGTATTAATCCTTGTATGTCTGCCCTCTCTATTGTTAGTCTACAGGTGTATCCAGCAGTTCCAGAAAGACAGTGACCAGCAAAAACAGGCCATGGTGACAATGACAGTTTTGTCAAAAAGAAAAGGGGGATATGTAGGGAAAAGAAAGAGAGATCAGACTGTTACCGTGTCTATGTAGAAAGGGAAGACATAAGAGACTACATTTTGAAAAAGACCTGTACTTTAAATAATTGCTTTTCTGAGATGTTGTTAATTTTTAGCTTTGCCCCAGCCACTTTGACCCAACCACTTTGACCCAACCTGGAGCTCACAAGAACATGTGTTGTATGAAATCAAGGTTTAAGGGATCTAGGACTGTGTAGGACGTGCCTTGTTAACAAAATGTTTACAAGCAGTATACTTGGTAAAAGTCATCGCCATTCTCTAGTCTCAATAAACCAGGGGCACAGTGCACTGCAGAAAGCCGCAGGGACCTCTGCCCTTGAAAGCAGGGTATTGTCCAAGGTTTCTCCCCATGTGATAGTCTGAAATATGGCCTCCTGGGATGAGAAAGACCTGACTGTCCCCCAGCCCGACACCCATAAAGGGTCTGTGCTGCGGTGGGTTAGTAAAAAAGGAAGGCCTCTTGCAGTTGAGATAGAGGAAGGCCACTGTCTCCTGCCTGCTCCTGGGAACTAAAAGTCTCGGTATAAATCCCGATTGTACATTTGTTCAGTTCTGAGATGAGAGAAAAACCGCCCTATGGTGGGAGGCGAGACATGTTTGCAGCAATGCTGCCTCGTTATTCTTTACTCCACCGAGATGTTTGGGTGGAGAGAAACATAAATCTGGCTTACGTGCATGTCCAGTCATAGTACCTTCCCTTGAACTGAATTATTAGATTCTATTGCTCACGTTTGTTGCTGACCTTCTCCTTATTATCACCCTGCCCTCCTACTACATTCCTTTTTACTGAAATAATGACGATAATAATCAATAAAAACTGAGGGAACTCAGAGACCGGTGCCGGTGCAAGTCCTTGGTATGCTGAGCGCCGGTCCCCTGGGCTCACTGTTGTTTCTCTATACTTTGTCTCTGTGTCTTATTTCTCTTTCTCAGTCTCTCGTCCCACCTGACTAGAAATACCCACAGGTGTGGAGGGGCAAGCCACCCCTTCAAACAGTAGCAACCTGCTTGGGTCCCCTTCCACACTGTGGAAGCTTTGTTCTTTCGCTCTTTGCAATAAATCTTGCTGCCCCTCACTCTTTGGGTCCACACGGCCTTTATGAGCTGTAACACTCATCGTGAAGGTCTGCAGCTTCACTCCTGAGGCCAGTGAGGCCACGAACCCAGTGGGAGGAATGAACAACTCCGGATGGGAGGAACGAACAACTCCAGACATGCCGCCTTAAGAGCTGTAACACTCACTGTGAAGGTCCGCAGCTTCACTCCTGAAGCCAGCGAGACCACGAACCCACCAGAAGGAAAAAACTCTGAACGTGTCTGAACATCAGAAGGAACAAACTCCGGACACGCTGCCTTTAAGGACTGTAACACTCACTGCGAGGGTCCGTGGCTTCATTCTTGAAGTCAGTGAGACCAAGAACCCACCAATTCCAGACACACCTTCATTTTGAGCCTATGTGTGTCTTTGCACGTGAGATTGGGTCTCCTGAATACAGCACACCATATGGGTCTTGATTCTTTATCCAATTTGCCAGTCAGTGTCTTTTAATTGGGGCATTTATCCCATTTACATTGAAGGTTAGTATTGTTATATGTGAATTTGATCCTGTCATGACGTTAGCTGGTTATTTTGCCCATTAATTGATGCAGTTTCTTCATAGCATCAATGGTCTTTACAATTTCGTATGTTTTTGCAGTGGCTGGTACTGGTTGTTCCTTTCCATGTTTAGTGCTTCCTTCAGGAGCTCTTATTGTAAGGCAGGCCTGGTGGTGACAAACTCTCTCAGCATCTGCTTGTCTGTAAAGGATTTTATTTCTCCTTCACTTACGAAGCTTAGTTTGGCTGGATATGAAATTCTAGTTCCAAAAATCTTTTCTTTCAGAATGTTGAATATTGGTCCCGACTCTCTTCTGGTTTGTATGGTTTCTGCTGAGAGATCTGCTGTTAGTCTGATGGGCTTCCCTTTGTTGGTAACCCAACCTTTCTCTCTGGCTGCCCTTAACCTTGCTGAATCTGACAATTATGTGTCTTGGGGTTGCTCTTCTCAAGGAGTGTCTTTGTGATGTTCTCTGTATTTCCTGAATTTGAATGTTTCTTTTTTCTTTTCTTGTCTCTAATCTTGTGTTCTCACTTTATTTCATTAATTTTATATTCAATCACTGATATCCTTTCTTCCACTTGATTGAATCAGCTATTGAAGCTTGTGTATCCTTCATGAAGTTCTTGTACTGTGGTTATCAGCTCCATCAGGTCATTTAAGCTCTTCTCTAGATTCTTCATTCTAGTTAGCCATTCGTTTAACATTTTGTCAAGGTTTTTAGCTTCCTTGCAATGGGTTAGAACATGCTCCTTTAGCTGGGTGTAGTTTGTTATTACTGACCTTCTGAAGCTTACGTCTGTCAAGTCATCAAACTTATTCTCCATCCAGTTTTGTTCCCTTGCTGGTGAGGACTTGTATTCCTTTGGAAGAGAAGAGACGTTCTGATTTCTGGAAGTTTCAGCCTTTTTGCTCTGGTTTCTCTCCATCTTTGTGGTTTTATCTACCTTTGGTCTTTGATGTTGGTGACCTATGGATGGGGTTTTAGTGTGGATGTCCTTTCCTGTTCTGATGTTGATGCTGTCCTTTGCTGATGTTGATGCTATTCCTTTCTGTTTGTTAGTTTTCCTTCTAACAGGCCCCTCAGCTGCAGGTCTTTGGGGGTTTGCTGGAAGTCCATTCCAGACCTTATTTTCTTGGGTATCAGTAGAGGAGGCTGCAGAACAGCAAATATTGCTGCCTGATCCTTCTTCTGGAAGCTTTGTTCCACAGGGGCACCCACCTGTATGAGGTGTCTCTCTGCCCCTACTGGGCGGTGTTTTTCAGTCAAGCTACATGGGGGTCAGGGACCCACTTGGGGAGGCAGTCTGTCCGTTATCGGAGCACGAACTCCGTGCTGGGAGAACCACTGCTGTCTTTAGAGATGTCAGGCAAGGACACTGAAGTCTGCAGAAGCTGTCTGCTGCCTTTTGCTCAGATATGCCCTGGCCCCTGAGGTGGAATCTGGAGAGGCAGTAGGCCTTGCTGAGCTGCGGTGGGTTCCGCCCAGTTAGAGCTTCCCTGCAGCTTTGTTTACACTGTGATCATAGAACGCCTACTGAAGCCTTAGCAATGGAGGACTTCCCTCCCCCACGGCCCCGTTAATTGATGCAGTTTCCGCACCCCCCCCACGGCCCTCTCCACCCTACCTGTCAAGCTCCAGCTCCAGCGGAGGATGCTCCAGGGACAGCGATGTCAGGACTGAGATGCAGGGGCTGCCTTAGAGTCTGGATGCATGGGGTAGCGGGGTGTGAGGCACCGGGCCGGGGTGCAGGGCCGGAAGGAACGTGCTGGATCTGGGATGCTACCAGACGGGGCGTCCCAAAGACCGAGGCAGTCCCGTACCTTACAACTCTCAGATGAGCTCCACGGTGGGCTTGGCCACCGTGACCCCTACTGCCGAGGCTGCTGCAGAGGAGCCGCCGCCACCCACACCGCTGTGGAGCAGCCGCACATGCTAGACTCCGCTTCAGTAAAGCCCGGGCGGTGAGTGCCGCCGCAGAGGCGAGCCCGCTCCAGACAGTGGCGGTTGCGTGAGCGCCCCTCCCCCCACCGGGCTTTGGAGCGCGGGCTCCCACGCCGGCCCGGAGAGCTGCCCGACTGAGCATGCGCGTCGCGCTGCCGAGCCTCCTGAGAGCCCGCGGGCTGGCGCCGACCTTTCTTGCCGGCTCCGGCGTGAGAGGCCCGTCGGTGTGAGAGGCTCAGCGTGTGTCGCCCAGTGTCAGTGCCTTTGGGGCGGGGGACAGCGTCCCCACTTTCCTTCTACTGAATCCTCGGGCCCGTGGGCAGAACCCATTTCTTTTGTTTGTGGGCCTGGGTACCTTGCAGGGCCTTTCTCTATTCCCCACCGGCTCAGGACCCATCCAGCTTGTACTTGCTGACTCGGGAGGGAACTCGGGACGTAGGGCCATGCGGGGAGAGGACCTGGCCTGATCTGGGAGGCAAGGGGCGGGGAGGTGTTAGAGAGTTCATCCTTCCCCACTCTCTCCGGGCTCGCGCTGCCTCGGGGATTCCCGTGGCGTCCTGGGAGTTCCCGTGCCACCTTCCTTCCAGCTGGCAGCTCTGCAGACACCTCCACCCGTGAACATCACGCTCAAGTTCTGGAGACAGGGAGGAGGGCTGGGGGATCCAGAGATCCAGCCTGAATAGACTTCTGCTCTCTGCTCAGCTAAGCACCCAACACTGAGAAATGAACAGGTCAATTGGATTCAAAGCCGCGCAATCATCTGCATTTTATTTGCACCTCATTTGCAAGTTGTTAATTTGCAACTCTGCTCCTTCCACTCCAGGTTCCTTCTCTCCCATCACCCCTCAGATTCCCCAGTGGCCCAGGAAAAAATATCTTGGTCTTTGCCAAGGTAGACTCAGCCTTGTCAGCAGGCCTGTCCTGTGTTCTCAGGGGAGGCCTTTACCCAAGGCCACAACAACAGCAGGAATCCCGAGTAAGACGCCACCTTGACGGCAGGGAAGGCTGGATCTTTTCACAGGGCAGAACTGATTTGATGAGGTGAACAGTAAGGTGAGCAGAGGTGGGAAAGGCCAGTGGGTGAATGCAGGAACAGCACCAGGAGCTAGAGCCCAACTCTGGCCTGTGGGCTGTCTCCCGGTCCTCAGAGGCGGGACGGGGTTCCTCCACCCACCACCACTGTTTCCCCAGTGATGTAGCTGGCATCTTCAGAGCACAGGAAAGACACGATGCCAGCACAATCCTCTGGCTCGCCTAACCTGGGGAATAAGGGAAGCAAGGAAGGAGGTAAAAATCAAACGGGTCTGCCTCCCTCACCTGGGACACGGGGAGTTAAATTTGCTTAATCAAGAATTATCAGATGACTTTTCAGGATCAGTGTACAAGCTTTCTGCCTATCAAATAGGGTTACCACGAGGATATGCTGTTATAATTTAGTATAAGCATACTGTACTCTGCAAAACTATTACCCATAATATTCAAATACTATAGAAACACACCGGTTTTTAGAGAGCTCAGGACACCAAAATCCAAAGTTATATAGATAAAATGGTGAGCAATTAATTATTTCATACTTCAAAAAAATGGTTTCACATGTGCACACACTAAAGTATCAGGGAGTCTGTGTGACAGTAAATGGTGTGTTTAAAATGATTCCATTTGTACAGGTTCAGCTTAGAACTTTTTCAGGAATCTATACTTGTGCCTTAAAGTCATGTTCATTTAGTGAGAATGTGCTAATTCTTATTTTATCAGTGACTGCATAGTTAGGAGACACTTTAATCTCCCTGCCATAGAATGCTCTAGAGGTGGGCAGAGTGAGTAACTCAAACCTAGAAGGGCTGAATTAATGCTTCTCCATTCTACTTGTATCTTGCAATCATTTGAGAGGCTTAAACCAAAAAAGAAAAGAAAAGAAAAGACAAAGAAAAACAAAAGCCCAGATGGTCAAGTCCTACCTTGGACCAATTAAAAAGAATCTCTGGGAGTGGGTGGGGCCTGAGCACCTGCAGTTTAAAAAGCTCCCCAGGTGATTCTAATGTGAATCCAGTATTGAGCTACATGGGCTAGATCATTCATTGGTGCTCTAGGTTGACAATCCCCTCACTTATTAATGAGTTATGAACCAGGCCTGCAGCTCATGTCTCACATCAGAATGGCTTTGGGAAGATTTGGGATGTCTGGACGAGTACAGAGTTAGGCATTACTGGCATTTGTCCTTGAAGCCAGAAGGTAGAGAGAGGCAGGGAACTTAGAGGAAAGGGAGCCCGACAAAGGTGCTTGAACAGTTCACCCAGCTCACTGGGGAAGAAAGTAACTCCTTAGGCAAGGGGAGTTTGGGGCTTAGTAAAACTCTTCATTCTTTTCATTTGGATTGTAGATCATCAACCTGAGTTTTGTAAACATGTGTCATTATTCAAGGGGACTAACAAAGCATGGTTTTGGTTATGGTCCCTGGTCTCCATGGATGCTCAGAGGTGGAGGCAATCCCCCAGGTGGAGAGAGGACTCAGGGCTTCTCCCAGAGCTCTGCACTGCTGAAACCCCGATGTCTCTGTGTTTACCTTTTGAAAGGGAAGCTGACTTCTTGCTCAGGTCACTGTAGTGATAGTGTTTATGAATTCGTGGTCTGTGAGGCAGAAGAGAGCCTGCCTGTGTTATCTGTGGGACTGAGACAGCGGGCTGTGGGCTGCTAGGGACCAGACCTTCCCATCTTCATGTCTCTTAGTGCCCTTGCCCTCATGACAGTTTACCTTCTTATCCGCAGGGTTTCTTTCATGCTTTCCTCTTTTTCCTTGTCCATCCAGAGCTGCAGGAAGAAGGGAAATCTCTTTATGTTTTTTTTTTCTTTTTCTTTTTCTTTTTAGAGACGGAGTCTTGCTCTTTTGCCCAGGCCGGACTGTAGTGGCGCTATCTTGGCTCACTGCAAACTCCGCCTCCCGGGTTATGCCATTCTCCTGCCTCAGCCTCCCGAGTAGCTGGGATTACAGGCGCTCGCCACTGCGCCCGGCTAATTTTTTGTATTTTTAGTAGAGACGGGGTTTCACCGTGTTAGCCAAGATGGTCTCGACCTCCTGACCTCGTGATCTGCCCGCCTCGGCCTCCCAATGTGCTGGGATTACAGGCATGAGCCACCCCACCCAGAAATCTCTTTATGTTTAAGAAGAGGAAAGTGAAGAACGGAAAGGGAAGAAACTGCCCATCCTCATGGTAACTGAGAGGAGGGATGGGGAGAGAGACTTCCCTCTTTCACTTCCTATTTTTTTCTAGCTCCCAGCTCTCCCCACTGCCCTCATCTGTTTCATTTGTTTCAGGTTCTAGTGATGCATTTTGCTGCGTCTCTCCAATTCTCATCCATGTAAGGAGGGAGGAAACAGTGTGAGTACAGTCTGAATACCTCAGTCTCCAGCCTATACCTCAGAAAAGGTGTGATAAGAGTGTGGCTTGTATAGGGCAGGTGGTACAGAGAGGGAATATGGGAAAGTCCAGGGAAGGAGAATGGAGTGGCTGAGAGCTCAGGACTCAGGTAGTGGGCTTCCCTGTCCAAGAAGATGGATGCCTTTCAAGGGGTCCCAGTCAAATGCAAAGCTCCCCTTCCTCACCATCCTGCTGAAGCTAGTCTTGATAAGTCCAGGTGCTAGGCAGTTCACCCTAATGTTCCTTGGGGCCAGCTCTATGGCCAGGGTCTTGGTCAGGCCCAGCAAGGCTGTTTTACTGACATTGTAAGGACTGAAGCCCTGGAGAAAGAAGAGAATGTGTTAGACTCATAGTTTCCAGGTCATTCTTGGTTCTAATAACTAGACATAGAGGGCAGTGCTCAATAGGGATCTCCTGTAAGGGAGGGGCAGAGTTAGGGAACTGTCTTGTGGCTAAACCTCCCCTAGGTTGTGGTTTGTGGAGGCAAGGCATCTATTTTGTGGGCAGGGACTTGGTGGTGTGATTCTACAAGGGGACACAAACTTCCTTGGGTAATAGGAGGGGTGGAAAGATGTGGAGTGGAGGGTGGGATGGAAGAGGTAGACAAAAGGGTTCTTACAGGAGATGGACTGAAGGCTGCTATGGAAGACACGATCACCACTGAGCCGCCTCTGGAAAAAGAAGAGAGCTGACCATCTTCCCATTGTGGACCAGTGCCCTCAGCCCGTGTGGTGTCCCCTCTCACCCAGGCTCTCTCTCACTCTCTGTACCCTCGTTTCTCCATTTCTGGCACCACTGCCTTTGTCATCAGGGCTGGGGCCTTCACATTAATGTCCAGAGTCTGAAGCCAAGAGAAGAAGGGGAAACAGCATGAGTGAAGAGCACTGGAGGAGGCATGAAAAAATGAGGAGTTAGAGTGGGTTCCTAGGATGTTTGTCAGAGCTGACGAAGATCTTAGGATGATATACCTGCATCTTACACATGAAGGAACTGAGGTTCAGGGAGAAGTAGCTCTCACCAGCTGCTCAGCTAGATATTGATACATTAGGTTCAGGTGAGCAAAAATGGAGCCTGGTTCATCTTGTTTCATAATCAGCCAAGTATGATTTGGGCCAGAAGGGGCCTTTGGATTTGAGCTGTGTTTTCTCTGTTTCTTCCAAGTAGGTAGAGCCTGGAATTGTCAGCCTCCTGGACCTGCCCTAGACTACCTGCCCTAGAGTAGGCCATGCTTCTCAGGGAAAATGTGGCCTGACCTTGGATATGTGGGGTTGTTCTAGCACTTCTCTGGCTTCTGGGCTTAGGGAGTGAGATGTTCTTGGCCCTCTAGGAAGGACTGTCTGGCTAGGCATGGTTAGAAAGTGGGATCATGAGGAGTCACCTTCTGGGGAAGCTGGGGGACAGGCTACAATCAGAATCCCCACATCCATAATCTAAAACAAATGTATGACCCTGTTTACACTGTTCTAGACAACTGCTTATATTAAAATATTTCAATCTTACAGAAAAATTGGAGATAGAAGTACAATGAATGTCTAGATATCCTTCACTTAGATTCACCAATTGTTCACATTTTGTCCTATTTGTCCTCTCTGTAGATCTGTACAGTTTTTTAAATGAACCATTGAAACTCAGTTGCAAGTTTTCTGAAAGATTTTATATAATAAAATCAAAAATTACAAAGAACAAAAATAAAAAAATGTAAATTAAAAAAAAAAAACAAACTCAGGGCTGGGCATGGTGGCTCATGCCTGCAATCCCTGCACTTCGGGAGGCCAAGATGGGTGGATCACTTTTAGGTCAGGAGTTCGAGAACAGCCTGGGCAACATGGCAAACCTCGTCTGTACTAAAAATACAAAAATTAGCCAGACGTGGTGGCATGTGTTTGTAATCCAAGCTACTCAGGAGGATGAGACAGCAGAATAGCTTGAACCCGGGAGGTGGAGGTTGCAGTGAGCTGAGATAGCACCACTGCACTCCAGCCTGGGTAACAGAGTGAGGCTCCATCACAAAAATAAATAAATAACCTAAAATAAAATAAGTAAACTCAGTTGCAGATAGTACAATGTTCTATCCCCAAATACTTAGCATACATTTCCAAAGAGTAAGGATTTTCTTTTACACAACCATAATCTGTTATCACAACCAAGAGTTTGACAATGATGATAATTTTATCTAACATATTGGCCTCAATTATCCCCCAAATGTGTGTGTGTGTTTTTTAAAGTCCAGAGTTCAATCAAGGATCAGCCATTATGTTTGGATTTGTCATACTGTGATAGTTTAAAAAATATACAAATTAAAAGAAAAGTTATAGACACATATTTTCTTATGCTTTGCAGATATTGTGTTTTTTTTTTTTTTTTTTTTTTTTTTTTTTTTTACAAATTGCAGTTTCGTGGCAACCCTGCATTAATTCGAGCCATTTTTCCAATTGCATGTGCTCACTTTGTCTCTGGGTCACATTTTGGTAATTCTTGGAATATTTCAGACCTTTCCATTATTATTGTATCTGTTACGGTGATCTGTGATGAGTGATCTTTCATGGTTTTATTATAATTGTTTTGGGGTACCACAAACCACACCCAGAAAAGAAGGTCAACTTAATCGAAAAATGTTGTGTGTTCTGACTGCTCTGCCCTTCTCTCATCTCTCTCCCTCTCTGTGGGCCTCCATATTCCCTGAGACACATTTACATTGAAATTAGGCCAACTATTAACCCTACAATGGCTTGTAAGTGTTTAAGCAAAAGGAAGAGTCACACATCTTTCACTTTAAATCAAAAGCTAGAAACAATTAAGCTTAGTGAGGAAGGCATGTTGAAAGCTGAGGCAGGCTGAAAGTTAGACCATGTGCACCAGTTAGCCAAATTGTGAATGCAAAGGAAAAATTCTTGAAGGAAATTAAAAGTGCTACTTCTCTGAACATATAAATGATAAGAAAGCAAAAGAGGTTTATTGTTAATATGGAGAGAAAGTTCTTATGTTCTGGACAGAAGATCAAACTAGCCACAACATTCCCTTAAGCCAAAGCCTAATCAGTAAAAGGCCCTAATTTTTAATTCTTTGAAGGCTGAGAGAGGTGAAGAAGCTCCGGAAAAGTTGGAAGCTAGCAGTGGTTGGTTCATGAGGTTTAAGAAGCCACCTCTGTAACATAAAAGTGCAAGATGAAGCAGCGAGTGCTGATGTAGAAGCTGCAGCCAGTTATCCAGAAGATCTAGCTAAGATCATTGATGAAGGTGGCTACAGCAAACAACAGATTTTCAATGTAGATGAAACAACCTTCTAGTGGAAGAAGATGCCATGTAGGGCTTTAATAGCTAGAGAGGAGAAGTCAATGCCTGGCTTCAAAACTTCAAAGGACAGGCTTATTCTCTTGTTAGGGGCTAATGCAGCCAGTGACTTTAAGTTGAAGCCAATGCTCATTTACCATTCTGAAAATTCTAGGGCCCTCAGATTTACGCTAAATCTACTCTGCCTGTGCTCTGCAAATGGAACAACAAAGCCTGAATAACAGCACATCTGTTTATAGCATGGTTTACTGAATATTTTAAGCTCACCGTTGATAGCTACTGCTCAGAAAAAGATTCCTTTCAAACTGTTACTGCTCATTGACAATGCACCTGGTCACTCAAAAGCTCTGATGGAGATGTACAAGGAGATTAATGTTGTTTTCATGCCTGCTAACACAACATCCATTCTGCAGCCCATGGATCGGGGGTAATTCTGACTTCCAAGACTTATTATTTAAGAAATACATTTTGTAAGGCTATAGCTGCCATGGATAGTGATTCCTCTGATGGATCTCGGCAAAGTTAACTGAAAACCTTCTGTAAAGGATGCACCATTTTAGATGCCATTAAGAATATTTGTGATTCATGGGAGGAGGTCAAAATATCTACATTAACAGGAGTCTGGAAGAAGTTGATTCCAACCCTCATGGATGACGTGGAAGGGTTCAAGACTGCATCAGAGGAAGGAACTGCAGATGTGGTGGAAATAGCAAGAGAACTAGAAGCGGAGCTGGAAGATGGGACTGAATTGCTACAATCTCACGATAAAATGTAGATGGCTGAGGAGCTGGTTCTTACGGATAAGCAAAGAAAGTGGTTTCTTGGGATGGAATCTATTTCTGGTGAAGATGCCATGAATATTGTTGAAATCACAACACGGGATTCAGAATATTATAGGTACTTAGTAGAGTAAGCAGTGGTAGAGTTTGATAGGATTGACTCCAATTTTGAAAGAAGTTCTACTGTGGGTAAATGCTATCAAACAGGATTGCATGCTACAGAGAAATCTCTTGTGAAAGGAAGAGTCAACTGATGTGGCAAACTTCACTGCTGTCTTATTTGAAAAAACTGCCACAGCCACCCCAGCCTTCAGCAACACCACCCTAAGTCAGCCACCATCAATGTTGAGGCAAGATCCTCCACCAGCAAAAAGATTACAAGTTGTAAAGGCTCAGATGATTGTCAGCATTTTTTTAGCAATAAAGTATTTTAAAATTAAGATACGTATATATATTTTAAAACATAATGCTATTGCTCAGTTAATAGACTTCCATTAGATGATCATTATAATGTAAACCTAACTTTTATATGCACTGGGAAACCAAAAAATTCATGTGACTCACTTTATTATAATATTCACTTTATTGTGTGGTGGCCTGGAACCAGACCCACAATATCTCTGAGGCGTGCCTGTACTTAGTTTAAAACTGACTTTCATATGGTCTCTATTCAGACTGTTCATGAATGATGCTCCTCTATTTTAAAGACTATCAGAATCTGGCTGTGTGTGGTGGCTCATGCCTGCAATCCCAATATTTTGGGGGGCTGAGGTGTGGGGATCAGTTGAGGCCAGGAATTTGAGACCAGCCTGAGCAACACAGTGAAACCGCATCTCAATACAAAAAATTAGCCAGGCATGATGGCACATGCCTGTAGTCCCAGGTACTTGGGAGGCTGAGGCACAAGAATCGCTTGAACCTGGGAGGCTGAGGTTGCAGTGAGCTGAGATCACACCACAGCCCTCTAGCCTCAATGACACAGCGAGGGAAAAAAAAAAAAAAAGGAAAAAAGACAGAGCAAGAGTCTGTCTAAAAAAAGAAAGAAAGAAGCCAAACTTAAATGGTTAGCAGCAAATCTCTGGGTAGTTTTGAAGAAAAGACGGTTTAAGAAAGAGAAGTTATTTTGATGATAGTTCCTAAGAAGGAAGGTTTTGTTGTCATTGTTGTTGTTGTTGTTTTTAATATAGAGAAAAGGTCTCGCTGTGTTGCCCAGCCTTCTCTCAAACTAGCTCAAACTAGAATCAAAAACTAGCTCACTGAAGAACATTTTGGCAGTTTGGTCTTTATGTGTATGAAACACTGGTAAATAAATCATAGTATTTTGGCAACCTGATACTTTAGTGTTGAGAAATTTTGATGACATCTGATATAGTTGGTAAGTTTGTCCCCTCTAAGTCCCATGTTGAAATGTGATCACCAGTGTTCCAGGTGGGGCCTGGTGTGAGGTGTTTGGGTCATGAGGGTGGATCCCTTATGAATGGCTTGGTGCCCTCCCTGTGGCAGTGAGTGAGTTCTCACTCTATTACTTCATGCCAGAACTAGTTGTTTAAAAGAGACTGGTATCTCTCTCTTGCTTCCTGTCTTGCCATGTGACACACTTGCTCCCTTTTTCCTTCTGCCATGATTGTAAGCTTCCTGAGGCCTCATCAGAAGCAGATACTGGCACCATGCTTCTTGTACAGTCTGCAGTATCGTAAGCCAAAACAAACTTCTTTTCTTTATAAATTGCCCAGCTCAGATATTCCTTTATAGCAATGCAAAACAGACTAATACAACATCAGTGTAAAACGCAGAACCATGGGAGATCATAAAAATTAGCATTTCCCAATCATGTGGGAATATTAACCTTAATAAACAAAGACAAATATTTTAATTAAAGCTTTGTAATTAAAGAGTGTGTGTGAAATATATTACGAATATAATGTAATTATACACTTTCACATAAAACCCAATATTCTACCACTTGAATTTAGACATCTGGATCTCAGATTTTCTTGACATTGCAGTTAAGAAGAAAATAATATAGGTTTTTATTTTATTTTTTTAAAGGATGTATGTTATAAAGTGGCAACTGGTCATTTCACCAGAATTAGTATTTTAAATAAGGAGCAGCATTTAATATTTCCCAACTCGTAAAAAATAATTACTTTTTGTCAGCTGAAAAGGGGACAGGTGGGTGTGTAAATTAAGTGTTGTAGTTGTTGGCATATTAGCTGCCTACGTCTCTGTTGGAAATCAACAAGGCAGAAGAGCATGCCAGGGAAAAAGCCTGGGGAGAGGAGCAGACTGTGGCTAGTGAAGAGCAGATAGAAGCAGAGAGAACTAGGAGTAGCAGAAACGAATGAGAAGGGCAGGGATAGAGCCACCCCCACCCGCCCTTTGCAAGGTGTGCTCCAGGTGTGTGGCACGTGGCAAAGAGTCCTCACATTTACACTGCCCTTGAGAAATGCATTCTAAAAGCAGATGGAGTTTGTGCTGAATGTGTTCCAAGGCGCCCCCCCCGGCCCCCCTGCTTTAATCCCCTCTCACCTTGTCCCACACCTCCTCAGTGACATCCATTATGCTTCCAAAGAAAGGGTTGACAGCAGCATTGGAGACTAGGATATCGATACCTCCATGAAGCTTCACAGCCTAGAGAGAGGGGTAAGTTCTGGACCAGGGCTGCAGTAAGTAAGGGAGGTGCATTTACCCATGTTGATAAAAACTTCCTTCTGGGCAAGGAGCTGTGGCTCATGCCTGTAATCATGGCACTTTGGGAGGCCAAGGTGGGAGGCTCACTTGAGCTGAGGAGTTTGAGAGAAGCCTGGGCCATGCAGCGAGACCTTATCTTTATATTAAAAACAACAACAACAATGACAACAAAATCTTCCTACTTAGGAACTATCGTCAAAATAACTTCTATTTCTTAAAACATCTTTTTTGAAAACTACCCTAAGATCTGCCGCTAACCATTTAAGGTTGGCTTCTTTCTTTTTTAGACGGAGTCTTGCTCTGTCATCCAGACTGGAGCACAGTGGCATGTTCTCAGCTCACTGCAGCCTTGACCTACTGGGTTCAAGCCATCCTCTTGGCTCAGCCCCCCAAGTAGTTGGGACTACAAGTGCGTGCCACCACACCCGGGCAATTTTTGTATTTTTTATAGAGACAGGGTCTTGCCATGTTGCCCAGGCTGGTCTGGAACTCCTGGGCTCAAGCCATCCACCTGCCTCAGTATCCTAAAGTGTTACAGGCGCGACCCACCAGGAAGTTGGCCCTATTTCTTTTGCAGTGTTTTCTTCCCACCTCCTATTCTTCCAAGGCTGTCTCTGACGCTCTTTTCTTTACACTTCCCCTTTGGGAAGCTCCTTCATTCTCATGATTTCAAGTCTCACCCCAAAATCTATTTCCAGACCCCTCCTCTTCCTTTCACACTGAGTTCCACCCACATTTCTCCAAGTGCTTACTGTCCAGTTCTCCTTGAATAAGTTACCATTATCTCAAAGTCAATCTGTCCACACTTACCTGAATGGAAAAACTGGCTTAAATAGAGCTGTAGAAAGTTACCCTGGAGGGGCCTTTGAGATCATCTATTCCAGTGTCCTTAAGGTGGAGATGATGAAATAGGTTCAGAGAATTTTCTCAAGATCTTATAGTTCAGTAGTGGCACACTGGGGCTAGGTAAGAACAGGAGGCCTGCTTATTCTGTGTTTGGGAGGGGTGAAGTGATGTTTTCAGGGCACAAAGCTAGTTAGTGGTGGAAGAACTGAGGTCAGTCTCCCACTTTGTAGCACAGAGCTAATTCATAAGAGCCCTCTGAAAGTGAGTTGGGGTCATCAGGAAACTGGTTGCCCAGGAGAGCCGTGATGGGAGAAGATACCAGCCTGAATTTAAAGCAATTCCATATTTGGTTATGATGTCATTTTCCCTGTCTCTGTCTCTCTCTTTTGACCTGGAGGCATGAAAGATTCAAGGCAGAAACTGAAATTTAAATTGAGAAGGCGAAGAAAGGCAACATCTCACCTCCTTAATAAGTTATAAGTAGATAGTGAGGCCTGTGCTAGAGTAATGAATGGCCAAGCAGAATCTGCCAACAAGGGTTTTCAGTACAAAGCCACCCTGAAACCAGACTTTCCGTTTGCCCGGAACTGGCAATTTTGATGCCTTGGGCAAGTTGCAGTACACGGGCCCTCGGTCAACTTTGTGCTCCGGATTTGGCACACAGAGGGGTGTTACTAACAATGTACACCATCTGCTAGCTTCCCGTTTTAACTAATTATTCTTGTTAACTAGGTGCTAAGCTCAGTTGTTTCTAGACAGTTGAAGGAATGCTGGGCTGTCAATGTGTAAATCTAACAAAATTTACAGTCACATAATCTTTTAAAACCAGTATTAATACTTTCTTGCACCCTTTAAATTTTGGTATCCTGGCACAAAGCCAAGTCACCTGCCTTGGCTCTGTGTAAGTCTCACCAATGGACTTGTTACTAGGGAGGTGCAGAGTAAGTTAATAAGTGATGTGCGCCGTGCTCAGTACACATGTGTTTGGGCTGGGAGGAGACAATGGATTGCTCTAGAATCACCTGGAGACATTTTCTACTCTGCTGTATACCCCATACTCCTCTCCTTCCAGGTCTGTCAGCACAGAGATGGGAGGAGGCTGGGTTTTGATTGAACAGAGACAGCAAACCATAAAAGATGAATGAGGCTGGGTGTGGTGGCTCACACCTATAATCCTAGCACTTTGGTAGGCCCAGTGGGGAGGACCACTTGAGGCCAGGAGTTCAAAACAGCCTGGGAAATACAGCCCCAACTCTACAAAAAATTTAAAAAATGAACTGGTGTGGTGGTGCATGCCTATAGTTTTAGCCACTTGGGAGGCTGAGGTGGGAGGATTGCTTGAGTTCAGGACTTCGAGGTTACAGTGAGCTATGATCATGTCACTGCACTGCAGCCTGGGCAACAGAAGGAGGCCCTGTCTCTGGAAAAAAAAAAAAAAGGAAAGTCTTCTAAGTCTTATTCTAAATTGTGTGATCACTACACCAAAGCGGTTAGGAGCTGTTTGTTCTGTGTTCTGATAGTTATACATTTTTAAGAAAAAATATAATCAAGGAGATAGGCAGCTACTCTGGTTTCCACTTACAACACCAGTGAGAAGCTTCGTGGTGTCCAGATGAGGAGGCCACTGGGTAGTATCCATTCTCAGGAAAGTGGCTTTTCTCATTGCAGGGTAACATGTGGCAACTGGCAGAAGACATTTCAAATTGCTGACAAGTATTCTATCATTCTCCTCTCTGACAATGGTCATACAAACTACTTGAGAGTCATTTTTGACTTCTCTATTTCCCACTTTTTGACATGGGGTTGGAAAATCTTGGTTCGTTTCCACTGAATGTCTCTTGGGCACATCTATTCCAGTCCCACCGCCACTGCTCTAAACCTGGAGGACAGCAACAGCTTCCTCACTGATGCCCTGGATTCGGTGTCTCCTCTGTATATCCTTCCTACCAGAGCCAGATTAGCTTTCCTAATAACCATCTTTCTCTTGCTCAAAACCTCACATGGCTTCTTATTTGCTACAAGGGTGTGTAAACATATCCTTTTAAGAGGCCATATCCTTTTAAGGTCCTTAACGTATCCTTTTAAGAAGCTATGGCCGGGCACAGTGGCTCACGCCTGTAATCCCAGCACATTGGGAGGCCGAGGGGGTGGATCACCTGAGGTCAGGAGTTCAAGACCAGCCTGGCCAACATGGTGAAACCCTGTCTCTACCAAAAATACAAAAATTAGCTGGACGTGGTGGTGGATGCCTGTAATCCTAGCTGCTCGGGAGGCTGAGGCATGAGAATTGCTTGAACCTGGAGGCGGAGGTTGCAGTGAGCTGAGATTGTGCCATATCACTTCAGCCTGGGCAACAAGAATGAAACTCTGTCTCAAAAAAAAAAAAAAAAAAAAAAGGATATGGAGGCCCATGGCCTCTATCTTTCCAATGCAGCCCCTTCCCCAGCAGTACTCCTGAGCCTGTGCTCTCCACTGTGGCCTGACAGTGCTCCTCTGTTTCCTTCAGTTCCTCCTTGGCTGTCTGCTCATTTTGCAGAGTTATCTGGAACCTCATCACTATTCCATCTGTCCATTCCCATCCATTCCTTAAGGTTTAGCTCAAGTACCACCTCTGGGCCAGGCCTGTAGGCCATGTTAAGTGAACCTGGTGGGGGCCACAGGATGTTTTTCCGGGAGGATTTTCACATTACATTGCTACATGTCATATGGTTAGTGCTAATTGATCCAGACTCCCAAACGGCTCCTTCCACCATCAGGATCAAGGCCCCAATCTTGGGGTCTGTCCATCAGCCTAAGCCAAGCTTTTTTGGACTCACATTTGTGACTTTCTTGGACTCATATTTGGCTCTTTCCAATGCACATTTGAGCATTTGCCAGACAGTTCCTTAAAAATGGAATTACCCTATTCTGTCTACCATACTACTGTCTACTATTGCTTAAGATCCTCCTCTTCTAAGATTATGCAAATTATTTCTGCCAACCTTCCAATCTGTTAGCAGAATCCTGTACTTTCCATTTTTGGGTAGATTCTCCCTTCCACTCTGGGAAATAAAGTGTATGCCGTGAGCCTCAAGGGAAGAGGAGCTTCCTTTGTGAATGCTTCATATTTGCTTCAGCAGCTGCAAGGCTGGTGTCCACTACTAATTCTGACATCGACTTATATACTTTCTTTGAGACTAAAGTCCAGTACCCGGTAGTCCACAGGCAGCCAATAAAGGAAGGGAGCCTGGGAGGTCTGGGTCTTTCCTTACTGGCTGTGGGACCTTGGGAAGTTGCTCCAGCTATCTGAGCCAGGGTCTGCAGACTGAGAGAATAGTCCTTGCCTTGCTTGGGTTGTTGTCAGGTCTAGAGATAACCTGTGTAAGGCTCTGAACACAGGAAATGGCACATAGTAAGTGGCTGAAACATGGTGGGCTGCTTCCTGAGGTTCCCAGGGACTTGACTCTATAAGCTGAAGAAGAGGGGAATGTTTATTAACTCATGGGTGGGAACATGTATTTTGTGATTGTATTTACCCTTCACATCTGTTCAATTAGATTGAAAATTACTGCAGAACCAGTACCAGCTGTTTCTTTGGGGTACTCAAGGGATGATGCAGGGTTGAAGCATTAGAATGTTTTAAAATTCTCTGACTGAGATGGGATGATTCTCTGACGTTAGTATATGGACATAATAGAAAGGCACACAGTAAAAATGTGCTGCTGTCTAGGAAAGCAGGGAAGGAGGCTCAGGCTGGCTCCGTTTTCCACCTCCTGGCTCTGTGCCCATTTCCCTGCAGCTCACCGTGGCCACCAGCCGCTCCCGGTCCTCCGCCTTCCCCACATGGCACACGGTGCCCGTCACGCTCAGCCCCTCCCCCTGCAGCGTGGCCACCGCCTGGTCCACATTCTGCTGCTTCCGGCTGCTGACGACCACATGGGCCCCGTCCTGGGCCAAACGCCGGGCGATGGCGAAGCCGATCCTGTGAGCAGAAAGAGACAAAGACTGCTAAGGCCTGTGCAGGGGAAGAGGTCGACAGTATGAGCTCTGAAGTTAAGACTGCCCGGGTTTGAATTCTGGCTCTTTCTCTATATAACCCCTACGTGTGCCTACTATGTGTAAAACAGGCTTAATGGCATGGCCATTTTTGGCATTCCTTTACTTGTTTTTATTATGACCTGGACCACAGCCTCAGTTCCCAAGAACTGACATCACTTTCTACAGTTCCCACCATGGGTGACAGGCTTCATCCCCTCTTGGGACTGAGAGGTGAGAAATGAGCTGGGTTTGCAGCAGCAGCCACTTCCGTGATTTGAGGGTCTCACTCAGAACAGCCCTGCCCCCAGGTTTCTTTCTTACTCGTCTACATCATTCTCAAAATTCTATCCTTAGTTATTTTTTGGGGTGCATGTGAAAAGATGGTCTCCGGTCAAAAATGTAAATATTGCCTTGGGAGGAAGAGTTACACATTTTGCATTTGTCAGCTATTAGCATTTTACCTACATTTGTATTTTAGTTTTGTGAAGAGCTGGCATCTAGCAAAGTCCTGTAGAAATGAGGACCAGGATAGACAAGAATGGTGGGTGAGAAACAGGCTGGGCAAGGTCGGCCCAGATGTACCGACCTAAACAAAAATCTCGACATATGGCTCTGGTGTCCCATCTAGGTAAGGGGGAGGGGTTCCGGGGGACTTTCCGGTGCCCAAATAGAATGTCTGGTACATTTTCAAAGTGCTGGAGGCCGTGGGATAGTATTTTGAAATCCAGATTTCCTTGGATTTCCAGTTTCTGGTCTTCCCAGACGCTAGGTGGCGCTGGTTGACTGGGGCAGCCCAGAACACTGGGGAGACTAGATCGATAGGGCTGCACAGAGGTGGCACAGTTGTGCCAGAGGTAGCAGGGACAGGAGGGCTGGCAAGGGAGGGTCCAGGGCTAGGGGATTCGGAGTGGCTTCAGGCGGACCACGTGGCTACCTTTTTTCCAGGGCCAGACTTTGGCAGCGTGTAAGGTCTGAGGACAGGGGCACCGGAGGCCGAGGATGAGAGGCCAGTGCCTGTTTCCAGGCAGCCAGGGCCTCAGAAACTCCGGCCGGAGCACTCACCCGTCGGTGGAGGCCGTTACCAGGGCCACCTTATTTGCGAGCGGGTCCCGGCGGGTCATCCCGGAGCTGGCCATCCGCACCGAATTCCAAGCCCGGGCACAGAGGCCTAGCAGCCCCGCCTTGTGCATGGATCAGACCAGCAAGTATGGGTTCCACTCTTCCCAGGGGCGGTGACAGAGTAGGGCGAGGGGCAGGACGAAGGGCGGGCCGATTCCCTGCCCGCCCTGCTCCCCGCCCCGGTACCGCTGTGAGCGGTCTGTGGCCCTGGGCACCTCCATCCGCCGCGGCGCCCCTCCACCATCTACCTTCCGCCTGACTGGGGCTTGCCTTTCCGGGCTGGCGGGTGAGCTCTCCGTTCAAGTTGCCTGTAGGGCTCGCCCCTCCCCTGGCCCTTGCAGGAACCCGCAGGCTTTGGCTGCTGCCTTTCTGCATCTGCTTGCCCACCTTTTCTTCTCTGGGAAGTGGGGGTTTTGAGTTGGTTGCTTTTGCTTCTTCAGAATTCCTTCTCCAAGAAAGTCTGGGTCTATGTGTGTGACAGCCCACAGGAGGGCAAATGTTTTGAGACTGCCCATGGAGGTGAGGCCTGTGGTCGCCATGGAGTCCACCAGGTGAGGCTGGAAGAGCCTGGGAGAGAGACGTGATAGGGAGTAGCTGCGCCAGGCCTGGCACTGCCCTTCACTCTGCCCAAGGTCTCTTCCATCTTCACGGGCCCTGGAGGGCAGACTATGGTCATTGGCCAAACAGCATTCTCATGTCCGTTGACAAAGGGACTTCCTCCTTTACAGGGGCTAAGTGGTAGCGAGGAGGCTGGACAGTCCCTCAAGCAGTGGTGGAAATGCAAAGAACTCGGGGCACTCAAGTTCTCCCTAACCACTCTGTCCCCAGGTCTTAGCCGCCATCTTAGTTCAATAAATATTTGTTGAATGCAAAATCTCTTTATGAACTGTAAGCTACTAAGCACATAGTAGTTACTGCCACCATGTAGTGATTATTATTGGTGCCCTGGGCCAGACTCTTCATCTGTAAATTACTGAGGGTATGGATGATGAATAAAGTCCTTGCCAGCTATAAATTCTGTGTCCAAGACTTCAGTCTGCACTTCTGCCAAGTGGGCTGAAATGATCTCCCTCCTGGGTTTCCGGGAGAATGAAGAAATCTGGATGGCTTATGGTACAGTGTAGAAAGGCCCCAACAGACCCAAATGCAAGCATCTGAATTGGTTTAACCCACTGGCCTCCAAAGCCAGACTGAGAAGCAGTGCTGGTTCATGGCAGCGTTTTCACTAGTTCAAGGCAAAATGAGAAAAGGAAACAATTACAGTGAGTTTCATAAAGCTAAGCTTATTTAACAGTCCTTTATTGTGGAGTATACGTTTGCTTCTTTTTGTGTGTGTGTGTGTGTGTTAGTGTTTTCTTTTAGAAAAGATGATGAAAGCAGATGGGTAGGTTTAGAGATGTGTTATTGGTGAAATCACCAGTTTGGCAGCCTTATGCCAGTCCCTACAATTAAAGGGGAAAGAATCCTGGTTTGTGAAATCCAGTTCTAGGCATGACTTTTGAATAGAATTCATGTTTGCTCAAGATTCATTTAGTATATGTGCAGGTAAGCTGAGCAGCTGAAAAAGGGTTTCAACATTCAAAAGGGGGTGTATGGTGAGCAAGTAATAGAACGGCCTGCACTGGAATTCTAGTGTTTTCCTCAGCCAAGAAGTTACAGCTGCAATACTCTGCTTTGCTACTCAGCAGATCCCGATGAGACAGGAGAGCTTCAGTATAATTTTCCCCATGTCCAGGGAAGGCTGACTCTGACTGGTGCTCCTCAGTCTGAGCCTCATGAATTATTGACAGAGGCTGGAAGCGCCACACTGCTTGTCCTCTTGCACTGTTTGGAGCTAACGCACTGTGGGAACCCTTCCCAGGGCTCTCCATCTGTGTGTGCGGCTGGGGGAGGGTACACAGGAGGACGGCTGCGGGGGTTCTCAGGGCTTGGTTCAAAGGGACAGGCCTGCAGGGGGCGTTTGATCTCTCTTTCCCTTCTCTTCAGAGGTAGACAGGTGGACTCAGGGGCTGAGGTTGGCAGGAAGGTGAGGAAGACTACACTTCAAAGAGCAAAGGATTCTGGGAAGAGAGAATTGTGGCTTGGGTGCTTGGTGAACATTACATGGCCCTTCCTTGTGTGGGCAGGGTTGCTATTTGGCCTCTAGCACTATTTCTTTTGTGGAGAGCACAGGGGACATTAGGGAGGGGGCCTGTGAGCAGAAAAGGATGGAAGGAAGTCAAGAAGTATGGGACTCTCTAGCACTACTCCTCATCAAGCTCGCTTATTGGAGATAAGAACAGGAAATCTTGGGCTGGGCATGGTGGCTCACACCTGTAATCCTCTTTACTAACAATACGAAAATTAGCTGGGCGTGGTCAGAAGTTCGAGATCAGCCTGGCCAACATGGTGAAACCTCATCTCTACTAAAAATACAAAAACCAGCCGGGCCTGGTGGCATGTGCCTGTAATCCCAGCTACTCAGGAGGCTGTGGCAGGAGAATTGCTTGAACGTGGGAGGCAGAGGTTGCAGTGAGCCAAAATCATGCCATTGCACTCCAGCCTGGGCAGCAGAATGAAAGACTCCATCTAAATAAATAAATAAATAAATAAATAAATAAATAAATAAATAACGGGAAATCTTTCAGGGAAATACATGCATATGTGGGAGTATCTCTTTGAAATGGGAACTGTAACAGGCAATGGGATTGTTCTTACATGGAGGTGGTAACATCTGCCTATCTTGAGGGACAAATGCCTTCATGAGTGAGGGCACTACTCCCATCCTTTTCAAGGGCTGCCTGCGGTCCAGAAGAGATTTCACCTGGGGTGGAATTTAAGTCTTGCGTTTTGCAATAGCTGTCCTAGATTGAGTCGAGTCCTGCATCACTGACACAAGTCAGAATTAGGCAATGTGGGAGGGCTGGTGTGGGGTTAGGACAACTACCAAGCAGAGAAAGTAATAGTAAGAGTGTTAACAGTATTTATTGAGCACTTCCTTACTAAATGCTGGCAAGCGTTAAGTGCTTTTTATAAATTTTATTGAATATTTTTAGTCTGGTGAAATGGGTGTTTTAATGTAGGGAGCCAAAGGCCTGAGGGTCGTGACCAACTCAGCATTCCACTGAAGGCTGTATGATCTAACAGCAAACTGTTTATCATGAATGCAGAATGTGGGCAAACTCACTTCTGCGCCTGCTACCAGAAGGTTTGCTGAGGGCAATGACTCCCTGGTGCTGTGCTCCTTGAGGTTATCTACAGGAACATCTGGAGACTACTGTTCAAAGAATGCAGTCATGCAAGCCTGCACTAAGCCAAGCAGCTGACTGACAACTACCCCCTTCTCCCTATCTCCTTTACTCAATAAATACAAAGGGCTATAGAAGCTCAGGGCCCTTCTTCACTAGAAGCAAGGAGCCTCCTGACCCCTTCTTCCAAAATACTCTTTTGTCTTTGTCTTTATTCCCACATTCATCTTCTTTTGTTAAGTCCACCAAGGACTGTGGCATTTTAACTTCTTCTTCTTTTTTTTTTTTTACTTTGTGACAGAGTTTTGCTCTGTCGCCAGGCTGGAGTGCAGTGGCACAATCTCAGCTCACTGCAACCTCTGCCTCCTGGGTTCAAGTGATTCTCCTGCCTCAGCCTCCCAAGTAGCTGGGACCACAGGTGCATACCACCTCACCCAGCTAATTTTTGTATTTTTAGTAGAGACGGGGTGTCACCATGTTGGCCAGGATGATCTCGATCCCTTGACCTAGTGATCTTCCTGCCTTGGCCTCCAAAAGTGCTGGGATAGCAGGCGTGAGCCACTGCACCCAATTAGGTGTTTTAAATTCTCTATGTGAAATCAGAGTGACTGATGACAACCTTGACCACTGTGTGTGTTGCATAGTTACACTTCAGTTTTCTGGCATTGTTGGGCAATCCATAGTTTTCATAGAAATCAATTTTCTCTCAACTGGAATTTAAACTTTCAGGATCAGTGTGTTTTTCAAATCAACACATCTACTCATTAAATTATATAAATAACACATTATTTTAAAAAGGGACAGAAAATTATTTGAAAAGTAAAAGGTAACTCTTCCCTATGGTTCTTTTACCTTCTTCCCATATAGCTCTTGGCTTTGTGTATCCTTCCAGAAGTTTCCTGTACATTTACATGCATTTTTCTTTTAAAAATTTTTTCCACAATTGAAATGACACTATACATACTGTCCTTCAAATTTCTTTTCTTTTCTTTCTTCTATGCTCCAATCCCCACTTTTTAATTTCTTTTTTTAAATAATTATACTTTAAGTTCTGAGATACACTTGCAGAATGTGCAGGTTTGTTACACAAGTGTACATGTGCCATGGTGGTTTTCTGCACCCATCAACCCATCATCTACATTAAGTATTTCTCCTAATGCTATCCCTCCCCTAGCCCCCCACCCCCCTGAAAAGGCCATGGTGTGTGATATTGCCCTCCCTGTGTCCATGTGTTCTCATTGTTCAACTTCCACTTATGAGTGAGAACGTGCAGTGTTTGGTTTTCTGTTCTTTCATTAGTTTGCTGAGAATGACGGTTTCCAGCTTCATCCAGGTCTTTGCAAAGGACATGAACTCATCATTTTTTATGGCTGCATAATATTCCATGGTGTATATGTGCCACATTTTCTTTTTCCAGTCTATCATTGATGGGCATTTGGGTTGGTCCAAGGTTTTTCTATTGTGAACAGTGCTGCAATAAACATATATATGCATGTGTCTTTATAGTAGAATGATTTATAATCCTTTGGATATATACCCTGTAATGGGATTGCTGGGTCAAATGGTATTTGTAGTTCTAGATCCTTGTGGAATGGCCACACTGTCTTCCACAATGGTTGAACTAATTTACACTCCCACCAACAGTATAAAAGCGTTCCTATTTCTCCACATCCTCTCCAGCATCTGTTGTTTCCTGACATTTTAATGATTGCCATTCTAACTGGTGTGAGATGGTATCTCATTGTGGTTTTGATTTGCATTTTTCTAATGAGCAGTGATGATGAGCATTTTTTCATGTTTCTTGGCTGCATAAATGTTTTCTTTTGAGAAGTATCTGTTCACATTCTTAGCCCACTTTTTGATGGTTTTTTTTTCTTGTAAATTTAAGTTTTTTGTACATTCTGGATATTAGCCCTTTGTCAGATAGATAGATTGCAAAAATTTTCTCACATTCTGTAGGTTCTCTGTTCACTCTAATTATAGTTTCTTTTGGTGTACAGAAGCTCTTTAGTTTAATTAAGTCCCATTTGTCTATTCTGGCTTTTTTTGCTGTTGCTTTGGGTATTTTAGTCGTGAAGTCTTTGCTCATGCCTATGTCCTGAATGGTATGTCCTAGGTTTTCCTCTAGGGTTTTTATGGTTTTAGGTCTTATGTTTAAGTCTTTAATCCATCTTGAGTTAATTTTTTTATAAGGTGTAAGGAAGGGGTCCAGTTTCAGTTTTCTGCATATGGCTAGCCAGTTTTCCCAACACCATTTATTAAATAGGAAATCTTTTCCTTATTGCTTGTTTTTGTTAGGTTTGTCAAAGATCAGATGGTTGTAGATGTGTGGTGTTGTTTCTGAGGCCTCTGTTCTGTTCCATTGGTCTAGATATCTGTTTTGGTACCAGTACCATGCTGTTTTGGTTACTGTAGCCTTGCCGTATAGTTTGAAGTGAGGTAGCATCATGCGTCCAGCTTTGTTCTTTTTGCTTAGGATTGTCTTCATTATATTGGCTCTTTTTTGGTTCCATATAAAATTCAAAGTAGTTTTTTCCAATTCTGTGAAGAAAGTCAATGGTAGCTTGATGGGGATAGCATTGAATCTATAAATTACTTTGGGCAGTATGGCCATTTTCACGATATTGATTCTTCCTATCCATGGGCATGGAATGTTTTTCCATTTGTTTGTGTCCTCACTTATTTCCTCGAGCAGTGTCTGTATTTCTCCTTGAAGAGGTCCTTCACATCCCTTGTAAGTTGGATTCCTAGGTATTTTATTCTCTTTGTAGCAATTGTGAATGGGAGTTCACTCATGATTTGGCTCTCTATTGTCTGTTATTGGCGTATAGGAATGCTTGTCATTTTTGCACATTGATTTTGTATCCTGAGACTTTGCTGAAGTTGCTTATCAGCTTAAGGAGATTTTGGGCTGAGACGATAAGGTTTTCTAAATATACAATCATGTCATCTGCAAACAGAGACAATTTTACTTCCTCTCTTCCTGTTTGAATACCTTTTATTTCTTTCTCTTTCCTGATTGCCCTAGCCAGAACTTCCAATACTATGTTGAATAGGAGTTGTAGTTGTGAGAGGGCATCCTTGTCTCGTGCCTTTTTTCAAAGGGAATGCTTCCAGTTTTTGCCCATGCAGTATGATACTGGCTGTGGCTTTGTCATAAATAGCTCTTATTATTTAGAGATACATCCCATCAATACCTAGTTTATTGAGAGTTTTTAGCATGAAGGGGTGTTCAATTTTATCGAAGGCCTTTCTGTATCTAAATAATTAATCATGTGGTTTTTATCATTGGTTCTGTTTATGTGATTGATTACGTTTATTGATTTGCATATGTTGAACAAGCCTTGCATCTCAGGGATGAAGTCGGCTTGATCATGGTGGATAACCTTTTTGATGTGCTGCTGGATTCGTTTTGCCAGTATTTTATTGAGGGTTTTTGCATTGATTTTCATCTGGGATATTGGCCTAAAATTCTCTTTTTTTTGTTGTGTCTCTGCCAGGCTTTGTTTTCAGGATGATACTGACCTAATAAAATGAGTTAGGGAGGACTCCCTCTTTATCTATTGATTGGAATAGTTTTAGAAGGAATGGTACCAGCTCCTCTTTGTACCTCTGGTAGAATTCAGCTGTGAATCCATCTGGTCCTGGACTTTTTTTGGTTGGTAGGCTATTAATTATTATCTCAATTTTAGAACCTGATATTGGTCTATTCAAAGATTCAACTTCTTCCTGATTTTCTCTTGGAAGGGTCTATGTGTCCAGGAATTTATCCATTTCTTCTAGATTTTCTCGATTATTTGTGTAGAGGTGTTCTCTGATGGTAGTTTGTATTTCTGTGGGATGGGAGGTGATATCCCCTTTTTCATTTTTTATTGTGTCCATTTCATTTTTCTCTCTTTTCTGCCTTATTAGTCTTGCCAGCGGTCTATCTATTTTGTTGATATTTTCAAATAACCAGCTCCTGGATTCATTGGTTTTTTGAAGGTTTCTTTTGTGTCTCTATCTCCTTCAGTTCTGCCGTGATCTTAGTTATTTCTTGTCTTCTGCTAGCTTTTGAATTTGTTTGCTCTTGCTTCTCTAGTTCTTTTAGTTGTGATGTTATGGAGTTCATTTTAGATCTTTTCTGCTTTCTCTTGTGGGCATTTAGTGCTATAAATTTCCCTCTATACACTGTTTTAAATGTGTCCCAGAGATTCTGGTACATTGTGTCTTTGTTTTCATTGATTTCAAGGAACATCTTTATTTCTGCTTTAATTTTGTTATTTACCCAGTAGTCATTCAGGAGCAGGTTGTTCAGTTTCCATGCAGTTGTGCAGTTTTGAGTGAGTTTCTTAATCCTGAGTTCTAATTTGATTGCACTGTGGTCTGAGAGACATTTTGTTGTGATTTCTGTTCTTTGACATTTGCTAAGGAGTGTTTTACTTCCAATTGTGTGGTCAATTTTAGAATAAGCATGATGAGGTGCTGAGAAGAATGTATATTCTGTTGATTTGTAATGGAAAGTTCTGTAGATGTGTGTTAGGTCTGCTTGGTCTAGAGCTGAGTTCAAATCCTGGATATCCTTGTTAATTTTCTGTCTTTTTGTCTGTCTAATATTAAAAGTGGGGTTTATAGTTTCCCATTATTATTGTGTGGGAGTGTAAGCCTCTTTGTAGGTCTGTTTGAACTTTCTTTATGAACCTGGGTGCTCCTGTATTGGGTGCATATATATATTTAGGATAGTTAGCTCTTCTTGTTGAATTGATTCTTTTACCATTATGTGATGGCCTTCTTTGTGTCTTTTGATCTTTGTTGGTTTAAATTCTGTTTTATCCGAGACTAGGATTGCAACCCCTGCTTTTTTTCACTTTTTATTTGTTTGGTAGATCTTCCTTCATCCCTTCATTTTGAGCCTATGTGTGTCTTTGCATGTGTGATGGGCCTCCTGAATACAGCACACTGATGGGTCTTGACTCTTTTTTTTTCCTTTTTTTTTTTTTTTTTTGAGACAGAGTCTCGCTCTGTCACCCAGGCTGGAGCGTAGTGGCACAATGTCGGCTCACTACATGCTCCACCTACTGGGTTCATGCCATTCTCCTGCCTCAGCCTCCCAAGTAGCTGGGACTACAGGCTGGTGCCACTATGCCTGGCTAAGTTTTTGTATTTTTAGTAGAGACGGGGTTTCACCATGTTAGCCAGGATGGTCTCAATCTCCTGACCTCATGATCCGCCCGCCTTGGCCTCCCAAAGTGCTGGGATTACAGGCATGTGCCACTGCACCCGGCCGAGTCTTGACTCTTTATCCAATTTGCCAGTCTATGTCTTTTAATTGGGGCATTTATCCCATTTACATTTAAAGTTGATATTGCTATATGTGAATTGGATCCTGTCATTATGATGTTAGCTGGTTATTTCACCCATTAATTGATACAGTGTCTTCATAGCATCAATGGTCTTTACAATTTGGTATGTTTTTTGCAGTGGCAAAACAAAAAGGTTCTTCCTTTCCATGTAAAGTGCTACCTTCAGGAGCTCTTCTAAGTCAGGCCTGGTGACAACAAAGTCTCTCAGCATCTGCTTGTCTGTAAAGGATTTTATTTCTCCTTCACTTATGAAGCTTAGTTTGGCTGGATATGAAATTCTGTTTTGAAAATTCTTTTATTTAAGAATGTTGAATATTGGTCCTGACTCTCTTCTGGCTTGTAGGGTGTAGGAAGACCCCCTGAAACTATTGCTATGGAATAAAAGATGAAATGCTCCTGATTATTGTAAATACAAAATTGCATGCAGGATTGTCTAAAGACAATGCCAGGTTGGACTGCCAGAATGAACCAACAGCACGTGATGTGCTTCCCTCTGCAGAGAGCCTATGAATGGACATGCAGTCAGGGAGGTTTCACATCACCAAGATTCCTATCCCAGAAAAGCAGATGTTCATAGCTCTGGGAATGGAATGCGGCCCTTGTGGAGAGCCTATAAATGGATGCATGGGGGGCACCTGTCCATATAGATAAGATAGGGCTATAAATGCCCTCATCTTGCCATGGCTCTTCTAGGCCTCTTTAGGGTTAAGGCATACTCCCTTCTGAAAATTTCTGGTCTAACCGGTTGTCTAGCTTCAGGTCCTGTTTCTATGGATTGTTCGTAACCATCTTTTGCTGCAACTGTTACTGCTGATTAATATCTTGCTAATCATGGGTTATGAAAAGACTGTGTTTCTGTTTTAAGGCTCTGTTAGAAATTACTGATGTACACACTATATTGTAAATCCTTATCCCTGTATACTGTACTTCTGCATACAGATGTTATGTTAAAGAATTACTTCATCACCATGTGACCATCTCACATCATAATCAAATGACCCTAAATCCCTCACTAACCTACCCCCATCCTCACTAAACTTAATAATAGATGCTGGTATATCCAGTGCGTTGTTGGCACCACGGGACCAAAAGGCGGTGACCCCCTGGACCCAGCTTTCACTGTCTTGTGTGTGTCTATTATTTCTCAACCTGCTGATCCACCTGGGAACTAAGAGAGAGCCCTGTTGCATTGCGGGCTGCTGGCCAGATCCCGCAATAGTAGGGTTTCTGCTGAAATGTCCCCTGTTAGTCTGATGGGCTTCCCTTTGTCAGTAACCCAACCTTTCTCTCTGGCTTCCCTTTACCTTGGTGAATTTGACAATTATGTGTCTTGGGGTTGCTCTTTTTGAGGAGTATGTTTGTGGTGTTCTCTGTATTTCCTGAATGAATGTTCCTTTTTACTCTTTTTGTCTCTAATCTTGTCTTCTCACTTAACTTCATTAATTTGATCTTCAATCACTGATATCCTTTCTTCTGCTTGATCAAATCAGCTATTGAAGCTTGTGTATCCTTCATGAAGTTCTCCTACTGTGGTTTTCAGCCCCATCAGGTCATTTAAGCTCTTCTCTACACTGGTTATTCTAGTTAGCCATTTGTCTAACCTTTTTTCAAGGTTTTTAGCTTCCTTACGATGGGTTAGAACATGCTCCTTTAGCTCGGAGAAGTTTGTTATTACTGACTTTCTGAAGCCTACTTCTGTCAACTCTCTGTCTAATTTTGTTCCCTGTATGGCCAGGACTTGTATTCCTTTGGAGGAGAAGAGTTGTTCTGGTTTTTGGATGTTTTGGCTGTTCTGCTCTGGTTTCTCCCATCTTTGTGGTTTTATCTACCTTTGGTCTTTGGTGTTGGTGACATACAGATGGGGTTTTGGCGTGGATGTCCTTTTTGTTGATGTTGATGCTATTCCTTTCTGTTTGTTAGTTTTCCTTCTAACAGACAGGCCTCTCAGCTGCAGGTCTTTTGGAGTTTGCTGGAGGTCCACTCCAGACTCTGTTTGCCTGGGTATCACTAGCGGAGGCTGCAGAACAGCAAATATTGCTGCCTGATCCTTCTTCTGGAAGCTTTGTCCCAGAGGGGCACCCACCTGTAGGAGGTGTCTGTCGGCCCCTACTGGGAGGTGTCTCCCAATCAGGTTACACAGGGGTCAGGGACCCACTTGAGGAGGAAGTCTGTCCATTATCAGAGCTCAAATGCCATGCTGGGAGAACCACTGGTCTCTTCTGAGGTGTCAGGCAATGATGTTGAAGTCTGCAGAAGCTGTCTACTTCCTTTTATTCAGGTACGCCCTGCCCCCTGAGGTGGAATCTAGAGAGGCAGTAGGCCTTACTGAGCTGTGGTGGGCTCTGCCCAGTTTGAGCTTTTTTGCCGCTTTGTTTACACTGTGATCATAGAACCACCTACTCAAGCCTTAGCAATGGTGGACGCCCCTCCCCCACCAAGTTCCACCATCCCAGGTTAATCTCAAACTGCTGCACTTGCAGTGAGTAAGCCTCTGTGGGCATGGGACCTGCTGAGCCAGGCACGGGAGGGAATCTCCCGGTCTGCTGATTGCGAAGACCATGGGAAAAGTGCGGTATTTGTGCAGGAGTGTACCATTTCTCCAGGTACAGTCACTCATGGCTTCCCTTGGCTGGGAAGGGGAAATCCCCTGAATCCTTGCTCTTCCCAGGTGAGGTGACGCCCTGCCCTGCTTCAGCTCACCCTTTTTGGGCTGCACCCACTGTTCAAACAATCTCAGTGACATGAACCACGCACCTCAGTTGGAAATGCAGAAATCACCTGTCTTCTGTGTCAATCATGCTGGGAGCTGTAGACCAGAGCTGTTCCTATTCAGCCATCTTGGAAGCGACTCCTAGAATTTTGTAACTCTGTTGTGTAGCTTACTCAAATTTTTGGTTTTTCAGTTTTTTTCACTGAGTGCCAAGTATTTAAGCAGTTGTTTGTGAATACTGGTTGGAAATATCCCAGTATTTGCATGGTCCTAGCAGGCAGAATATTCTTATAAAACAAGTATGGGCTTCTCTTTCCCCTCATGCCTAGGATTGCTTTCTTCTGCTGTATTTGGGAAGGGGTGGTATGGGAAGGGGGTTTGTCTGTGCAGTTCCACAGTCTATTTTCAAATAGCAGGTGGCTCCATCTTGGGCCTCAGCACTCTCTGGGGCTGGCCACTTCTGGGAACTCCAAGATTATGGCCCTTACATTATTTCTACATGGATGCTGAGATGCAGGCTTTGGGGCAGGGATGAGATGGGGAATACCATACTTCCTGATACAGTTTGGATGTTTGTCCCCTCCAAATCTCATGCTGAAATGTGATTCCCAATATTGGAGGTGAGCTTGGTGGGAGGTGTTTGGTTCATGGGGGTGGATCCCTCATGAATGGCTTGGTGCCCTCCCCTTGGTGATGAGTGAGTTCTCTCTCTTTTAGTGCATGTGGGAGTTGGTTGTTAAAAGGAGCCTGGGACCTCCTCCATGCTGGTACTGTGCTTGTACAGCCTGCAGAACTGTGAGCCAAATAAACCCTGTTTCAATATGAATTACCCAGTCTCAGGTATTCCTTTATAGCAATGTAACATGGACTCACACACTTCCCCAGCTGCCTATTCTTTATTCCTCACAATGCCGTGGCACTAAGAAATTCACTGAAGATTTGGGGGCAGAATGAATCACAATACAGAGGGACAAATCCACCAGGCATAGCATGCCTAATATAAGTTCCCATTGGGTCTTTTATTGGCACCAGCAAATTCCTAGCCCTGCTTTCAAAACTGAGGTTTCCTCTGTCCTCCAGAGATAGTCCCTGTGGCAGATGTGGAGACGCAGGTCAAAGCTCAGGTTTTCCTTCTAGACAGGACTCATGGCCCAGCTGCTGAGAGCCTGATTAGCTGTGAGTGTCCAGCTGTTAACTCCTTCTGGTCTACTTCAGCTTCTGGAAGGAGGTTACGTTCTTCTCAGGGCGGCTCTGGCCATTTACTGAGCAGGACAGTGTGGTCAAGGACCTCACTATTTCTGCCCAACATGTGGCTTCTCTAAAGGTCCTCTTTGCTTTGGAGCTCTCAGGCATTTGTCAGACCTGCATCTCATGGTCTAACACTTTCTTCTCAATCCTGCTTCCTTCCTTTTCCTTTCACAGGTGCCACTTCGGATAAACCCTTTGGACTCCTAACTCCAATCAGGTGTCTGCTTTGTTGAGGACTCACAGACACAGTCTCCTTTCTTCAAGATCTTTACAATGCAAGACCTCACTAACACACAGGGATGGTCTCCCAGAGGGTCTGTGCTGTTCCTTCACTCAGAACATCAAGATGCACTGAAGTAAGGATCCTCTATTCTACAGTTCCTGCTAGCTGAGCTATTCCATGGGGGCTTCAGCAGGAAATTCCAAGGTTGGCTTTGACAAGCTAAGGCCGGCTGGTGGAGCACATCGAGTTCTGGAGGTTCATGTGTGTTTTCATGAAGATCTGTCTGCCCGTAGCAGATAAAGAGTTGTTGCCCCACTCCTCCTGGGGTCTTCTATTTTCCTGGGAGGAATTTCTGGATTAACTGAACACACACACACACACACACACCCTTTTGAAGCATCAACAGTAATTCTGAGTTCTTAGGGACAATGCAGATTAAATCCACAATAAGAAAGACAACTATGGCCAGGTGTGGTGGCTCACGCCTGTAATCCCAGAACTTTGGGAGGCTGAGGCGGATGGATCACCTGAGGTCAGGAGTTAGAGACCAACCTGACCAACATGGAGAAACCCCGTTTCTACTAAAAATGCAAAATTAGCCGGGCATGGTGGCAGGCGCCTGTAATCCCAAATACTCGGGAGGCTGAGGCAGGAGAATCACTTAAACCCGGGAGGCAGAGGTTGCAGTGAGCCAAGATCGCGCCATTGCACTCCAGCCTGGGCAAGAAGAGCAAAACTCCATCTCAAAAAAAAAAAAAGAGTACTATTGATCCAGAGGTGACCAGACTAGCCTCACTGGAGATAATAGGTGACATTATTATGCAAAGTGGTTTCAGTTCCCTTGTCTTGTTTTTGGAATAGTATAAGAGGCCTACAATACGAATAAATAAGGCCCATCACAAGCCTCACCAAAGGACAAAACTAATCCACTTCTGAAGAAGGCTCTTTGTTGGGCCAGATCAAATCCTTGGACAGAACTGTACTCTTAATCTCTGTAGTGAAAGTGGGGGGTAGTTTAAGAATTTATTAACCTTCTACCTTGAGCAATCCCTCAGAAGTAAGAGGTGTCAGGCCTCTGAGCCGAAGCTCAGCCATTGTAACCCCTGTGACCTGCACATATATGTCCAGATGGCCTGCAGGAGCCAAGAAGTCTGGGGCAGCTGAAAAACCACACAAGAAGTAAAACAGCCAGTTCCTGCCTTAACTGATTAACCAACATTACAACATTCCACCATTGTGACCTGTCCCTGTCCTACCTTAACTGATCAATCGACCTTGTGACAGTCTTCTTCTGGACAATGGGTCTTATCATCTCCCCACCATGTACCTTGTGACCCCCTCCTCTGCTAACAATAGATAACCACTTTTTACTGTAATTTTCCATTACCTACCCAACTCCTATAAAGCAACCCCTTCCCCATCTCCCTTCACTGACTCTGTTTTCAGACTCAGCCCACTTGCACTCAAGTGAATAAACAGCCTTGTTGCTCACACAAAGCCTGTTGGTGGTCTCTTCACACAGATGTGCTTGACAAAAGGGAAGGGTGGATTTGTCCTTCTGGTTACATATGTTCTGCTCACTCATTTTGAATTTAATTAAACAAGGATTGCCCTTACCTTTTCATACTTTGTAAGAAACCATAAATACTTATGCACCATGATTTTTTTAAAGAAACACTTTTTATTTTGAAGTAATTATAGTCTCATAGGAAGTTGCAAAAGTAGTACATAGAGTCCCTGAGTACTCTTCCCCCAGTGGTGACAACTGTAGTATAATATCAATTCTGGGAAATTGACATTGGTACAATACCAAATATACTATGCCTTTTTCTCTAAGGCATGATGTTGCAGTAGCATCCTTGTACATGTAGCTAGGAGAACTTGTACTAAGCCCAGATAAATAGTTGAAGTACAAGGGCAAGGAGTGTGTCTTTGATATTTTAATAGAAATCACCTATTGCCCTCTAGAAAAGCTGTACCCTTTTCCAGTGGCAGAGAACCTTCCTGAAAGGCAGTCCTGTGTAATGGTGTCCATTTCATCACACCCTTAAAACACTCAGCTTTAACAAACATGCAGATTTTTGCTGATGTGGGAGAAAATATTAATTATTAATGATATTAAGGTGATTATCTTTTCGTATGTTTATAGATATTTGTATTTCTTTTTAAATGAACTGCTCATGACCTTTGTCTACTTTTATTTGGGTTTACTTCTTTCTCATTTATTCCTATAAACTCTTTATAAAAGGAAATTAACCATTTGATTGTCATATGTTGTGAATATTTTTACCATTTTGACTTTTGAATTTATGTCTTTTTAATGAATTGTAGAAGTTTAAAATCTTTATGGAATAAATTTATTTAGTTTTTTGTTTATGGCTTCTGAGTTTTGTGTCATGATTAGAAAGGCCTTTCTTACTCCAAAAGTATAAGATATTCAATTATAAGATTTCCTGTAGTTATTCAATGTGTGTGTATGTATGTTTAAATCTTTTGGCCATCTGATATTTGTGCTTGTGTGGGAAGTGAGATAGAAATCCGGGTTAGTTTTTTTCCCAAATGGTTAACCAGTTGTCTCAGCACTGTCTGAGTAACTCTTCCATGCCTTGGTTTCTTTATCATTACCATATGTATTTGAGCCTATTTCTGGACTCTAGTTCATTTTATTGATTTGTCTGTCTGTTCCCAAGTCAGGATTTTAATAGATATTGCAAAGAGGAAAAAGAAAGTGCTAAAATTGCCATAAAATAACTTCAAATAGAAGAGTATGGCAGTTCAGAGGTGGGAGAGAGTATTTTTAGTTGGGGTCTGAAAAAGCTTCATGAAAGAGGGACATTTAAGGTGAAGCTTGAATGACGAGCACTACGTTGGGCAAAGGGAATAAAGAACAAAGTCATGGAGGTGGTAAATATTTGTGCACATTTGCATCGTGTCTCTGCGAAGGAACTCATGCTCCACCACTGGTGTTTTTATGCATGCGTGTCTTGAGCACAGTTAAGAGGATAAAGAAATTTTCATGTTACTCTTTTGAGGCATTTTGAGGACACATTTATTAATCATAATGGCTACACGTTGAATACCTACTGTTATCCCATAGACATAGGGGTATCTATGTCATTTTTAATTTTCACCACAATGAGCAAAGTTGATATTCCCATTTTAGAAATGAGGAAAATGCCTCAGGCAGTTTAAATAACACCTAAAAGTGGCTGGATTGAGATTAAAATGGATGACCAGCAATTTAAAAAATCAGAATAGAAAATACCACAATTCATCACCTATGGTTAGGGTGTTTGTAGCAGAAGCTGTTCCTGCTCCACCTACGTCACCTGGGATCCCTCTGCTATCTCTGTGTAGACCAGTTGAATCCCAGTGTGCATTCTTTCCCAAAAGCCAGCATACTGTTGGAAGGTACAAGAGAGCCAGAAGTGCCTGGGAATTTATGTCCCTTCCCTCCCCTCATGCCTTTAACCAATGACTGATGGGGGTGGGGATAGACATACTCTAGCTCTTTTGCCCTCTCACTGGATGACTGAGGTGTGACCTATGATGTTCCCCAAGCCCTCTGAGGGAATGTATCAAAATTGCCTTCCATGGGACTTGGCTTGATGTTGTACCCTTACTTGGCCCCTTTCTACTCCTACTTTCTCCCATATGTCTTTTCTCTGGGAATAGTTCCTAATAAATCACTTTCATGTTCATCTTCCTCTAGGGCAGCACTGCTTTAAGAAGCTTCTGTTGTAGTGATGTAGGAGAGAGAGAGAGAGAGAGAGAGAGAGAGTGTGTGTGTGTGTGTGTGTGTGTGTGTGCGCATGCATTCCGTTATCATTTAACATGTATTTCTTAGTGTGGAGCCAGTTTGAAAGCTCTATACTGGCTGTTCTATACTACATTAAACTGCCTGTTTGGGTATAGTTCACTGAGCTGGAAATTCTTCTTGATGCCCCCAAATAAGCACTGCAGATCAGATTCCAAATCTTATTGCTTATTTGAGTACAGTGACTTAAAATACGTTAATAAAAATCTAGGCTGGACACGGTGGCTTACATCTGTAATCCCAGGACTTTGGGAGGCCAAGGTGGGTGGGTCACTTGAGGTCAGGAGTTTGAGACTAGGTTGACCAATGTGGCAAAACCCCATCTCTACCAAAAAAAAAAAAATACAAAAAAATTAGCTGGGTCTGCTGGCATGTGCTTGTAGTCCCAGCTACTCAGGAGGCTGAGGCAGGAGAATAGCTTGGACCTGGGAGGCAGAGGTTGCCGTGAGCTGAGATCGGGCCGCTACAGTCCAGCCTGGGTGACAGAGCAAGGCTCCATCTCAAAAACAACAACAACAACAACAAACAACAACAACAACAACAAGTGTTAGTTATGGCTGTAAAGAACACAGTCAATTTTGATACTATTGGCTAGGCTGGTCTTTGACTTCTTGGGCAGCCAACCCTACTAAACAGTTTCCAAAGTTCAGGCTTCCCTTTGCCAAAGTTGATAAGTGTGGTGTAAAGGTCATGTTAGTTGAGTGTTAATTTTTTTGCAGACTAGCAGAAACGAGAAGACCAGGTTTGCCTTGTAGCAGAGCCAGAAGGTGTGCCTGACCACAGGGCAGGATAGTCATGCCAGGACTCTGACCCTCAGCTTGGCTTAGATGGAGAGAGGCAAGGTGTACAGAATTGCTTTGCATTTACCCCCAAAGACAAGGTAGTTAAAAGAAGGGAAGATAACACACCACATACTCACTACCAACCAATGAGACCTAGCAAAGGCGTCACACAAATCCTTGTCAGATTTGTGGGGATCCTGGGGCAGTCCTGACTGCCAGAATCCACCGGAGGCCATGAGTGGAGGGCTGAGGACATCATTTCTAAGTACAGTGGAAATGAAATCTGGAAGGTAGTGCAAAGGAAAGGGCAGGAGACTCATCTTCTCAGGGAAGTCGTGGGATCCCTGCCATCACATATGTCCGCTGATGACCCTTATTTGTCAGTGCATGACGTAACATTGTCTACACGTTTAGAAAAGAGCAAAAATATGTTCAAAAATCTGATGGAATGATTAAGACACAAGGAGGGAGATCTAAACTCATCAAATTTAGGATGAAGATGGCTGTGAGTTAAGAATTTATAGGGAGTTGGGCACAGTGGTTCACGCCTGGAATCCCAGCACTTTGGGAAGCAGAGATGGGAGGATCACTTGAGGCAAGGAGTTTGAGACCAGTCTGGGCCATATAGTGAGACTCTTATCTCTACAAGAAATAAAAAATTAGCTGATCATGGTTGCGTGCACCTGTATTACCAGCTACTCAGCGGGCTGAGGAGGCAGGATGACTTGAGTTCAGGAGTTGGAGGCTGTAGTGAGCTATGATTGTGCCACTGCATTCCAGCCTGGGTGACAGGGTGAGATCCTGTCTCTAAAAAAAGTGGAATTTTTAGAGTTTAATATTGTCCCAAAGAAGATCCATATGTTCTGGTAGGCATGAATATTCTGGACATCCCGAAGGTGTGATGCAGCGTGGAGAGTGGGTGCACATCAGCATCACCAGCACCTCTGTTAAGCAGAATACTGTGCATGGGTATTAATCCCTGGTGGGGAATTCTGTGCGACTATTAAGAATCCCAGAGGAGAACTCTAAACACCTTGCCAGCTTCTACTAAGGTTCCTAGATCTGGCAGGTTTCTAGATCTGGCAGGAGGTTTTGCCCAAACCCAGCTGCCAGTGTATGAGTTTGGTGAGACAGAGCACTTGTGCAACATGTCAGGCAAAGCAAGTTTAGTACTCCCAGGCAGGGAGCAAGGGCCAACAGAAGTCTAGGATCCATGATGTGCTGGTCCCCCAAGGCTTAGGGAGGCTGCCCAGGGTGGATGCAGTCTTATCTGTATGTGCTCCACTATACATCTGATATAGTTTGGATATTTGTCCCCTCCAAATCTCATGTTGAAATGTGATCCCCAGTGTGGAGGTGGGGCCTGGAGGGAGGTGTTTGGGTCAGAGGGGTTGATCCCCCATGAATGGCTTCGTGTCCTCCCCGTGGTAATGAGCGAGCTCTCAGCTATTACTTCATGTGAGATCTGGTTGTTTTAAAGAACCTGGCACCTTCTCCTTTCTCTTTTGCCCCCTCTCATGCCATGTGACATGCTGCCTCCCTCTTTGCCTTCCACCATGAGTGGGAGCTTCCTGAGGACCTCACCAGAAGCTGAGGAGATGCTGGTGCTAGGCTTCTTGTAGAGACTGCAAAGCCGTAAGACAAATGAACTTCTTTTTTGTATAAATTGCCCAGATATTCCTTTACAGCAAAACAAAATGGACTGATATAGCACCACTACTGAGGGACCCTGAAAGCATTCTGCTCTGGTTTTATACCTCAGAGGCCACTTGGATTGGTGAGCCAAGCATTGCAGGCTGTTCTAGGAATGACGGAGACAAAGCCTGGGCTATTCTGGGCATTTCCTCCTATCTCAGAATGTTGCATTCTCTGTACATTCTGCCCAAGAATTGCAAGCAAAGGAGGGTCAGCCAAGGCTATTTGCAGGCTTGTCCTCCTGTCTGGTTGAAAGATCCTTCAGTACCAGCCAACTCTCTCTCCTGGTTCCATGTTCACTCTGCTACTTTCTAATTATTACTCCAGGTTGGAGGGATGGATGATGGACAACAACTTTTCTCATCACTGGAAGGGCATGTTCCCCACTGAAACTGAATCCACTGTTTTTTGTTTGTTTGTTTATTTGTTTATTTTTGTTTTTGAGACAGCGTCTGGCTTTGTTGCCCAGACTGGAGTGCACTGGTGCAATCTCGGCTCACTGCAACCTCTGCCTCCGGGGTTCAAGAGATTCTCCTGCCTCAGCCTCCCAAGTAGCTTGGACTACAGGCACGCACCACCATGCCTGGCTAATTTTTATATTTTTAGTGGAGACAGGGTTTCACCATGTTGGCCAGACTGGTCTTGAGCTCCTGACTTCAAGTGATCCACCTGCCTTGGCCTCCCAAAGTGCTGGGATTACAGGCATCAGGCCACTCCACTGGGTTTTGAGAATCAGTCAATTTTATGTGTGTTTAGGTTACTTAGCTGCATTCCTAAAGTCTCTGAACCAGTCAGCCAGGAGCTTGGATATCAAGACCTTGGAGGGAGTTTGGTGTCAGTTTTCAGCATCAAACTCCCTCCAAGGTCTTGATATCCAAGCTCCTGGCTGATCTGGGAGCCACAGCAGGGGTCAGGGCCCTGTGATCCCCAGCCTGAAACTGGCAGTCAGATTTCACAGGCTTCAGACCACAGAGGAGCACTAGGACCCCACCAGAGGTGGTCCGGAGGCTGACCTGAAGGCCCTGGGGATGGGCTATGCAAGCTGATTGCTCACTGCGAGTAGCAAGAGGTGAGTGTTGCTGGGACTCTAGAGTTCAGCAGCAAAGCGTTGCTTTCACATGGGGGTAGCATGAGACAAACCTCTGACTGGAGGGGGCAGCAGGGGTGGAAAGGAGATGGGCGGTCAGTTTCTGGTTTGCCTGCTGTTCCCGAAGAGTTAGATGAGAAAGAGACTTTTGGGCTGTTTCCAGGAGGAGCTCTGCTAAATTCCAGCAGTGAGGAGGCCCCCTCCCCACTCAGTATTCTGTTTCTGTCCAATTTTCAAGGTGGGTGGTTCCCATGAAGCATAGCAGGGCAGGATGTGGGGGAGAGCTTTGGCTCATAGTGCACAAGTATTAAATATTTTAAGCTACATGATATTCATACAGTACTTCAACATAAACCTTAACTGTAATTGTTGCAAGGATACACCATTTTCCTCCCAAGCAGATTCTAATTAATCAACAATATGCTGATCAAGCATCTGCAGGAGAAGCAGTGTGCTAAACACTGTAGAAAATTAAAGATTTACAGCATAAACTTCATCTTTGCACTGAAGGAATTTACAAGCTAGCTGAGGAAATAGGACGCATCAGTGAAACACCTAGAAAACAACTGCCAAAAAAAGCACTAAACTAAGTGGGATTCATCAGCACCTCTTTTCCACCCTTCCACTGCATCTCTCCCACAGAGTGGCTCAACCTTGCCCCAGTCGGCAGAACTCTGGGACCACGAGGCAGATCATATGAATCTTCCCTCCAGTGTCCCACTCTTTCTTTATCCCATGGAACATAGTCACTGTTGGTAACTAGTTCCTCTGCACCCCTTCACTCCTTCCCACAGGGCTCAGTGGACTGAGGGTGGGAGAGTGTGAGGGTGATGAGGGGAGAAGCTGGTTTTGTGTGGATATATCCAGAAAATGGACACTGCAAAGGCGATCATGCTAGATAAAAATAGGTTTAATTTCTTCGGTTGTCTTCTGCTAAAATGGAATGGGTCTGGTTAGTTGGAGGGGTCAGATATCTCTTGTTAAATTGATAAGCATCTGCTGTATCTCATTTGTGCAGAAGGAAGATAAAAGGCCATCGGGAGACCTGGGTGTGGCCTTCTTGGGGCTCTTCTGGTTGCCTAGTAGCTTTTCCATGTTTTCTCGCTATGTCTTTATACCCATGTCCTTTCAATATACATTTCTCCCTCGTTGTGCTGATGCTTGTGTGACTGTCATCATTTGTGTACGGTCCTCTGAATTAGACAGGTTCAAGAGAGTGACAAAAGTATTACTGGAACCTACTTTTGCTATTAGGCCAGCCTTTCTCAACAGGATTTCCAGGAAAGAATTAAGGTCTACAGAACATTATTTGAGTGACTGTCTTCTCAGTTTCTCTAGGATGTGACATAATTAGTTCCATTCTAGAAGAACGAGAAATATAAGTTAATTCATTACATAAAATAGATGCCTTTGGGCATTAGGGCTTAGTTTGCTCATGTAGCCCAGATTGAGAAGGGCTGCTCTGGGCCCTCATCCAAGGGTCTCAAGCAACATCAGAGCTCCCTCCTTTTCTTGGCCTGCCTCAGTTGCTGCAACTAACCCATAATGACTTCTTGAGTCATGAGTTTGACAGTGTACACTAAATGTAATTGGAGTTCAAAGGACAGACCAAGGCCCTGTGGGGGGTAATATGTGGAGTTATAATTGTTTAGGCATTCTAAGGTCATCTAATATTAACTTAGAATAGGCAGTGAACTTGGAGAGAGAAGACTTGAAACTTTGCTCTCTCCCTCATTCCTTATCGGGGACTCTGTAAGGCAGGACGGCGAGTAATGACTTCCCTCTGTGGTAAGGGAGTAGAAGTTCTCTGTTCAAAAAACTTTAGATCTTGTAAACAGTGATCTAAATCAGCAGTCCCCAATCTTTTGGCACCAGGGACTGGTTTCGTAGAAGAGTTTTTCCATGGACTGTGGGGTTTGCGGGTGGATAATTTTGGGATGATTCAAGCTCATTACATTTATCGTGCACTTTATTTCTATTATTATTACATTATATATTATATACATATATATATATATGTATATATATATATATATATATATATATATATGTAATTGTACAACTCACCATGATGTAGAATCAGTGGGACCCCTGAGCTTGTTTTCCTGCAACTAGATGGCCCCATCGGGGTGATGGGAGACAGTGACAGATCATCAGGCATTAGATTCTCATAAGGAGTGTGAAACCTAGATCCTTTGCATATGAAGTTCACAATAGGGTTCATGCACCTATGAGAATCTAATGCCTCTGCTGATCTGATAGGAGGTAGGGCTCAGGCGGTAATGCGAGTGATGGGGAGTGGCTGTAAATACAGATGAAGCTTCCCTTGGTCGCCCACCACTCACCTCCTGCTGTGCAGCCTGGTTCCTAACAGGTCATGGACTTGTCTGGTCTGTAGCCCAGGGATTGGGGACCCCTGATCTAAATAGCAAAGCTGAATAAAGTATGCCTATCCCATCTGATATAAATTGAGAGTTGTTAGGATTTGGCATGGCGCATCAGGGTGTTGAGTAATCTGGTGTTCATCAGTATTGACAGGTAGAGAAGATAAGGATGTTTTGAGCTCATCAAGACAGGAGCAGACACCTGTTGGGACAAGAGAGCACAGCAGCAGGCTGGTTCTCCCATCCTCGTACCCTATCATATGATGCTGGTCAGGAGGAGACTGGGGAAATATTGTGATATTATAGGTTAAATCTTTGGGAAAGCATTTTTTGAGTCAGGCTTGGTCTGGACATTGTCTGACTCCCGTGGCTTGGAGGTTGCCAGGGCGATGACACATTCCTTCAAGATTTTGGTTTCTTTCCTGGCCAGATCTAGCAGAGCCAAGTTTTCTTGGGTGCCTGCAGGCTGTCAGAAGAACTCCATCCTTGCTTCTCTGTCACTACTGTGCACTGAATCCTGCCTGAAATCCTCCACTTCCGCCTTTGGCTAGGAACCCTTCCTTTCTTCCCTGCTGGACCCAGGGAGGAGGAGAGGCAACATCACAACTTTCTGTGCTTCCATCATAGCTGTGGGACTGTCTCTGTGTAAAGTCCTGCTGGCCTAGAGTTTCTAGCTTCTAGTGTCACCTGTGGAACTACAAAATTTATCCTTATTCCAGGTTAAGTTCCTCTGCTATGCATTCTCATGTACTTCCTTTTTGAAATAATTATTAACTGAATGAGTGCTTATTTAATATTTATTTTCCTGAGCTAGACTATGAGCTCCATAAGATCTGGAACGAAGTCTGTCTTGGTCACTGCCATATTCCTATTGCCAAGCACAACAAAATCATTGTAGGCATTTCAAAGAGGGAATTTAAAACAGGAAATTGGTTACACGTTGGACTGGGCTGAGAAGCCAAATGGGCTGGTGAAACAACCACATATTAGTGGCAGCGGAAGCTGCTACCATCCTGAGGGCTGGAAGGACACAAGAAAGGAGTGGGGAACAACTTCATTCTGATTAACTTCATTCTGAATTATATGGAATTAAAAAATTTTTCTTCTGGTAGGAGTGCCCACAATACTAGTAAAAATGTAGGCCATTTAACATTACCCTATTTGAAATCCACCATAGCCTTCTTGAGTTTCAAATCTGAAATCTGCAGGGATAATGTTTCTCAAAATGACAAAAGCACCATTTCTGAGGCAAAGATCCAGCCTGTCCTGGGCAGGTTGGCCCTTGGTTAGGATTTCAGGTCACGCTTGCAGATAGATCCATCACGCTTCCATCTCAGATGGGCTGTGACCTTTTGGATGCAGAGAAGGCTGTAATGCCACTTTTGTCCACCAGAGGGCTGCAGGGTCTCCCCTCACAGTCCAAACGGCTGAGATTTGGTGACTCAACCATGCCTTGGCAGGGTGCTGCCTTGAGGGGTCTCCTCTTAAGTACCTCATGTGTTGGAGGAGATCTGGGGGTGCAGAGGCTGCCCTGATTCCAGAAGGGAGGAATTTTGTATTCGGTTCCCTCATTTTCTCTCTCCCGGCTTCATTTTATGTTTCATAACAATTGATTTGAACAATTTAAAAATCGGGAAATCAAAGTGGGGGTGTGTGTGTGTGCATTTTGTGGGCAGGGTAGCAAGAAGTGGGAATAATTCTGGTTACATTAATTCATGCCTGAACTCGCAGCTTAAACATTATTTAATGTTGTAGAAATTCAGAGATGGAAAAGTGACCTTGGAAATAATTTAGCATCCCTTCATTTATAGCCAAAGAAATGAATGCGGCCCTTGCCGCTTGCGAGATGCCTGGAAGGTTCAGAGCCTTTAGGAATGCAGCTAATATGTAAGGTTATTAAAGCGTTTTTGGTAAGATTTTATTTCAGTATTCCAATCTTTCTTCCCTTTTCTTAGACTCAGCCTGAGCCTTAACAGCAGCAACAAAGCACAAAAAGGCATTTTTCAGTTTTCCATTGAAAGTACTTGGCTTTCTTGTTCTAATCCCATAATTAGACTTTGGATTCTTTCCAGACTCCATTGAATCAGAAGATAGAAAGGCCTGACATGGTAGAAAAAAATTATCCGGGAAAATATTGGAGTGAGTAGAAAACCAGTCAAACTCCTAATTGCAAATTCTCTTAAAATTAATTGAAAAATGTTACTAAAGAATTTTCAGCAGTACAGCAAAGACCAGTCACTGAAGTAACTTAAGGGAGAATGCACTAAACTGAAAAAAAATCAATGTGGGTTTTCTAAAAAAGTTTCAAAAAACACCCAATGAGCCCACACAAAAAACTTTATTTTAATTAATCCCAAAGAAAGAAACAACCACAGGGAACCATACACAGAATTCAGAAAATGGCTGGAGCCTCTTTTCAAAGAAATCAAGTGGACATTACATCCTCCCTAGTGAAAGTCAGAATAAAAAAGAATGAAAGTAATGATTATTGCAAAAGACACATTGAAAATCATGTTTAAACTGCACAAAGCAGAAATGGCACTTAAATCAGTAAAGAAACCTGAGCAATAGATCCAGAATTTAAAGAAACTAAATTAAGAAATGAAACACTTCAGGAGGGCAGATCTGGGGAATAGATCTGAGTATTGCAATTTCTGAATAGTTAGACTTCCTGAGTAAGCCAAAGAAAGAAAAGGTCCTAAATCAATAACTAAAGATGCAGGAATACTTTATTCCAGAATCAATAAGAGATTAGACTTGAAATAGAGAAGAGTTACATGGTCTAACAGAATAGTTACGAACATTTAGGAAACAGTTCTCACACTTATACATCTTTTCATTTGATTTTTACAACAATGTGAGGTAGACAGATATTATTAATCTCCCATCTTACAGATAGAAATTAACCTCCAAGAAACTGAGTGATTTGCCCAAGGGATATAACTAGTAAGTGAAGAGTCCAAGTTCAAGTCCAGGTCCTGCTCTCCAAAGTGGGAGGGGTCTTATATATATTTTAAATAATAAGGGAAATACATCTTTGATGACATGCAAAAAGAGAAGATCTCTTAAAAGAATATACATTGGAAACACGATTGGATTTTCTAGTAACATAAAAAGAGCTCAGTGGATATGAAACAATGTTACCAAGGATGAGAGAGAGAGAGAGAGAGAGAGAGAGAGAGAGAGAGAGAGAGAGAGAGAGAATGCATCCCCACCATACTTGACCTTGCCAAACTGCCTTTCATGTGGGGCGCGACAAAGAACTAAAAGCTCTTTGAGGTCCTAGAAATCCAACCAGTCACTCACTCACATTATTCCAACAGGCTCTGAGGACTGCTTCTAACAGAAGTCTGCATTAAACACAGAAACCTAAAGAGAAGACATTGACCTGAGTTATTTATTTATTACAGAAATATATAAACAGAACATCATGAGGAAGCATTTTTTGTTGATAAGTATAATTATTGTATTTGATGGAACAAAAGTAAGATGTGTCCTTATACCTGTATGAGGAATTACAACTGCTCTGACCTTTCTAAGAGAGTTATTTGGCTAAATGTGACATGAAACATTCCTTAGATTCAATACTACCACTCCGGGAACTTGTCCTAAAGCAATAATTCAAAGAAGAAAAAATTATAGATTGTTATACTGATATTTACAATTGTGAAAACTTGGAATAAAAACTGAAGAACTGAGTTTTACCCCAAATGAATATTATGTAGCTGTTAAAAATAATGAAGATGAAATATGTGTAAGAAATTAGCAATGGAAGTAGAACTAAACTTTTAACCATACTATGATTAAAACAATGAAAAATGTGTGTATGTAGATAAAAATTGGGATGCAATGTAGAGAAATGACATGAGTTAATTTAGGGTGGTGGAATCGAAGCTGAATTTTAAAAAATCTTTATATACTATTACATTTACAAATGGTTAGAAAGTTGCCAATGCTGCTGCTGAAACACTGGCAATCCCGCCCAAGTCAGAGGTTCACGGACTATGTCTGGAAGCATAAGAAACTGCTTACAGTTGCTGCCCCTGAGTAGGGGAAGCGGGGGCTTGTGGGCCTGGGGAAGAGGGCTAGGAAGTGACTTAATTTTACTATATGTGCTATATTCGTTGGTGCCTTTTGGATTTTGTATTCTTTGCGTGTGGTGCCAATGAAAACATGATGTCTAGGCACAATAAATCTACATATTTCTGACCTGTAAAATTTCCCCAACGGTCTGATGGTGGGACAGAAGAGTTGAAGTCAGTGTGGTGTTGGAAAATGCAAAACATTTAGTTACTGTGCCATATAAATGGAAAGGCAGAGAGTGGAGACAATGCCAAGGCTAAAAAGAGAACAATAGGTGGGAGTGAGCCTGCCTAGGAGTCCAGATGGAGCAGTGGAGACCAGGTAGAATCTTGGAGCTGTGGCCAAGGGAGCAGAAAACTGCAAAGATGGTGGCACAGACGGCAGAGGAAGAGTGTGAGTGGATGGCAAGGAGAGGAGCCGCAGGGTGGCGCCAAGGCAGGCCAGGACCGCTCACTGTGGTGTAGTGTGGACAGACACTGAGGTATGGTGCATGCAGTGGGTGGCTGCTGTGGCCAGACATGCTGGGTGCATAAAGTTGAGGCACCAGGGAAGCGTGGAGCCGGGGCGCCTCCTGGGATGGCTGCTGAGACCAGTGCGAGTTGGGGAGGAAGCAGACGCACAGGCTGGGCCCAGGGTTGCGGAGCCAGTGGGGTTGGGTTAGCTGCAGATCTTGAAGGCTTCTTCTCTTAAACAACGAGTAGCATGGAAAGAACAGGATTGGCAGTCAGAAGGCCGAGGTTCAAGTCCCGCTTTGAGGACCAGCTCTGTGACCTTCCTCACTATTTTGTCATCCTCAAAATGGGTAATATTAGCCGCCTCGTGGAGGCAAGAGTGAAAACATCTGCAAGAAATAGCAGACATAAGCGCTCTCTGAGCTGTAAACTGTAAAACCAGCATAACTCATCAGAGCAGAGAGGGGCCCAGTCACATTAAGGAGGTGGAGTGACTCCCAGGCCTGAATGAAGGTATTTTGTTAATTAGAACAAGAGCTAAAGACCCACAGACCCCAGGAGGAGGAGAGGCAGGCATACATGCTAGTCTATGCCCCGCTCAGGTGAAGTGCCCAGCCCAAGGCCATGGTGTCTCTGGGTCCAGAAACAGGCATTGTGTTTTTGTGGAAAAGGATGTTTTATGCTACCCTGACCCCCATCAAACACTTGAGTTACAGTAACGCTTTTCCGATTGCATGGTTACCACGTAACCTCTCATAGCGTTATTTGGCTTCCCTTGTAGCCTGCCCCTCAGGGATAGAACTTTCTGTCCTCCAGAAATTCTCATTGTTTACCAAAGTAGTTAAAAGCACTGATTTTGGAACCAGGTTGAGATTCTGGCTCTGCCACTTCCTATCGGTGACCTTGGGCAAATTATATGATGTTCTTTGTATCAGTTTCCTCATCTGTAAAATGGGATACTAAGAGTAGCTTCCTGTTCCTTGTGAGGAATAATGATAAATCATGTAAGGGCCCTCAGTGCCTGGCCTGGTAGGTGCCGTACACACGTTTGTGGGGTTTATGGAAAATCGCTGACTTGGCATTCTGATTCATCCACGGTAGACTCTGTGAACCTGCTCAGGGTGCTGCTGCCTAGAAGTTTGCTAGAGGAAGGGCATTCCAGGTAGAGGGTGTGGTTTGCTTGAGTCTTGGAAGGGTGAACAGGCTATAGGTAGCTGGGGTGGCTGCAACCTGGGCACATGGGGCAGAATGGTGGGAGATGAGACAGAGCAGATTGGGGCCAGATCCCTTGAGTATGGGCAATAACAGTTTGTGCTGTGCTAATACATTCTGATTTCATCCTATAGGCCATGGTGGTCCCCTGGAGAATTTTAGGCAGGTGAGCGACAAAATGGAATTTGTGTTTTAGATTTCAAGGTCCTTGACAGCGGGGCGGGGGCGGGGATGGAATTTGTGTTTTAGATTTCGAGGTCCTTGACAGCGGGGCGGGGGCGGGGGTCTTGTTCATCCTTGTGTCATCAGTAAGTCACCCATCTTTTGACTCATAGTAAGAAATCAATGAGCATTTGTGAAATGAGTGAAAGACAACGCCGGAGACTATGGAGGCCAGAGGGGCATCAGGGAGACAACCCAGGGCCTGTTGCACTAGCCTAGGTGGGAGCAATGAGAGTGTGGACAGAGGCAGCAGGAGGTGCTGGGGGAAGGTCACACTCCCCTCCAACTTGGGAAGGAGGGTCACAGTATTTGGTGACTGATGGGGGAGATGGATGAAGTTAAAGCAAAGATGACTTTATATTTTTAGCTAGGGTGATGGCAAAACTACTAAAAATGAAAGGAAAAGAGGAGGAAGACCAGTGTGCTTAAGTTTAGGACAACAATGCAATGTGAAGTACCCAGTGGATGTCAATGAGTTTTTTCTCTTAATAATTTGCCTGTAAGCAAGGCTGTCATTGCTAACACTTCTGATGAGCTCTCTTGAATCTTTGAGGGGACCAATAATTGCAGTTTCAAGGTGGGATCTGTAAAAAAAATCATGTGAACAGTTTTCACCCATATATGTTAGGTTACATATGTTATGAGACATGTTTGAAAAGGCACGTATAAGCAAATTTGTCTAAATTCAAATGTTACAAACACACAGCTATATACTTGTATACGTTGTGTGTGTATACCCAACTCTATACTGCTGGAAGTTGTGGAGACAAGCAGCACTATCTGACCCTTTCCCTGGGGCCTCTAAGTTGCCTGACAGTGAGCCAGCTCTCAGACTCAATGTCCCTTGGGATGGAGGGCTCCCAAGGTCTCCAAGTTCTGGATGCAGTGACATCTGAGAGACTTTTCCTACACAGTAGACATGTCAGGTTGAAACTGCTTGGTGTGTTATCTAACATGTTTATTCCCCCACGCAAGACTACCTTTATACATACCTCATTAAATGGAAGAATATCAAGGGGTGGAGTTTCCGTGCTGGCATCCCCATGGCACATTTATCCATTTGGCCCAAGCACACTTTTCAACAGGAGGCTGGGAGGGCAGGGACCTAGCTGGGCTGATCCTGCTCTCATGAGTTCCAGCTGCACCAGATGATGCTGGTTGGTGTCTACCCTGAGCCCTTTACACAAATACCAGTGCAGTCTTGTTTTAGATCCTGGGGAATAACAACTGATTTCTGTGGATGAGAAGTTCCACAGAACTTTCCTCTGCTAACTTATCACTTAGCAGAGGAAAATTTATTGTTTCATTTCTTAACGCATGTGTTTTAATTATTTCTGCCATCAGATTTAACAAAGCCCTAAAATGAAATTTGAAGTAGCATGAGGATTTTATGAAGATCTTGTATAATAAATTTCAGCTATATTGCCTTATTCACAGAATCTAAAAGACTGTTATTTGCTTTTCTTATTATTTTCAAGGGGAAAAAATTTCAAACCTTTTTCCCCAGGTCTCTTGAATAATAGTGGTGTATTTTTCTCTGTCATGGCATGGAGAAAGGCTCTCTTCTGCTGAGTTTATGGATTTTTTAAAGTTAATGATAATGGTTTGTTTGAAGTAGATTTTTGTATGTGTGTGTTTGAGGTGAAATTCATGCAAAGAGAGGTGAAATAGTTGTCCGGGTTCTTGCTGTGACCAAGAATGTTTTATCTCTTAATGGGAATGAAAATAACACTTAAAAATCTTAGCTGGCTCTGTCATGTAGTCAAGGATTAAAAAATAACAAAAACCTCATCAATGACATTACCAGATTTTTTGTTGTTGTTTTATTATTATTTTTTTGAGCACCCAGGCTGGGGTGCTGTGGCATGATCTTGGCTCACTGCAACCTCCCCTTTCCAGGACTCAAGCCATCCCCCGACCTCGGACACTTGAGTAGCTGAGACTACAGGTGTGTGCCACCACACCCAGCTAATTTTTATATTTTTTGTGGAGATGGCAGGGGAGGGGTGTCACTATGTTGCCCAAGCTGGTCTCGAGCCCCTGAGCTCAAAGCCATCTGCCCACCTTGGCCTCCCAAAATGCTGGGATTACAGGTGTGGACTACTGTGCCCAGCCTACAGCACTTTGACTTTCTAATTAGTCAGGATACACTCGATACTGGTAACTGCTACCTGCATCAGAGATACCTGAAAGTATCTCTGAATATAGTCTCTTAGGGAAAATGTTTTGAAAAAAGTGAAAAGCTGGGTGAAGAAGTACAGAATCACAAGTCGCATAGAAACAAAACAGAGCCAAAATATAAATAAAGAGTGTGTGTTCATACACACACACACACACACACACACATTTTTATATGCCTTATACTTTCTTTCTTCTACTCTGAAATAGAGAATATTATAATTCTCTTCTTTATATTCAGGAACGCAATAGGTAATTACATATTTTTAGTGATCCCCTAGAAATCTTGATAAAGTCGACCCAAAGTAAGAAACTGTAGTTAAGTTTTGTGTTAGTTTTGGTGGCATAAAATAAGGGAGGACTAGCCCAGGAAACTGTGGGTAGAGTCCACTAGCTACTTCTCTGCCCTGTGGTTCTATGTGGTCCTTGTAAAACCAGTAGATAACAGCAGTAACTAAGGGTGTAGACTCTGGAGATGAATCAGAAGGAAGCCTGGAGACTGTGAAGTGAGTTAGTTAAGAGCTCTACACCCAATAAGACAAGGAAGACAATACTAGCTAGCTCATTTCCTTCTATCTCCAACTTCTAAACATTAAAAAACATTTTTTCAGTATGTGTTTTTCTGGAAGGAATGATTGGAATATCCAAGGACATGAGGGGAGAAGAAAGCGGTAAAATGGCATTTGCTGTAAAAGAGTGGGAAAAAAATTGAATTACTCCAAGGTTCGTTGTGTTCTTCCAGCTCCATCTATGATAAAGAGAATGAACAACTAGGTGTTTTCCTTCTGGACAATGATTATGACACAGATTACTGCTGGGACCAGAAGTATTGCCACTTTGGACAACATGGAATAGAAGGATTATTGAGAATCACTTATAATGAGATGTTACTTCAAATTAGGAAAAATTTGATAAACAAATTTATAATACAAATGATTATAAAAACCTAAAGACCACTCGTGACAGAATTTTTAAAATGATGTGTTAATTATAAATACCAGTATCTTGCTAATTAATGTGCCTTGTTTGGGGCATATCAAGTGTATAGCCTATTAATATAATCTATCTGGACTGAAATGCCTTATTAAGACCCCATTCTGTAAGAGGTATTTTATTCCCTGGTTTTGGTACTTCCTGCCCACTACTAATTTGAATTTTTACTATAGTCATTCCTAGGAAATGTTCAATAAAAATTTTTAGATGAATTGCTCTCAAGCCCAATTCAATGCTTGTTAATTTGTTAAGAAGATAACTAATGAGTCTGCTCATCCAGAAAGGGTATGAAAATGAGGAATTGTGGAGTTGACAAATGATGCTTATGTAGGCAGCTAGTTTTTTTTTTTTTTTTATATCGTCATTCTTTTAGAGGGTCAGTTCAGTTTCTTTTTCTTTTATTTATTATACTTTAAGTTTTAGGGTACATGTGCACATTGTGCAGGTTAGATACATATGTATACATGTGCCATGCTGGTGCACTGCACCCACTAACTCGTCATCTAGCATTACGTATATCTCCCAATGCTATCCCTCCCCCCTCCCCCACCCCACAACAGTCCCCAGAGTGTGATATTCCCCTTCCTGTGTCCATGTGATCTCATTGTTCTATTCCCACCTATGAGTGAGAATATGCGGTGTTTGGTTTTTTGTTCTTGCGATAGTTTACTGAGAATGATGATTTCCAATTTCATCCATGTCCCTACAAAGGACATGAACTCATCATTTTTTATGGCTGCATAGTATTCCATGGTGTATATGTGCCACATTTTCTTAATCCAGTCTATCATTGTTGGACATTTGGGTTGGTTCCAAGTCTTTGCTATTGTGAATAATGCCGCAATAAACATACGTGTGCATGTGTCTTTATAGCAGCACGATTTATAGTCATTTGGGTATATACCCAGTAATGGGATGGCTGGGTCAAATGGTATTTCTAGTTCTAGATCCCTGAGGAATCGCCACACTGACTTCCACAATGGTTGAACTAGTTTACAGTCCCACCAACAGTGTAAAAGTGTTCCTATTTCTCCACATCCTCTCCAGCACCTGTTGTTTCCTGACTTTTTAATGATTGCCATTCTAACTGGTGTGAGATGGTATCTCATAGTGGTTTTGATTTGCATTTCTCTGATGGCCAGTGATGATGAGCATTTTTTCATGTGTTTTTTGGCTGCATAAATGTCTTCTTTTGAGAAGTGTCTGTTCATGTCCTTCGCCCACTTTTTGATGGGGTTGTTTGTTTTTTTCTTGTAAATTTGTTTGAGTTCATCGTAGATTCTGGATATTAGCCCTTTGTCAGATGAGTAGGTTGCGAAAATTTTCTCCCATTTTGTAGGTTGCCTGTTCACTCTGATGGTAATTTCTTTTGCTGTGCAGAAGCTCTTTAGTTTAATTAGATCCCATTTGTCAATTTTGGCTTTTGTTGCCATTGCTTTTGGTGTTTTGGACATGAAGTCCTTGCCCATGCCTATGTCCTGAATGGTAATGCCTAGGTTTTCTTCTAGGGTTTTTATGGTTTTAGGTCTAACGTTTAAATCTTTAATCCATCTTGAATTGATTTTTGTATAAGGTGTAAGGAAGGGATCCAGTTTCAGCTTCCTACATATGGCTATCCAGTTTTCCCAGCACCATTTATTAAATAGGGAATCCTTTCCCCATTGCTTGTTTTTCTCAGGTTTGTCAAAGATCAGATAGTTGTAGGTATGCGGCATTATTTCTGAGGGCTCTGTTCTGTTCCATTGATCTATATCTCTGTTTTGGTACCAGTACCATGCTGTTTTGGTTACTGTAGCCTTGTAGTATAGTTTGAAGTCAGGTAGTGTGATGCCTCCAGCTTTGCTCTTTTGGCTTAGGATTGACTTGGCAATGCGGGCTCTTTTTTGGTTCCATATGAACTTTAAAGTAGTTTTTTCCAATTCTGTGAAGAAAGTCATTGGTAGCTTGATGGGGATGGCATTGAATCTGTAAATTACCTTGGGCAGTATGGCCATTTTCACGATATTGATTCTTCCTACCCATGAGCATGGAATGTTCTTCCATTTGTTTGTATCCTCTTTTATTTCCTTGAGCAGTGGTTTGTAGATCTCCTTGAAGAGGTCCTTCACATCCCTTGTAAGTTGGATTCCTAGGTGTTTTATTCTCTTTGAAGCAATTGTGAATGGGAGTTCACTCATGATTTGGCTCTCTGTTTGTCTGTTGTTGGTGTATAAGAATGCTTGTGATTTTTGTACATCGATTTTGTATCCTGAGACTTTGCTGAAGTTGCTTATCAGCTTAAGGAGATTTTGGGCTGAGACAATGGGGTTTTCTAGATATACAATCATGTCATCTGCAAACAGGGACAATTTGACTTCCTCTTTTCCTAATTGAATACCCTTTATTTCCTTCTCCTGCCTAATTGCCCTGGCCAGAACTTCTAACACTATGTTGAATAGGAGTGGTGAGAGAGGGCACCCCTGTCTTGTGCCAGTTTTCAAAGGGAATGCTTCCAGTTTTTGCCCATTCAGTATGATATTGGCTGTGGGTTTGTCATAGATAGCTCTTATTATTTTGAGATACGTCCCATCAATACCTAATTTATTGAGAGTTTTTAGCATGAAGGGTTGTTGAATTTTGTCAAAGGCTTTTTCTGCATCTATTGAGATAATCATGTGGTTTTTGTCTTTGGCTCTGTTTATATGCTGGATTACATTTATTGATCTGCGTATATTGAACCAGCCTTGCATCCCAGGAAAGATCCAAAATTGACACCCTAACATCACAATTAAAAGAACTAGAAAAGCAAGAGCAAACACATTCAAAAGCTAGCAGAAGGCAAGAAATAACTAAAATCAGAGCAGAACTGAAGGAAATAGAGACACAAAAAACCCTTCAAAAAATCAGTGAATCCAGGGGCTGGTTTTTTGAAAGGATCAACAAAATTGATAGACCGCTAGCAAGACTAATAAAGAAAAAAAGAGAGAAGAATCAAATAGACACAATAAAAAATGATAAAGGGGATATCACCACCGATCCCACAGAAATACAAGCTACCATGAGAGAATACTACAAACACCTCTACGCAAATAAACTAGAAAATCTAGAAGACATGGATAAATTCCTCGATACATACACTCTCCCAAGACTAAACCAGGAAGAAGTTGAATCTCTGAATAGACCAATAACAGGAGCTGAAATTGTGGCAATAATCAATAGTTTAACAACCAAAAAGAGTCCAGGACCAGATGGATTCACAGCCGAATTCTACCAGAGGTACAAGGAGGAACTGGTACCATTCCTTCTGAAACTATTCCAATCAATAGAAAAAGAGGGAATCCTCCCTAACTCATTTTGTGAGGCCAGCATCATTCTGATACCAAAGCCGGGCAGAGACACAACCAAAAAAGAGAATTTTAGACCAATATCCTTGATGAACATTGATGCAAAAATCCTCAATAAAATACTGGCAGACCGAATCCAGCAGCACATCAAAAAGCTTATCCACCATGATCAAGTGGGCAGCTAGTTTTTTAAAGGTATGAAAGTTTAGAGTTCCATTTCAAAGGTTACCAAAACATGGAGTCCACATCAGCTGTTGGGAGGGGAGCCCACGGCAGGACCGTCTGAGGTGGCAGGGGTGCACACTCAGGCCATGGGAAAACACTTCTCAAAAACAAATGAGAAGAGGCTGAAGTGTGGGAATAACAAGATTTTACCCCCCAAGTTATTTTAGGGCTAGTAACAAGAAAGCATCAATCGTATTGAACCCACTGGGGGCTCACTGCTTGGTGCTAGGCAACAAGGTCTGAGTTTTGAGCTGTCCAAAGCCAGTGTTTTTTCTCCAATTTAGACAAATCTTCCCATTTCTTAGTTTTGGGACGAGAATTTTGTTTGTTTCTTCCTTAAACAAAGGATTCTTGGATTTGAAATTAAGAATGACTAAAATAAAATTTAGCATGCATTCTGTTTCAACCCCAGCTGGTCTGACACCACCTGGCATACTACAATTCAGTTCTGGTGGTAACCCCCTGGAGCTAGTGCAGACCCCATCAGTTACAGGCTCAGTCCTCCATAAGACTTCCTTCACTTTAGCTGCCAGCTGCAATTCAGAGGCCCCTAAGCCACCTGCACTTTTGACCAAGTGGCTACAAATTTGGGAGTTCTCACAACCCCATCAGGTTAAAAAATTCACTAGTATGTCTCACAGAGCTTGAGAAAACACTTTTAAAAAAATAATTACAATTTTATTATAAAGGATACAGATCAGGAGCAGCCAAAGGAAGGGATACACAGGGTGAGTTCTGGGAGAGTCCAGAGTGTGGAGCTTCTGTGCCCTCTCCTGTGGAATCAGGATGCTGTCACCCTTCTGACACATCAATGTGTTCACCATCCAGGAAGCTACACTAATATTTGGTGTCCAGAGTTTTTATTGGGGTTTCATTATGTAGGCATAGTTCATTAAATCAGTGGCCAACTGATTGAAGTCAATCTCCACCCTCCTTTCCTCTCCAGAGGTCAGGCTGAGCTAACATCACATTGCTCAGAGTCCCAACCCTCTAATCATGTGGTTGGTCTTTCTGCTGAGTCTTTCTGGTGAACAGCCCCATCCTGAAGCTATCTAGGGGGCTACCATGGGTTTTCTCATTAGCATGAACTCAGCTGGCTCATGAATAATGAAGACACTTCTGTCGCTTGGGAAATTCCAAGGGTTCTAGAAGCTCCATGCCAGGAACCCTGGACTAAGACCAGACAAATTCTTTATTAAACAACACCACAGGAATACAGGTAATGTGGTCATGCTTTCAGAGAATGAACTTTAAATGATGTACAGGGGGTTCTGATTTGTTTTCCAAATGGGCCAGGGTGGTCTTACCAAAACACATGTGTGCTTGAAACCTTTCAGTGGCCTCCCCCTATTCTCAGGGCAAAGAGTAAAATCCCTAACCAGGCCTTCTGGGTCCTGCATGGCCCAGCTCCTCTCCTGTCTGGCCTCATCTGACACAGCCCTTGCTCCTTGCTCTCATGGGCTAGCCCTTCAGTTTCTTGAATGCACTTGCTGTCTTGTCTGGGCCTCTCCCCTTGCTGTTCTGTGCTTGGATCTGTCGTCTCCCTAGCCTTTTGGTCTATGTGTTCCTACAGCACTTTGGCTGCTTTCCTTCATGGTCCTTGCTCTGTCTTCCCTATTAGCTGTAAGCTCCAAGGTCAGCTGTTTGTGCTCATGGTTGTATCCCTGCCCCCAAACTGGTAAGTTCCTAGTACAGAGAGGATGCTCCACATACTTTTGTTGAATGAATTAATGAAGTGGATTCACCCTCACAGGATTGGCAAAAACCCTTACCCAGGGCTGAGAGAATACTGTTTGCTCTGCCGGGACTTCCCTTGTTCTTGTGTTTTCATGTTCTGCTTATTTTTATTCTTGGTGTCTCTTATTATTTTTGCCCCATGTCATTCTGTACAGGGCTCCATCTGATGTCAGGGCCTTTGCTTATGCACTTGCTCAAAGTTTGCCTCTCCAGAGTCGTAATCGGTTGTAATCCCGAGGAGACTCTAATATGTTTTACAAAATCCCTGCTACTAAGTTACTCATCTGGGGAAGGCTTCTGGCTCTCCGTGGTGTGGGGATTCTGCCTGTGCTGCTGCTCTGCTTCAAGCCTTTTTAAAAAGCCTGCTTTCTTTGTACCACATCCTAGCCTGGTCTTTTAACTGCTGTGCTGTTCTAGGTCATTCCTTACCTTCGTTTTTCCTGTTTAACACCATTAAGCCTCTCCTGGGCAGTACCCGCCTGTAAGGTTGTTTCTGTTGAATGGCTTGATGCCCACTTTCAGGTATATTAGTCTTGGTAAGTATAATAATTCTGCTAGAAGGATATAGGAAACAGACACAGAGGAATTAAGTTAACGTTACTTGAGAACATACAGCTAGTTAGCAGAATAACTGGAATTAGAATGCCAAACTCCTGACCTCATATCTAGCTGTTCTTTCCACTCCACCCTGAATTGGCTTACATTTGTGAATTGGCTCACATTTGTGAATTGGCTCACATTTGTGAATAGGAAATTTTGTTGACTATCTTTCCACTTATCAAAATGTTTGGAACCATACCAAGCTACTTGGAATCCATATCGTATCACCTCATGTGATTCTTGGACTGCAGAAACTGGGAGAAGCAATTAATAGCAGTAAGCTCGACTTTTCTCAACTTTCCCCTTCAGATGTTCTGAACAAAGAGAACAAGGAACTCAGATCACAAAAAGCTCCAATTAAAGGGAACTTGACTGCATATCCATTTGTTAAAATTACTACCAACCCTCCAGGTTTCCCTTCAGTGTCTATGTTGTAAAAAATGGATGGAAAATGTATTAATATTAGCCACTGATATGTTCATAGAATAGATGAGAAGAAAACACCTCGGTATTCCCACCTGAGATAAGAAAGTGTTCTAAAAATATCTTGTTGGCTGGGCATGGTGACTCATGCCTATAATCCCAGCACTTTGGGAGGTCAAGGCAGTAGGATTACTTGAGCCCAGGAGTTTGAGACCTGCCTAGCCAACACAGGGAGACCCTGTCTTTATAGAAGTATTAAATTTTAAAAAAAATTTGGCGGGGCACAGTGGCTCACACCTGTAGTCCCAGCACTTTGGGAGGCCGAAGCGGGTGGATCACGAAGTTGGGAGATCGAGACCATCCTGGCTAACACAGTGAAACCCTGTCTCTACTAAAAATACAAAAAATTAGCCAGGCGTGGTGGTGGGTGCCTGTGGTCCCAGCTACTTGGGAGGCTGAGGCAGGAGAATGGCATGAGCCCCAGAGGCAGAGCTTGCAGTGAGCCGAGATCATGCCACGGCACTCCAGCCTGGGTGACAGAGCGAGACTCCATCTCAAAATAAATAAATAAATAAATAAATAAATAAATAAATAAATAAATAAAATAAAATAAAAAATGTATAAAACAATAAAATTTTAAAAATCTGATTATGAATGGCTTGTTTATGGTCATCACAAAGATTCATAAAAGATGAAATGTAGATATAATTTAAAGGAGATAAATTTTAGAGTTTTATGAGATTAAAAAATAAAAAAGGGCCGGGCGCAGTGGCTCACGCCTGTAATCCCAACACTTTGGGAGGTTGAGGTGGGCGGATCCCTTGAGCCTAGAAGTTAGAGACCAGCCTGGGCAACATGGAAAAACCTCATCTCTACAAAGAATACAAAAATTAGCTGGGAGTGTTGGCGTGCACCTGTAGGCCCAGTTACTCAGGAGGCTGAGGTGGGAGGATCACTTGAGCTCGGGAGGTGGAGGGTGCAGTGAGCTGAGATTGCACCACTGCACCCCAGCCTGAGTGACAGAGCCAGACCCTGCCTCATAAACGAATAAATAAATAAAGTAAAACATAAAAGATAAAAAGGTTGCAGAGAAAGAAAGTTTTCAGCTCTTCCAGTGGATCTGACAGGTGCTTGAATTCTGCTTTTGATCATCTTGTTTTTTGCCTGCAGTCCTTGTGTTAAAATGGATAAAATGGAGATGATTAACCCCGGACAGGCAGGTCATCTGATAAATTGGAAGAATAAACACCCGATGAGATGACCTGTCCTTCTAAAATGTGTGCATCTATCTCCTCCAAGGTTTAAGGACATTTTTTGTCTTCCCCATAAAGCGTCTCCAGTGTTATGAGTCCCGGGCCTTCCTGCTGTAGACCCTGCTTCCATAGTCCACACTTCACACAAAGCCACGACACTGTTTCATGATTTAGAAGAGGGTTTCCCTTTCTAAGGAGGATACGATTAGACTTGTTTGTTTGTAAAGCCCAAGTTAATAACCTTTCAAAACGGATCTCAAAATGGAATGGCCCATGCTGACAACTGTAGTCAGAATTCTGGTGCACAGAGTAAGCAGCCCTGTGCATCACAAGGCACTGCACCCCCAGGCATGTTTCTCAATACTTACATGTTGTTTTGTCAACCTTTTCCTGTCACAAATGGAGGAAGATGTTAAAGCAGTTCAGCTCCTTGTCCCTTTCCTCTGTTGGCTCCTGTACTAGGTGTCTTCTCTTTCCTTTCTAGATCCACATTTTACCTGTCCACTCCAGGCCAGGGAGAGAGGCTGGCCCAAATGAACATCATCAACAGACTTATGCTTTCTGGCTTCTAGCTGGGTTTGGCTAAAGGAAGTCATCAGCAGGCACTGGGAGGTGGCGTGCAGAGTGAGTTGGGGAGTTTATTACTGCAGCTCACTCCCTTCCAGTTCAAGAGGGTTAGCTCATCCCACTTCTGGTGGGTGGTCCTTTTCAGTAGCTGCTCTCTCAGGGTGCCCAAAATCTCTCTTCCCTGACAGCCTTCATGCTTAGAGATGGTAACCAAGGAACTACATGACACGTTGTTGGTTTCAGAAGTTCTTCCTACATATTTGTCATAGTCCCTTTATTAAAAATTCCTCAACTAGTCTGTGCACAAGCCATCAGTTTCTTGTGGGGACTCTAATTGATAGTACTTTGTTGTGTTTCTCTCTCACTTTTTCTCCCTCTTTCTTTTTTGTTCTCTTATTCTCCTTTGTCTCACTCCTCTCCTCCAATTTCCTCTCCGTGTCTACCATTTTTTCTTTCTATCCCTGTCTCCTCCATCTGATACTCAATTTTTTCTCTGTTGTTTTAAAGTATTACTATTAAAGTAATACAGCTGGGTGCGGTGGCTCACGCCTGTAATCCCAGCACTTTGGGAGGCCAAGGCAGGCAGATCATGAGGTCAGGAGATTGAGACCATCCTGGCTAACATGGTGAAACCCCGTCTCTACTAAAAATACAAAAAAAAAATTAGCCAGGCATGGTGGCGGGCGCCTGTAGTCCCAGCTACTGGGGAGGCTGAGGCAGGAGAATGGTGTGAACCCAGGAGGCAGAGCTTGCAGTGAGCAGAGATCATGCCACTGCACTCCAGGCTGGGCAACAGAGCAAGACTTCATCTCCAAACAAACAAACAAACAAAAACAAAAACCAAAAACCAAAACCAAAACCAAACAGACAAACAAAAAGTAATACTGCATTTATTTACCTTATTTAGGGATGGAGATGAGCTTCAATTAACGAAAAAAAAATAATTTGAATAACATAAAAACAAGATATGGTGGCTGCTGGGACTGTAAAATGGTACAACCATTTTGGAAAACAGTTTGACAGTTTCTTAAAAAGTAAAATACACATCGACCATGCAATCCAACCATTCCATTCATAGGTATTTATCAAAGAAAATTGAAAGCATATGAGGACTTTTACATGAATGTTCGTAGCAGCTTTATTTTAAAGAGCCAAAAAATGGAAATAATCCAAAAGTCTACTAACAGGTGAGTGCTTAAAATATATCTAAGCAATGGAATACTACTTAGCAACAAAATGGAATGAAATATTGATATACGCAACAGCACGGTTGGGTCTTGATAACTAGGCTGCGCAAAAGAAGCCAGACAAAAAAGAGTACATACTATATGACTCTATTTATACATAAAAGCAACTAATTTATAGTGACAGAAAACAGATCAGCTGTTACCTGGAAGGCAAGGGCTCAGGGAGGACCAAGAGTTACAGATTACGAGGTGTGTAAGTTAACTTTTGAAGATAATGAATATGTTCACTATCTTGACTATGATGATTGTTTCACGCATGTATACATATGTCAAAACTTATCAAATTGTGCAGTTTAAATATGTGCAGCTCATTTAAATATGTCAGTTACACCTCAATAAAGCTGTTAAAAATACACAAAATGGTGGGTTTAAAGATGGTATATTACTTTCCTGTTGCTGCTGTAACAAATTACCACACACTTAGTGGCTTAAAACAATGCAAGTGTATTCTCTCACAGTTCTGCAGGTCAAAGGTCCAACCAAGATCGTCTCACTGGACTCAAGTCAAGGTGTGGGAAGGGCCAATCTCTTCTGCAGCATCTTAGGGGAGAATCTATTGTATTGTTCAACATCTGCTTGCCACCTCTTTTCCTTCTCTGTGGCCTCTTCCTCATCTTCAAACTGAGTTACTTCAATCTCTGCATCACATCACCTTCTTTCCTCTGTGGTAAGATCACCTCCTCTTCTCTTCTCCCTCTTGCAAGTACATTTATTATAACTACATTGTGATTACATTTAGTGCCCACTCAGCCCAGGATAATCTCCCCATCTCCAGATCCTCAACTTAATCACACCTGCAAAGTCCTTTCCGCCACATAAGAAAACATTTGCAAGCTCTGGGGATTAATGTGGATATATTTGGGGCCATTATTCGGTCTACTGTAGATGGTATATTGTTCGCTCTGTGAAAATGCATATTGCTTAGTATCTAGGAAAGGCTTATCTCCTTCTGCTTTGCCCTGAGGTATTTATACGTAGTGTTGGCTCTTGAAGAGAGCGGAACAACTTCCAGGTTGGATACTATATGAAAAAGCTCACTGGGCAGAAGTCATCCACTTCCTGTATGGGATTATAAGGCATCCCCAGTATAGCAGCCTAAACATGTTAAGCCCTTTCTCACATGGGCCATGCTTTTTCTTGAATAAAGGGCTTAGGCAGCTGGGGGAAGGATGACCCTTTAGATGATTGTTACGATTTTGTGCAAAGCTAATCCTTAGCTCGAAGGCGTCAGTCTGCCCTTTGTTAACTCATCTTTAATCATATCTGTGGTCTGACCAGGGAGATGCTGGGAAAATCCTCACCACCTGATTGCTGAAAGCAAACATCAGGGCCTATGTGTGGAGCTACTTCTACGGAAGCCGCTGAGGTGATACTCTCATTCCTAAAGTAGGGTAGACCCTTGAGCTTTGTTGACCCCAGACCTTGACCCTGGTGAACATTCTCAGAAAAGCAGGGTGTCTAGAGATAGGGTGTATTATGATAGGGAACGGGGTCAGAGGGAGATTTTCCTCTTAAGTCCTGCAGGGGTAGCAGATGGAATTGGAGTGACACTGTGACTGCCTACACTCTCTAGAGTGGCTGCCTCTTGTCTGCAGTCTGGCCCACACCGACAGTAGGCCCAATTTGTGGAAGCAGCCTTGCCCAATCCAGAAATGTCTCCAAGACCGGGAATTCTTCAGTGTGATCTCCTTCAAAAGGGAGAGAGTCATAAACAAATGACAAATGCAAGACAAATAGAGACTGGGGATAGCTAGTGGTTGAGCTTTGGGTATCTCTCGCAATGCCTTCGAGGCTCACAGGATGGTTCTTGATCTGTAAATTGACAGGGATAGCCCACATTTACAGAGTACTTTCCTATAGGCAGGGGAGAAGGTCTTATTTGTTCCTATTGTTGCTCTGACAGGCCAGGTTTCCTCCATATAGTTTAGCATCTGGGGACTCTGTCTTTCTAATGCAAAGGACCAGGTGAAGGAGGTGTGGGAGCCTGGGGAGATGGGAATGAGCTCTGTGATTGCGGACAAAGCTGAAGTTCCTTCCCTTGCCTGAAGGGGCCAGCAAAGGCCCAGATAGGGTGGAGACATCTTGACTCCCAGGAGGGAAAAAAAATCCCAGGAGACAGACAGCTCCTATCCAGCAACTGTGTGATTTCTCTGCCTGGACATTGACAGATCCTCCCACAGCGTTCCCTACCTGCCTGGAGATACTTGGGCTGGCCCTAGATGTCGGAGAATGGCAGTCTATGTGGGATTCAGGAGAGGGAGTGCACCCAAGGGCCTGGATGGAAGGGGCCACGAGGGTGTAGAATCTCCCACCGAGTAGCTCTGCCCTCTTGGATATTCCTGGGATGTCTGTGCCCCAGCCAGAGCCTGTGATCAAGCCATCAAAGCTAATAAGATAATTTCTGCATTAAATGAAATTGTGGATGAAGGATAGGGATGCAGGAACAGACTAATGGCTCTAATGTTTTTCCCCAACCTTTCACATCTCAATATAGTGCAGTCATCAGACTCCTTGTTCACGTGCTAGGAAAATGATGACTCCTCGGAGAAGCTGCTGGTAATGATCATTTAGTTTCTCATTCTTTTGTGTTTAGTTGGATGGGGTCAGGCAGGATAAACCATGGTAGAGGAGAACAGTAAATCACAATCTGCTCCATAGATAAGCATCTCTTTTCCCACCCAGTTTCACTGGTTGCCATGTTTTCAACAATCAAGAATATTCTTATTTTTTATTTACAAAAGTAAATTCTTCTTATAAAAAACAGAGAAAAAACAAAAGCCTCCTTTTACTTTACTCCTCCCATCTACACCCTGCCTCAGAAGTATCTATCACTGTTGATTTGGAGAATATCTTTCTCTCTATAGATAGTGTTTTAAAAATATGTCCACAACTATTTGATATGACTTCTTTCAAAAGGTGGAACCCACTCCCCTCACCTTAAGTGCAGGACGGACTTAGTGACTCACATTTAAAGCATAGAATGTGGCAGGAGTGATGATTTATGATGTCTGAGACTAGGATGTAAGTGGTGTTGAGGCTTCCTGTCTTGTTCTCTCCAACCCCTTGTCCTGGGGGAAGCCAGCTACCATGTTGTGAGGACACTCAAGCCAACCCAAGGAGAGTGCTGTGTGTTGAGGAACTGAGGCCTCCCGCCAACAGCCACATGAGTGATCCATAAAGAGATTATTGTAATGGATTCTGCCACCTGTGAGGGCATAGGCTCCCAGATGTCAGAGATACTCTGAAATTCGGGATTCCCAGGTACAGGAAAATGAGCAGAGGACAGAGCACACAATCCCCAGGCACATTTTTATATTGACACACAGTACCTAAGGGTGTATATAACAGGTATGTCTATTTTCAGTAACTTGGGTTTTGTGGTGGTTGCTGATATTTGCTACCCAATCGCCCTTCAGGGTTAGAGGATTTATTATCCCAGCTGCTGGCAGTGCTGCTGGCAGAGAGCCCTCACCCATCAACCTCCTCTGTGATTTCCTAAACTGAAGAGAGCCATCATGCCCAGGGTCATGCCCCTTCCCAGTAGCCCACATCCAGGATTGACTAATGAGTGGTATAGAGCCCAGCTCTTACACCCCAACTCAGGAGAGCTCTGATGGCCACCCCATCTTCGGAACTCTCTGCAGGATTGGCTGAGGCATTCATTGAGACTGCATTGCAGCTGAACTTCATCATCTGCCCATTCCCACGTCCCTCCCTTCCCTTTCACAGGTGTTGATACTCAAAGCACTCCCCAGTGAGCCTCCTGCATGCTAACCTCCATCTCAGAGTCTGCTTCCTGGAAACCTAAACAGGGACAGTGTGTTGTTCCAGGGATGTTCTTGGAAAGCAGATGAGGAGACAGTGTCTTAGAGTGGGATTACCAGCCACCCAGCTGGCATCACTGGTGGTAGATGGGGCATCGATAGCTAGTAGCAGAAGGTGGTGGTGCAGTCGCTCACTGGTGATGAGCTGCGATGGTATACTTGTGGAAGGGAGTGCATTAACTGGAACAAGGTATTAGGCATTTGAGAAATATGGGGGGTGTGGTAACTATACTGACACTCAGGAAAAGGATAATAAAAAGCTGAAAGTAATTAATCAGGTATTACAAGCTAAGTGTTGGCTGGGCATGGTGGCTCACACCTGTAATCCTAGCACTTTGGGAAGCTGAGGCGTTGGGGGGTGGTGTGGATCACTTGCGGTTAGGAGTTCGAGACCAGCCTGGGCAACATGAAGAAACCCTGTATCTACTAAAAACAAAAATTAGCCCGGCATGGTGGCAGGCACCTGTAATCCCAGCTACTGGGGAGGCTGAGGCAGAAGAATTGCTTGAACCCAGGAGGTGGAGGTTGCAGTGAGCTGAGATTGCACCACTGCACTCAAGCCTGGGTGACAGAGCGAGACATCGCTAAAGAAAAAAAAAAAAACTGTCAAAGCTGGAGGACCTTTTAAAAAAGAGTAGAGGAGCTCCAAAGGAGGTTAAACTCCCACATAAGGTGGGTCTGCTATGCCAAGGACAGGGGATCTGGGTGGGAAGAAGTGGGACCCTGACACATATCAGAGTTGATGCCCCCAGATCTTGACTTTCCAGTTTCCCTGGGAACCAAGGGGTAGAAGCAGAAGTGGCTCTGTTTACCATCATGCCCAGTGGCCAACTTGGGGACATCCCCCACCCCGTACCCTGCTGCATTCCTACATCTGTGGACTCTGTTAATTTAGAGGTCTTAGATCTCAAAGGGGAATGCTTTTATTTGGGAATAAGCAAAAGCCTTATTCAGCTATAATCTATGGCTGCCATTTGGTTATTTTGAGCTTCTTGTGACAAAGAACAGCAGGGAAATAGAGAATTCTCATCCTCACAGGACTGAATGACCCTTGTCATTAAGTGGGGTCAGGAAGGAACACATTGAGAAGGCAATATGGGGAATCTCTTCAGGTATACATTGATATAAGTCCTTGACACAGAAATCTACTTTATGGATGTACAGCTAGTCATCTGTATCCATGGGTTCTGCACCCCATGGATTTGACCAATGGCAGGTTGAAAATGTTTTGTTAAAACTTGCATCTGTACTTAATATGTACAGACTTTTTTTCTTGTCATGATTCCCTAAACAATACAGTACAACAACCATTTACATAGCACTTACATTGTATTAGGTATTGTAAGTAATACATAGATGATTTAAAGTATATGGGAGATTGTGCTTAGGTTATATGAGATTTTGGCATTTGCAGGAGGTTAATAACATTTGGAGGTGGAGCCTTTGGGAGGTAATTAAGATTAGAAAAGATCATCAGGGTGGGGCCCCCATGATAAGACTGGTGGTTTCATAAGAAGCAGAAGAGAGACCTGAGCTGGCATACACACTTCCCTCTCACCATGTGATGTCCTCTGCCATGTTATGACATAGTGAGAAGGCCCTCACCACCAGCAGCCTCTCAACCTTGGAACCCCCCGAGAAATGTAAGAAATAAATTTCTCTTCTTTATAGATTACCTAATTTTTGATGTTCTGTTATAGCAAAGAAAATGGACTAAGATAGTGAGTCTGGAGCACTTGGTTATCTGTTAGGAGGAAATGCTCCCACCAGAAAACACAATAAAGGTTACCCTGAATCTAAAGGTATGATTACCCTTTGATTATTTTGGAAATCTCATACTAGTAGAACAACAGAGATATAATTGCCTCTGATCACCATAAAGAAGTTGGATACCTGATACTAAACGGTGACACAGAACAATATATCTGAAATTCAAGGGATCCATTTGGGCATCTGTTGGTGGTCCCATGCCTTGTATTAACCATGAACAGACAATTGCAGGGATGGTGGCCTGACAAAGGAAAGCAAGGGCTCTGATTCATCCAGGTTAAAGGTCTGGTCACCTCCTAGGGCAAGCAAGCCTTGTTACATTAAATTTGAGGTGCTAAGAGACTATACAAGTGGAGATGTAGAGTAAGCAATTGGATACACAATTCTGGAGTTGGGAGAGGTCCAGGTTAGAAGCATATATTTAGGAGTCATCATCATATAGAATAGATGAGTCTACCTAGTAGGTGAGTATAAGTTACAAAAAGAAGACTTGAGGTCTGGGTCACACCAATGTTTAGAGAACATGACCTTTCAGTATTTGTTTGCAGAGGTGAGAGGTGGGAGGAAAATCAGGCATTTGGCATTCTCAAAGCCAAGTGAAGATAGTTTCCAAGGAGGAGAGTTATCAGCTGTGTCAGATGCTGCTGATAGTTGAAGTAAAATGAGGATTGAGTATTGACTCTTGGTTTTTGTGGTGTGAAATTTATTGGCGACCTTGACAAGATAGGTTTCAGTGGAGTGGGAGGGGCACAAAACTTGACTGAACTTGAAAATGGGGAGGAAACAAATAAGAGACAGTAGATGTAGACAACCCTTTCAAAGAGTTGTGTTGTTTTAAAAAATGTGGGAGTTGGGGGAGAATAGGCCAATGAGGAGGATCCCAGTGATCCAGGATAGAGGGTGAGCTGGTCAATGCAGGGGTGCAAGGGTAGACCAGTGAGGAGCTTCCTGGGATAGGCAGAAGGAGATAGGACCAGAATACAGGGTGGGGGTACTTTTAGCCAGGAGCACCTAGAATCTACCTAGAGTCAGTGGAGAGAAGAGAGAGTGAATGGGAAGAGATGTGTTTGGGTGGAGAGATATGTGGTGAGAGCTTGGAAGTTCTCTTCTAATTGCCCAATTTTCTCAGAGAAATAGGAGGAGAGGTCATCAGCGGAGAGTGAGGAGCTAGAGGCTTGAGGAGACATGGGAGGATGCACATAGGCTATATGCAAATAACATACCATTTTATACAGGGGACTTCAGCATCCATGGATGAATCACACAGTTGTCAAGGGAATGGGAGTATGAATGCAGATAAAGTGTGAAGCTGGGCAGCATCAATGGGCCACCCAAAGTTAGGGATTGTGGAGTTGGATTATGGATTTCATGATGTGAATGGGTAAAATATACTTTCACTACCTTGCTGACTGGTCTATATTGGCTCTGAAGAAGTCAGGTAAAAGTTTTATTCTTGGCCTTTATCCAACATATCTTGAAAACTGTGAAAGTGTCACTAAGCAGTTGAGCTTCATCTGTCCAAAGGTGATTTTTCCCCCGGTTAATAACATAACTTATCAGTGAGCGTTGAGAAGAGCTGAAAAGGATTGCACACATTTAAATACCTGGAAAAGCTAGTTGCAGCACTAAATGTTGTGTATCCATGCTATCATTGCTCATCTCTTGTAGAACTTTCCCCATCTGTGTTCCTTGATAAGAGTTGAGGTGTGGAAAGGTGAGGTCCTTAAAGGATAATTGTCAACACATCCACTGCCACATTCCACCATATATCCAAATTCAGAACATCTCAACACAGATTAAAACACTTAATTTCTAATACCAAGCTACACTCTTAACCAAATTAAGATAGGGAAAGATAAGAAGCCCTAAGGCATTAATCATTAAAAAAGGCATCCCAGTAACCAATATTTATAATGGCCTTTCCGTTGGCAACTTGGAGGTTTCTTCACTCGAGTTCACACACCATAGTAAAATAAGGATAGGAGCAGAATAAGACTCTCCTCCTTTTTGAGCTTGGCCAATTAAAAGGGGAGGTAGTAAAGTGAATTTTACATCACCTTGAACACAGGTGCTTTCTCAGGCAGGTTATTAGGAAAGACCACACGTGGAAATTGAAGATCTGAAAACTGATTTCTTGTTTTAAGAAACAACTTTATTGAAGCGTATCATAAAATTTAAGTCTACAATTCAATGATTTTTGTAACTTTACCAAGAGGTGCAACCATCACATTTGGTGAGTTGTAGAGCATTTTCATTGCTCAAATGAGACCCCTCATGCCCTTTACAGTTGATCTCTGTTTCAAGCCCCAGACCCAGGCAACCTTTATCTATTTTGTCTCTATAAATTTTATAAATTTGCTTTTCTGAATCTTTCATACCAATGAAGAAATTGAGTTTTAAAACATATATATGCCTACTTACCTCTCGGAAAGTCGTTGCATATATACTGTTCTATAGCATTCTCTTGCCCAAGGGATGGGACCCCTGTCTCAGGTCTATGGTATTTTTGGAAGAATATCTATTCATATCTCTGTATCTCTATAGATCTATTTATATAAAATATTCAATATACAATCTTCTTACCTTTATGATGAGTCCCAGTTGCTTTGTCTAGGGCACAGAGGGAATCCCAGCAACAGGAGTAGCTCAAGATTGGGCAGGTCCTGGGGTGTCTGGGCAGCTACTGTTCTCTCTCCTCTCTAAGTCAGGGCATCCTTTCCTTTCTCCTCCCCCTAGGACACACCAGGAGGTCTCCCTGCCCTCTTTCCAGACTTCACTTTGTTGAGTCCTCAAAGCCCCAAACCAGGATGGAGGCTTATACTGAAAGACACCAAATCACATTCTGTCCATCATGCAGGGCCTCTTTCACAGATTTGCTTACCGCCACAGTGCACAGGGACCCGTCTGAATCTCTATGGACTGTGCACATCAGCTCCCAGGAACTCTGGTCCTTTCCTTGCATTTTCTATGTTAACATATGGGCCCACTATCCATTCAGTTGTCTAAGCCAGAAACCGCAGTCAGCCAAGATCCTTCTCACTTCTTCCATATGCAATTGTCACCAAGGCCTGCTAATATGATATCTGCTAGCTTTTAGTTGATCTTCTCCTGATTCCTCAGTCACTGCATTTTGTTGGAGTGGTCATCTGTCTTTCCTGGAGTGTAGCTGTAGCTCCTGTTCTGCTCTTACTTCCAAACTAAGCTGGAGGAGTCTTTCCAAGGTGAAAAGCTGATCAAGTTCATCTCATTGTGGAGATTCAATGGCTTTGATGATAAAATGTACATTTCTTGGCTTCCTACACTGGGATTTTGTTGATTTGTCCCTGACTCCTCTCCCTTGCCTTCACAAGCTCCTTCTACTATAAACATAACAATGTTCTTGCATTTCATGCTTGCATCTTCTCATTCCCTGGATTGTTCCTACTCTTCCCTCAGACTCAGCAAAGGCATCCCTACTTCAGGGAAGCCTTATAAATACATCTACTTGGTTTTACATGGCTGTCTCTCCAACCCAACTTTCAGTGTTTCCCCTGCCCCTCCTCCCACTGCCACCAGGCTGACAATATCTTAAGGGCAGAGTTCGTATTTTATACTTCTCCAGAGTCATTGCACGTGATAGACGTCATTCAATATTTGGAGTTTCTTAGTCTCTTAAAAAAACACACCTTTTTTTGGAGAAAGGGAAACATGTACACTGCTGCTTGGAATATAAATTAATTTGGCCAATGTGGAAAGTGGTTTGGTGATTTCTGAAAGAACTTAAAAAACAGAATCACGATTCAACTCAGCAACCTTATTACTAGGTATATACCCAAAGGAATATAAATCATTCTACTATAAAGACACATGCACACGTATGTTTATCACAGGACAATTTATGATAGCAAGGACATGGAATCAACCTAAATGCCTATCAATGGTAGGCTGGAGAGAGCAGCCTGGCCAACATGGTGAAACCCTGTCTCTACAAAAAATACAAAAAAAATTACTGGGCATAGTGGTGGCCGCCTGCAATCCCAGCTACTTGGGAGGCTGAGGCAGGAGAATCGTTTGAACCCTGGAGGCGGAGGTTGCAGTGAGCCAAGATCACGCCATTGCACTTCAGCCTGGGCAACAGGGTGAGATTCTGTCTCAAAAAAAAAAAAAAAAAGGTAGCCTGGATAAAGAAAATGTGGTATGTATACATCATGGAATACTATGCCGCAGTAAAAAGAACAAAATCGTGTCCTTTGCAGCAACATGCATGGAGCTAGAGACAATTATCCTAAGAAAACTAATGCAGGAGTAGAAAACCAAATACTTAATGTTTTCCCTTATAAGTGGGAGCTAAACATTGAGTACATATGGATACAAAGAAGGGAACAACAGACATCAGAGTCTACTTGAGGGCGGAGGATGGGAAGAGGGTGAGGCTGGAAAAACTACTCCTGTGACATGCAATGTACCTACATAACAAACCTGCACATGTACTCCTGAACCTAGAAAAAAAGTCACATCTCTGTCTTAATGTCTGTCCTCTGTAGATGCCTTGAGCCTCTTATGGGATCATGAGGATTGTGTGCTGGGATCCCGGCAGACAAAGCTGAGATTCAGCTGGATAAAGCAGGCTGTAGCACAGCTGATGTTTGTTCTCTGTGGAAATCAGGCTCTTTTCTCCTAAGGTGAGTTCTAGAGCAGTTATTTCTACTATTAGTCCATTTTTTTGGCGTATATTCTATGTGCCTAACTGAGGTTCATTTGGTGTTTTCATCTTCATGCAAGCCCACTGAAGTGGGTGGTACTATCCCTGCTTGACACATAGGAAACTGAGTCATATACAAGTTAAATAACTTGCCCAACAAATATAATCATTATTCATTAACACATAGATTTGTCTTTAAACCCCATGCTCTTAACTTTTTTTTTTTTTTTTTGAGACAGGATCTCACTCTGTTGCCCAGGCTGGAGTGCAGTGATGCCATCTTGGCTCATTGCAGCCTCCGCCTCCCGGGTTCAAGCGATTCTCCCACCTCAGCCTCCTGAGTAGCTGGGACTACAGGCATGCACCACCATGCCAGGCTAATTTTTATAGTTTTTTTTTTTTTTAGAGACAGGGTTTCACCATGATGGCCAGGCTCCCATGCTCTTAACTTCTAAGCCATAATGTTTTATGAATTCAGTTATGAATTGGATACGTGTTGTGAACTAAAATTCAAGCAATTTTGTATTCTAACCCAACATGAACATTGAAGTTAGTGGGGTGCCTAAATGCTGGCTGAGGGTGGGAAACCAAGTTAACTACAGAGCCTCTTGCCTGGTCCTGCCTTCAAGTGCACCTTCCCAGTCTCAGCCTGGGCTGCTCTGAACAGGTTTTCTTGGACTTGTCAGCAAGATACAGGCTTCCATTGACAGTTTTGGAGTCAGGCTTAAATATGTGGAAAATGCCTCTATGTCAGGCAATTTCTTTCCAAAGTATGCTTAACTTCTTCTGGCTTTCATAGTTGTGAATCTATAAATTCTTTTGAGTAGAAAAGTGGTTTGCATCCTTGACAAAGTAGTTGGCATTAGAACCTAGTCTCGTCAGTGTTTGTTTGGCTTTTTGATTTTTAAAATTCAGAACAAATTGTAATGTGACTCAGGTCTTGAACGTATAACTCAGTGTTCCTGCACCAGGAGGGAAGAAGTGTGCTCCTCTTTAGGTAGAGAAGTTCTAGGAATACCACATAAAATTATATATATACACATATACATGAATATACACATACATGTATGTATACATGAATATATATGTGAAAATGTTTTGGCAACTGTAAATTGCTATACAGATGCTGGGTATGTAACTTTGTTAATTTTGTCATTTTGTATATAGCAGCTCTCATACTATTTGCTGTATTTAGCGGTTTTATTTTTCTTAAAATTCCTTGCCTTTTCAAAGCTCTTAATGAGGCATTTTTTCCCTTCTGTTCTTTCCCTGACATGCCCCATCCCCACAATTTGCCCTAAAGAGGAAAACAAAAAATTTTCTTTATGACAATCAGCACTTTCAACACTTCCGTGACCAAACGAGTGGCTTCCCCCAACACTCCCCCACACCAACCAATTCTCCCATTCTTTGGATGCCAGCTGGGCATCCTATAGTTCAATTGTGACACCAACTACCTGGAGTTAGTGTTAGTATAGGTTAAGGGCTCAGTCCCACAAGACTGTCCCTGCTCCAGAAGCCAGTTGCAAGTGCTGAATCCCCAAGTTACCCGCACTTCTGTCAGCCTTCGCTACAAAACCCAGGACCTCCTCTTCAAGTTTGACAATTTGTTGTGTTGGCTCTCAGGACTCAGGGAAACACTTTTGCTGGTTTATTATTAAGGATATGATAGAGGATACATATGAATAGCCAAATGAAAACATATATAGAGCAAGGTCAGCAAGGGTCCTGAATGCAGGGGCTCAGTCCCCGTGGAGTTGGGGTGCACTGCCCTCTGGGCACATGGGTGTGTTCACCAACACAGGAGGTCTCTGAACTCTGTCTTTTAGGGATTTTTATGGAGGCTTCATGTAGGCGTGATCAATTATTAACTCAAACTCTATCTCTTCTCCCCTCCCTAAGGATGGGAGTGGAGCTGAAAGTTCCAAGCTTCTAACCACGGCTTGGTCTTCCTGGAGACCAGCCCTCATTAAGGAGCCCAGCAAGAGTCACCTCATTAGAAGAAAAGATGCTCCTATTACACAGGAAATTCCAAGGCATTTAGGATCTCTGTGTCTGAAACTGGGGTCAAAAATCAAATATTAGAACAAAAGACACTCCTAGCACCTTTATGGCTTAGACAATTACAAAGGTTTTAGGAGCTATGGCCAATAGCTGGGAAAGAAGATCAAAATGTAAATTTCTTATGTCATAATATCACAACTTTTAGTTTCCCCTCTGTGTCTCTGAACATACAATCAGACAGGAACTCATATAATTACATCATTTGGTACGTTTACATAAATGTATTTACATGCTACACATCATTTGTTAACTTGTCTTTTTCATGTTAATGTGTCTCAGATATATTTTTGAATCAGCACATGGTATATTTACCTCATTGAAGAGCAATTCTGCACTTTTTGACGGAAGGCACTCATAAGAATACGGGGAGACTAGCAGCCATGTTTCAATCCTGCAGTGGAGCTGACGCCCGACTGGGCACTAGTGCTCTACTTGTGCAAAACGATGTCATAACAGATCCTGCCTTTTGAGTGGCCTGGGGTCAGTGGTCAGTAGACCTTTGCTCTTCAGAGTCCTCGGGAATCAGAACATGAGCAAACGAGAAGGCACAGAAACCCAAGTCACACTGACACAGTGGTAGTAGGTTCTAGTCCATTCTCAATCTTTCTACTTTGAAGAAATGCTTGAGTTAATTTTCAGGTCTCCGGGAATCCCTGCATAAATATAATTACATCTAAAGCTATGGGTCATTGTTATGAGAGTGAGCTATGGATGTAATAACCTACTATTATTTGTCAGTGTTATTTTTTATAGGGACTGATATTTTTCAGTGGATCTATTTACTGTAGCCAATCTATCAGCCTCCTCTTTTTGTGTGTTCCCCCTCCCCTCTGCCCCACAAAGGATATCCCTTCTACTGCAAGTCAGTAATGTAGGTGAGGAGACTTCAGTTTCTTCTTTTAATAAATTCCTACCTGATTTTTGAAAAATTTTATCCAAGTAGGCTTCAAAGTTTTATCACACATTCATAGTATAAGACACACTAATGAGGTATGGGACATGGTATATGATATATGCAAGAGTAATTATTTCTCCTATTTAAAGCTAACTTTTTTTTAACCAACCTGTGTTGAATAAAATCAGGTAGCTAACGACTGGATAACTTTGAAAAATCCATCTCTTTCTTTTTCATAAATTTTAAAAACCCTTAAGATAAACATAATATATTTCTTCTAAATAACTGGCTTAGCTCTCAAAAAAAAAAAAAAAAAAAAAAAGAAAAACATCCCTCTCCCTCTCCCTCGTCTCCATCTCCCGGTTTCCATGGTCTCCCCCTCTTGCTCTTCTCCGTCTCCCGCTTTCCACGGTCTCCCTCTGTTGCCGAGGCTGGACTGTACTGCCACGATCTCGGCTCACTGCAACCTCCCTGCCTGATTCTCCTGCCTCAGCCTGCCGAGTGCCTGGGATTGCAGGCACGCGCTGCCACGCCTGACTGGTTTTTGTATTTTTTGGTGGAGACGGGGTTTCGCCCTGTTGGCCGGGCGGGTCTCCAGCTCCTGACCTCGAGTGATCTGCCCGCCTCGGCCTCCCGAGGTGCCAGGATTGCAGATGGAGTCTCGCTCACTCAGTGCTCAATGTTGCCCAGGCTGGAGTGCAGTGGCGTGATCTTGGCTCGCTACAACCTCCACCTCCCAGCCGCCTGCCTTGGCCTCCCAAAGTGCTGAGATTGCAGCCTCTGCCCGGCCGCCACCCCCTCTAGGAAGTGAGGAGCGTCTCTGCCTGGCCACCCATCGTCTGGGATGTGAGGAGCCCCTCTGACCGGCCACCCAGTTTGGGAAGTGAGGAGCACCTCTTCCCGGCCGTCATCCTGTCTAGGAAGTGAGGATCGTCTCTGCCTGGCCGCCCATTGTCTGGGATGTGGGGAGCACCTCTGCCCGGCCGCCACCCAGTCTGGGAGGTGAGGAGCGCCTCTGCCCGGCCGCCACCCCATCTGGGAAGTGAGGAGCCCCTCCGACCGGCAGCCACCCCATCTGAGAAGTGAGGAGCCCCTCCGCCCGGCAGCTGCCCCATCTGGGAAGTGAGGAGCCCCTCCGCCCAGCAGCCGCCCCGTCTGAGAAGTGAGGAGTGTCTCCGCCTGGCAGCTGCCCAGTCTGGGAAGTGAGGAGTGCCTCCGACCGGCTGCCCCATCTGGGAGGTGGGGGGCGCCCCCGCCCGGCAGCCACCCCGTCTGGGAGGTGGGGGGGCGCCACGTCTGGGGGGTGGGGGGGGCCCCTCTGCCCTGCCACCACGTCTGGGAAGTGAGGAGCCCCTCTGCCTGGCTGCCACCCCGTCTGGGAGGTGTACCCAACAGCTCATTGAGAACAGGCCGTGATGACCATGGCGGTTTTGTCGAATAGAAAAGCGGGAAATGTGGGGAAAAGAAAGAGAGATCGGATTGTTCCTGTGTCTGTGTAGAGGGAAGTAGACATAGGAGACTCCATTTTGTTCTGTACTAAGAAAAATTCTTCTGCCTTGGGATGCTGTTAATCTATAACCTTACCCCCAACCCCGTGCTCTCTGAAACATATGCTGTGTCAACTCAGGGTTAAATGGATTAAGGGCGGTGCAAGATGTGCTTTGTTAAACAGATGCTTGAAGGCAGCATGCTCGTTAAGAGTCATCACCACTCCCTAATCTCAAGTACCCAGGGACACAAACACTGAGGAAGGCCGCAGGGTCCTCTGCCTGGGAAAACCAGAGACCTTTTTTCACATGTTTATCTGCTGACCTTCTCTCCACTATTGTCCTATGACCCTACCAAATCCCGCTCTCCGAGAAACACCGAAGAATGATCAATAAATACTAAAAAAATTAAAAAAAAAACTACCAGAAAAAAAAAGAAAAACAACAATGCTCTATACATTATATGAATTACATTTCTCTCTTTTTATAATTAATTTTTTATACAACAAATGTACATTTATTGTCTAAAAATTCTAACAGATTCTAACAGTACAGAGGTATACAGGGTACAAAAGTCAAAATCTCAGTTCATCTCTCCTCAGGCCCGATAGGGTTGAGACTCACCACAACATACTTTTTTTTTTCTGAAAACATGTCACGTTCATAAGCACATCATACTTTCTATGGGAAGCAATGATTAGCTGTTCACAGTGGACCCTTCCAGACTTTTTCTATATATCTGTATCTATTTACACATATAGGTGCTATGAATCTTTTATGTTTTTATTACATATGTTGGATTGTATTAAACATATTGTTCTGAAAAAAAAAATAGCTGGCTTAAACCAAAAAGCAAATGAATTTTGAAAAGTCAGCTTGGTAGACTTCTTTAAATAAGGATTATAAATTTATTTTAATTACTGTTATTTACTATATAAAAATTTTTGCAAGTATTGAATAGTAAAGCAATTAATCACAAGCCAAAGCAAAATGAGTAAGAATATAGTTTAAGACATTATTTTATTAAAGATTTGAAGTTTTTTTCACTGAGTGACATGATAAAGGTCAAATAAAGGTCTAGCAGATGCAAAATTATTATGCACATATATTAGTTTCTTGATTTCCTTTATAGGCTTATATGTGCATACAAAGTGTTTTTCTGAGGTTAAAAATATAGAATGAAATTCACATCTTTTATCTAAAACATATCCTTACTTTTTACTGCATAAATACATACTGAATTCTGGGCCAAACTCGTGATAAGCACACATGGATATCATTTTCACCTGAAACGAGGCGACATCTGTCCCAGTTCTTGATGGTTGTTAAACAAAAGAAAGCTTGCTTACACGTGTAAGAAATTAAAAACTTCAGCAGATTGTTCATTGTTTTCTTATGAGTGGTAGGATCCTCTTACAGAAATACAAAACTTTTCTAGGGCAGATCAGGAAATCTCACGTGGTTTACTTCACAAAGTTCTTCCTCTTTCTCAAAGTCAAATTCTTGGGATGAGCAGAATACATAGATTCGGAGACAGGATCCTTATCCTGCAATATGCTTGTGTGGAAAGGAAGGAAAATACTGTTAAATTTTGTTCTGCAGTTTTCCTGATGGTTTTCAATAAGGCTTGAGACTTTCTGTATAATAAATAATTTAACTTTATCCAAAAAGATGTCTGACCACCTTTTTTTTTTCCCCTTTGCTCTCAGCTTCTGGGAGGTGGTCTCTAAGCCCTTAGAATGTCCTGTCTGGTAGGAGTGGCTTTTTAATTGATCTTACAAATGCTTTTTCTGTCTCAATCCTAAAAGGAATAAATTGGAGTTTGCCTTTCTGTGAGAATGATTCCAATTTACATTTACCGAATTGCTATAGGTACTGTCATAAACTGGTGAGAGGAGGTTTGGATTGATGCAGGTTCTGAGTGTAATATTACACTATGTTGATGATATCATGATAATGTCTGAAACTGAAGACCAGGATGGACTGACCTAAATGGGGGATGACACACTTGACCAGCACAGGATTGTTGATAACTCCTGCAAAAGTCAAAGAGCCTGCTCAATTGGTGAAATTCTTAGGAATAACCTGGGTAGGAGCCACCCATGACATTATACAGGTGACTACAAACTGCTGTCAATATCTATTCCTAGATCTAACTAAGAATGTTAGTTATAATCTAGTCCAACTTTTGTGTGGTAGCTTTGAGTTTTGAAGGATGCATATTCTACATTGGGTATATTGCTAGCTTTTGTCCATACAACTACCCCCAAAGAGGGCCATACTTGAATGGGGACCCAAACAAAATCAGGCCATGTCAGAAGTGTGAAAAGTATTTTCTCTCCAGATGCTTTTGGGCCCTTATGTTCCACACTCATACATGATTTTGGAAGTCTCTGTAACATACTTACGTGGACTGGAGGTTACTGTAAAAGCTTATGAGTGCCACCCAGAGGGGGCCAATGGAATTTTGTACTAGAACATTCTTGGATGGCGTGGTAAGATATATGCCAGGAGGGAAACAACTTCTAGTTTGCTATTGGGAATTAATGGAGACTGCCTCTATGACTGAAGGATGTAAAATACTCCTGAAACCTGAAATATCCGTAATGTCTTGGGTGATGTCAGAGAAACACTCTAATAAAGAAGGCAGTGTCTGGAAGTGTTCCATGATAAAATGGAAATGGGTTCTATAGGAACATGTTACTGGGGGAATGCAGAGGGACTCATTGTATCTACAAGCAGGTAGGCTCTTTCCCTCTACCACTGACTTTGGAACTGTTGTCAGTGGGCTGGTTCAGGTTCTTGACTTTGCCACACAAAAGAATTTCAGAATGAGTCCAAAGTAAGTAGGCAAATAAGTTTATTGCAAAGTGAAAGTACACCATGAGTATTCATAAAGTACTGGTGAGGGCAAATATGCAAAGGTGGACCTGCGATTGGCATGTGTGCTCAGTATCTACATGCTCTAACATGGATCACATGTATCATTAGCATATAAAATCTCCACCTAGGGGTGTGTTTTTTACTATCAAAATGAGGAAAAAGCCATTATAAACTAAACCTGAGCCTAGCTGCTCATGCAGGACCCTTGAGAAGTGCCTATTTCCCCTAAGGCAGAAATTTGATTGGCTGGAGATTGGGGAAGCTACATCAGGAATAAGGGGCTTTTGTTCTCTTTCCCAGGCTGTACTGGATATCAGGAACTTGTAACTATCTGGCAGCTGCTGGTATCCTGGAGGACTGCTTATCTTGCACAATATATTAGGTGCTGATGCACGAGTTTGCAAGGGATGCAGAGTCTGCTGTGAAAAAAGCCCACAGGGCTTCACACAGGAGGACAAGTCAGTATGGCCTTCTAACCTTACTTATCCTGCCTCAGAACCACCTGAGAGGCTGCTGGATCCGATCACCACCTGGACAGTGCCCTGTTAACAGATCTGCGTTAACCAACAAATACAGATCTGTATTAACCAAAGAGCTGCTTGGTTTGCAGATGACAGTTCCAAGATGGATGAATGGCATCCTGTCTGGAAGGCCACCACACTAAGACTGGCAGATTGAAAGGCTCTGTTTGAAGAAGGTAACAAATTAACTCAACAGACTTAATTACATGCTGTTTTCCTGGCAGTGATGGGAGAATTGAACAACAATAAAAAAGCCTTTAGGTTTGGGTTTTTACTGACTCATGGGCAGTGGCCAGTGGCGTGGCTATATGGTCAAGTAGATGGGCAATGGAACACTGGTCTATTAAATGGATGCTCACATAGGGCATGACCTTATGGAAATTAGGCAAGTCTCCTCTAAGAAAGACTTGGTCAGAGACCAGGGGGTGGCCAGTATATTAAAATATACCCCTGAGTATTTAAGGAGTGCATTAAAATAGGACATGTTGATGCCCACAAGAAGAGCTCCTTTCTAGGGTCAGAAGGTAATTAGAATTGACAAAAATATATCCTGGTTTGCTGCTTGATGTGGCTACTTGGGTCCCTGAAATGAAAGGATGTGGAAGTATTACAGCAATGCAGAGATGGACTGAATCCAGCCATTTTCCTCTTGCAGAAATTGCCAACAAGATCTGGTCTGGTCTGTGTGCCAATAAAAGAGACAAAGACTGCAGATGGCTATGGGACAGATTTCCTGGGAGAGGGTCCTCCCATAGCTGACAAGTTGATTACAATTCTTCTCCAGATCACCTCATTTTTTTTTTTTCTGTATCATTTCAATTTTCTTTTTTCCTACTTGATGTAGTGATCCCAGCACCAGAGCTGTGACTGCAGATTCAGGAGTCAGGGATGATCCCTAAGCAGGAAACTGTAACTGTACTTTGAAACTTTTAGATCAGAATTCCTAAGATCCTGATGAAATGAATTGTGCCTTCACCCCATCCTGCAGAATTGGGGTTGACAGTGACTGCAACAATATTGCCTAGTGGTAATGATGCCCCACTAGTTCTGTGCCTGTCTAACCCTACCCTATGTCAGCAAGAGTGAGCCGAGGGTGTGACACCTGCTGGACTAATCTTGTTGCTGGACATCTGGATCAGGACAGTGGCTGAACCTCACGTCTCTCAGAGGTGGCAAAGGATGGGTCAAAAGATAAAGGGAGAGAGGAGGAATAGCAGTTGAAGATGAATGAATAAATGAGCTATGTAATGAGGAAAATCCACTATTACATTTGTACCTCAAGAGAGGCTCAAAGCAAGAGATGATATTGTCTCTCTTAGCTCAATCATATCAGATGTCTGAAAGGGTGAGGCCATTTGTTGCCAAGACCACTTCTGCTTTTGGAACCTGACAAACTAGAATAGAAGCCTGCAAACCTGAGTGGCATTGCTCTGGGAGACATTTTGGGCATATGAATTAATGATAAACTGAATCAACTGTTAATGACTGAGTGAGATTCTGGTAATCTACCATTCTGCAAAAACAGTATGACACTGGTATTGCTGGTAAGGTTGTAAACTGATACTGATGATCAATGTATTGGTGTGTCTGGAATTGGTGGGTTCTTGGTCTCATTGACTTCAAGAATGAAGCCACGGACCCTCGCGGTGAGTGTTACAGCTCTTAAGGTGGCGCGTCTGGAGTTTGTTCCTTCTGATGTTCAGATGTGTTCTGAGTTTCTTCCTTCTGGTGGGTTCGTGGTCTCGCTGGCTCAGGAGTGAAGCTGCAGACCTTCGCGGTGAGTGTTACAGCTCTTAAGGCAGCGCGTCTGGAGTTGTTCGTTTGTCCCGTTGGGCTCGTGGTCTCGCTGGGTTCAGGAGTGAAGCTGCAGATCTTCGAGGTGAGTGTTACAGCTCATAAAAGCAGCGTGGACCCAAAGAGTGAGCAGTAGCAAGATTTATTGCAAAAAGCGAAAGAACAAAGCTTCCACAGTGTGGAAGGGGACCCGAGTGGGTTGCCACTGCTGGCTGGGGCAGCCTGCTTTTATTCTCTTATCTGGCCCCACCCACATCCCGCTGATTGGTAGAGCCAAGTGGTCTGTTTTGACAGGGTGCTGATTGGTGCGTTTACAATCCCTGAGCTAGATATAAAGGTTCTCCAAGTCCCCATCAGACTAGTTAGATACAGAGTATAGACACAAAGGTTCTCCAAGGCCCCACTAGAGCAGCTAGACACAGAGTGTTGACTGGTGCATTCACAAACCTTGAGCTAAACACAGGGTGCTGATTGGTGTGTTTACAAACCTTGAGCTAGATACAGAGTGCCAATTGGTGTATTTACAATCCCTGAGCTAGACATAAAGATTCACCAAGGCCCCACCAGAGCAGCTAGATACAGAGTGTCGACTGGTGCATTCACAAACCTTGAGCAAACACAGGGTGCTGATTGGTGTGTTTACAATCCCTGAGCTAGACATAAAGACTCTCCACATCCCCACCAGACTCAGGAGCCCAGCTGGCTTCACCTAGTGGATCCCCCACCAGGGCTGCAGGTGGAGCTGCCTGCCAGTCCCGCGCCGTGTGCTCCTACTCCTCAGCCCTTGAGTGGTTGATGGGACTGGGCGCCGTGGAGCAGGGGGTGGTGCTCGTCGGGGAGGCTCGGGCCGCACAGGAGCCCTTGGAGTGGGTAGGAGGCTCAGGCATGGCGGGCTGCAGGTCCCGAGCCCTGCCCCCACGGGAAGGCAGCTAAGGCTGGGTGAGAAATCGAGGGCAGCGCCGGTGGGTTGGCACTGCTGGGGGACCCAGTACACCCTCCGCAGCCGCTGGCCCGGGTGCTAAGTCCCTCATTGCCCAGGGCCAGCAGGGCTGGCCCGCTGCTCCAAGTGCGGGGCCCGCCAAGCCCACGCCTACCCGGAACTCCAGCTGGCCCGCAAGTGCCGCACGCAGCCCCGGTTCCCGCTCACGCCTCTCCCTCCACACCTCCCTGCAAGCTGAGGGAGTGGGCTCCAGCCTTGGCCAGCCCAGAAAGGGGCTCCCACAGTGCAGTGGTGGGCTGAAGGGCTCCTCAAGTGCCGCCAAAGTGGGAGCCCAGGCAGAGGAGGTGCCGAGAGCAAGCGAGGGCTCTGAGGACTGCCAGCACGCTGTCACCTCTCATTGGGAAATGGGGTTAAAGCTCCTTAGAATGTAATGTTGATGGAAAATGACTGCCTTGTGGAAGAACTGGAGTTAGCTAATCATAAGCTAATTTTTATGTTAAATAGTTCTGCACAAATTTATCACAAGATACAAATAGTGGTAGATGAAGGGGGGAAATGTAACCAAATCAGTATTAATATATCAATTGTATGCAATGGCTTTATAGGATGGATTAACTGTTTCTTGTAATATATTTCTATCCCTTACTGGCTCCTCCAAATATTAAGGTTATATTTGTTTTGCTCTAAGAGAGACTTGGTCAGAGACCAGGGAGTGGCCGGTATATTAAGGGATGTAATCTTGCCCCTCAAATGCCTGTCCTTTGCCTTCAGCTTCTATAATAAACTGTAGTTTGTGAGGGTCCTCTTCCTGATTTGTAGAAGGACACCTTCTTGCTTGTATCCTTGTATGATGGTGAGGAAGAGCAGTCATCTCTCCTGTGCCTGCCTTTCTCCTTTCTCTTTCTTTCTTTCTTTCTTTCTTTCTTTCTTTCTTTCTTTCTTTCTTTCTTTCTTTCTTTCTCTCTTTCTCTCTTTCTCTCTTTCTCTCTTTCTTTCTCTCTTTCTCTTTCTTTCTCTCTTTCTCTCTTTCTTTCTTTCTTTCTCTTTCTTTGTTTCTTTCTTTTTCTTTCTTTCTCTCTCTTTCTTTCTTTGTTTCTTTCTTTCTCTTTTCTTTCTTTCTTTCTTTCTTTCTTTCTTTCTTTCTTTCTCTCTCTCTCTTTCTTTCATCTTTCTTTCTCTCTCTTTATCCCTTCCTTCCTTCCTCTCTCCCTTCCTTCTTTCCCTCCTTCCCTCTCTCTTTCTTTCCTTCTTCTTCTTTTCCTTCCTTCCTTCCTTCCCTCCTTTCTCTCTCTCTCTTTCTTTCTTTCTTCTTCTTATCTTTCTTTTCTTTCTTTCATAAAAAATTAAATAGAAATAGGGTCTCACTATGTTGCCCAGGCTGGTCTTGAGCCCCTGAGCTCAAGTGATCCTCCTGCCTCGGCCTCCCAAAGTGCTAGGATTACAGGCATGAGCCACTGCACCCAGCCAGCTTGTGTCTTTTCTTATAAGGGCAGTAATCCCATTCATGAGAGCTCCACCTTCATGACTTAATTATCTCCCAAAGGTCCCACCTCTAAATACCATCACATTGGGGATTAGAGCTTTCACATATGAATTTTGGGGGCACACAAAATTTAGTTCCTAGCACAACTTTTTGTATTAGTGCACTGAAGTGATCTAGATGACTGCAGTTCTTTCCCATAAATCTTGTCAGCGAGAGAATTACAAGAAATTGAAAGAAGTTCACAGTACATTCACTTCTAGCTTACATAATTCAAATTTTTTTAACATTTAGAAGAGTAAAGCTCTTGTGGGGCAGCTGCTGGGCATGAAAGTTTGCTCCTGATTTTCTATTGCCCCTGTCGAGCATGTTCACTACTGTCAGGGAGTCAGTTGTTTATCAGGGAAGGTTAGGGAGGAAAATCCAGGGGGATATACTGACATCGGCAGCCTACCCTCCCTCCTTTTGTGCAATGCAGTGCTTGCCATTTATCAATACCCTCTTTTATCTTACATTAAATATTGAGAACGGATGCAACCAAATGACCACAGTTCTGCATCTCACTGCCGCACAGGACAGAAAGCTTTCTAAAAAAATTGCCAACGTGGCTGCTCTGTCACTGCCCTTCACTGGAAAACCTCAGTATCACCCAAACTGCAAAGTTCAACAGCTGATTTTTTTCAATCATTTTTTCTTCTCTTATTTTCAAATATTTAATTGACAATTTAGATTGTGTATCTCACATTCGAAGTGTACAATGTGACGATTTTATATATAAATGCATTGTGTAATAATTATCAAAATCAAATTAACACATCTGTCACCACCCATGCTGTATTTTAACTCTCCAGAACTTGTTTATCTTATGACTGAAGGTTTGTCCTCTTCGATCAACATCTCCCTATGTCTCCTTAACCCCCATCGCTGGCAACCATTATTCTACTCTCTGTTTCTATAAGTTCAACTCTTTTAGACTCCACATATAAGTGAGATCATACAGTATATGTCTTTCTGTATCATTTATTTCATTAAACATGTTGTCCTTCAGGTTGATTCATGTTGTCACAAATGGTAGTGTTTCCTTTTTTAATGGCTGAATATTTGTCATACACACACACTCACATATATATAAACACACACCACAATTTCTTTATGCATTTATCCATCGATTGACACTTAGTAGTTTCCAAGTCTTGGCTATTGTGAGTAATGCTGAAATGAACATGGGAGGGCGGGTATTTCATCGAGCTACTGATTTCGTTTCCATTGCATATATACTCAGAAGTGAGATTGCTAGATCATATGGTTATTCTAGCTTTAATTTTTGAGGAAACTCCATACTGTTTTCCATAATGGCCATATCAATTTACATTTCCACTAATAGTGTACCTGTTTCTCTCCATCCTTACTAACATATATCTTTTGTCTATTTTGATAACAGTCATCCTGACATGAGAGGTGACATCTCATTGTGGTTTTTATTTACATTTCCTTGGTGATTAGAGATGTTGAGCACCTGTTCATGTAGCTGTTAGCCACTTGTATGCATTATTTGGAGAAATATCTATTCAGGTTCTTTGCCCATTTTAAAATTGGATTATAAGTTTTTGTTATTAGGTTGTATGACTTCTTTGTATATTTTAGATATTAATCCCTTATCAGATATATGGCTTACAAACATTTTCACCCATTCGGTAAGTTGCCTTTTTGTTTTATTGTTCTTTTTTTTGTGCAGAAACTTTTTAGCTTGATGTAGTTACTTATTTATTTTGCTTTGGTTACTTTTGCTTTTGGTGTCATATCCAAAAAGTAATTGCAATGACTAATGCCAAGCAACTTTTTTTTCTATTTTTTTCTAGAATTGTTATGGTTTCAGATCTTACATTTAAAAGTCTTTAATTCAAATCAAGTTAATTTTTGTGAGTGGTGTAAGATAAAGGCCCAATTTTATTCTTTTGCATGTGGACATTCAGTTTTCCCAGCACCATTTATTGAAGAGATGATCCTTTCCCCATTGTGTGTTCTTAGTACCTTTGTCAAATATTAACTGATTGTATATGTGTGGGTTTATTTCTGGGGTCTTGATTCTGTTCTATTGATCTATTTATCTGTTTTTATGTCAGTACCATACTGTTTTGATTACAATGCTTTTGTAATATACTTTGAAATCAGGAAATGTGATGCCTATAGCTTTGCTCTTCTTTCTCAAGATTACTGTAGCTATTTGGGGTCTTTTGTAGTTCCATACGAATTTTAAAATTGTCCTTTCTATTTCTGTGAAGAATGCAATTGGAATTTTGACAGGAATTTGATTGAATTTGTAGATTGCTTTGGGTAGCGTGAATATTTTCACAATACTAATTTTTCCAATCCATGAACATGGAATATCTTTCCATTTATTTGTATATTCTTCAATTTCTTTCATCAGTATCTTATAGTTTCCAGTGTACAAGTCTTTCACCTCCTTGGTTAAATTTATTCCTAGGTATTTTATTGTTTTCGATGCTATTATAAATGGAATTATTTTCTTTATTTCTTTTTCAGATATTTCATTGTTAGTGTATAGAAATGCAACTAATTTTTTTGGTGTTGATTCTGTAGCTGCAATTTTACTGAATTTGTTGATTAGTCTTAATAGTTTATTGGTGGAGTCTTTAGAGTTTTCTTATATAAAATCATGTCATCTTCAAACAGAGACAATTTTACTTCTTCCTTTCCTATTTTGATTCCTTCCTTCCTTCCTTCATTTCCTCCTCCTCCTCCCTTTCCTCCTCCTCCTCTTCCTTTTCTTTCTTTCTTCCTTTCTATCTCCTTCCTTCCTTCCTTCCTTCCTTCCTTCCTTCCTTCCTTCCTTCTTCATTGCTTGGCTAGGACTTACAGTACTACGTTGAATGGAAATGATGAGAGTGGGCATCTTTGTCTTATTCCTAATCTTAGCAGAAAAGCTTTTGACTTTTCACTGTTGAGTATGATACTAGCTGTGGGCTTGTCATATATGGCCTTTGGTATGTTGAGGCACATTCCCTCTATACCTAATTTGTTAATAGTTTTTACCATGAAAGGATGTTGTGTTTCATCAAATGCATTTTTTTTGCATTTATTGATGTGATCATATGATTTTTAGTTTTCATTCTATTAACATAGTGTATCACATTTGTTGATTGTATGTGTTGAACCATTCTCACATCCCAAGGATAAATCCTTCTTGATCATGGTAAATGATCATTTTAGTAGGCTGTTCAATGTGGTTTGCTAGCATTTTGTTGAGTATTTTTACATCTATGTTCATCAGGGATATGGGTCTGAAATTTTATTTTCTTACAGTGTTTTTATCTGGCTTTGGTGTCAGAGTATTGCTGGTCTTATAAAATGAGTTTGGAAGAGTTTTTTCCTCTTCAATTTTTTGGACAATTTTGAGTAGGATTGGCATTAATTCTTCTTTTAATGTTTGGTAGAATTCACCTGTGACACTAGCTGGTCCTGGAATTCTGTTTGTTGGGAGATTTTTTTTTTTTCAAGAAGTAAGCTTAAATCTCATGTTGGGAGGTTTTATTAAAAATTATTAATTCAGGCTGGGCACAGTGGCTCACGTCTGTAATCCTAGTACTTTGGGAGGCTGAGGTGGGCAGATTACCTGAGGTCAGGAGTTCAAGACCAGCCTGGTCAACATGGCGAAACCCCGTCTCTACTAAAAATACAAAAATTAGCTGGGCGTGGTGGTGCATGCCTGTAATCCCAGCTACTTGGGAGGCTGAGACAGGAGAATTGCTTTAACCTGGGAGGCAGAGGTTGCAGTGAGCCCAGATCGTGCCACTGCACTCCAGCCTAAGCAACAGAGTGAGACTCCATCTCAAACAAAACAAAAAATTATTAATTTAGTCTCCTTTATTTATTTATTACTTACTTGTTCCTGCTCTATTCAGATTTTTAAATTCTTCATGATTCATTCTTGGTAGATTATATAATGCTAGGAATCTATCCATTTCTTTTAGATTATCCAACAGAAGGAAAATTGGAAAATTTACAAATATGTGGAAATTAAACAATGCAACTCCTGACCAATAGGTCAAAGAAGAAATAAAATGGAAAATCAAAAAAATCTTGAGAGAAATGAAAATGGAAACAAAACATGCCAAAACTTTTGGGATGTAGCAAAAGCAGTTCTAAAAGGGAAATTTATAGCTATAAATGCTTACATTAAGAAAAAAGAAATATCTCATATAAGCAATCCAACTTTACATCTCAAAGAACTAAAAAAAGTAGAACAAATGAAGCCCAAAGTTAGCAGAAGGAAGGAAATAATAAATATTAAAGCAGAAATAAGTGAAATAGAAAACAGAAGAAAAAAAGAGAACTTAAATAAATATAATTAAAAAAAATCTTAATCTCTCTCACAACCATGGTAGAGAAAACCAGACTGCGAGATTAATATTACAAGTGTAACCAGTTTTGCCAACTTAATAAAGAAAGCTATTATTTCTCCAGTATTCTCCAAAACCCAAATAATTATGAAGTCTACTTCCCCTGAGGAGTTCCCTTCCCTGATATGTCCAGAAAGCACTTGATAGTTACCTCAAGGCTCAGGACCAGCCTGGGCTGCTCACCAGTATCACTAAGAACTTCCTTGATGTGGAAGGATCCAACAGGCCCTACCAGAATGCCACTGCCCTGGAAGTTGCCTCAGCTGGGCTGCTATGGCTGTTGCCACCAGCACTTCTGCCAGCTCTTCATTTAAAGTCTTCGTTCTGCCTTTAAGTTGCAACTGTCTCAATTACTCTCCTCCTCCCGCTTCACCTCAGTCTAATCAATCCTCTCAGAAAAGCACTTAAGCTTCCAAGTCACAAAATAAAATTTAAAATATTTATTCTCTAGAAGCCATAAAGGAGCAGATTGATAAATTTAACTGTGTTAAAATTTAAAACTTCTGTTTGGCAAAAGACAAGACAGACTGAAAATGTAATTGCAGAACATATGATAAAATGGCTAATTGCCTTAATTTGCAAAATAACTCATGCAAATGAATGAGAAAGTAAAACAACTCAGAAGAAAATAGACATGTTATAAGAACAGACAGTTCACAGGAAAAATATAAATGGCCTGTAAAATTATGGAAATATACTTAGTCTTGCACGTATTTAAAATATGGAGATAAAAACATCAGTAAGATAGAATCTTTCAACTTATAGATTGGTAAAAAATTTAAAAAACCTTTATACTATCTAGAGCTGGAAAAAGTATGGAGCAATAGGTACTTTCAGATTTTTTGATGAGATTTTGTATTGTTGCAACCTTTGGGAAGGCAATTTGGTAACATCTATCAAATATTTAAGTGTATGTGTATTTTGACTGTTTTGACTGAGAAATTTCATTGCTTGGGATTTACATTGTGAATATGCTTGATAAAATTTCCTATTAGTGTATGTGCAAGAATATTTGCAGAGGCATTGTTTTAAAGGAAACAAAAATGTTATTCCCAAATATACATTTTAGATGTATTTTAAGATGGTTATTCAGAGGGCCTGCAGACAAGAATAGCCCAGAAAAGCTGCCTTTTCTGGAGGAGATTTCATCTGTAGAGAAAAATCTACATTAGTGAAATAAAGCTAGGCTTTCTCTGAGGCACCCTTTTTTAGTCCAGATCTAGGAAATATTAACTCAAGCGCAGGCTACCGTCTACTCTTTCTGAGAGCTGCTACCTGCGAGGTTTCATCTACCTAATAAGACTGCCTTTGGTAGCCATGCCTTTCCTCTTCTCTACCTCCCATAACCTGTATTGCGGTGCTCCAAGCTCTTTTCTTTCTGTAACCTCAAGATGGTATAAAAGCATCAACAATCTGGCTCTTTGAGTTTTATATTTTGTATGACTCCTGTGAATACATGCGCATGTTAATACATTTTGTATGCCCTTCCTCCCTTAAGTCTGCCTTTTGTCAGTTGATTTTCAGTGAACCTTCAGAGGGCAAAGGGGAAGTTTTCCCTTGGTCCCTACGGTTTAATAGTGTGATCTGAGAGCCCAAAATAAATGCCCCTTTATCAACTAAGATAGACTCTAAGGTTAAGGAAACAAAGTTACCTACGAGTGGAGCATTCAGAGCCCAGCTGGCACGGCAAATTTCTAAATTCCCAGGACTCTAAACTTCCTAACAATAGCAGCCATTGGACCTCTCCTAAATCTGATTTATAACCCAGACTACTGTAATTCTGATTGGACAGAGGACTGGCCTTACAAACACTCTTTTCTGATAAGCTACTGTAAACATTAAGCCAGTTTCAGTCAGCTTATAGAGGCTGTGGACAAACGGTCTTTGTGCCGTACGGTTAACCTTTTGATGTAAAGAGCCAAATTCCACCTCATTTCAGTGCTAAAACCCTGTTTCAAAGTAAACTTGAGATGTATGTAACGTGTGTTTACTCGTTGCTCATTTGCTCAGCTCCCCTCATAAATATGTATAGCTTTTCCCCAAACCTGCTGAATATGTATGGCTCTATTGTGTAACACAGACCCATGAGGAGTAAAACCCAAGCTGTTCCCTCCCCCTACAAAGAGAGACCACCGTCAGTCCGTGCTGGTTTGCTGGTTTCTCTTCCCAACTTACAAACCAATATCACCAATAAAGCTCTCCTTTCTGCTATTTAACCATCGTGGTGGTCTTTTGAATGGCAACAGCGAACAATTTAAAAAGCAAACTCGTTTAATAGCAAGCAACTTAAAAAGCCAAGCTTAAGTATCTATTGATAGGAAAATTAAATTGGAGTATATAAAAATAATACAGCTGTTTAAAAGTGAGGTAGATTTGTAAGTGCTGAAAGGGAAAGATGTCCAAAGTATATTATGAAACATAAAGAACAGGGTACAGAGTAATATGATGTAAATGAGAATTACATGGCCATAAAGACATGCTAGTAGATGCATTCAGCATTTTTCTAGGAAATGTACAACACACACACACACACACACACACACACACACACACACATTAACAGCAGTTGCCATGGAGAAAAAAGCCATGGAGGAATATTTTATTTGAGCTTTTTCTTCTTTTGGACATACAGGGTTGGGTTAAACACAGTCTTCAGTTCATGGCATGCCCCGTCATTGGTTTAGACAGGCCCCTTAGAGAATGACAGGCCTCATTCTCCACTTTCATTTGCCTCCTTCTCCTTTAAAGAAAACCCTTCTGTTTAATGTATGTGGTATTACTTGCATGTATTCTTGTAAAATGTGTATTGTCTGTTTGGTATGTTGTATTCATTTTTATAACTGATATGTGCGATGGATCCTATTTTTTCACTCAGCATAATGCATGACACTCTGGGTGTGTGTAGTCGTTGCTTCTAACTGCTGATGGTACTCCACATTTTTCCTATCTGCTTTATTCTAGATAGATATCTGGGTCACTTTCAGTTCCTCTCCATCACAGTGTGAATAAACATCCTCATACAGGTACTCAAGTAAGCTACAGTGTGAGGTTTTTTTTTTTTTTTTTTTTTCCAGTACACATCCAAAAGTGGATCTTGATGGTCATGAAGCACAATGATATAGAACTAAGAACTGTCAGATTGCTCTTTAGGGTGGCTGCGCCTGTCTACATGCCCACCAGTAACATAAGAGGACACTTCTGTCCTCACATTTCTGCTAATACTTGGCATTGTTCAGCTTTATAATTTTTGCCAGCATAATAAAGTAATGTCGTGTTATTTTAAAAAGTTGAATTATTCTCATAGCCAGTTTGGGCCTCTCCTTATATACTTGCCAGCCTATTTGATTTCCTCTTTTTGCAAATTGTTTATTTCCTTTGTTCATTTTTCTTTTGGATTTTCTGCTTTTTAATCTTAATTTTAATAGCTTCTTGTATATCTTAGATACTGTGTTAGTTTTTAAAAAACATTAGGGATAGCAAATAACACAAAATTTGTCACCTGTTTGTTAACTTTGATCATGTTGTACTTCCTTGAATAAATTTTCTTAGTTTGATGCAATTGACTTAATCAGCTTTGGCCTTATGATTTGTTCTTCTGCTGTTCTTTAGAAGTCCTTCCCTGCCTGGTATTGTTAGGAAGATATTAACCCACAATATTTACCATTGACTTATAATCTTTTGCCTTGAAGTCTTTAATCCTTCTAGAGATTTCCTTGTATATATACTCTGGTAAGTAGGGATCCAGTTTGATTTTTTACCTCTAATGAGACAGTTTTTCCAACATCATCTCGTAAACAATTTGTCCTTTTGTCAATCAACTGTGATGCAAGATTTACTGTATATCAAGTTCTTATTATGGGTACAAACTTTTTCTCAGTTCTTTGTTATATTCCATTGTCCATGTTTTGTCCTTGTGCCAGTATCATACATTATTTAATTTTTTATCATGAGATATAAGACAAAGAAAAATGCACAAAACATAAATCTCCCACTTAGTGATTCAAAATGAGCGCCTAGCTCATTACCACTCAGGTTAAGAAAGCACACTGCCAAGAACCCAGAAGCCCCTGTGTGTTGCTCAATTTCTGATGCCTTTCCATTATCTTAAGGCAATCATCCTCCCAAAGTAACTAGCACCCTGACATTTATGATGATTAATTTCCCACTTAAAAATACTTTATTAAGCATATATTTATAAACCCTACACTTTAGTTCTGCCTGTTTTTGAACTTTATATAAAAGGAATTATACAGTATGCATTCTGTGTAGCCTGGCTTATTTCACTCAACATTATTGATGAGATTCATCCATGTTGTTATGTGTAGTAGCAGGTTATTGTTTTTCACTTCAATCCCAGTTTTCAGTGGTAGATTAAAGAAACACTCACAGTCCTTCACTCTTTCCAATACCCATGCCTTTTGCAATGTGACTTTAGAGCTCCTCCCATGAAGAAATGGGGTCTAGTTCTCTTCCCTGGAATCTGGGCTGGCATTGTGGCTTCCTTTGGCCAATAGAATATGGTCAGGGTGACCACACGCCTATTCTGAGCATAGGCCTCCAGCAGCCTGTGTGCTTCTGCTCTGTATTTCAGGACTCCTGCCTCAGCCACATGAAAAAGGCTGGGCTAGACTGCTGGAGAATGATGTATGTGGAACACAGCTGAGTAAGCTTGGTTGTGTGGGCTAAGCCCTCAGAAATTAAAAGAATCTCACAGATGCATGAGGCAGCTCAGTTGAGACCAGAACTCCCCAGCTGAATTCAGTCTAAATTGCTGATCCATAAAATTGTGAACTCAATGAAAAGTCACTAAGTTTTGGGGTAGTATGATAGACAACCAATACATATTTCATTGATGTCTGTACCACAATTGATCCATTCTACTGTTGATAGAAATGTAACTTGTTCCAGTTATATAAATTGCACTTCTATAAATTGTGCTGCTATAAAACATTCTTATCATGCCTCCTAGGGCATATGTGCATGCAGTTCTATTGGGCATATATCCAGAATTGAAATTTCCTAAATTTTTTTTTTTTTTTTTTTGAGATGGAGTCTCGCTCTGTCGCCCAGGCTGGAGTGCAGCGGCACCATCTCGGCTCACTGCAAGCTCCACCTCCTGGGTTCACGCCATTCTCCTGTCTCAGCCTCCCAAGTAGCTGGGACTACAGGCACCTGCCACCACACCCAGCTTATTTTTTGTATTTTTAGTAGAGATGAGGTTTCACTGTGTTAGCCAGGATGGTTTCAATCTACTGACCTTGTGATCCACCTGCCTCAGCCTCCCAAAGTGCTGGGATTACAGGCGTGAGCCACCGCGCTGGGCCAAAAAATTTTTTATAGCTACATAATAGTTTTACATATTTATGGGGTTTGATATTTTGATACAAACATACATTGTATAATGATCAAATCAGGGTAATTGGGGTGTCCATCACCTCAAGCATTTATCATTTATTTGTGTTAGGAACATTCCAATTTCACTCCTCTAGTTATTTCAAAATATACAAAAATTACTATTAACTATAGTTGCCCTATTGTGTTACCACTGGATCTTACTCCTTCTATCTAACTGTATTTTTGTACCTGTTAGCCAACCCCTCTTCATCCTCTAATCACCTCCACAGTTCCCAGCTCCTGGTAACCATCAACCTACTCTCTATTTCCATTAGATCGACTCTTTAGCTCCCATATATGAGTGAGAACATGTGATATTTGTCTTCCTGTGTCTGGCTTATTTCACTTAATATAATGTCCTCCAGTTCCATCCATGTTGTTGCAAATGACAGGATTTCATTACTTTTTATGGCTGAATAATATTTCATTGTTGTATGTGTACCACCATTCGTCCAATGATGGTTACTTAGGTTGATTCCATATCTTTGCTATTTGTGAATAAACATGGAAGTGCAGATATCTCTTTGATACACTGATTTCCCTTTTTTTTTTTTTTGGATATATAGCCATCAGTGGGATTTGCTGGATCATATGGTAGCTTAATTTTTAGTTTTTTGAGGAACCCCCATATTGTTTTCCGAAATGGCTGTACTAATTTATATTCCTACCAATAGCGTATGAGCATTCCCCTTTCCCCACATCCTCACTGGCACCTGTTGTTTTATTGTCTTTTTGATAAAAGTCATTTTAACTGGGTTTAGATGATATATCACTGTGGTTTTGGTTTGCATTTCTCTGATGATTAATGATGTTGCACATTTTCTTCACATACCTGTTGGCCATTTGTATATCTTCTTTCAAGAAAGGTCTGTTCACATCTTTTGCCCATTAAAAAAATTGGATTACTTGTTTTCTTGCTGTTGAGTGGTTTGAGTTCCCTATATATTCTGGTTATTAATCCCTTGCCAGTTGAATAGTTTGCAATTTTTTTCCCATTCTATAAGTTGTTTCTTCACTTTGCTATTCGTTTCCTTTGCTGTGAAGAAGCTTTTTAGTTTGATGTGATCCCGTTTGCCCATTCTTACTTTGGTTGCCTGTGGTTTTCAGGTCTTACTCAAGAAGCCTTTGCCCAGACCAATGTCTTGGACAATTTCCCCAATGTTTTCTTCTAGTAGTTTTATAGTTTCCGGCCGAATTGGAATTTTTAGCTCATAGAGTATTATATCTTTACCTTTAATAGTTAATGACTTTATTTATAAAATAGCTGTATGAATTTATACTTCTATCATCAGCATATAAGAGTTCTCATTGCTTCACATTCTGTGCCAACACATGGAATTGAAGAAACATTGAAAAGTTTGCCTTTGAGTTCAGGAACAAGACAAAAATGCCCACAAATACTACACCTTTTCAGTGTTATACTGGAAATCCTACCCAGTGTAGTAATTCAAGAGAATGAGTAAAAGGCATAAATATTGGAAAGGAAGAAATAAGGTGTTATCATTCATGGATCATCTGATGATTGGATATTTAGAAAATCCGAAAGACTCTATAGATAAATTATCAAAATTAATACATTTAACAAGTTGACAGAACAAACTTCATATTTGAAAATAATTTACATTATTATATATTAGCAGCAAAGAGGTAGAAAACAAAATAAAAAGAAAGATGCTATTAATAATAGCATAAAATATTAAATAATTAAGAATAAATAAAGCACAACATGTGCAAGCCTTTTGTGCAGAAGTCTATTTAAATTACAAATCTTACTTAATGGAGGGAGGTATTATGTCTGTGGTTGGATGACTCAGTATTATATACATTTTCCTTAAGTTTGTCTACAGATTCAATGCAATACTAACAGGTTTGTTGAATTGTTTCTAATGCGAATATACTATAATTCTCTTTAAAAACCTTTGTATGTAATATTTCTTTTAGCTCTGACTGCCTCCATGATTTCCTTATTATCTTTGATACACAGAAGTTTGAATGTCATCTATCTAGGGGTAAGTGTGTGTGTGTGTGTGTGTGTGTGTGTGTGTGTGTGGTTTTATTTGTTTTTATTTTGCTTGAGGTTCTCTAAGTTTCTTGTACCTCTGGTTTGATATCTTTATTGATTTCAAAAACTTCTTGGCTGTTATGCGTTAACTATTTCTCTTCTGCTCTATTGTCTGTCTTCTCATTTTGGCCAATTACACATATGTTAGACAGATTATATTGTCCCACTACTTGTGGATGTTCTGTTCTTTTTTTTTTTTTCTTTTTTTGAGACAGAGTCTCACTCTGTCTCCCAGGCTAGGGTGCAGTGGTGTGATCTTGGCTCACTGCAACCTCCACCTCCTGGGTTCAAGTGATTCTGCCTCAGCCTTCCAAGTAGCTGGGATTACAGGCACACGCCACCACGCCTGGATAATTTTTGTATTTTTAGTAGAGATGGGGTTTCATCATGTTGGCCAGGCTGGTCTCAAACTCCTGACCTCAGATGACCCACCCACCTTGGCCTACCAAAGTGCTAGGATTACAGGTGTGAGCCACTGCGCCTAGCATGAATTCTTCATCTTTGATGTCATGTTTTCATTTCTAACATTTCTACTGGACTCTTGAGGATAGTTTCCATCTCTCTGCTGAAATTCCCCATCTACTCATGCATGCTAGCTACTTTTTCCAATAGGCCTTAAAAAAGTATTAGTCACAGTTATTTTGAAGCACTTGTCTCATAGTTTCAACATCTAGGTCATCTCTGAGTTTGGTTCTGTTGATTGCTTTATCTCCTTGCAATGAATTATTTAAATTGACATATGTGTGTCTCATAGTTCTTGATTGCATGGTGAACATAATGTGTAGAACAGTAGACACTAAGTTAAATAGTATTTATGTATGGAAATAGACATGCCTTTTCTTCTGTTAGACAGTGTGGGAGGTTGAGTCAATCTCGTCAGAAATGGAGGTAGGCTTGGGTTTTTGTTTTGTTTTGAGACAGAATCTCACTCTGTCTCACAGGCTGGACTGCAGTGGCGTGGTCTTGGCTCACTGCAACCTCCACCTCTGGGTTCAAGTGATTTTTGTGCCTTAGCCTCCGGAGTAGCTGGGATTACAGATGAACATCACAACACCTAGCTAGTTAAGCTTGGGTTTTATTGTTGCTCTCTTTACTTTTTTTATACCACTGAGTTAAATCCCTCTAGTGCTGTGCTTTTGTTGCCTTCTGCTTAAGGTTGAAGCTGAGGTCAGAGGATTTTTCTCGGTTTCCATACTTCACCTTCAGCATTTAGCCATCCCTATATGCTCGTGCAAAAGAGGGTTTTCTTTTCATTCTCTTTCCCCTTTCCTAGTGGCAGACTACTACAGTTTATTATTTTGTGCTACGCTTGTGGTGAGGGCAGGGGAAATTATCTGTTGTCCTGGTTCTGTTTCAGTCTTGGGTACGCCCTCTCTGTGTGCTTGGGCCTTAATGATGGGGCTTTCTCAGCATTGCTGTTCTTCCTTGTGGCAACCAAACTCAGATTTAGATCTAAGGTTGGTCTTGGGCAGGAGTTTCCCACTCCTCCCATAGTAATAGCAAATATGTTTTTTTGTTTGTTTTTTAGATCGGATTTCACTGTGTTGCCCAGGCTGAGTGCAGTGACATGATCATAGCTCATGGTAATATCAAACCTCTGGGCTCAAGCAATCCTCCTGAGTAGCTAGAACTCAGACTCCTGAGTGGCTAGGACTACAGGCATGGGCCACTGAAATTTTTTTTCAGGGGTGGGGTCTTGCTATGTTGCCCAGGCTGGTATTGAACTCCTGACCTCAGGCAATTCTCTCCTGCCTTAGCCTTCCAAAGTGCTGGGATTACATTCATGAACCACCATGCCTGGCCATAGCAGATCTGCTATGTTGGGAGCATGGGCTTCGCTCTCAGTAGCTCTGTGGAGTGCCGAGGGCTTGGAAACCAAGCACACAAGCCCCAGGCACATTCTTATCCTGACAAAGAGCCCTTATAGGTTTATACAACTGTCATGTCAAGTTTCATGAGCTCATGCTCTAAACAATGTAACCAACACACTAAGATGTCAACCCAAATTCTGTCTTTAAAACAGAGCAGCTGGATAGCAAAGCCTCAAGCCCATGGAAAACATTTATAAACCTCCATGACAAGCCATCTCCACAAACCCCGAAATAGAACTGGTGACAAATCCCCAACAGCTACAAGACCTGCATGGTAGTAACATCTGTGTGAAAAGAAGACAGAAGTAATGGGGCAGTGTCAATGAAGGATCTGAGAAGAGAGAATTCCAAAGAGCTGACAATAGTTCACCGGCAAGCACAGTGGACATCTTTGGAAACAGCTGATGAAACTGGGAGGGGCTTTGTTCAGCCCAGTGTTGGGTGACTGCGAGGAGTGCCTGGTAGACTATGAAGGGGCTGGCATTGTCCAGACCCTGTGAACTTTGAAAAGGACCTGCACAGGTTTGTTTCTAGGGCAGAGTCCCACATTGAGGAGAGATTGCCAGGAGTGGAGGCAAAATTGAGCCGGGCGGGGGCAACATGGATGAAGAAAGAGAGGGCCAGGTAAAAGTAGGGCAATGAGAATAGAGCCGGGACATTTTAAGGGACTATTTTATTTTTAAATAATGCATAAAACCATGGACTATGGGGCAGTTTGAACTTATACAGTTTATCATGAACGATGTTTCCTTCTAAAAATTCAGGAAAACAAAATTCACATAAAATTAGTATAGGAAAAGATCACAGTCAAATGTCATTTAAAGTTATTATTCAAAAACATAAAGAAAATGTGATACACATACGCCATGGAATACAATGTAACCATAAAAAGGAATTAAATCATGTTGTTTGCAGCAATGTGGATGCAGCTGGAGGCCATTATCCTAAGGGAATTAATGCAGAAACAGAAAACCAAGTATTGCGTGTTCTTACTTATAAGTGGAAACTAAACATTGGGTACGTATGGACATAAAGATGGAAACAATAGACATTGGTGACTCTAAAAGAGGTGACGACAGGAGGGGGGAGAATTGCTGACAAACTTCCTTTTGGGTACTGTGTTCACTCTTTGAGCAACAGGATCAATAGAAGCCCAAACGTCACAGCATCACACAACATACCCTTCTAACAAACCTGCACGTGTACCTCCTGAATCTAAAAGTAAAAAAATATAGTTATTATCCAAAAAGATATGTGGGGGAGAATAACATCCCCACATATAGTTATGCTTCATTTACACAAAGAAAGAAAATGTGAACAAAGGGTTTCATATCCAGTGATACTGACTTTCAAGTAGTCATGCTTCACTTTATTGTTTTTCACAGATACTGTGTTTTTCACAAATGGAAGGTTTGTGGCAACCCTGCATCTAGCAAGTCTGTCGGAGCCATTTTCCCAACAACGTGTACTCATTTCATATCTCTGTTGTATTTTGGTAATTGTCACAATATTTCAAACTTTTTCATTATTTATTACATCTATTATGGTGATCTCTGATCAGTGATCTTTGGTCCTGTTGAAATTGTCCTGGGGATCCACAAACTGCACTCATGTAATACAGCAAACTTAAAAAAATTTTAAATGGTAAGTTCAGGGGTACAAGTTCAGGTTTGTTACATAGGTAAACTTGTGTCATGGTGGTTTGTTATACAGATTATTTCATCACCCAGGTATTAAGCCTAGTACCCATTAGTTATTTTTCATGATCCTCTCCCTCCTCCCACCCTCTACTCTCAGAAAGGCCCCAGCACGTGTTGTTTCCCTTTATGTATCCATGTGTTCTCATCATTTAGCTCCCACTTAGAAGTGAGAACATGCGGTAATACAGCAAACTTAATTGATAAAGTGTACATTCAGACTGCTCCAGTCACTGGCTGTTCTCTTGTCTCTCTCCCTTTCCTCAGGCCACCCCAATCTCTGAGACAAAACAATATTGAAATTAAGCCAATTAATAACCTTACAGTGACCTCTAAGTGTTCAAGTGAAAGCAAGAATTGCATGTTCTTACTTTAAATCAAAAGCTAGAAATAATTAAGCTTAGTGAGGAAAACATGTCGAAAGCCAAGATAGACTGAAAGCTAGGCCTCTTGCGCCAAACAGCCAAGTTGTAAACACAAAGGAAAAATTCTTGAAGGAAATTAAAAGTGCTACTTCAGTGAACACACGAATGGTAAGAAAGCAAAACAGACTTATTGCTGATATGCAAAAAGTTCTAGTGGTCTGGATAGGAGATCAAACCAGCCACAATATTCCCTTAAGCCAAAGCCTAATCCAGAGAAAGGTCCTCTCTTCAATTCTGTGAAGGCTGATAGTGGTGAGGAAGCTCCAGAAGAAAAGTTTGAAGCTAGCAGAGGTTGGTTCATGAGGTTCAAGGAAAGAAGCCATCTCTATAACAAAAGTGCAAGTGAGGGTGCAGCGGCTCACACCTGTAATCTCAGCACTTTGGGAGGCCAAGGCGGGTGGATCACCTGAGGTTGGCAGTTTGAGACCAGCCTGACCAACATGGAGAAACCCTGTCTCTACTGAAAATACAAAATTAGCCAGGCACATGCCTGTAATCCCAGCTACTTAGGAGGCTGAGGCAGGAGAATTGCTTGAACCTGGGTGGTGGAGGTTGTGGTGAGCCAAGATTGCACCATTGCACTCCAGCCTGGGCAATGAGAGCAAAACCCCATCTCAAAAAAAAAAAAAAAAAAAAAAAAAGAAGTGGGAGGTGAAGCAGCAAGTGTTGATGTAGAAGCAGCAGCAAGTTATGTAGATCTAGTTAAGAGAATTGGTGACAGTGACTACACTAAACAACAGAATTTCAAGATAGACAAGCCAGCCTTCTATTGAAAAAAGGTGCCATCTAGGACTTTCATAGCTAGAGAGAAGTCAAGGCCTGGCTACAAAGCTTGAAAGGACAGGCTGACTCTCTTGTTAGGGGCTAATGCAGCTGGTGACTTTAAGTTGAAGCCAGTGCTCACTGACCATTCCCAAAATCCTAGGACCCTTAAGAACTACCCTAAATCTACTCTGCCTGTGCTCTATAAATGGAATAACAAAGCCTGGTTCACAGCACATCTGTTTACAGCATGGCCTACTGAATATTTTAAGCCCAATGTTGAGATCTACTGCTTAGTAAAAAAGGTTCTTTTCAAAATATTACTGCTCATTGACAATGTACCTGGTCACCCAAGAGCTCTGATGGAGATGTACAAGGAGGTTAATGTTGTTTTCATGCTTGCTAGCACAATATCCATACTGCAGCACATGGATCAACAAGTAATTTCAATTTTCAAGTCTCATTATTTAAGAAATTACATTTCATAAGGCTGCAGCTGCCAAAATAGTGATTTCTCTGGTGGATCTGGGCAAAGTAAATTGAAAACCTGGAAAGGACTTACTATTCTAGATGCCATTCAGAACATTCGTGATTCACAGGAGGAGGTCAAAATATCAACATTAACAGAAGTTTGGAAGAAGTTGATTTCAACCCTCATGGATGACTTGGAGGGGTTCAAGAGTTCAGTGGAAGAAGGAACAGCAGATGTGGCAGAAATTGCAAGAGAACTAGAATTATATGCGGAGCCCAAAGATATGATTAAATTGCCACAATCTCATGATCAGACTTGAATGTATGAGGAGTTGCTTCTTATGGATGAGCCAAGAAAATGGTTTCTGGAGATGAAACATATTCCTTGGGTGAATATGCTTTGAAATGACAAGAAATAATTTTTTTTGAGTCTTGCTCTGTTGCCTAGGCTGGAGTGCAGTGGCATGATCCTGGCTCACTGCAACCTCTGCCTCCTGGGTTCAAGCAATTCTCCTGCCTCAGCCTCCCATGTAGGTGGAATTACAGGTGTGCACCACTACACCCTGCTAATTTTTGTATTTTTGGTAGAGATGGGGTTTCACCATGTTGGCCAGGCTGGTCTCGAACTCCTGACCTCAGGTGATCCACCCGCATCGGCTCCCAAAGTGCTGGGATTACAGATGTGAGGTACCGTGCCCAGCTGACAAGAAAGGATTTTGAATATTATGTAAACTTAGTGGATAAAGCAGCAGCAGGATTTGAGAGCAATGACTCCAACTTTGAAAGAAGTTCCTGTAGGTAAAATGCTATCAAACAGCATTGCATGCTACAGAGAAATATTTAGTTAAAGGAAGGGTCACTGATGCGGCAAACTTCACTGTTGACTTGTTTGAAGAAATTGCCACAGGCACCCCAACGTTCAGCAACCACCACCCTGATCAGTCAGCAGCCATCAACATCAAGGGAAGACCCTCCCTTCATCAGCAAAAAGAGTATGACTTATGGAAGGCTGAGATGTTTGTTAACATTTTTTAGAACTAAAGTATTTTTACATTCAGGTATGTACTTTTTAAAAAGACATAATGCTATTGCACACTTAATAGGCTACAGTATACTATTAACATAACTTTTATATGCACTAGGAAACTAATACATTTGTGTGACTTCCTTGACTGAGATATTAGCTTTATTATGTTGTTCTGGAACCAAACCCGCATATCTCTGAGGTATGCCTGTATCACACAGAATATTTCTTCCTGTCCTAAAAATCCTCTGCTCTCTGCCTATTTGCTCCTCTCTCCCCTAAAACCTCTGGCAACCACTGATCTTTTCACTGTCTATGTTGTTTTGCCTTTTCCAGGATGTCATATAGTTGGAATCATACAGTAGGTAGCTTTTCAGATTGGCTTCTTTCACTTAGTAATATGCATTTAAGATTCCTCCATTTTTTTTTTTTGTGGCTTTGTAGCTCATTTCTTTTCAATACTAAATAATATTCCATTGCCTGGAAACTGTATATCACAGTTTATTTATCAATTCACCTCCTAAAGAACATCTTGGCTACTTTAAAATTTTGGCAGTTATGAATAAACGCCCAAGTGTAGGTTTTTGAGTGGACATAAGTTTTCAGCGCCTTTGGATAAATATCAAGAACAGTTATTGCTAGATTGTGTAATAAGAGTGTTTATGTTTTGTGAAAAACTACCCAACTGTTTTCCAAAGAGGCTGTACCATTTTGCATTCTCACCAGTAATGAATGAGAGTTCCTGTTGCACTACAGCCTCACCAGCATTTGATGTTGTCTGTGTTCTGGATTTTGGTCATTCTAATAGGTGTGTAGTGGTAATACCTTTTTGTTTTAATTTGAATATTCCTGATGACATATGACATGGAGCATCTTTTTATAGGCTTATTTGCCATCAGTATATCGTCTTTGGTGAGGTGTCTGTTAAGGTCTTTGGCTCATGTTTTAATCAGGTTATTTATTTTCTTATTGTTGAGTTTTAAGAGTTCTTTTTATATTTTAGTATAAAAAGAACTCTTAAAACTCAACAATAAGAAAATACATTTGTATCTAAAAATACAAATCCTTTATTAGATATGTATATTGTAAATATTTTCTCCCAGTTTCTGGATTATCTTCTCATTATCTTGACACATTTAATTTTTTTTTATACTTTAAGTTCTAGGGTACATGGGCAGAACGTGCAGGTTTGTTACGTAAGTATACATGTATCATGGTGGTTTGCTGCACCCATCAGCTCATCATCTACATTAGGTATTTCTCTTAATGTTATCCCTCCCCTAGCCCCCCACACCTGACAGGCCCTGGTGTGTGATGTTCCCCTCCCTGTGTCTATGTGTTCTCATTGTTCAATTCCCACTTATGAGTGAGAATGTGCGGTGTTTGATTTTCTGTTCTTGTGTTAGTTTGCTGAGAATGATGGTTTCCAGCATCATCCATGTCCCTGCAGAGGACATGAGCTCATCCTTTTTTGTGGCTGCATAATATTCCATGGTGTATATGTGCAACATTTTCTTTATCCAGTCTATCATTGATGGACATTTGAGTTGGTTCCAAGTCTTTGCTATTGTGAACAGTGCTGCAATAAACATACGTGTGCATGTGTCTTTATAGTAGGATGATTTATAATCCTTTGGGTGTATACCCAGTAATGGAATGGAATGGAAAATATCACAGTGCTTTGAAACTATAGTGAAAGTGAAAATTTCTTTATGAAATTTTTGTTTTATTCATGTGTGTGTGTGTGTGTGTGTGTGTGTGTGTGTGTGTAGCAGATTGCAATAGAAAATGTACTTCTTTCTATTGGTTGAAGTAAAGGAAGAGGTAGGAGAAGGAGGAAAGGAAAAGTTGGAAAACACTGCTTAAGTGAAAACATTGCACAGAACTTGATGCAATTTACCTTCTTTCTTTCTGATACTTACACAAGTCTTGTTTAGTGACTAACTGGCAGATTCTTAATCATGTAGGAATACAAATATTAAGAAACAATTTTTTATAAACAATGACCTTCGATCACTCATTAAGCCAATATTTATTTAGCATCTATTGTGGATTAGACTTCAGTGAAAGAATTTGGAAATTTCAGGGAAAAAACCTCAACTAATCTCTTTTGAATGGATTAATAAAATTAAACAAGATATTTGCACAGGGATTTAAACTGGTTTATAATAATAATGAACAGAAAGATGCCAACATGAGAAAACAGGGAACAATCAAGCATATTTATCAAGGCACTGTCTCTGACTTGGGCAGAGTGGGTTGCTGGGTTGGATTGCAAGACCAGAACAGGCTGCCATGATGGTACCACAGTTCCATCTCAGCAGTTCCCACCCACTGCCCCTTGGTGGGGACGTGAACCTTCTGGGGTCAGAAAATATTCTCTCCACCTGGATAGGCTTGGTTTTGCTTATATAACGGACTCAAAATGTGTTAGGGGGTGGGAAACAGTGACGATTTTCATTTGGAAAGTTAATTTTTGAAAAGGAATGAATGGTGAAGGAAGTGAGAGAGGGAGGGAAAGGAGGGAATCCATATGGAAGGTGACATTGGCAGGGATGTGGAAGAGTCATCACTGAAGGACAGTCTGTGCCATGCCACTGTCATTCATTGGTAGTGATTTAAAGTGAACCACTGGAAACTTGGAAAAATATGCCAGTTTATAGCTGAGTTGAAAGTTCTGGAAAAGGGACAATCTCGGAATGAGAATAAGTTGTAGATATTGTGGTATCTGACCAAGATGGCCTTAACATTCCCCTCAGCTTCACTAAATTTTGGACAGGCTTCTTCCTGACTCTGGAGCCCCTTGACCTCCCTTTTCTTGGAGCACTTACTTTTGAAAACCTGTAATTGTAAATACCTTCTCTGCCCCTTTGAGAGGTAAGTATTTTTTTTTTAAGCCTCTTGCTAATTTTATAACTCAGGAATGGCCTTCTCAAGGACCTTGGAGCCATCTCTTTGAAATGTAAGCATCAAGGGAGATAGTGCCCTATCTTCCAGTTTCTGTGGGGAGTGGGAGGGAGTGGGAGCCTCACTTCAATGGGTGCCTTGCTCCAAGTTGTAAAACTAACCTCCTGTCATGAAGATATGAGAAAGTTTGCTTTTTGTTTGGGTAAAGTTGGTTAGCAAACATAGATGGCCTATAATACTCCTCCCTACCCCATCTCTTAAAAACTCCTTTTGTTTCAGCAGAATTGTGTTCAGACTGAGTTCTGGCCTCTATCTCCTATTGCGACAACCTTGAATAAAGCCTCCTTTGCCTATTTAACTTTGGTACAATTTTTGTTTTGACATAGCCATTATCTAGTCAGGAAAAAATCCACTTGAACTTAGAGTAGAAAGCTGAATCAAGGTTCTTCCTCTGCTCCTAAATTACAGGGACTATGGACAAAATTCATCTCACTGAGCCTGGAGATTTAACCTGGAAAATTTACAGGTTGAACAAGATGGTCTCCAAGACCTCTTCCAGCATCAAAGTTTTTTTTGATGGCCAGATGCACTTGATTGACTAGGGATACATATTTATGTATTTTATATATAGTATTATATAATATTTACATATTATATATAATACATTAATATATTAAAACATATAAAATAATATATAATGTATAATATATATAGTCAGAGAAACATATAAATGATTTAAATCCAGGTGGGTTGTCTTGAGTGCTGAATAACAATTAAAAAACCATTAAGGACTAATTGGACCATACACTGTAACACTGCTCTTCTCTTGTCCTTAGAAGACTGAGGGGCTCTTTAGTAAGCATGAATGTGGCCACCAGATGGAAAATCCTTGTGTCTGGAGGAATGACAGGCCCCCAAGTTGCTGCTCTCTTTGACTTCCCAGAGATTTGTTTCTAGGAAGGTACTTTTGAGGCCATTTAAAATAGCCATTCTCTACAGACTCTCTTCAGTTGTCATAAAAACTCATCTGTCCTATCCTAGGTCAGACACCGAGACAGCTGGTGGGGATTTGGAACAACAGGTCCGAGGAGGGACAGGGACCCAGCCAGCCAGTTAGGGAATTGTGATGACCACTCCATACTACTTAACTCACTTTGCATTTTTATCGTACGAACCCATCACCTTCCACCCATTCTCCCAAAATAGAAGTATCATTCGTTCATTTATCCAGAAGAAACATCAAGAACATATGATGTGCTAGACACTGAGCTGGTTACTGGGAACAAAGCTACTATAATCAAGGTAGCCATGGTCCCTGCTCACATAGATCTTGCAGTCCAGTGGGGAGCCAAACGTTAAGCAAAAAATCATAAAAATAAACATTTAAATTTCAACTATGATAAGCTCAATGAAGATGTGGCGAGGAGCAGGGCGGGAGTAAGCTTAGTAAAAAGGGTCAGAAGAGGCTTCCTTGAAAAAACTACAAATAAGCCGAGGTGCTGAGAATATGGAGACAATGGAATTCTTGTGGGAATGTAAAATGGTGCAGCCACCGTGGAAAACAGTATGGCATTTCCACAAAAAGCTAAAAACAGAATTACCATACGATCCAACAATTTCATTTCTGGGTGTATATCCCAAAGACTTGAAAGCAGGGACTCAAAGAGACATGTACACCCATGTTGACAGCAGCATTTTTTGTAGTAGCTAAAATGTGGGAGCACCCCAGTCTGTGAATGGATGAATGGATAGGCCAAATGTGATACGTACATACAATGGAATATTAATCAGCCTTAAAAAGGAAGGAAGGGAATTCTGCAATATACTATAACATGGATGAACATTGAGGACATTATGCTAAGTGAACTAAGCCAGTCACAAAATGAGAAATACTGTATGAGTCCATTTTATGAAGTAGTTAGAGTGGTCAAATTCATAGAGACAAAGTAGAATGGTGGTTACAATAGGCTTGGAGGAGGACAGAATGGAGAGTTACTGTTTAATGGGTTTAGAGTTTCAGTTTGACGAGATGAAAATATTCTGGAGATGGATAGTGGTGACAGTTGCACAACCGTGTGAATGTACTTAATGCCTCTGAACTGAACACTTACAAATGGTTACAATGGTGAGTAAATTTTATGCCATGTATATTGTACCATAATAAAAAAAATAAGCCAAGGCTTGAAAGATGAGTGTGAGATAGACAAGGAAGAGGGCCAGAAACAGACTTCTAGGCACAAGGAAAAGCATACTCCTGTCTTGGGTGTAGACATGAATATTTATGAGAACCAGAAAGAAGGCCAGTGCTGCTGGAATGTGGGGCAGGGTATATGGCAAGAGATAAAACTGAGGGGGTGCTCTCACGACTCTCACAACCAACCAGCCACCAGAACCCACAGGTGCAATCAGAGCAACCTCCCCTGGATCCCTGCTGCCACTGCTTTAGCCTAGACCCTAACCATCTTTTGGTGGCACAACTAAAACCTAATTTTTCCCCACATGGCTCCCAGTGTATCATGTGGATGAGACCACAGGCTCTGGAGGCAGACGGTCTGGGTTTGAATCCTGGCTCTGCCACTTACTAGCTATGACTTTGGGGAAATCACTTGGCATCCTGAAATGGCCATGGTTACGTGTGGAATAATAGTCCCTAGCCCATAGCGTCTTTGTGAAGATTTAAGACATGGACTGCACGTACAAAGCTCAGGCAACAAACTCAGCTGTTCGAGAAATGTAGCTTTATTCTCTTGTAACGAAGCTTAAGTTTTATTTTGAGCCACTGTTCTGATAGCTTCCAGAAAGTTATCCGTAGTCAATTCAAGGCATCCTCAGGGCTTTCGTTTCTGAGGACCTCCCAGTGCCACAGCAGTAGTTGAGAGGAGCTGTTTGATCAGACTCTTAAGAGTGAGATGGAGGGCAAGCAGTCTATTTCAGAGGCGACCCCAGGAAGCTCCAGCAAGGAGCTGGGGCACGTGGAACACAGAAGGGCAGGAAGCCAGTACAGGGAGCTCTAATGAGCAAGTGACTGCTTTGGACTCCTGGTAGGTTTGGCAGATAAAATACAGGACTCCTGGTTAAATTCGTATTTCAAACAAACATCAAATAATTTTTTAATATGTGTATGTCCTGAGTATTACGATGGACATAATTATACTAAACATTATTCATCATTCATCTGAACTTCACATTTGAGTGGGTGTCCTGTATTTTTGTTTGCTAAATCTGGCAACCCTAGCTACTGGGGCTCAGTCTCCCCAGAGAAACTTTCATGGAATTTGACTCAGAGACAAAGCAGGCCCCAGATTTGTCCCAGTGGTGGGCAAAGACGATGGGATTATTTATCTACCTGCTCCAATCATTAGTTGAGCATATGATTAGTTGAGATATGAGAAATGCCAGGCCAATCCCCTGGCATTTCTGGCCTCCCCTGCTCCCAAGCTGAATGTCCTTTGGCCAGCCAAAGCCCTCGAGCATAGCCACAGGTACTTACCTTCAGCTGCCGTCTGTGGGAATGTCGAATGCAGAAAGGGAAAATAGTTGGGGCACCAGCAGTGTCTGCTGCAGTGGTCCTCATCATATAACAAGGCTGGCATACACTGAGACATCCACATCCCCACGTCATCCTTAGTTTCCTCTATCCCTGACAATCAACTTCCCTAAGGGCATATTTGTGTTAAAAACAAAGGAAATATGAGATCTGTGATAATGGACAAATTCCTTGTGTGACACATACACTCATATCTGTTTGCTTGAGGAAGCACTCCCCGTATGGCTTAGAGTCTAAGAGTGGATATCTATCCCTTTAATTCTGCATAATTCACTGCAAATATCTTAGACTGCAGCCAGATCATGCATTAGCCAGCTAGGTCCTCTTAAGTGAAGTACCTTAGTCATGCTGAACTCTAGCCAATGGAAGGCCACAAGAGGAGAAATAAAATCTAATCCTATTTGTTCTGCACCACCAGGGGTGACCGCTATTGTACAGAAGGGGTCTCTGGTCACAGAGATGGAGGAATTATCTAGAAGCTGCCTGCTCTGCTATACTGAAACATTTGCTAGGAGTTCTTACTCCTAAAGGTTGCCCCCAACCACCACTATGATCATCATGAAGTGACGGGAGATGGGAGGCTGCAGCACTGTTCTATCAGTCAGGGTTCTCTCAGTGAAAGAGAAGCACATCTGCATTGCAAGGAGAAAGGGTTTTAAAATAGGAAATCAGAAGCTTACACAATGATTAGAGGGGTTGGGGAAGCAATATGGAAACTGCTGCTACCTTCATGAAATTAAGAAGGGCTGGATTCCAGTAAAGCTGCTAAAAATAACCCCAGCTGTCTACAATACCAAAGCAGGTGATTCTCAGGAGGTTGCCCGGAAGTTGGAGCAAATCGTATGCCTGTCATATGTCCAAGCATCTGTTCACAGCTGACAACAGGGATACTGACTTCTCTTCTGCTTTCCAAATGCCTCGTGAGTGCCTTTAATTGGCAGACTCTAACCCAAGGCCATACAGGAAAGTGACACTGGGAAATGATGTTCCAGACCTCCCTGCAATGCAGAGGAGAATGCAGAAAGGGTAGGGATGATGTCTAATTGACAAAGACAATCTGGTATAAGCAAATTAAACCAAATACTTATGTCAAGGGTGGAAGGTACACAGGATACTATCAAAGTCCTGTGACCCCTTGTGTATTAGTAAAGTGTCTTATGGATGCTATTAGCAGAATCCTTAGGGTAAATTAAGCCTGGGCAGATGTCATGGCTCAATAATTCAGCCAGCATCTATTTCCTTCTCAAATCTCAGACTGCCTAGAAGTCTCAAATGTGACTCTGACACACACATAATTCTCATGTGGCATAGTCTATCTTTCCCTTGCAGCTTGGTAGTGCCCTCAAGCATAAATAGACTCTTCAAAGCCCAGATCCAACAGAGTGAGGTCCAGAAAGGGCAGGAGCTTCCTCTTTTCCATGTCTAAGTCCTTCCTGGGGCAGCCCTTTGCAGGGCCCAGAGCCTCCCTGATGACTCATACAAAAAATCCATGGCCATCTGCTTTTGGTAACCAAATGGCTATGGCCTGAACCTACGGCCCCATGTCGCTACAAAAAACCTACAACCCTAATTCACCATACAAGACATATGGTTTAGATGTTTGTCCTTTTCAGATCTCATGTTGAAATGTAATCCCCAATGTTAGTTGTGGGGCCTGAATGAAAGGTGTTCGGGTCATGGAGACAGATCCCTCATCAATGGCTTTGTGCCCTCCTTACGATAATGAGTGAATTCTTGCTTTGAGTTCTGGTTGTTTAAAAGTGTGTGACACCCCACCCCCCAATTGGTCAGAGAGTAGGAGATCTGGGAAAAACACAGGTGGGTGGATCTGTGGCAGTGGGGACAAATTGTGCAGATGTTTGTGTCTACATCAGTGCCCACAAGAGAGCAACCACCATAGAGAAGGCATGCAGAAACAAAATAAACAGAACAACTCCCTTTGATTACTCAAGTGCTCATGCAATGGCCAGTGATAGCCAGGGATGGAGGCTGTGCATGAACCCAACAGCATGTACTCCCTTTCATTAACACTGATCTAGCTATCTGCACTACTGAATTCCCAACTTCCCAGAAGCAGAGACTGGCCCTGTATACCCTCAGTATAAAACCATTCTTCAAGGAGAGCAGCCAGCCTCCTGGGCACAGGTTGATTGCACTGGACTCCTACCCTGGAGGAGGCAGTGATTTCTCCTTCCTTAATATGTTCTGCCTTCTTACTTTCATGGTTCTTCCAGCACTGCTATCTTAGGGTTTACAGAATGACTGAATTGTCAGCACTAGATTCTGCACAACATTGCTTCAAATCAAGGGACTCATTTAATGGCAAAAGAGGTATGGTCACAGAGATATTACCATAGGATCCACTGGTCCTACCATACACTGGAAGCCTTCCATCTGCTAGAACAATGGAAAGGCCTTCAAAGGCTAATCTAAGTCACTAGCTGTGGATAAGACACTGTAGGATTGGAACTGTCCTCAGTCAGTATGTACACTCATTATATATGGTATATATATGATATACACCAATATCTAGAATACATGGATCTGCAAACTGATGAGTAGAAGTAGTAGCAGCCTCTCTTATGATCAAGCCCATTGACCCACTGTGGACTGCACACTTCCTGATCCCATAACCTCAGGCACTGCTGAATCAGAAGTGCTAGCTCCTGGACAGTGGCACCAGGGGGACACTTTCACAGGAGGAGTCAGTAAGGGTCCTCTGTACTCAAAGCTGTGAGTACCACCTCATCATTCTGGGCTCCTCATGGCAATGGGTCAATAGGAAAAGAAAGGAATCACGACATAAGAGAGGAAATTGACCTCAAATTACCATGAGGAGCTAGGCAGCTGCCACACAATTAAGAAATGAGAGAGCATCGTAATATGTTAGCCAGAGTCTTCTACGAAGCAGATACCAAAATAAGATTAAGGGTGCAAGGACCTTATTAGGACAAATACTTGTAAGAGAAAATGAGGAAGGATCCAGAGTGCTGGGAGAGCATCAGACTGCCATGTATGTTTGACTCTGAATAAAAAAAGAGAGAAAAGGAAAGCTAGGTGGAATTGTTCTATACTGCTGTACAGTCTAGGAAAGTTCAGCAAGGCTGCTAGGAGTCCTCAGGCCCAAGTCTGCTGTCAGAGGAGCTCTGCATCTCCCAGGAATAAGCCTGCCTTAGTGTCCCTGCTGTGATCAGTCATTGGCTAGGAGTAGCCAGGAAGTAGGTGGGGTGGGAGAGTGGGGCAGAGGGAGGGCATAGATCCCCAGGAAATGCCCAGGTGGATTTCAGAGTGCAGCAGTCGGAGCCTCTGCTTAATTACATTCCCTGTTATTGTAGACCTTCAAGGCACATTCTATTAGTACCGTGGTAGATAGATGAATGGGTGGATTATAAGGTAGATAAGAGATACATAGGTAAAATATGTATATATATATATAATCTCTGTATTTATTGTAATTTGTTCAGCCCTTGAGGAGCAACTGCCTCAACTTCCCTTTTCTCCCTTCATTTCAGGCATTTTAATCAATACTCTTTTAAGACTGACAATCTAATTTTCCAAGCCACAAAAGAATGATCAATTTTATTATGAAAAAATTTAAAACTTGTAGTTGGTAAATGGCAAGACAAATTGAGAAATATTTTTTGCAACATATATGATAAAAAGACTAAATCCTTTAGTGTGTGGAAGTAGAGGCAAATGAAAAGTGTTAACAGTCTAGTAGAAAAATGTGTAATGTGGAATAAACTGAATTACCTTCCTGTGAAGATTAAGGGGTCATTCTACATATCACCACGACCTGGTAAATCTCAGTGCAATCCAAAGTTTTATACACAAACTTGAAAGTCATCACAAGTTACAAAGTGTTGTTGCAGGACATGGTTCACAGTAAAAAATGCAAAAGATTCTTAAGCAAGCTGTAAGGAGAAAGACAATGCAAATACTTGGTGCCTGATATAGTCTAGATATTTGTCCCCTCCGAATACCATGTTGAAATGTGATCCCTAATCTTGGAGGTGGGGCCTGGTGGGAGGTGTTTGGGTCATGGTGGGTGGATCCCTCACTATTGGCTTGGTGCCATGCCCTTGGAGATAAGCGAGTTCTCACTCTATTAGTTCATGCAAGAGCTGGTTGTTTAAAGGAGGCTAGCACCTCCTTCTTTCTCTCTTGTTCCCTCTTTCACCATGTCACATCCCTGCTTCCTCCTTGCCTTTCACCATGAATAAAAGCTTCCTGGGACCTCACCAGGAGCTGAGCAGATGCTGGTGCCATGCTTGTACAGCCTGCAGAACTGTGAGCCAAATAAATCTTTTTTCTTTATAAATTACCCAGTCTCAAGTATTCCTTTATAACAGTGCAAAATGGACTAACACAGTCTCCTTAGAGAATCTTAGTTGAAATGAACGACAAATTGGTTATCGACTTGAACAAAGTGTCTCCTAAAATAGTACAGTTCTATTTACTGAACCCATATTTTCCAAGCAAATTTTTGATAAGAATTGTGTTCTCCAGTCAGATTACTCTCCTGGGGAAAGAGGCTCTGACTGGCTGACATGACATCATTAACCCTTCAGTTGATAAATTTATGGGAATAGAATGTCCTGACACAAATCTGTTTCAATAAGGTTATAAGCTGGAGGCATTTTCCAGTGGTCTGATCACTCATGAATAAGATGACAGTGAAGATATGAACATGCCAAGCTAAAGGAAAACTTCAGACTGGTGGTTACCCTACTAAAGTGAGATACTCCAGGAATCCCAGCCCCAACGAGAATCTGGGCCCCAAGTATTTATGGCTTCTCCCTTGGAGATACTTTATTTCATTATGTTGTACTTATGAAGAGGAAAAAAGCCTGGACAACCCGCTGTGAATCTCAGGGCTCCCCTTTCCACATCACCATTGCTGACACTGTGGAAGCCTCAGGCCCATTCTTCATGAGTTCTGTCCTGAGGTTGGGACTGAAGATTAGGACAGCAGGGTTCGCAAGGTTGTGAGTTTTCATCCAGGGGCCTGAACCACTAATTTGGGCATGGGGTGGAAGCAGGAAACACAAAAGGTCTCTGCTCCAGTAAAAGCTAGGACAGGATGAATTTCCTGGAGAGGCTGGAAGATGACTGAGTGGAATTATATTCCATCAAAAGAAGCTCAAGGCCCTACAGGAACTCAAACTCACAGTCAATGCTGATGCTCATCCATCTTATCTGGGCACAGCCAAGATACCTTCTACTCTAAGAAGCTGAAATCTTCCTTGTTAGTATTTGACAGGGAGAAGAGTAGAGGGGAAAGGAGAGTTCAGGTTATGGGTGGGGAAGGCAACAGAAGGGAAGGCCAGCAGTTCACAGCTACCACACACCCTCTCTTTTTCCCCCTCACATGGCTCTCCTGTCAGACAGAGGTACAACTGCTTCTTATCAGAGAATAATCATCTCGCTGGCTCTGCAGGGATAAGAATAGTGATAGTTGTACAGACTGAATGCAGCAAGAAGGGTTGGGAAAGAGAAAACCACTCTAAACCTCTTATTTTTGTTTTAGGGACCACATTCATATAAACTGAAATATGTTTTCAGGTGACTGTGAGAAGATGTGATGGTAATCCCAAGGGCTTGCATGTGCCAATTACCTTGTGTGTCTCATAACATTTGAGTGATTAATTTAAATGGGGCCAAAGTAAATTAAAAACCTGGAAAGGACTCTTATCTTTTCCATATGCACGGACTATGAGAAGACAGTAACTCTGTATATGGGATCTTTATAGAGATAAGGATTAGGGCCAGTGGTGGTTTACAGGTTCCTGTAGAGGGATGGCTTACTGCAAATATGAATGGCTGAGACCCCAAGGATTTGAGAAGGTAGAGAGCAGAGTCATCAGGACTGTCGGAAATGGAGAGGGAGCCCAGAAAATGGAGGGGGAGCCTGGAATCCTGCTCAGACTCAAATCTTCTCAGCTGTCCACCCAGAGGAGATGCTTTTCCTAATTTGAACAACAGTGCCACCCAGTCAACAAGCTGTGCATCCCTAGTACTTTGCCCAGACAGGACTCTTTTCTAATTCACACTAGGGTAAATACTAATTGCCCAATCTCAAAAGCAGCTCAGAATGTGGACAACGGGTTGGGGAGGCCCAATTAAGATAAGACCAGCTAGGATTTGATTAAGTCCTATGCGGCCTCTGCCTGCACATAGATATCCTCCTGCTTCTATAGGTGCTTGAGGGTTCAGTATTCAACATGGATTAAATTTGAATTCACCATATTTCATCTACTCATAATTGAACTCCTAGGAGTGACATAGATGTTATGAACATGGGCTTTAAAGATAATCAACCAACCTAGTGGATTAGTGCCACCAACCTTACTAATCCAGTGAGGTTAGTATGAAAATGAAATGAAAAAATGAGTTAATGGATCTGAGGCCCATCCAAGGCATCTCTTCATATGTCTTTCTTCTCTCTAGGCCCTACACACAATTCATTATGATGTAATATAAGACTGGGTTCTCCTAAAAATGACCTCTCTTAAGCAAAAGATTTGTGCTTTGGAGAAGGATTCAAGGAACTCGCAAACATATAATGGCTAACCAAAACTGCAAATATGGACTCTTTAGGAAAGCAACAAATTTTAACATCTTATCCTTAATGCATTTGTAGTCAAATTCAGAAAAAAAATTGGGGGAAATGAACAAGACAAAGCAGTAGATGAGGTTCAAATGAGTGGTATTCATTTGTTAGTTCAGCAGACATTTATTGAGCATCTGTTTTTAGACTATGTACTGGGCTAGATGCTGAAGATACAGAGTGTGGTTGAAAGGACAGACAAGCAAGGAAAGCTTTCTCTCAGAAGTAATCACTTCCAGAGGAGGTGATGTGGGCTCTTGATAATTCAACCAAGTGAAGTCTGGAAAGAGGGCAGGGAGACGTCATGGGTTTGTCCTGGGAGGAGGAGAAAGGGAAGGATAGCCTGCCTTTAAGAGCAGAGAGAGCAACAGCTGCCCAGACACCCAAGGACCTATCCAACCTTAAGAATAACTCCTGTCACTGGGATCACCTTTAGGCCATAGTCAAAACCTATGAACCAATCACCAATTTAAGAAGAGATTAGCTACTGCTCAACAACTTTCCTGCCAAATTCAGGTGTCATGCCCCTTGGCAGGCCTATGCTATTACTAGTTAATTGCATGTGTGAGTATGTGTTCCACTCTCATATCCTTTCCCACCAAAGAAAAGAAAATGGTGCCATGGAGTGTTCTAATGTGGGATATTGACCAATGCATTGAACGCTGAACCAGTTAACTCCAAAAGACACCAAGTCCTTGCACTGAGATGAGCTTTAGGACATTTGGCAACTAAATATAATTATTATCTAATATAAATCCAAATATTTGAAAATGTAGGATGTTAAGAACATGATTCCTGCTGTCAACCTAAATAATAAACACAGTGAGAGAGGCTTTAAAAAATTATACATTTTTTAGAATAGGGCATTGCAATGGAAATATGCATGCCATAGTAAACTACATGCATATTCAGGGAGACAAAGGAAGACAAAGATTTTTAAAGAAAAAATGAGGATGATTTCATAATTGCTTTAAGATAATTATCCTTTGTTACAAGGATCAATAATAAGAGTGATGCCAGTCCAAGGTTGTATAGGCAGTTGCTGGGCAGATTTTCTTGCAGATGTATTTTTTTTTTTGTAAGATTTCAATGGCCTTTGTGCAAGACTGCAGTTTCTACAGAATCTTTTGTGATAGTTTTTGTTATTAGGCATTGATGCATAAGAACCCTTTCTTTCTTCTTTTTTTTTTTGGAGACAGGTTCTGGCTTTGTCGCCCAGGCTGGAGTGCAGTGGTATTATCTCAGCTCACTGCAACCTCTGCCTCCTGGGCTCAAGGGATCCTCCCACCTCAGCCTCCTGAGTGGCTGGGACTACAAGTGTGTGCCACCACACCCAGCTAATTTTTTGTAGAGACAGAGTTTCACTGTGTTGCCCAGGCTGGTCTCAAACTCCTGAGTTCAAGCAGTCCGCTCACCTTGGCCTCCCAAAGTGCTGGGATTACAGGTGTGAGCTGCCATGCCCAGCAAAACTCTCTCTTCATTGCTTTCTCTAGCTCTATTTGTCAAATTTTGTTTTTGTTTTTTTGTGTTTAAACATAAGTGATTCCATTTTGATTCTGACAAATTTCACATTTTCCCCATTTGATCAAGATCTTTCTCCAAAAGCATCACTAATAAGTCATCCTGTAATGAGGTTTTGATACTCTTTGGTGCTGAGATAAACCTGTCCTTGGTTGCTGGTCTAGACGGTTCCATGTTGGAGAAAGCGAATGACAGTGAGAAGTCAGTGTTAAAACCCTTTTAGCCAAAATTTGAGCAACAAAAGAGGTTTGAAGGGAGTGGCTCTCAGGCTGAGTATACCTGGAGTCCATTGTTAAGTTTATTTTTGTGTTTCATAGGCATTTGTTATCATTTTAAAGCGCTAAGCCAGCATTATTCTGTCAGGAATTGCACTTCTGCAAAATTTAGCAATAACAGATGCAAAGTTTAAAAAGAAAAATACAAAGTAAAATTAATGGTAGTATGACAATACCAGTTTGCATAATGGCTTTGAGCCATGAACCTAAGTAACCAATTGAATAAATCAAATGACCATTATCCTGTCAAATGAAAAAGGTAGGCATTAAGAGGGTGAGAGTCTCATTACAATATAGAGTCTTATTCTGATGTCTTGGGAAAAGCTGTTAACAATATGAAAAAGTCAACTTTTTGGCCAGGTGTGGTGGCTCACACCTGTGATCCCAGCACTTTGGGAGGCTGAGGCAGGCGGATCACTTGAGGTCAGAAGATTGAGACAAGCCTGGCCAAAATGGTGAAACCCCATCTCTACTAAAAATACAAAAATTAGCCAGGTGTGGTAGCACACGCCTGTAATCCCAGCTACTCAGGAAGCTGAGACAGGAGAATCACTTGAACCTGGGAGGCAGAGGTCGTAGTGAGCCAAGATCATGCCACTGCACTCTAGCCTGGAGAACAGAGCAAGACTGTCTCAAAAAAAAAAAAAAAAAAAGAAGAAAAAGAAAAAGAAAAGAAAAAGAAAAAGTTAACTTTTCTCATCCTGATTTGCAGTTTGAATGTCTCTGGATATAGCACTGGGTAGTTTGGTGAACTTTCTGTGTGGCATATACATTAGGCACAGGACTCGTTTTTAAAAATTTGTCAAGTTTCAGCTTATAGGGCTTTAGAAACAGAGAAGTTACTGTTTTTAGTAATTTCATGGAAGAAAGTTGGACTGGAGGAATCTAGACAAATTCAGGGTCTAGTGTAGTCTATAGGCAGATAGCAAGAACTTGAAAAAGTGCAGCGCTACAACCCAATAACAGATGTTTTAGCTTTTTGTTGGAAACATAACTTTTTCTCTCCACATAGATCACGTAAGAATCTCAGATTTAAAAACCTCTTGACGTTAGAAAGCCAAACCAAGGCAGACTTTAGATTTTAGTAAAATCTAAATTAAAATCTAAATCTAAAATTTAAACTATTAGGGTTCCTGAGTATTCCAAGAAGTGATCGTTTTTATCTACTCATGGTAAGGCTGGAAACCAGAATGCCTGGGAAGCCAGGCATTCCATGCACATTCTCAAAATGACATTTCCATCAAAGCTTTGACAATATAGCCAATGTTTCTAATTGTATCCTGCTGTAAAGAGAGAGCAGATTTTCACTGGACTTATGCAAATAACCACATTGCCATAGGAATACTTATGAATAGTTTCCAAATTTTGGAGGAATCAAGTGGAGAGAAAAGGCAAATGCATCCATCTTTATTCACAAAAGTATACTTTACCAAGTTGCTGTAAGCTACAGATAGCTTGAGAGAGAAAATTTCTTTAAATCTGAAAAACAAAACATTCAAGTAAAGGATCAAAAATGTTTTATTGTTTTGTAGTTTTTTTTTTTTTTTGCTTTTTTTTTGAAATGGAGTCTCACTCTGTCATCAGGCTGGAGTAGAGTGGTGCAATCTCGGCTCACTGCAACCTCCACCTCCCAGGTTCAAGCAATTCTCCTGCCTCAGCCTCCCGAGTAGCTGGGACTACAGGCACGCGCCACCATGCCCAGCTAATTTTTGTATTTTTAGTAGAGATGGGGTTTCACCATGTTGGCCAGGATGGTCTCGATCTCTTGACCTCGTGATCTGCCCACCTCAGCCTCCCAAAATGCTGGGATTACAGGCGTGAGCCACTGTGCCTGGCCAAAAATGATTTAAATAAAGAACACAAAAGCATTATCTTTGTCAGTTATTCAGTCTCACATAATTAATTTTTGTCTTGCTTGATCTTGATTAGCAAGTTCATGAACTCATCAGTTTCTTTACTAGAGTTCTGGGAAATTTTAATCTAGTCCATTGATCTTAAAGTTATTAAAAACCTGTATTTAAGAGTACTTCTAGAGTCTTTTCTATGAAAAGTAATTTTGGAGTGTAGCTTATTTCAAGTGCTTTTAGAGAAAAATCAAAACAATAACTGTGGATGACCCAAACTTAGACTAGTCATGATTAAAAATCTGATGAAAGTTCATTGTAATCAGCAATTGACAAGGAAATTCAGTTATTTTTGTTGCATACAACATTATATCCAGAATTATGACTGATGACAGATTTCTAAGAGTCTTATTAAGTTTCAGAACATTCATATCAAAAACACACTCATGAATGCAACTGAAAGAAGATCTAGCATCACTCATCATTTGACAGTGTTCCCTATAAAATTTACCAAATAAGCCTAATCATTTAATATCTCTACAAGATGAGAAGTATATCCTTTGAGACTCTCCAGGGGCTCAACTGGAAAATTCCAAAGTGAAATCTAGGTCAAAATGATTTAATTTAGAATTTTGATCCTGGGGAAGCAAGCCAAAGACGGAAAACAGTTTTGAAACAGTTGATCAAAACAGGATCATGGGTCACTGTAAATTAATAGCCATGCATTTAACCAGAGTGATAAACAACTTCAAAAGCAATACAGAAAGTTATATGGATTTTTAAAAACCTTAACACTTTCAAAGCTCAGTTTTCCTAAGTAATCAGAAACCTAGTAAAGACAACACAGAAAGTTATCTTGATAAAACATAAGTTCTCTCTCCCTCTCTTTTTTTTCTTTAGGTCAGTGCCCAAAAAGGTAAAGAAAACCTCATGCAGTGTGCTTGCTTCTCCTCATGGGCAGCCCATTTGGATACCCTGGAAATTGAACCTAATTTAAAAGGTATCTGAATCTAATCAGTCACAGGAAGAATGTGTGTATACCATATTATAGAGGAAGGTAAATAAGAAAACTAGTATCTTGAGTAGGGGAATATAGTACTCTTAGCAATAGCATGGGAAGTTTCCTGGTTATGTGGAACAATTCAGATACATCAAGAGAAGCCAAGAGTACAGGATAAAGTTATACTGGAGGAAAACATCACTTTTTTAGGTCTTCAAGATAAACATTTCAGCAACAGGTCACAAAAGCAGAGTTAGAACTGGAGAGAATAAATTACAGTAGCTGATGAAAAAGTTGAAAGAGAGATTGTTATCATCCCAGGCTTTTTCAAAGGGAGAAAGAGTTGCAGGCAATGATGCATGACCTGCAAATCATGTGCTGTGAAATACATCAGAAGTTGAAGTTTGAAGATATGAATATGAGAAGCTTCAAGAGGAAAACTCTACCTCAAGAAATAAAATTACCATTCTGAATGAAAAAGACATATTTCTAACCTGAAAATAGGGAAATTAAATTACTTCTATTAAAAAAAGCAGCAGATAATTAAAAATAAAAACATCTTGTAAATTTTACTAAGAGCAGATCAATACACAACAAACAAGCAAACACCTTGTTGTTTTAATATAGAGTACCAAACCTTTAGTTTTCTGTTAGCGTATTTTTTTTTTTTTTGGAGACAGGGCATTCCTCTGTCACCCTGGCTGGAACGCAGTGGCATAATAGCTCACTGTAACCTCAAATTCCTGGGCTCAACTGATCTTCCTGCCTTTGCCTCCCAAGTATCTGGGACTACAGGTGTGCACCACCACACCTGACTAATTTTTAAAACAATTTTTTTTGTGCAGTTGGGGTCTCACTATGTTGCCCAGGTTGGTCTTGAACTCATCCTGGCCTGAAGTGATCCTCCCACCTTGGCCTCCCAAAGTGCTAGGATTATAGGTGTGAGCCATGATGCCCAGGCTTATATTAGTGTATTTTTAAATATCAAAGCTCAATCTTTAGAAAGACTTATAGATAATTCCTTTCTAATTATGGCCAACTTGCTCACACAAAATTCCCTTCATAAATTTATCCTTCACAAACCTTATCACAACTTACTCAGGTCTTTGACAACATACTTAAATTTTCTGCTTTGTTTTAAACTTCCTCTTCCTTAAATACCCAGTCATTTTACTTTAGGACAAAAATTTGCCATGCAAGATTCTTACTCATACAAAATTATTCTCTTTTCTTTTAAACCTTCTTTACTGAAATTTATTCTCATACGCATAACTGTTTTTATGTCTTTTTCTCCTATTTACTGTTCTTTTTTATTTCCTTTTAAAATTTACTTTTTGGAACAACCTTTAAATCACCTTTGAATTAAAAATTATTTTTAAATACATTTTTATGTCTTTCTTATAATTTTTAAAAATAAAACATCTTATTTTTGAAATACATTTTACATACAGAACTATATATATATTAGAATTTTATCCCTTAGTAACCTTAATTTTTAGCAAGCAATTTTGAACTGTGTCACATCAGTATTTTATAGATGAGAATGATTTTATAATTTTTAGGATCATATTTTCCCATAACATAATTTTTTATGTGTATTAATAGACCCAAAAATATTCAGTCTCTATAAACTTTAAGAAGCCAAGGAGAAATGTACATTTATGTTCAGCGATTTTTTTCAGTTTTTTTTTCTTATGTGGGAATGACTCAGACATTTAATGAGTATGAGAGCCAATCATAATCCCAAAAAACATAATCCAGAATGCCATGATCCTGAATGTTGAAATCCCAAAAGATCAAATCCTCAAACAATAATTCTGGAAAAAAACAATTAAAAATTAAAAGATATTTATTTACATTTCCAAAAGGGGATTTATTTGAGAAACATACAAAAACTTGACAGAACACTTTATAGGCCACTTTACACAATAAAATAGGCAATAATAACATACATATTTTTGCAAGCATAAACACTCAGGTATACTAATGACAATCACAGGGGCATAACATTTATCAGCAGAAAAACCATATTCAAAAAGAAATAGGCCAAAAAGTGAAAGGTATAAATGCATATCACTATGGTTGGTAATTGTGTACACCCAGCTGTATAACTGCAGTCATCTGAAATACTGTGAAGGGAAGTCTAAGTCCTTTGATGAGAGTGATTAAAAACCTGAGATGTGTCACCGCCGTATCATCACCGCACCAGTAACCCAAAAAGCCAAGATCTCCAGAAATTTTATCTTTCACAAATGCAAATGTACAAAAAAGAACATCTCTTCATTACTGAGGACATTTCAATGTTTTTGTGTACAAGCACAATGCTTACACACAAAGCCACTGTTGTGTTAATGCACTTTCATGGAGTCACATTTGCGAAAAATGCACAAAATGAATTAGAACTCTCTAAAACTCCTTAATTTATTTATATCTCCAGTACTGGAAGTGATGTGAAGATAAAATACATCTCATAGTGAATTACAAAAAATAATGCTGATAATTTAAAATAGTAAAACAAAAAACCTTAAAAAGAATAAAACAAAAAAATTCAATATATGAAAAAGTGCACAGGCATAGACTATGGGCAGTTGCTTGGAAATAGTCCATCAGAGCTGGCCAACTTTCATGATTATTAACTATGTTTAAAAGTTTTACATCTCGAGGAATAACTGTTTTTCTTTTCTTTTAGGACATGGCTCTCCTCAGAGATTATGTTCATGTTCATTTCTACATGGCACTGCTCTGTTTGAAATTCTGTTATTTGATGTACACTGACTTGAGCATCCCCTGTTAAATTTTCCCATCTTCTGTGCCATAGTTCTATGTTGTTTCAGGTGTGCAGAAATCCATTCTTCATGTGCTAATATACAGACCACAAATTTGGCAGAAACAATAATGGTGACCAAACAGCAACACCGTTGTGCGAGTGTCTTCTCATTCTACCAGGAACATAATTATTTTTGAACCAGTCAGTAACTTTGCTGGCTTCTTCAGGCAAATGTGACTTTAATTTATTAAAAGCTCCTCAAATAACATCAGCTGGATAGAATACTAATGTGAGCAAATCAGGCAATTTTAAACTAAAGTTTTTGTTGTTGCCATATTCTGTGGCCAACTCAATCATCTGAATTTTATGCCAAATGCATTGGGCTGAGTGGAAAAAACAAAACTTTGTTGGTAACACCTTCAAATTTGCTTTTAGAAGCCTTGATTGTACCTAATTCCAAATATATTATTGTGGTTTGGGGATTCAAATGAAATCCATTTTCTTCCACATAAAGACAACAACAAGGTAATACTTCCATCTAACATGATGCAATTTTCCTGTAATTGTGATTTTCAGGATTTTAGACATTAGGGATTTAGACTTCAGGGATTTTGATTTTTTGGGATTTTGACATTTGGAATTATGGCATTCCAGATTGTGTGTTTTGGGATTATAATCCAAATTCAATGAGTCTCTATTACTTGATTTAACATAACTTTAAGATTTCAAATCACATAAATAGGTCATTTATGAAATGTATCCCATTTACATTTACCAAATGTATTTATTTCTAACAATTGTGTCTAGATTAATCATGAAAACTAAGTTAGACAAAGCTAGTCATCATCTTGTTATTTTTCTGCTAGCCATTTTATAACCTGTGAATATCATGTGTTCACCTAAGTAATAACCTTAAAGTTAAATATATGGTATTTTGCCAATAACTCAGAAGTTACAGCTGTTTTTATTAAACCAATAATATTAGTCTTACATATCAAAGAATTGCACAAAGATCATTTTGTTTTAAGCTCAGTTTACAGTTTTATAATCTTTATGTCAAACTCTAACACCTTAAAACTTTTGGTAGAGATGACTATAAAGCTGTCTGACCAGTAAACACAGGCAAAAATGTATGCTGAAAAATTTTAAGGCATTTCTATTTTTCATTTTAACCAACATTTAAAAAACCAGCTTACTTATCAAAGATTTGCTTAAGTCATATAAACTAAAAGGTATTTGGGTTAATTGCTACATATTTTATATGAGTGCTCATTTATTAAAGTCAATCTGAATATAATTCCTTAAGGGATTTCTGGATGAGTATGCCAGATTATAACATGTAAATATAGCATATAACATAATATATGCACATATGGGTAGATACACCTAGACATATATACATACACACAGAGATCTTATAGCTTTCACTTTAGAATTTTAGGCATGAGACACAAAACTTACAGATTCGCCAGTTTTGACAGTTGGGTCAAAATTATATTTTTGGCAAGATGGGATCTGTTCATATGGCTAAACTTTATTTGCCCTTATAGGTAATCTAATAAGGCTGCAGACCAAAACTGTGGGTGAAGCAATGTGGTTAAAAAAAAAAACAACCCTCTTTCTTTTTTTCTATTTTTTAAGGTTTCAAATGAGTTTAGGGTTAAATTTTCAATGTTTACTTTTTAGCTAGGACTGGCTGAATTTTATAAGAAAAAAACCCCCAAATCTCCAAATAGTCTTTTTAGCAACAAACCTATATTTTGTTTGCTGGTTTGGTTTGCTTGACAGTTGATGCAGGTGGAGAAACATTTTAGCAGGTTTTCTTTGCTTCTTTTCTTTTTGGCCTCTGCATAGCAGACAATGCAAAATTTACGCCCGACAAAGACACCTTATATTATTGCACTGAGCTCAAGAATTTGACCTGTTTGATCTGAGAGTATAACTTTCAAAAACATTTGTCTAGTTCTTCCCTTTCAGACTATCAATCCTTGGATGAACTGTTCCATCACCATAAACAACTGCTAGTCAAGCAAACCTAAATATGCATTTCCAAAAGGTGTCTAGGTTGTTGGTTACCATGGAGCTATTTTAATTAGTAAAGCCATTAAACGGAAAGTCCTGTGAGACTCTTTTAAAACCTTGGCTGAAATGCCACAAGCAATGAGTTTTATCTCAACATCAGTAGAAAAGTTGACAAATTAAAAGTCGGCAGAAAAGAAATAGAGATAGGGAGGTTAGAAGGCTCTACATGTTAACTCTATAGTTGCAAGGTTTTTTAAAAAACAGCTTGAGTAATGATAATTTGGGCTCTGAATTTTTCTTGATGTAATTTGCCCATCAATTTTTAAATTGCACATGAGAATAGGCCATAATATGTGGACAGTGGGAGTCCCAGAAAACTTGGCATGCTTTAATGTTTGAAAATTCTGTTTCTTATTAATTTCTCAAAAACAAAGAAAATGCTATAAATTCTTTCATAAAATATCAAGAATTTGGACCAGTGTTTTAGATGATGGGGACCACACTAGTGGCTTTCAATTAGCTATCTTGCATACACCATCTAGAATGTTTATTTTTGCTCTTGGATGATTTTTAGAAACAAGCAAGGGAAAAGGGCCAAATCATTTACAGATGGGCATAACCAAGCCAAAATGGAACCAAGATAAGAGTGTTCACAAAACTTTTAACCCAGGCATGCAGATCAAACAAAATATTGAATTAGGCTTGCAAAAAGGACAAAAAGTAAATTTATCAGAAAAGATAAGCCTTGTAATAACCAATGGTATGCTGTTTTCAAGAGACCCATCTCACACGTAGTGATACCCTTAGGCTCAAAATAAAGGGATGGAGGGAAATCTACCAAGCAAATGGAAATCGAAAAAAGCAGGGGTTGGAATCCTAATTTCAGACAAAACAGACTTTAAACCAGCAAAGATCAAAAAAGACCCTTTACATGGTGGTAAAGGGTTCAATTCAACAAGAAGACTTAAGTATCATTAATATATATTCACTCAACACAGGAGCACCCAGATTCCTAAAGCAAGTTATTAGAAACCCACAAAGAGACTTAGACTCCCACACAATAATAGTAGGAGACTTTAACACTTCATTGACAGTAGTAGATGGATTATCAAGGCAGAAAATTAACAAAGGTACTCAGGAGCTGTACTCAACATTGGACCAAATAGATTTGATAGACCTTTACAGAACTCTCCACATCAAACCAACAGAGTATACATTCTTCTCATTGCCACATGGCACATACTCTAAAATTGGCCACACAACTGTACATAAAACAATGCTTAGCAAATGCAAAAGAACTGAGATCATACCAAATACACTCTTGGACCACAGCACAATAAAAATACAAATGAAGACTAAACAAATTGCTCAAAACCATGCAATTACATGGAAATCAAACAATCCAATCCTGAATAACCTTTTTGTGTAAATAATGAAATTAAGGCAGAAATCAAGAAGTTCTTTGAAATTAATGAGAACAAAGATACAACATACCAGAATCTCTGGGACACAGCTAAGGCAGTGTTAAGAGGGAAATTTATAGCAGTAAACACCCACATCGAAGGTTAGAAAGATCTCAAATTAGAAACCTAACATCACAATTAAAAGAAATAGAGAAGCAAGAGCAAACCAATCCCAAAGCTAGTAGAAGACAAGAAATAACCCAAATCAGAGCTGAACTGAAGATTAAGGCATGATAAACTATTCAAAAGATCAATAAATCCAGGACTTTTTTTTTAAAGTAAGTTTTTTTAATTAGTCTAGATGCTAGCTGGATTAATAAAGAAGAAAAGAGAGAAGACACAAATAAATACAATTAGAAATGACAAAGGGGATGTTACCACTGACCCCTCAGAAATACAACCACCAAAGACTGCTATGAACACCTCTAAGCAAACAATCTAGAAAATCTAGAAGAGATGGATAAATTCCTGGACACATACACCATCCCAAAACTAAACCAGGAAGAAATTGAATCCCTGAACAGACCAACAATGAGCTCCAAAATTGGATCAGTAATAAATAGCCTACCAACCAAAAAAAGTCCAGGACCAGACATATTCACAGCTGAATTCTACCAGATGTACAAAGAAGAGCTGGGACCATTCCTATTGAAACTATTCCAAAAATTGAGGAGGAGCAACTCCTCCCCAACTCATTCTATGAGGCCAGTATCATCCTGATATCAAAACCTGGCAGAGACACACACAAAAAAGAAAACTTCTGGCCAATATCCTTGATGAACATTGATGCAAAAATCCTCAACAAAATACTGGCTAACTGAATCCAGCAGCACATCTAAAAACTAATCCAACACAATCAAGTAGGCTTTATCCCTGGGATGTGAGGTTGGTTCAACATATGCAAATCAATAAATGGGATTCATTACATAAACAGAACTAAAGACAAAAACCACATGATTACCTCAATGGATGCAGAAAAGGCTTTTGATAAAATTCAATGTCCCTTCATGTTAAAAACTCTCAATAAACTAGGTATTGAAAGAACACACCTCAAAATGATAACAGCCATCTGTGACAAACCCACAGCCAACATCATATCGAATGGGCAAGAGCTGGAAGTATTGCCCTTGAAGACTGGCACAAGGATGCCCTCTCTCACCACTCCTATTCAACATAGTACTAGAAGTTCTGGCCAGAGTAATCAGGCAAGAGAATGATATAAGAGCCATCCAAATAGGAAGAGAAAAGTCAAATGATCCCTGTTGCAAATGCCATAATTCTATATTGAGAAAACCCCACAGTCATGGCACAAAAGTTTATTTAGCGATAAACAACTTCGGCAAAGTTTCAGGATACAAAATCAATGTACAAAAATCACTGGCATTCCTATATATCAGCAACAGTCAAGCCAAGAGCCAAATGAAGAATGCAATTCCATTCACAATGACCACACACATAAAATATACCTAGGAATACAGCTAACCAGGGAGGCGAAAGATATCTACATAGAGAATTACAAAACACTGTTCAAAGAAATCAGAGATGACATAAATGGGAAAACATTCCATGCTCATGGAAAAGAAGGATCCATATTGTTAAAATGGCCATATGTCCCAAAGCAATGTATAGATTCAATGCTATTTCTACTAAACTACAAATGACATTCTTCACAGAACTAGGAAAAAAACTATTTTAAAATTCATATAGAATCAGAAAGGAGCCCAAAGAGCCAAGGCAATCCTAAGCAAAAAGAACAAAGCTGGAGGCATCATGCTGCCTGACTTCAAACTGTACTACAGGGCTACAATAACCAAAGCAGTGTGGTACTGGTGCAAAAACAGACACATAGAACAATGGGACAAAATAGAGAGGGCAGAAATGAGGCAACACACCTGCAACGATCTGACCTTCGACAAAGCTGACAAAAATAAGCAATGGGGAAAGGACTCCCTATTCAAATAACTGGTGCCAGGATAACTGGCTAGCCATATGCAGAAGATTGAAACTGGACACCTTGCTTACACCACATACAAAAATCAATTCAGTACAGATTAAAGACTTAAACGTAACACCCAAAACTATAAAAACCTTGGAAGACAACCAAGGCAATACCATTCTGGACATAGGAGGGGGCAAAGATTTCACAAAAAAAGACACCAAGAGCAATTGCAACAAATGCAAACATTGACAAATTGGATCTAATTAAACTTAAGAGCCTCTGCACAGCAAAAGAAACTATCAACAGAGTAAACATAACCTATAGAATGGGAAAAAATTTTTGCAAACTATGCATTTGATGAAGGTCTAATATCCAGCATCTATAAGGAACTTAAACAAATCTGCAAGAAAAAACAAAAACAAAAACAAAAACAACCCCATTAAAAAGTGGGCAAGGGACACGAACAGACACTTTTCAAAAGAAGACACACATGTGGCCAACAAGCATATGAGAAAAAGCTCAATATCACTGATCATTAGAGAAATGCAAATCAAAACCACAATGAGATACCATCTCACACCAGTTATAATGGCTATCATTAAAAAGTCAAAAAATAACAGATGCTGGCGATGTTGTGAAGAAAAGGGAACACTCATATTCTATTGGTGGGAGTGTAAATTAGTTCAAGTATTGTGGAAAGCAGTGTGGTGATTCCTCAAAGACCTAAAAACAGAACTACCATTTGATCCAGCAATCTCATTACTGAGTATATACCCAAAGGAACATAAATTGTTCTACCATAAGGACACATGTATGTGTATGCTTATTGCAGCACTATTCACAAAGCAAAGACATGGAATCAACTTAAATACCCATTAATGGCAGGCTGGATAAAGAAAATGTGGTACATATACACCATGGAATACTATGCAGACATAAAAAGAATGATATCATGTCCTTTGTGGGAACATGGATGGAGCTGAAGGCCATTATCCTTAGCAAATGAATTCAGGAACAGAAGACCAAAAAGTGTATATCCTATCTTGTAAGTGAGAGCTAGATGATGAGAACATATGGACACATTGAGGGGAATAACACACGCTGGGGCCTACTTGAGGGTGGAGAGTAGGAGAAGAAAGAGGATCTAAAAAATAACTACTGGGTACTGGGGTTAGTACCTGGGTGAGAAAGTAATCTGTACAACAAATCCCTGTGAGTTTACCCATATAACAAACCTTCTCATGTACTTGTGAACCTAAAATAAAAGAAAAAAAATAAGATAAAATAAAATGAGAAAACTAAAAAGGAAAAAGAAAGACAATTAAAAAGAAAAAAGAAGAAAAGAAAAAAGAAAATAAAAAAAGATATGTCCTGCAGACAAAATGAAAATTCTAGGGAAGCCAGAATACTCAAACTAGAAGGATATTTGTACTTATAGCAGAAAAGAATTGCTAGAAAATACAGTCTTTTATCCCTCCAGAGGGATGTAAGCTCCTTTATTTAAGGGGGCCTTATAACAAAATCAAATCCCAAATAAAGTGAAAAGCTACTACCAAAAGGAGGGAGGCTCAGCCTGAGAGAAGTCTCACCAGAGCAGAAAAGGTGAGCCGTAAAAGTGGAGAGCTCAAAGGGTTAACACATCAGTTCTGCACACTGGCGTACTGCACACCAGTTCCAAGAATCACTGATTCCTTCCAATAGTGATTTTTCTTCAGATCCCAGTTGTGACACCATTTATGCCAACCTAAATAATGAACACAGAGAGAGCAGTCTAAAGAAAACATTTCCTATGATAATGATATCCCATTGATATCTATACCTCTGTATGATATCTATACCTCTCTATGATATCTATACCTCTGTAACCCTATCCTATGTCAACAAAAGTGAACTGAGGGTGAGACACCCACTACACTAGTCTTGCTTCTGGACATCTGGACCAGGACAGTGGCTGAAACCCACATCTCTTCAAAGGTCAGAAAGGATTATTGATTATTGGAGAGAGGAGGAATACCGGCTGGTGCATTCACTGTCAATCCCAATTTTAGCAGATGGGGTGAAGGCACAATCTACCTTATCAAGATCTTAGGAATTCTGATCTAAAAGTTTCAAAATACAGTACATTTTCTTACTTAGGGATCATCCCTGCCTCCATTATCTATAGTTGCAGCCCTGGTCCTGGGATCACTGCATCAGGTAGGAAAAATAAAGTCAAGGTGATGCAGGGGAGAATTGTCTGCTCACACCAACATCCTTCCCCATGGTAAGGTTTCTATAGTCATGTCATTATGCTCTCTCTCCTCTTATTCAGATCCCCTAGAACAATAGAGGAATCTATCTAGTGGGGACCCTCAGTAGCCCCTCCCATGTATAATTTGAGCACACATTTGTGAAGGTGTGTAAGCCAGCCTTTTATGCCTTTATTTTCCTCCGTTTTAGATAACAAATTTTCAACTGACCATTTGAATTCTCTATCAAACCCTAACTCTAAGGATGAGACTATGTTGTTTGGTCTGAAGAAATGTGTCTTGGTTCATATTGGTATAATATTCTTTTCTCAGTCTTTTTATAGTATTTTTAATATTTCATCTACCACTGGTTATGCAAAACCCAATCCAGAGTAAGTGTCTATTCCTGTCAGGACCCATTAATTGCTCCCAAGTCTACCCACACTGAGCCAATGAAACTGACTTGCCAGCTGTGTTAAGGGCTTTTCCCCTCAGGAAATCTGTCCCAGAGCCATCTGCAGTCTGTCTTTCTCACTGGCACACAGAACAGATCTTGTTGGCATTTTCTGCAAGAAGAATATGTCTAGATTCAGCCCATCTCTGCATTGCTGAAGTACCACATCTACTCATTTCATGGACCCAGGTGGCCATCTCAAGCAAACACAACAGGATATACTCTTGCCAATTCTAATTGCCTTCTGACCCTAGAAAGGATCTCTTCTGATGAACATTATCATATTCCACTTTAATGTGCTCCTTAAATTCCTATAGTAATTTCCATGAGGTTGTGCCCCATACAGGCGTCTACTTAATAGGCCAGTGTTCCATTGACTATAGAGCCAGGTCATGGGCTACTGTCATAAGTCAGTAAAACCCAAACTTAAAAGCTTTTATTATTGTTCAATTCCCCCTTCACTGCCAGGAAAACAGCATGCGACTCAGTCCGTTGAACTAATTTGTTATCTTTTTCAATCAGAGTCTTTCAATCTGCCAGTCTTAGTGTGGTCCCTTCCAAACAGGAGGCTATTCATCCACCTTGGAACTGCCATTCATGAACCAAGCAGCTCTTTGATGGTTAATAGAGATCTATTAACAGGGCACTGTCCAGGTGGCGATAGGACCCAGTAGTTCCTCAGGTGTCAATCCGAGAAGTCAGTCCTAGAGGGAAAGAGTCTACCTGCTTGTAGATACAATGGGTACCTCTGTGTCCACCCAGTAACATGTTTCTCCCATTTCCACTTTATTATGGAACTCTTCTGGATGCTGTCTTCCTTATTAGATTGTTTCTCTGACATAACACAAGACAATCTCAGTATTTCAGGTTTCAGGAGCATTTTATGTCCTTCACTCACAGGGGCTTTTACCATTAATGTCCAATAGTAAGGTAGTAGCTGTTTCTCAAATTGTGTGTATCTTACTATACCATTTAGGAATATTCTGATACAGAATCCCAGTGGTCACCTATGAGTGGTACTCACAGGCTTTTGCAGTAATCTCCAGTCTACATATAATAGGCATGTGTTACAGACACTTCCAAGATCATATATGGTATGGAAGGACAAAATAAGCATTGAGAGAGGAACTACTTTTTGCAATTCAGCCATGGCTTGCTTTTTTGGTCCCTCATTCAAATACAGCACTCTTTGGGTAGTTTTATGGATAGCAGTGTGTAACATTTCTAGATGTGGAATATGCATCCTCCAAAATCTAAATAGACCAATGAAACATTGGGCTTCTTTGTTTATTTCAAGGAGTAGTAATGAGATCAGTTTATTTGTGCTTACCTATGGAATGTCATGGGTGGCACCTGCCTAGGTTATTCCTAAGAATTCCACCATTTTGAGAGGCCTTGACCCTTGCTAGACTTATCAGCCAGCCTCTGCTGGTCATGTGTGTCACTGCTGCATTTAGGTCATTCCTCACCTGGTTTTCAGTTTCAGATATTATCAGGATATAATCAATACAGTGTATTATTACACTTAGAACCTGCTTTAATCCAAATCCCTTTTAACCAAATTATTGTAGAAGCTGGTGAATTTAAATAATCCTATAACAACATAATCTTTCCATGTCAGGGCAAACTGCAACTGGTTTTTTTCTAAGATTGACATAGAACAAAAAAAGCATTTGCAAAATCAGTCACTAAGTACCAGACTCTTTAGCCTGCTGTACTTTTTGTGGCATTGAAGCAATATCAAGACTACTAGTGCTATGGGTGGCACCAGTTTATTCAAGCCTCAATATTCCACTATTAGTCCAGATGAGCCATCTGCTTTTTTCACAAGCCATACAGAGCTTTGTATAAAAAATTCATGTATACCAGCACTTCAGCTACTAACATATCATTGATTTCTTTTTGTGCACTGGATGTCCTATAATGTTTCAAACTAAAACCTATGAGGGCTTGAGCAGCTCTAGTTGTTCCCAATTAGCATGTCCCATCAAGACTGGCAGACTTGACTGAGGGCAGACTTAGATGCTTTCTGTTTTACAACAGTAGATAGGGAAAGTGTTCCATAGTCAGACTAATACCCATACCAATAACACATTTAGATAAAGGAGACATGAAATCCTTCCAAACATTCCGATTCTTTTTTTTTTTCTACTGGACAATTTCAACAACACAAATGTAAAACATTCTAACTTATATTCGACCTTTCACCTTAATCCCATGAGCCACTGCATGTCTGTGCCCTCCCAATCTAATTGTAGCTCCCATTAAGACTTCATTAACAGGTTTTGAAATCACTATGTATTGGGGTCCCTAGTCAAGGAGTCCTAGAAAAGTCTTCTCTACTCCTGGTCATTTTGCCCCACAGAAGACCTAGTTTTCTAGTCAATCTTCATTTTGATTAATCTGGCAGACCATTGTGACAGGTAATTCAAGTTCAGGTTTATCACTGTCATCTTTGTCCTTTGTTGTTGTTTTTTAATTCCTCAAAACAGGGGTAAATAGAGCAGAGTTACTTAAGGTCCTTTAATATTGAGGGGTCAGGAGGGTTTCCCATTGGCCCACCTAACTTCCACAGTGTTTCATTAAGACCTTTGTTTTAACTCCATCAATGTCAGCTTTATTCATTCCATTTCTTCATCATTTAAATATTTCCGCTCTGCTGGGACATGTCCCTTGACTCTTCCATTTGTCTTTCCTCACTTTCTTGTGAATCACCCTAATTTTCTAAGCATTTGTAAAGCCCATAAGGGTAAGCTAAGATAACACATCTGATGAGGTTTCTCTTACCATTGTTTGATTTTATAGCAGTAAGATTATATGGGGTCCCAGGCAAAAGGGTCCCCCTTAAATCTTGATATTTACCATGACGTAGGTAAGGGCTATATTTAGTGGATAAATAACCTGATCATTATAATGTTAATCCAACATGGCTTGCATATGAAGTATATCAGCTCCTTTATTTGGAAAATTCCATTTGGCATTTTTTTTTGTAGTAAAACAATCCCCCTTCTTAATGTAAACACATTTTACAGTAGCCTTTATCCAGTCCTCCAGGCTACCTGTACCTGCTATGTGTCTGGATGATACACATCTACAATGTTCAAAAGAGAGCTGTGGATTTTACAGCAACCCAAACATGTTCTTCTAATCTGCAGTGTTCAAAGTCAAGGATGCTGCCACTATGTTAGTCATTTTCACAATCATTTCAGTAAAGGCTTTACAAAAAAATTGACGGTAATGATCCACAAAATGAGACAAGTCTTTCACACTATCCCCTGGTTTCAGCAGTTTCTTGTTTTTACCCTCCCTCCACCTGGACAACCTCCCTGGTGACCAGAGGTTGTAGACATGATGTCTGTTGTCCCAGCATAATTTGTCCGTTATTTCTTATTATTTTGCATTTTCTTGCATATCAAGTAAGCCAACTCCTTGGGAGCCGGGTCTACCACTTCTAAATTTCATTGATTACTTTTGCCGCTCATAACTGATCACAGTGCAGTTATAGTTCCACACCATGGATGACCAGATAGCCACCTAGAATTAAAGGTTCACCAATCCCTGCCCTTATTTCCTTTCTCTATCCAAATCACATAGTTCAGTGAGTCAGGGTTGATCTAGTGAATCCTGGTCCAGAGGCCAACTGCAAAAGTTACTTAACTATGAAGTTGGGAGAATAGATCATAAGACCCCCTCACTTCTGACATCAGTTGCAAGTGTGAAGATCCCCAGAGCACCCTCAGCTTCAGTCATTCACTAGAAAGACTAACAGAACTCACTTAAATCTATTATACCCACAGTTACAATTTATTATAGGCAAATAACACGCATAAAAATCAGCCATGGGAAGAGATACATAGGGCAGAATCCAGGAAAGTTACCAAATATGAGAAGCTTCTTCTCCCCATGAAGTAAGGATAGCATTGCTTTCCTGGCACGGGTGCATAACAACACACACAGAATACCGGCAATGAGAGATGCTCATCCAATCCTTGGTGTCTAAAGTCTTTACTGGGACTCATGTAGGCATGCTTGACTTCCCAGTGGCTGATGTCAGTTTCCAGTCCCCAAGGAGGTCAACTACTGTGTGAAGTAAAGCCCCCACCCTAAATCACATTGTTGGTGGGGCTCAAAGCCCCCACCATAAATCACTATGTTACTGTCTGGCTCACCCAAGACCCCAAAGCAAACAAAGCCACTCCCAGGTGGGACATTCCAAGGGCTTAGAGACCACCTCCCAGGAGCAAAGAGTGGGGGGAAAAAGCAGTCAGACATCTTTTGGACAAGGTTAAATTTTTTACTACGTAGCAATTCTCAAGTGTTATTAAAAAACAAGTAGGAAAACTACAGAACACAATTTAATAGTATTTTCCTCCTTTTTCACACAAGCTTATGGCCAAGTAAAGGATCCTGACTCTAGCTCTGGATACAGTATTTGGCTCATTCTGGGAACCTGACTTTGATAAGAAGATGAAGAACTTTGTGAATTGAAGTAAATCACGTGAGAATCACTGACCTGACCTAAGAAAAGTTTGGATTTCTGTGAAACAGTATTCTACCACTCCTAAAGAAATATGCATTTGGCTGCAGTTTTCCACTTTTCACATAGGGGAGTGAGCTTTCTCTTGTTTGAACAACCATCAAGAACTGGGATATTATCTCATTTCAGGTGAAAATAGTATTCATGTATGCTTATCACAAATTCAGTATTCAGGGTTCAGTATTTGCACAGAGGAAAAGTAAGCATAAGTTTTAGATGAAAGACATAAATTTTATTATTTATTTTTAACTTCAAAAATATTATTTTCTATGCACATATGGACCTATAAAAGAGATCAAGAAATTAATACATGTATATAATACATTTATAACTGCTAGACCTTTATTTGAGTCTGATCATGTTACTCAGTGAGAAACTTTTTTTTCTAAGTCTTAATAAGATGTCTTACACTATATTTTTATTTATATTGCTTTGGCTTGTGATTAATTGCTTTGCTATTCAATACTGGCAAAATTTTTTATACAGTAAATAACATTAATTAAAATAAATTTATAACTTATTTAAATAAATCTATCAAGATGACCTTTCACAAATTCAATTCCTTTTGGTTTAAGACAGTTATTTAAGGGAAATGTATTATGTTTGTCTTAAGAATTTTTTAAATTTATGAAAAAGAAGGAAAGATTAATTTCAAGAAAGGTTATCCAGTCTTGGAGCTACCTGATTATATTCAAGACAGATTGGCTTAAAAAATTTGTTAGCTTTAAATAGCAGAAATAACTACTCTTGCATGTATCATATACCATGTCCCATACCTCATCAGCATGTCTTATACTATAAATAAAACTTTGAAGTCTATTTGGATAAGATTTTTTGAAAATCAGGTAGGAATTTATTAAAAGGAAAAACTGAGATCTTCTCACCTACATTACTGACTTGCAGTAGAGGGGTTATTCTTTGTGGGGTGGAGGGTAGGGGGACCACACAAAAAGAGCAGGCTGATAAATTGGCTACAGTAAATAGATCCATAGGAAAATATCAGTCCTTATAAAAAATTATTTTGGTCATCTTCCCTGGTCAGAACTTGGACAGAGCTCGTGAAACCTTTGTAATTTCCCAAGTGATAAAGGTGCTAGGAGCATATTTTGTTCTAATGAGGTGACTCTTGCTGGGTTCCTTAATGAAGCCTGGTCACCAGGAAGATCAAGGCATGGTTAGAGACTTGGAACTCTCTCTCATCCCCCATCAACAGGTAGGGGAGAGGAACTAGAGATTGAGTTTATAATTGATCATGCTTATGTGACAAAGCCCCCCCAAAAAATCTCTAAAAGACAGGATTCAGAGAGCATCCAGGTTGGTGAACACATCCTATGTGCTAGGAGGGGGTTGCATTCCAACTCCATGGGGACAGAAATTCTGTATTCAGGACCCCTCCAGAGCTCTCTCTATATATCTCTTCATCTGGCTGTTTATCTGTGTCCTTTATAATATCCTTAATAATAAACTGGTAAACATCTTCCCCTGAGTTCTGTGAGCCATCATAGCAAATCATCAAAACTGAGGAGGGAGTCGTGAGAACCCTCCATTTGTAGCCAAGGCTGATAGAAGTGTGGGTAACCTGGGGATTCGCTACTTGAAATTGGCATCTGAAGTGGGGGCAGTCTTGTGGGACTGAGCCCTTAACCTGTGGCATCTGCACCAACTCCAGGTAGTTGGTGTCACGGTTGAATTATAGGATGCCCAGTTGGTGTCCAGAGAGTAGGAGAATTGGTTGGTATCAGGAAAACTCCCACACATTTGGTCACAGAAGTGCTGAAAGTGTTGCATGTCATAGAGAAATGCTTTCCTTTCCTCTTTACAGTAAACTGGGGAGAGAACAGAAGCAAAAAAGTTGCTTCTTTAAAAGCCATGGAAAGGAAAGGAATTTTAAGAAAAATAAAACTCTTAAATATAGCAAATGGGATGACAGCTGCTGTATACAAAATGACAAAATTAACAAAGTAATATACCCATTATGCGTACAGCAATTTGCAGTTATCAAAAAATTTTCATATATAATGCATGTGTGTGCATATATATGTATAGACTATGTAGACTATATAAATGTGTATGTGTATATAAATTCTCTTCCTGAAGATAGAATCAACTGGTTCTTTCCTGGGGCAAGAACACTGAGTTATAGCTTCAAGACCTGAGTCATATTACTATTTGCTCTGAATTTAAAAGTTAAAAAGTCAAACAAATTTGCAAGACTAGGTTCTAATGACAATTACTTTGTCAAGGATGCAAACCACTTTTCATTTCAAAAGCATATGCGGACTTAAAGCTTGTGAAAACCAGATAAAGGTAGGCATACTTTGGAAAGAAACTGCCTGGTATAGAGGGATTAATTGTTTCCACACATCTAAGCCTGACTCCAAAACTGGCAATGGAAGACTGTATCTTGCTAACAAGTCTTAGACATGTAGTACTTGAAAAAGAACAGGTAAGGCCAGGCGCAGTGGCTCATGCCTGTAATCCCAGCACTTTGGGAGGCCGAGGCAGGCGGATCACGAGGTCAAGAGATCCAGACAATTCTGGCCAACATGGTGAAACCCTGTCTCTACTAAAAGTACAAAACTTAGCTGGGCGTGGTGGCACTCGCCTGTAGTCCCAGTTACTTGGGAGGCTGAGGCAGGAGAATTGCTTGAACCTAGGAGGCGGAGGTTGCTTTGAGCCAAGATCGCGCTACTGTGCTCCTACCTGGCGACAGAGCGAGACTCCGTCTCAAAAAAAAAAAAAAAAAAAAAAAAAAAAAGAAAGAACAGGTATATTCTATACCAAGGTGTTTGGAATGGAGACCAGGAAAATGATAGGAACGAAAATATGTTCAGAGCAACCCAGGCTGAGACTGGGGAGGCACACTTGAAGACATGACGGGGCAAGAGGTTTCGTAGTTCACTTGGTTTCCCACCCATAGCTGCATTTAGACACTCTACTAACTTCAATAGGCATGTTGGGCCAGGATGCAAAATTATTTGCCTTTTAGTTCACAATATTTTATCCGTTTCATAACACATATGGCTTAGAAGTTGAGAGTATGCGGCTTGAAGACAAATCTCAGTGCTAAGGAATAATAATTATAATAGGCCGGGCAGGTTATTTAACTTCTCTCTCTCTGATTGCTTCCTTACGTTTCAAGGGGGGATAGCACCACCCACCTCAGTGGGTTTGCATAAAGATAAAAACACCAAATGTGCCTTAGTTTGGTACTTAGAACATACTACAAAACACGGACCCATTAGTAATAAAAACAGCTGCTCTAGAACTCTCCTTAGGAGGAAAGAGCCGGGTTTTAACAGAGAACAAACATAAGCTGTGTTGCACAACCCCTTTCTCCAGCTGAATCTTCACTGTGTCTCCCTGGGTCCCAACACACAATCCTCGTGACCCCATAGGAGGCTCAAGGCATCTACAGAAGGCACATGTTAAGACAGAGATGTGATTATTTTTTAAGAGACTAAGAAACTCCAAATAATGAATGGCTATCTATCATGTGCAATGACTCTGGAGAAATATAAAATACGAACTCTGCCCTTAAGATATTGTCAGCCTGGTGGCAGTGGGAAGAGGTGCAGGGGAAACATTGAAATTTGGTTTGGAGAGACAGCCATGTAAAACCAAGTAGATGTATTTATAAGGCTTCCCTGAAGAAGGGATGCCTTTGCTGAGTCTGAGGGAAGAGTAGAACAATCCAGCGAATGAGAAGATGCAAGTATGAAATGCAAGAACATTGTTATGTTTATAGTAGAAGGAGCTTGTGAAGGCAAAGGGAAAAGAATCAGGAACAAATCAACAAAATCCCAGTGTGGGAAGGCAAGAAATGTACATTTTATCATCAAAGCCAATGGAAAGCCATGGTTGAATCTCCACAATGAGATGAACTTGATCAGCTTTTCACCTTGGAAAGGTTCCTCCAGCTTGGTTTCGAAGTAAGAGCAAAACAGAAGCTACAGCTACACTTCAGGCAAGACAGATGACCACTCCAACAAAATGCAGTGACTGAGGAATCAGGAGAAGATCAACTAAAAGCTAGCAGATATCATATTAGCAGGCCTTGGTGACAATTGGGTATGGAAGAAGTGAGAAGGATCTTGGCTGACTGCGGTTTCTGGCTTAGACAACTGAATGGATAGTGGGCCCATATGTTAACATAGAAAATGCAAGGAAAGGACCAGAGTTCCTGGGAGCTGATGTGCACAGTCCATAGTGACTCATAGAGGTCCACGTGCACTGTGGCAGTAAGCAAAGCTGTGAAAGACGCCCTGCGTGATGGACAGAATGTGATTTGGTGTCTTTCAGAAGGAGTCTCGGTCCTGGTTTGGGGCTTTGATGACTCAACAAAGTGAAGTCTGGAAAGAGGGCAGGGAGACCTCCTGGTGTGTCCTAGGGGGAGGAGAAAGGAAAGGATGCCCTGACTTAGAGAGGAGAGAGAACAGCAGCTGCCCAGACACCCCAGGACCTGCCCAATCTTGAGCTACTCCTGTTGCTGGGATTCCTTCTGTGCCCTAGACAAAGCAACTGGGACTCACCATAAAGGTAAGAAGATTGTATGTTGAATATTTTATATAAATAGATCTATAGAGATACAGAGATATGAATAGATATTCTTCCAAAAATACCATAGGCCTGAGACAGGTGTCCCATCCCTTGGGCAAGAGAATGTTATAGAACAGTATATATGCAAAGACTTTCCAAGATGTAAGTAGCCATATATATATATTTTTAATCAATTTCTTCATTAGTATGAAAGATTCAGAAAGGCAAATTTATAAAATTTATAGAGACAAAATAGATAAAGGTTGTCTGGGCCTGGGGCTAGGAAGAGGGATCAACTGTAAAGGGCATGAGGGGTTTTACTGGAGCCATGAAAGTGTTCTACAACTCACCGAATGTGATGGTTGCACAACTTGGTAAAGTTACAAAAATCATTGAATTGCAGACTTAAATTTTATGATATGTAAAATGTATGTCAATAAAATTATTTCTTAAAAAAGAAATAAATTTTCAGATCTTCAACTTCCATGTGTGGTCTTTCCTAAATATGATTTGCCTGAGAAAGCACCTGTTCTTGCTTATGTAAAATTCACTTTGCTAGCTCCCCTTTTAGTTGGCCTACTCAAAAAGGAAGAGAGTCATATTCTTTTCCTATCCTTATTTTTACTATGGTAAAAATGGAGTGTTGAGTGAAGAAACCTTCAAGCTGCCAACAGTAAGACCATCCTAAATATTGTTACTGAGATGTCTCCTTTAATGACTCATGCCTTATGGCTTGTTATCTTTCTCTTTTTTACTTAATTTGGTGAAGAGTATAGCCTTGTATTAGAAATTAAATGTCTTAACCTGCTTTGGGATGTTCTGAATTCGGATATATGGTAGAATGCGGCAGTGGACGTGTTGACAATTTTCCTTTAAGGACCTCACCTTTCCATACCTCAGCTCTTATCAAAGAACACAGCTGGGGAGAATTCCACAAGAGATTAGCAATAATAGCATGGATATACAACATTCAGTGCTGCCACTAGCTTTTCCAGGTATTTACATGTGTGCAATCCTTTTCAGCTCTTCTCAACAGTCACCCATAGGTTGTGTTATTAGCCAGGGGAGAAAAGTCACCTGTGAAAAGATGAAGCTGAACCACCTAGTGACACGGGTTTAGTGACTGCCAAAGTTTTCAAGATATATTAGACAAAGCCATGAATCAAATTTCAAATGACTTCTTCAGATTCAATATGAATTAACCAGAAAGATAGTTAGAGTTTCTTTCATCCAGTCACATCATGACGTCCATAATCTGCCTCCATGATCACTAATCTCAGGTGGCCCCAGGACCAGGTTATTTCCTCCTTTGCCATCTGCTCATAGGGGACACCGCCTTAAGACCATGTAACACATATGGCTTAGAAGTTGAGAGTATATAAGCTGAGAGGGAGGCATCCATGCAACAGGGGTGGGTGGCATGGGAATCGGGGCACCAGCTTATGTGATTTGTGTAAACTACTTTGGTATTACTTAGACCTGATCCCTATTGTATCACTTCCTTCAAATGGTGGGTTGCTGCTGTGTCCTCCTAACTTTAAGACTGAGAAAGCCCAGGTTATGATGAGTAGCTCTAGTCACACCATCCTTTGAAATTCCATGGTCAGGCTGGGCGTGGTGGCTCACGCCTGTAATCCCAGCACTTTGGGAGGCCGAGGTGGGTGGATCACCTGAGGTCAGAAGCCTGACCAACATGGTGAAACTCTGTCTCTTCTAAAAATACAAAAATTAGCTGATCGTGGTGGCACGAGCCTGAAATCGCAGCTACTCGGGAAGTTGAGGTGGGAGAATTGCTTGAACCCCAGAGGCAGAGGTTGCAGCGAGCTGAGATCATGCCACTGCACTCCAGCCTGGGCGACAGACTCCATCTCAAAAAAAAAAAAAAAAAAAGAAAAGAAATTCCATGGTCAGATACTCAGTCTCTACCAGGGATCAGGTGCTACTTGCTACTTTTCAAATGTTTTATTGTTTCGTGCTGCATTTAGCATTGCCTTGCACTAGAACCCTAGGGTTCTGTGCTAAGACTCCCTATTGGGGCTTACCAAGGATTACTCAATAGAGCTTTATTGGCACAAATATCTGGGACTCTATGAGATCCATTAGGTCCTGTGGCCCAAGTGGCAGGGCTGGTTATACAACATCTTCACCTGCCACAGAGCCTTCTCTTACCCTGGGCCCCACTCAAAACTGACAGCCTTCATAATCACCCAATAAATAGGTTGCAGCAGAATTTCCAAGAATGGTTTGCAATGTCCCCCAAACCTGAAGAGCACTACCAAATTTTCATTGTCTTTCAACTCTGAATGAAAGTCTCAATATGCCTCAAACCACTGGAATCCTAAAAACCACTCATGTGATGGGTTTCTGGATCTCTGTAGGATTTACCTCTCACCCTCTGAGGCACATATGTATTACTTAGACATTCAGAGTTCCTTTGACTTCTGCTCATCATGTCCAGTTAACATTATGTCGTCAATATAATGCACTAACATGAAATTCACATTTTAAGTACTCAGGTGCCCAAGCTGGAAAACTGGGCCTCGTTTTTAGCTCCTTTTGCTCCGAGGGTGACCAATTTCTCACGAAGGGCTGATAATTTTAACTAATAAAGTTAGATTTCCCAAATCTAACTTATTTTCTGCATCTATACTACTTCTGACTAGTTCAGGGCCTGGCTGGATACCTTCTACTGGCCCCTCCAGGCGCATGCTCCACTCTGTTCCATGCTCTTGGAGGCTGAGCTGTGTGGATGACATCTCACTTCCAGAAGGGTTTTGCTAATAGAGAACCCGATAGATCAGAGGAAAGGAGGGAAATGCGGTTGTGGTATTTATTCACATGGTTTCCTTCTGCAGGGGTGTCTCTGGCTTACTATGACACTTAACCAAAGGTCACAGCCCCTGACAGGCAGCCGTCTGTTTTTGTCCTTGTTGGGGTAACTCACTTCCTCCTCTTGCACTTTCAGGCCTGGATGGTATTAAAACCTCCCTGTGCCTGGCTCCAGTGCTGCACTATCTCTTGTGGTTACCCCATACTTTGCCTCTTAAATAGCCCCTTCATGAAACTCTCTTCAATTTACCCAATTTAAATATGCCATCTATTTCCTGACAGTATCTGATGGGCACAAGACCTTAGTATCTCTTGCTGCAAGAATCTCCTGGCTGCCACATCAAATAAGTGCACCTGCATATACACACATGCTAACGTTGTCTCTATATGGCAAAAATCTGACCATATCAATATCTGACCCCTTTGCATTTCTTATTAAATTTCAGTAACTCCCATTTGCCCTCTACGTAAAGTCTAAGCTTTTTGTTTTGGCATGCAATAACCACCACTATCCAGCCCTTGACCAATTCTATAGCTTCATCTCCAGCCACTCCCCATCTCATACTTGCTGTTCCAAGGATAACAAACTCTTGGTAGTTTCTCTCACTCTGCGCTGTTTTTCTCCCCCTTGCCCTTACACGTGCTAACTTCCTTGCTTGGTATGGCCTTCTATATTTCCAAACTCCTTACTCCATTCTCCTTCAAGAATAAGCCCTGAAAAATTTAAAAAAAAACAAGTCATGTATACTGTGGTCCCATTCATGCAAAATTGAACACATAGCTATTATATGACAATGGCTATTTGGAGAGGTGACTTAAAGAATGGCAAAATAATAATAATAGTTAACAGTGAAATATCAAATTTTTTCTTATGTTGGATAATTTTTGAGAAGGTAAGATAATGACTCCCATACAAATGTAAAATGAACAAGTGTCAACATTTAAAAAACTCATTAATTAATGAGGGGAACCACAAAGCCATTACAACTGATTCAAAGGTAAATTCAAAGAACCACACATATATAGGACAAAGGGAAGAGTAAAATAAGTTTGTTTAATAGATGCAAAGCTGATTTCCTCCAGTGTAGAAGGAAAATTGAATCTCCTCCAGATGAAATTTATATGCATCTATGGATAGATGCAAATATTTATTAGTTATCTAAAACTCTTGAGTTGTAAATAGCTCAAAGGCAATGTAAGATACAGAGACCCCACAGAATCAGGTCACCTAGAAGAGTAGCTAGATAACACCTAGTTTTTCACTGAAGATACCCAGAGTCCATTTCAAAGTCAGGTCTGTTTTAGAGTCTTTTGCAACTTTTCCCTCAACTTTCTTATACATTTTTACAAATATTTTACAAATATTTTAAAACCAATTTATAATGAACATATATCCTTTTTTAATTAAAAAAGCATGCCTCCTAAAAAACAAACAAATGCAATATTAGAAGCTCCTTTTCCTCAATTGACTTAGGTGTCACCTTTTCCAGATTATTTATCTAACCACTGCCACCCCAAGGTTAAGTTAGGCGCCATTCCTTCTCCTGTGCTCCCATAAAATTGTGTGACTCATATGTTCCTCCTACCACAATGTATTATAGTCATATTTTTCTGCAGGCCCAGCTCAGGCTGTGAGTGCTTTGAGTACCAAAATCATGAGTCATCTTTGTATTCTGGCCGCCCAGCCCATAGCAGGTTCCCAGTAGATGCTCACTGAATGAATGAAGAGACTAGGGCATGCATAGATTCTGTATATTTTGCCAAAATTATATATATATATATATATATATGACTGGGGCAGAGAAGGAGAGAGAGAGAGAGAGAGAAGGAGAGAGAGAGAGAGAGAGAAAGAGAGAGAGAGAGAGAGATGCTTAGCTTTTAAAAATAAACTGTTTGGAGTGACATTAACAAAATGTTGAGTAGGAAGAGAAGGAAACCCAACACTGTTTTGAATCCTTGGCTACAAGGGAGGTAGGGAACCATAATGAATGAGCAGGGATTGTAGGAGCCAAATTTCAGAGAAAAAAAGAATTGTGAATTTATCTTTAAAGTTTGCTTCAAAAGCATTTATCTGCTCTGATATTTACCTAAGATTTACTAAGGTTGAAGTACTTAAATAAGGGAATTGGGTTTATGTAAATAAGTTCATAGCTACAGATTTGTGAAGATTTGAACAGAGACTCAGTATTCTAAATATCAGGAAAGCACTAGTTCACAGTGTACACAATGCCTGATGCCCCCCAAAGCCTGAATACTTAAAAATCAAGAATGGGTACTTTACGATAAATGCTTTAAGACCAGAGCTGAACTGACACCACTGACTGCACAGGGGAAGGGTCTGACATGCAGTAACTAAGGAATTTGACCTGTAGGTCCAGTGAGGCCCCTAAGAAACCATTACATCACTGCAGCCAAATCTGCATTCATTCATTCATTCATTCATTCATTCAACAAATACCTATGAAGCCATTGCTAGGTGCCGGGCACCCTGCTAGAAGTGACAAATGTAACACGGTCACTTAGAGTTAGAAAGATGAATGTGAGGAGTAAGCACAGGAGGGCATCAGGTCACATGGAGGAGACAATGAATCAGCTTTGGGGTGTCAGGAAGACTCCCCTCATGTGCTGAAAATGAAGACAAGTCTAGAAGAAGAGGCTGAGGGATGAAAAGCAGGCAGAGCAGAGAGCACTGGGAGCAGGGAGTCAAATGTGTCTTGAAGCTTGAGGCTAGAGACTCATGGAGGACAAAATGATAAAACACATCACTCTTAAGCAGCTGTGGAACTTTAGGCACTTGATAGTTTACAAAGCCCTCTCACATCTTAATTTATTTGGGCCTCTCACAACAAACCTGTGAAGTAGATGTTCATTATCCTAGTGGTTCTCAATGAATAAATATTTATTGGATATGTTGACCTAAGAGAATGAAGCTGAGGCAAAATTAATACAAGCAGAGAGTTTATGTGGGCCAAGCCTGAGGATTGCAACCCAGGAGCATAGATTCAAGTTGCCCTGAATATACGCTCCAATTAGCAGAAGTTACAAGTGGATTTTTAAAGGCAAAAAATGGGGAAGGAAATGGACTGTTACAAAACTGTTTGTCAGAAATTCTCATTGGTTTACACAAAGAACATTGATTAGTGACTGGCTACACATTTATAAACTACAGAGTGTGTGTTATAGTGTCTGGTGTGGCATTATTAAGTTAATTTCCAGCTACTTGTGGCAATAGCAAGCAGTGTCAAGAGATGAATACTTAGCTCAAAGAGGGGAGTAGGGTGTGGGATTGTGGCCTCCTTTTAATGTCTCTCTGGGCCTAATAATTAAAAAGATTTGTATTCCTCAGATAAAAATTATTTCTTTTCTCAAACCTATGTGTGCATATGCCAGAATTTGATACCAGATAACAGAAGCCACTCAAGCTAATTTAAAGAGAAGAGATTTCACATATGAAATTCTGTGTTCATAAAATCACTGGAAAGGCTAAAGGAGCAGGCTCGAGGTTGATCTTCCGGGAGCTATTCCCAGACCCACCCAGTTCTAGCCCAAAACTGCTTATTGCTTACAAGAACTGCTTACTGGAACTGTGATTGCCTTTTTAGAGGCTCCCTCCTTGGACTGAGTTCAACAAGAGGAAGATCAAACAGAAACCACCATGTTTACTTAGACCTCTGACCCTGGGTTGGGCGGCCTCATGTCCCCCGTGGCTCCACTCTGCATGAGAAGCACCAGCAGTGGAGCCAACTATAGGCTCAAACTAGCCATCAAAGCTGCCATGATCACAGGATCTACAAACAGGTGAGAGCAACTCTTTGGGAATTTGGGAACTGTGGGTATCTTTGGGTCTTGTTGACCTCATTTTCTTAGGCTCATCCCCACAAAGCAAAGCCTACTAGATTTAACTGCTAGTAGATTTTTGGGAAGGTGATCTTAATGAGAAATATTGAGGAAAAGGAAAGGAAACTGGAAAAGGAGACAAAACCAGTGCAGGATGTGTAATGGAGTCGGCCCACTATAGGCCACTGGGTGATGGGTTTCAAAGGTCTTCTAGGAAGCAGGAAATGCATCTCAGAGGCATCTATCAGTGGAAGAGGAGAGAATTCCTCCGTCAGTCAAGAGTTGCCCTATGTGGGTTAATGCCTCACACTTTCAAGCTGCATGCCGGTGAGCACTCAGTGGTTTCACATGCCTGAGGCAGGGAGCTCTCTGGTTGCAGCTGCAAAGCAAACCAAAGCCTTGAGGAACTGAGAACGAGTTTTCATAGTAGGGATTCTAGTGGGAGGGGAGGCCAAGAAGATCTGATGTGGACATAGGAGGTTCAATGCATCTGTGGACTGACCTATTTCCTCTTTATCTCTTCTGGTCCTCTGACCATCCATAGTACAGCATGAGGTTAGCTGCTCTGAGTTAGTGGAGAGAATTCATTTGGTGCCTCAGGGCTAGAAATGCAGCAAGAAAAGTCTCAGTCCTAGTCTAAATTGTCACCTCCTCCTCATCTCTGCCCCCAGGTTCGGCTTCGCCATTGCCCAGCGTCTGGCCCACGATAGGGCCCACGTAGTCATCAGCAGCGGGAAGCAGCAGAACGTGGACTGGGCTGTGGCCACGCTCTAGGGGGAGGGGCTGAGCATGTGCCAGACACCCTGTGCCACACGGGGAAGGCTGAGGACTGGGAGTGGCTGGTGGTCATGGTGAGAGGCATAGAAGGAGGTGCAGACAGGCTCAGGGATTCTGATACTATGACCCACAGTAGGGCAGAGGGATAAAGGCACCATCACAGGAATCGGGTCAACTATGTGTCACTTGAGCCTTGTCCACGAGGCCCAGTCTCCAGTTAACAGACCTGGGCACAGAAAGGACCAGTTCAGGGAGGGCGTCCTTTCTCCACCCAGGTTTGTTCTCTCCCTCAGGGAGAGAGGGAGTGCATGTGGCCTGGGACTCAGGGAGATGTTGGGGTGGGGACCATGCTGGTAGGAAAGAGGAAGCTGGCTTCTCCACCAGCTCCGTGGAGCCAGCCAGGCCCTCCTGGAAGATTCCTGAGGAGGAGTCTGAGGGGACAGAGATGTACAGAAGGAAGCCCTCATCTTACAGTCAGAGGTAGAGTGTTCAGGGAAATGGAGAGGGGACAGTGAAATTTCAAGACACAGTGCAGGTGAGAGATGTGTTTGGGGACGGGTAGCAAACAGTGCCTGGGACTAGAAGGAGGATGTGAAAGGGTACTGGGTGATGCTCCACCGCTTTTTATCCAGAAGCTCCGTACCTGGCTCCTAAAGGAAAAGAGATAATCTCCATCCTCACATGATATTGCTCTCCTGTGCTTTGAACTTGACCTAGGTACAGCCTCTGGGACATTAAACAGGAGTCACCTTCCACTGCTGCAGACACCTTCCTCTTCCGTAACCTTATTCCTTTATGTCCCTTTCTCACTCTCAGGCCCTGGAACACTGTGGGGGTGTGGACTTCCTGGTGTGTGTGGCAGGGATCAGTCCCTTGGTGGGAAGTGCCTTGGGGATCAGTGAGCAGGTCTGGGACAAGGTGAGGTCTGGGGAAGCCAGGAGGGGGCAGGCCGGACTTCATCCTCACCTTCCTGCCATGTAACCCTCTCTCCATCTAGGCTCACACATCCAGAGCTGATCCTCAGCTCTCACACATCCACCTTCCCATGACAGATTCATTGATGCAGAGTGAGGCCTGGGGCTTGGACTTTCTGAGCCTCAATTTCCCCATCTGTGAGATGGATGTAGGAGTGTCTAAGTGGCAGTTTTGGTCCCCACTGTTCAGGAGCTACCAGTCTGCAGGGAATGTCCAACCAAAAACCAAATAGTCACAAAAAATATGGGGCACAGAGAAGGGAATGACAGCCTAATCCCTAACACGGGTACCTCCTGGCTATCACCCCAAAATCTAGCCTTCCCCAGACTCAGCTATTGATGCCTCCTCTGCTCCAGATGAAACTGGTGTGCTTGGAAACATGGGGAGACAACCCATAGACTCTGGGGTCTTCTGCTGGAAGAGTCTTCAGCCTAATCCACTTACTCCTGTATCTTCAGGATGCCCCCATTTCCATGAATGCACAGGAAAGCCAACACTCCACCCACATTATGGGTGTCAGAGGCCATCATGCCCACATCCTAACCTGGTACATTTCCTAATATGGTGAGACTGCTGGACTGACTGCATCTCCACTCCCCCATCTCCTGTTTGCTCTGATTTCAGATCCTAAACATCACTGTGAAGGCCCCAGCCTGCTGCTGAGCCAGCTGCTGCCCCACACGGAGAAGATGGGGTGAGGGTGGGAAATGGGAATAGGGAGGTAGCTGCTTGATATCAAACAGGCAGCAGGGGAACTAGAGTGAGAGGGGGCCGATTTGAGAGTTAGACATTCCTACTGGGAAACAGGCTTAGCTGAGCCGGTCATACAAGAATGGTGAGTGTGTGGCTTTCATGCTTCTGGGTCAGCTAAAAAAAAAAAAGTTCTATCCATTAGTGTCAATCTCTCACATCTGGAGTGCCCAGGGGGTCTGGCAAGGACTTGACTGGAATAAGGAGGAAGGATCCACAGACAGAAGGTCCCAGAGTCCTGACAACAGTCTTGGAATCAGAGACCCTTGGGCTACAGGAGCTCTGGCCACAAGAGTTCAGGCTGATGACCCTGAGACACCCCATAGCCGGCCTGTAACTAGAGCAGTTGTTTCCCAGTCCCACTCAACTCTTATCCCTCCTGCTTCCTCTTACACCTGTCCTACCCGACCTTTTCCCAGCTCCCACCAGTCAGTTCCCAAATTAGGAAGCCTGCTTCCTTGCTGTCCTCACAGCCCGTGATAGAAGCATCACCTGTGGGATGGGCCTACGGCTGTCTCTCGCTGTCAATTCCCCACTGGTCTTGGCGACTCGGGATGTTCCCAGATGTTCTCCCCATGCCATTTGTCTTAGGGTTGGAACAATCTGCCTGTGCTCCTGGGAGTTCCTTTTTCATTCTTGGATTTCAGCCCAATCATTAGAAGGTTTCATTTTTCTGACCACCTTAGGAACACACCTTAGGCCTGTCTCATTCCTGCTCTAAAATAGATCCCTCTGGCCATGCCCCAGCCTCTTAAACATCTCCCCTCACTTAGCCATGCCTCCTCTGAAGGTCAGGGCCACCCAGTTATCTCCACCAGCATTGCCCTCACTCTCTTCTTTAAAATGGTCAGTGGAGGTAAAGTGAATTTTCCTCAGTCTCAGGTAAAGTGCTTTGCAGATAGATGTAGTTTTAAGACTCTTTTCCCAACTGTTTTGCTTCCCTTCAGTTCCCGTATTGACATTCTGGAGCAGCCACTGAATTCAGCAAGCATGTACTGAGCAGCTAGTATAGACTGGGCTGCTTCTCTGGACTTGTGTGATCATCTGTGAAACACAACCAGGACTTCTAACTAATGAGGACTTCTGAGGCCCCTTCCAGTGCTAACACAGACATGGTGTGATATTAGATTGAATCTCAGTGGTCCCGAGTCACTGAGAACAGTGGGGAATTGACAGGAAGAGACAACCCTAGGCCCATCCCACAGGTGATGCATCTACCATGGGCTGTGGAGAGAGCAAGGAAGCAGACTTCCTAATTTGGGAAATGACTGGCAGGGGCTGGGAAAAGGTCGAGGAGGACAGGCCAGTGTAAGAGGAAGTGGGAGGGACAAAAAATATCATTTTTGTTGATAGAAAATGGCCAAATACAGTAATTTATGTGGTTGAACACAATACAATGGTTTTCAAATTGTTTTTAATGGCAGAAACCTTTTGTCAAAGAATAACCTCCATAGGAGTCCAATATATAAAACAGACAAAAGCAGAAATGCCCAGCTTAAAATTGGAATAGGGGCCTGGTGCTTAACCATCTGGTCCCTATTCCTGGTACTGGGCACCTCTTGCAGAATCTGGCTTCACAAAACTTGTTGCAAACTACAAATGTAATGAAGACAGCATGGGCTTTGGAGTCAGAGAGACCTACCTTTAGAACCCTGCTCTGTCACTAGCTACATATGCTTGCTAACTAAACTCTCTGGGCCTTTGTTTCCTTACCTATTAAGTGGGATAATGATGCTTGGCAGACCTCTTGTGGACATTAATTGGCATGATAAAATATGTTGATTATGCACATAGTAAAGACTGTGTCTATATATATTTACTAGAGTAAATAATAAACATTGGCCGGGTGCAGAGGCTCACATCTGTAATCCCAACACTTTGGGAGGCTGAGGCAGAAAAGTCGCTTGAGCCCAGGAGTTCAAGGGTGCAGTGAGCTATGATCACACCACTGTACTTCCAACTAGGTGATCAAGTGAGACGCTGTCTCAAAAAAAATTATTGGAAAATGAATATTATCATTTTCACAGCTACAAGAACGTCACAAACTAAAGTTCTTTACAAGTGAAAGAACTTTACATCACAATTAAAAGAACTAGAGAACCAAGAGAAAACCAACCCCAAAGCTAGCAGAAGACAAGAAATAACCAAAATCAGAGGTGAACTGAAGGAGATTGAGACACAAAAAAACCATTCAAAAGATCAGTGAATCCAAGAGTTGGTTTTTTGAAAAAACTTAATAAAATAGACTGCTAGCTGGACTAATGAAGAAAAAATCCAAATAAACAAAATTAGAAGTGACAAAAGGGGTCATTGACCCCACAGAATACAAATAGCTATCAGAGAATATTATGAACACCTCTATGCACATAAACTAGAAAATCTAGAAGAAGAGGATAAATTCATGGACACATACACCCTCCCAAGACTGAGCCAGGAAGAAATTGAATCCCTGAACAGACCAATAATGAGCTCCGAAATAAAATCAGTAATAAATAGCCTACCAAGAAAAGCCTAGGAATGACAGATTCACAGCTGAATTCTCCCAGCTGTACAAAGAAGAGCTGGTACCATTCCTACTGAAACTATTCCAAAAAATTTAGGGAGAGGAACTCTTCCCCAACTCATTCTATGAGGCCAGCATCATCCTAATACCAAACCCTGTCAGAAACACAGAAAAAAAATGTTAGGCCAATATCCTTGATGAACACTGATGCAAAAATCCTCAACAAAATACTTGCAAACTGAATCCAGCAGCACATCTAAAAGCTTATGCACCATGATCAAGTAGGCTTTATCCCTGGGACGCAAGGTTGGCACAACATACACAAATTGAGAAATGTGATTCATCACATAAACAGAATTAAGGACAAAACCACATGATTGTCTTAATAGATTCAGAAAAGGCTTTTGATAAAATTCAACACCATTTCTGTTAAAAACTCTCAATAAACTAGGTATTGAAGGAACATACCTCAAAATAATAAGAGCCATCTATGACAAACTCACAGCCAACATCATGCTGAATGGGCAAAATCTGGAAGCATTACCCTTGAAAACTAGCACAGGACAAGGATGTCCTGTCTCATCATTCGTATTCAACATAGTATTGGAAGTCCTAGCCAGAGTAATCAGGAAAGAGAAAGATATAAAGGACATCCAAATAGGAAGAGAAGAAGTCAAACGATCTCTGTTTGCAGGTGATATGATCCTATATTGAGAAAACCCCATAGTCTCGGCACAAAAGCTCCTTAAGCTGATAAACAACTTCAACAAAGTTTCAGGATACAAAATTAATGTACGAAATTCACTGGCATTCTTATACACCAACAACAGCCAATCCAAGAGCCAAATGAGGAATGCAATTCCATTCACAACTGCCACAAAAAATACCTAGGAATACAGCTAAACAGGGAGGTGAAAGATCACTACAATGAGAACTACAAAACATTGCTAAAAAAAAAATCAGAGATGACACAAACAAATGGAAAAACATTCCACACTCATGGATTAGAAGAATCCATATTGTTAAATTGGCCATATTACCTAAAGCAATGTATAGATTCAAGGCTATTCCTATTAAACTGCAAATGACATTCTTCACAGAACTAGAAAAGGAACTATTTTAAAATTCATATGGAGCCAAAAAAAGAGCTTAAATAGCCAAAGCAATCCTAAGCAAAAATAGCAAAGCTGGAGGCATCACGCTACCTGACTTCGAACTATACTACAGGGCTGCAGTAACCAAAACAACATGATACTGGTACATAAACAGACACATAGAATAATGGAACAAAATAGAGAGCCCAGAAACAAGGCTACACACCTACAACCATCTGATCTTTGACCAAGCTGACAAAAACAAAAAATGGGGAAAGGACTCCCTATTCCATAAACAGTGCTGGGATAACTGGCTAGACATATGCAGAAGATTGAAACAGGATGCCTTCCTTACACCATATACAAAAATTAAATCAAGATAGAATAAAGACTTAAATTAAAACCCAAAACTATAAAAACACTGGAAGACAACCTAGGCAATATCATTCTGGATGTAGGCATGGGCAAAGGTTTCATGACAAAGAAGCCAAAGTAATTGCAACAAAAGCAAAATTGACAAATGGGATCTAATTAAACATAAGAGCTTTTGTATAGCATAAGAAACTATCAACAGAGTAAGCAGACAACCTACAGAATGGAAGAAAATTTTTGCAAGATATGCATCTGACGAAGGTCTAATATCCAGCATCTACAAGGAACTAACACAAATTTACAAGAACAAAACAAACAACCTCATTAAAAACTGGGCAAAGGACATGGCCAGATGCTTTTCAAAAGAAGACATAGATGCGACCAACAAGCATATGAGAAAAATCTCAATATCACTGATCATAAGAGAAATGCAAATCAAAACCACAATGAGATACCATCTCACACCAGTCATAATGGCTATCATTAAAAGGTCAAAACATAACAGATGCTGGTGAGGTTGCAGAGAAAAAGGAACACTTAAACACTGTTGGTGGGAGTGTGAATTAGTTCAACCATTGTGGAAACAGTGTGGTGATTCCTCAAAGACCTAAAAACAGAACTACCATTCCATCCACCAATCCCATTACTGGATATATAACCAAAGGAATATAAATCATTGTATTATAAAGGCACATGCACACGTATGTCCATTGCAGCACTATTCACAATAGCAAATACATTGATGTCCATTAATGTCCATTAATGGCAGATTGGATAAAGAAAATGTGATAAATATACACAGTGGAATACTATGCAGCCATAACAAAGAATGAGATCATGTCCTCTGCAGGAACATGGATGGAGATGGAGGCCATTATCCCTAGCAAACTAATGCAGGAATAGAAAAGCAAATACTGCATGTTCTCACTTATAAGTGGGAGCTAAATGAAGAGAACACATGAATACATAATGGGGAATAACAGAGACTGGGGCCTATCAGAGGGTGGAAGGTAGGAGGAGGGAGAGGATCAGGAAAAATAACGAGTGGGTACTAGGTTTAATACCTGGGTGATAAAATAATCTGCACAACAAATCCCCATGAAACAAGTTTACCTATGTAACAAACCTGTACATTTACCCCTGAACTTAAAATAAGAGTTAAAAAAAGTAAAGAAAATAAATATTAACTACAGTATAAATTATCACATAAGTAGTATAAATAACATTTAATAATAATTTAATTGGTTTCAATATTTACAATAAACGTTATTAATATTATTACTACTACTACTACTATTAGTTGTGAGATCTGAGCAAGTAAAAGATTGCTTTCTCCAACCTTGTGGATAAGGCAGGACTTTATGAAGGAAGCTCCACTTAAGTTGTTTCTATTTATTCTTATCTACTTGCCAAAATCCTATTATTCCTAACCCAATTTAAATGGCGATTCCCATATGCTAAAAGAATATAACCATCAACCTAGAATTCCATATCTATCAAGTATATCTTTCAAAAATTAGGGCAAATTTATAACATTTTCAGAGAAATGAAAACAAAGTTTACTACCAGAAGATCTTCACTAAAGGAAATTTTATTTTTTTATTTTTTATTTTTAAAATTTTTTTATTATACTTTAAGTTCTAGGGTACATGTGCACAACATACAGGTTTGTTACATATGTATACATGTGCCATGTTGGTGTGCTGCACCCATTAACTCATCATTTACATTAGGTATATCTCCTAACGCTATCCCTTCCCCCTCCCCCCACCCCACAACAGGCCCTGGTGTGTGATGTTCCCTTTCCTGTGTCCAAGTGTTCTCATTATTCAATTCCCACCTATGAGTGAGAACATGTGGTGTTTGGTTTTTTGCCCTTGCGATAGTTTGTCATGTCCCTAAAAAGGACAAGAACTCATCCTTTTTATGGCTGCATAGTATTCCATGGGGTATATGTGCCACATTTTCTTAATCCAGTCTATCATTGTTGGACATTTGGGTTGGTTCAAAGTCTTTGCTATTGTGAATCGTGCCACAATAAACATATGTGTGCATGTGTCTTTATAGCAGCATGATTTATAATCCTTTGGGTATATACCCAGTAATGGGATGGCTGGGTCAAATGGTATTTCTAGTTCTAGATCCCTGAGGAATCGCCACACTGTCTTCCACAATGGTTGAACTAGTTTACAGTTCCACCAACAGTGTAAAAGTGTTCCACTAAAGGAAATTTTAAATGGTACTTTAGGCAGAAGGAAAGAAATGATTTCATACGGAAAATCTAAGATGAAAGTAAGAATGAAAAACACAGAACATAGTAACATGAACAAATTAAACCACTTCTTGTAAAAAGAAATCGTTTTGTGGAGTTAAAAAAATTAACTCCACAAATAGTTAAATATGCAAAAACAATATTTAAATCAGGAGATAGAAATAGAGTTAAGGTGTAAGAAGATTTTTATGTTGTTAGAGAGAGGGTAAGGATATTAATCTTAAACTTTGATAAGCAAAACAGGCCTGTTTAACTTTATAGGGCAAAGCTACAAGAATGGCAATGGAGTATGAAGTATATTTTCAAATTAATAGAGAGGGAAGTGGAAATGGAAAAAATAATCTAAAAAAAAGCAAGAAGGGACAGAAAACAAAACAAAGAACTGGGGGAATATTTAAAAAGTGCAAAATTGGATGCTAGACATTAATCCTAGTATATCAGTGATGACAGTTAAAATATAAAGATTGTCAAGCTAGATTTTTAAATCAAAAATTTTAAATCTGATTAGACAGAAATGACATATTTTATTAAATTTTTCATTTCTGTTGAATGAGTTTATAGAAATTTATTTATAGAAACAGCTCTAGGAAATGTATAGTTCTAGGAAAGGCTGGCAATCAAGAAATTGAAGTAGGACAGATAAACCTCAAGCACATTTACAATGTGTACTCGGCTCAACTGCTGTAGTTAAAATGCACATTTTAATCCTTCTTTACAGAATTAAAGTGTATCTTTCTTGATGGTAACCAAAGTATTATATTGTCAATGCTAAGTAAAAGTCAAAGCTGAAATGTTCAGGAGAGAAAGCACTCAGTATGAAAAAAGAAAAAAATGTAGAGCAGAAATCAATGGAAAATAAAACAAAATACAATATAGGGATCAAAAAAACCAAAAAAACCCTATTTTTTAAGAAAATGAATGTTTCTGGCAAATTTCCAATGGGATTGATCAAGGAAAAAGAGGAAAGACATAAATAGCCAATATCAGGAATAGAAACAAAAGATACAGATCCTGAGAACAATAAAAAGGCATGAAAAGAATGATAATGCCAAAGAGAAATTTTTACATCAAACTTATGTTTATGCTGAAGTTATAATGAAATAGAAAAAAATTTTAAACTTATATATCTTACCAAAACTGACTCAAGAAGAGATAGAAAACCTGACCAGTCCTATAACCATTAAATAAATGTAATGTATAGTCAAAGTTTTTCCTACAAAAACAAAATCCAGGGACCGGGCACAGTGGCTCACTGTGACATATGCTTCAACACAGTGGTGAGGACCACGGGTAGCTCCTGTTCCTATCCCCTGAGCAGTAGTGTACCTTTTCCTTCCAGGCCATGTGCCACAGAGAGCTGGACTCTCTGGCCTGGACCTGTGGACTTTTGCTCTGATATCCACAGCCTTTGGGATCAGCAGCAGAATCAGAATCAGTTCTTTGTGAGAGGCCACCCCAACAGTTCTTTCACAAGGACACAGGCCTGCAAGATGCACAGCCTATGTGATGTGACTCCATCTGTAGGAGTGGCACTGACTTTTTTACCTTTCCTGTAGCTACTTGAGGACCTGGTCTTGAGGGATCACACGAAGAATCTCTTCAGAGTACAGAGGTGAGTTGCGGAGAGGCAGTATCCCTTGTAGAGCTGGATTAACATGACCTCAGAACCTTCATGATGAGTGAAAGATCACACACTATCCCTCACAGCCTTACCCATTCCCCTTTCTGGGGTCTGACAGTCCTCTCAGGCCTGGGATGACCTCTGCAGGTCCCTGCAAAGCCCACATCTCTTCACTTACAGCCCTTTGCTCACCCCCACAGGGGTCTTGACTTCACAGCATCCCATGGGAACCCAGGGCTCATGAGGAAGGTGTAATTAGTCTCAGCCCCACCTCCTTTTTCCATGCAGAGTGGGGTGGCGTGGGGACTGTGTGGGGCTTGTGTCCTTCCTGTGCTCTCCAGACACCGGCCACATCACTGGAGACAACATTGTGGTGGCCAGCATTTCCCCTCACCTCTGAGGGTCAGGAGCTCTGAGCTTGGGCTTGTGTCTGGTGCAGGAGCTTCAGGGGGTCCTTGGGCCACCCCACTGCAACACCTTGTTAACAGTGGGTCCATGCTCCAAATACACACTTTGATTCAAAACTGTCACAGGTAGAAATAGTAAAGAACATCAGAAAGATGTCATATCACAAGAGGGCTTGTGCTATGAAACTATCATTAAAATCAGAGAGAGTGATGTCAGCTTCACCAGAAACTAAATGGTGTTCTTGGGAGTTTTAAGGAAAGGAGCTAAAGTCAGGCAGAGAGAGAGAGCTGAAAGGAAGGAAAGGAAAAAGGCATTTTGAACATGCTGCTGGATGCTGTCATGTGGATTGTCTCCTAAACATCTCTGTGAGCCTGATGACTTGGAGCAATTTAAGGAAAATGCTTTGAGGGCACATGGCTAGGCCACGATCAGAAACAGAACCCAGTGTGTTGGTGCAACAGGAAGGGATCAGCATGGAACCTGTATTTGAGAGGAAAGATCAGCCCCTGCAGTCCTCATTCTTCTCTCAGATCCTTATCCTAAAAGTCTGGCTCTGGTCTACCTGCATTCACACAATTCAGCCTTCCACAGATAAGTGCCATGGCAGTAACTATCATCTCTCATACAATTTAAACCCTTGTTGCTTGAAAGTCAGGAACAGTGCCAGACCTTGAGTGCCCCACCCATATCCCTTTGGCCCACATTGGGATCAAAGACATCTTTGGTGAATAACTGCCAGATACACGGAAGTCTCCCCACCTCAAGCCCTCGTGTTTCTCTCCTGGACAGAGATAGGCCTGTATAAAGGGGCACAAACCAACATAACATGTAAGTAAACTAGAGACTTGCTCTCATCGGCCCTTCCTGAGAAATTCCCCGAAAGTCAAGTTTTCGACAACCAAAATAACTACAGGGACATTGACGTAAGGACTGACAGTGAATACTATAGTTCCTTGAAGAACTAAAACAAATGAGTTTAAAAGGAAGGCAGTGTGATGTATAATGGCTTTCTTCTCTGATGGTATAGATACAGCAGAACTATAAAAAAACTAAATATTGGCCAGGTGCAGTGGCTCATGCCTATAATCCTAGCCCTTTGGGAGGCTGAGGGAAGAGGATTGCTTGCGGTCAGGAGTTCGAGACCAGCCTGGCCAACATGGTGAAACCCTGTCTTTACTAAAAATACAAAAAAATTAGCCAGGCATGGTGGTGTGTGCCTGTACTCCCACCCAGCTACTGGGGAGGCAGAGGCATGAGAATCACTTGAGCCTGGGAGGCAGAGGTTGCAGCAAGCTGAGATCGTGCCACTGCATTCCAGCCTGGGCAACAGAGTAAGACTCTGCCTCCAAAACAAAACAAAACAAAACAAAACAATAAAACTTAACATAGTTACTGTATTAGTCTGTTCTTAGGCTGCTAATAAAGACATACCCAAGACTGGGTAATTTACAAAGAAAAAGAGATTTAATTGACTCACAGTTTCACATAGCTGGGGAGGCCTTACAGTCATGGTGGAAGGCAAAGGAGGAGCAAAGTCACACCTTCCATGGTGGCAGGCAAGAGAGCTTGTGCATGGGAACTGCCATTTATAAAACCATTGGATCTCATGAGACTTATTCACTACCACGAGAACAGTAGGGGAAAAACCACGCCCATGATTCAATTATCTTCACCTGGCCCGCCCTTGACATGTGGGGATATTACAAATCAAGGTGAGATTCTGGTGGGGACACAGCCAAACCATATCAGTTACTTATAGAACTAAAACTAAATGAGAGTTATAAGAGAGGGAGTATGGTATGTAATGGCTGTATGATTTGATAATATAGGTATAGTACAACTGTAAAAATGAAGGAGAGGTTGGAGATGGCACTTGCAAAGGAAAATTGTAGCTATTTTCAAAAATAGTGGTAATAGAATAGTTTTGTATTCCTCAGGCCTTTGTGTGGTTTCTAATTTGACTCGGGAGTGTCACTAAACTCATGATAATTTTTTTCTTAGCTCTATCCAAAGAAAAAGCCTAGAAACATCAACCAACCCAAAGCGCTTGCATCCCTGGCATTCAGATTATGGTCTTAGAATATCGTTTCCCACCAAAAGACCCCATCTTCTTAGAGATGCGCCTGATTCCAGGTCAGGGGCAGGAAATGAGCAAGATGAGTAAAGAACTGTGATCTTTCATTGTTGCAGCTGACGTCACTCTTCTGCTCAGCTGCTCTGTTTCTCTGAACACCATAGTCTATTAGCCATTGTCATAAATCCCTGTGGCTCAGAGTCCCATGTCTACCATTCTAGTTTTTCTGCTTAATAGAGTAATTAGAACTGATTGGCCTTTCCTGTTTTAGATTTCTTTCATCATACTGATAAAAGGGACATGAGCTCCACAGATGCCTTCCTCCTTGTCATTCTTTGCTTACAAAAAAGACCCTTGAGCTTCTCAGCAATGCAGTCTCCCTTTTCTAGTTGATTTCTCATTCTTTTAGTAAAGGGAGTATCCTCTGTATCACAGTCAACTTACGCATTCTCTGGTCTTTTAAATAAATCCATTCCTGCATGTCTACTCTGTGTTTCAGCATTTGGGGATAGGTGTTCCCTGAGATTTTGTCTGACTATGTAATTCATGTTTCCTGTTTCAGGTCTGGTCTCCACACACTCTTGTCCTGAGTCTTAATTCTCCTTCTTTTTTCGACATACCACCCATCTCATTTATCCATTTTCTTCTATATTCTCTCATGGCTTATGTTTCTCTATAGGGGTCAAAGCCAGCTTCACTGGAATGGCAATAAGTTGTATCTTGCAGCTCCTTCCAGATGATGATGCTTCCTGGCCCAGCTGAGGTTGCGAGACAGTGAGGGTTTGTGTTAACCATCTGAGAGTGGGTGGAGTCTGGTGGACTCTGGAATTGGGTTTTGAGAAAAGAAGCATCAATTCTGTCATGCTGAATACTAGAAGTGTAAAAAATTTAGAGGGAGGGAAAAAGCAGGAGTCGTGCCTCAATTTGGTGTATAGCTTAATATTAAGAACATGGGCTTTGGAATTGGTGGACTGGATTCAAATCTTCTCTCTATTGCTTACTATGTGAGTGACTTTGGTAAAGTTAAAGTCTCAATTTTTTTGTCATCTATAAATTGATGATTAAATGATATGTGTCTGATGATTAAATGACATATTAAGCATTAGGTAAATTTACCTTTATTAGTAATAATTGTATGAAGAACCTAGTAAAGGTCTTGATGATCTATCCTCAGTGGCTCCAGAATTTGCAATCAGGACTAGTTTGGGAGCTGCACACTGCCTTGCTGTGGGTGAATGGTAGTGGAGGGGCCTAAAACTGTATTTATAAGACACTTTACAGAAATTGAGAAAATAAATAAAATGACTCTGGGAGATGTTTCTTGTCTGATGACCAAAAGTGATTGAGAGGGAACTGGGAATGCTTAGCAGAGAGAAGGCCAGGCAAAACTGGGATAGGTGAAGATAACATAACCTGTTTCATGGTTTGAAGGGCTGTCATAGAGAAGAGAAAATTGACTTGCTCAATAATGCTCAATGTTGGCTGGGCACGGTGGGTCATGCCTGTAATCCCAGCACTTTGGGAGGCCGAGGCGGGCGGATCATGAGGTCAGGAGTTGGAGACCAGCCTGACCAACATGGTGAAACCCTGTCTCTACTAAAAATACAAAAATTATCTGGGTGTGGTGGCACGCACCTGTAATCCCAGCTACTCAGGAGGCTGCGGCAGGAGAATTACTTGAACCCGGGAGGCAAGATCACACCACTGCACTCCAACCTGGGTGACAGAGACTCTCTCTCAATAATAATAATAATAATAATAATAATAATAATAATAATAATGCTCAATGATGTAAGTACAAGGGATGCATCTAATACCAATGGGAAGAAGCTGTATATGGAGAAAGGTTTCTGCTCCTATTAAAAAGATATTTTCCTTGTGATAGTTTGCTGAGAATGATGGTTTCCAGCTTCATCCATGTCCCTACAAAGGACATGAACTCATGGGGCCTGTTGTGGGGTAGGGGGAGCGGGGAGGGATAGCATTAGGAGATATACCTGATGTTAAATGATGAGTTAATGGGTGCAGCACACCAACATGGCACATGTATACATATGTAACAAACCTGCACATTGTGCACATGTACCCTAGAACTTAAAGTATAATAAAAAAATAAAAAATAAAAAAAAGATGTTTTCAAATCCCCAAAGAGGAAATATAGCCATGGGTAATAGGAATTTCCCATGTCACGAGAGCTTTTCAAGAGAGGATGGAAGGTCTACTTTGCTGTAAGGTTGCAGAGGGAATGAACCTCCGACAGGTTTTAAGTAGATAATCCAAAGACAGTTCCACACCAGAGAGTCTCTGATTCTTTATTGAGGTATCCTGTTTTTAGAGGAATATAAGAATGAACTTGTGGGAAAGGGTCAGAGCAATCTCAAGGATTATATGAGAGTAAGAGCCAGAACGTTGAAGTGATTTGAACTGAATAAAATGAACCAATAATGCTTTTAAGCAGTGTTATGCCCACAGAAAAGTATGAACCTATATATTTATAACCTGCCAAATTTGTGCATACTCTGTATTCCTGAAATAAACTGCTCTTTTCTTAGTTGACTCCTAAATAATATCTCCCAAATGACTCTTTAGGAATAAAACTTCTTTAGAGCAAAATTGTCCAAAATGGAAAGGAAATCTTCAAAAGACTAGAAACATTACTTTTGGCTGGACATGATGGCTCACACCTGTAATCCCAGCACTTTGGGAGGCCAAGGTGGGAGGATCACTTGAGGCCAGGAGTTTCAGACTAGCCCTAGCAGGACAGTGAGACCCTATCTCTACAAAAAATAAAAGTAAAAAATTAGCCAGGTGCCGGGCATGATGGCTCACATCTGTAATCCCAGCACTTTGGGAGGCCGAGGCAGGTGGATCACGAGGTCAGGAGTTCAAGACCAGCCTGGCCAAGGTGGTGAAACCCCATCTCTACTAAAAATACAAAAACAAAACAAAACAAAACAAAACAAACAAACAAAAAAAACAAAAAAAAACCTAGCCAGGCACGGTGGCGGTGCCTGTAGTCCCAGCTACTCAGGACGCTGAGGCAGAAAATTGCTTGAACCCTGGAGGCAGAGGTTGCAGTGAGCTAAGATGGCACCACTGCACTCCAGTGCAGGTGACAGAGTGAGACTCCATCTCAAAAAAAAAAAAAAATAGACAGGCATGATGGCATATGCCTGTAGTCCCAGCTACTCAAGAGGCTGAGGTGTGAGGTTGGCTAGAGCCTGGGAAGTTGAAGTAAGCTGCAGTAAGCTGTAGTTGCACCACTGCACTCCAGCCTGGACAACAGAGCAAGACCCTGCCTCAAAAAGAGAGAGAAAAGAAAAGAAAAAAGAAAAGAGAAACATTGCTCTGGCAAGCATGATGGAACCAAATAACAGTGAACCAAAGTCCCAGTATGTGTACAGGCATACCTCAGAGATACTGTAGGTTCAGTTCCAGACCACTACAATAAAGCAAATATTACAATAAAGCAAGTCACGGGAATTTTTTTGGTTCCTCAGTGCATACAGAAGTTATGTTTACACTCTACTGTATTGTAAGTGGGCGGTACCACCATGTCTAAGAAACAATGTACATACCTGAATTTAAAAATACTTCACTGCTAAAAAATGCTAACAATCAGCTGAGCATTCATCAAGTCACACTCTTTTTGCTGGTACAGGGTCTTGCCTTAATGTTGATGGCAGCTGACTGATCAGGGTGGTAGTTGCTAAATGTTAGGGTAGCTGTGGCAATTTCTTCCACTAAGACAACAGTGAAGTTTGTTGCATTGATTGACTCTTCCTTTCACAAAAGATTCCTCTGTAGCATGTGATGCTGTTTGATAGCATTTTACTCACAATAGAACTTCTTTTAAAATTGGAGTCAATACTCTCAAACCCTACTGTTGCTTAATCAGCTAAGCTTATGTAATATTCTAATTCCTTTGTTGTCATTTCAGCAATGTTCACAGCATCTTCACTAGGAGTAGATTCCATCTCAAGAAACTGCTTTCTTTGCTCATTCATAGAAAGCAACTCCTCATTTGTTCAAGTTTTATCAGGAGATTGCAACAATTCAGACACATCTTCAGACTTCACTTCTAATTCTAGTTCTCTTGCTTTTTCCACCACATCAGCTATTACTTGCTTTCCTTCACTGAAGTCTTTAACCCTTCAAAGTCATCCATGAGGGCTGGGAATCAATGTCTTCCCAACTCCTGTTAATGTTGATATTTTGACTTCCTCCTAAGATCACACATATTCTTAATGACATCCACAATGCTTAATCTTTTTTTTATTATTATACTTTAAGTTTTAGGGTACATGTGCACAACATGCAGGTTTGTTACATATGTATACATGTGCCATATTGGTGTGCTGCACCCATTAACTCGTCATTTAACATTAGGTATATCTCCTAATGCTATCCCTCCCCCCTCATGGATGAAGCTGGAAACCACAGTGGTTAATCTTTTCTCGAAGGTTTTCAATTAACTTTGCCTAAATCTGTTAGAGGCATCACAGTCTGTGGCAGCTATAGCCTTACAAAATATATTAATTAAGTAATAAGCCTTGAAAGTCAGGCCAGGCGTGGTGGCTCACGCCTGTAATCCCAGCACTTTGGAGGCCGAGGCAGGTGGATCACTTGAGGTCAAGAGTTCAAGACCAGCCTGGTCAACATGGTGAAACTCCGTCTCTACTAAAAATACAAAAAATTAGCCAGGTGTGGTGGTGCATGCCTGTGATCCCAGCTACTCGGGAGGCTGAGAGGGGAGAATCTCTTGAACCTGGGAGGCGGAGGTTGCAGTGACCGGAGATTTGTGCCACTGCACTCCAGCCTGGGAGACAGAGTGAGACTCAGTCTCAAAAAAAAAAAAAAAAAGACTTGGAAGTCAAAATTACTCCTAATCCATGGGCCACAGAATGGATGTTGTGTTAGCAGGCATGAAAACACCATTATTCTCTCCATGTACATGTCTATCAGAGATCTTGGGTGACCAGGTGCATTGTCAATGAGCAGTCATGTTTCTTTTTTTTTTTTGGCATGTGAAGAAAAGAATGTAAAATTCCATTTTATTTGCTTTCAATAATATTAACATGAATGATAACAAAAGATGTTGTCTTTCTGAAACAAAGAAGACATATGGCGATGGCCTACAGATAATTACCTTAGAGGAGGGGATGGGCAATGGAGATCCCTGTATATTGGGTTATTTCTTTTTTTTATATATATACTTTAAGTTCTAGGGTACATGTGCACAATGTGCAGGCTTGTTACATGGGTATACATGTGCCATGCTGGCCCACTGCACCCATCAACCCATCATTTACATTAGGTATTTCTCCCAATGTTATCCCTCTGCCCGTGCCCCATTTCATGACAGGCCACGGTTTGTGATGTTCCCTACCCTGCGTCCAAGTGTTCTCATTGTTCAGTTACCACCTATGAGTGAGAATTTGTGGTGTTTGGTTTTCTGTCCTTGTGATAGTTAATGAGCAGTCATATTTCAAAAGGAATCTTTTTTTTCTGAGGAGCAGATTTCAATAGTGGACATAAAATATTCAGTAAACCATGCTGTAAACAGATGTGCTGTCATGCAGGCTTTGTTTTTCCTTTTATATAGGGCACAGGCATAATACTTATGGAACTTAGGATTTTTGGAATTGTAAATGAGCATTGGCTTCAACTTAAAGTCACCAGCTGCACTAGCCCCTAATTAGAGAGCCAGCCTGTCCTTCAAATCTTTGAAGCCAGGCACTCACTTCTTCTGTCTAGCTATGAAAGTCCTAGATGACATTTTCTTCCAATAGAAGGCTGTTTTGTCTACATTGAAAATCTGATGTTTGGTGTAGCCACCTTCATTAATGATCTTAGCTGGATCTTCTGGATAACTTGCTGCAGCTTCTACATCAGCACTTGCTGCTTTACCTTGTACTTTTGTGTTCTGGAGATGGCTTCTTTCCTTAAACCTCATGGACCAACTTCTGCTAGCTTCAAACTTTTCCTCTAAAGCTTCCTCACCTCTGTCAGGTGTCATAATTCTCTTTAATTGAAGAGAATTAGGTCCTTGCTCAGGATTAGGCTTTGGCTTAAGAGAATGTTGTGGCTGGTTTGATCTTCTATTCAGACTACTAGAACTTTCTCCATATCAGCAATAAGGCTGTTTTGCTTTCTTATCATTCCTGTATTCACTGAAATAGCACTTTTAATTTCCTTCAATAACTTCTCCTTTGCATTCACAACTTGGCTAACTGTTTGATGGAAGGCCTAGCTTTTAGTCTATCTTGGCTTTCAACATACCTTCCTTACTAAGCTTACTCATGTCCAGCTTTTGATTTAAAGTGAGAGATGTGTGACTCTTCCTTTCACTTGAACACTTAGAGGTCATTGCAGGGCTATTAGTTGGCTTAATTTTAATATTGTTGTATCTCAGAGAATAGTGAGGTCTGAAGAGAGGGAAAGACAAGGCTGTTCAGTGGAGAAGTCAAGACTCACACAACATGTATAGATTAAGTTAACCATTTTATATGGGTTCAGTTTGTGGCACCTCAAAACAATTGCAATAGTAACATCACAGATCACCATAACGAATATAATAATAATAATGAAAAAGTTTGAAATATTGTGCGAATTACCAAAATGTGATGCCAAGACACGAAATGAGCACATGCTCTTGGGAAAATGGTGCCAATAGACTTGCTTGATGCAAGTTTGCTACAAACCTTCAATTTGTAAAAAACGCAATATCTGCAAAGTGCTAGAAAGTGAAGAATAACAAAATGAGGTTTGCAGGTACTTTAATGATGAATAAATGTCATTATACATTTGTAAACACCCATAGAATATACAACACCTAGAATGAACTCTAATGTAAATTATGGACTTGGGGTAATTAAGATTTGTCAATGTAGGATCATCAATTATAACAATTGTATTTCTTTGATGGGGAATGTTGATAATAGGGGAAGCTATGCAGGTAGGGGGACAGTGGATATATGGAAAATCTCTGTAGCTTCCTCCTAATTTTGCTGTAAACCTAAAACTGCTCTTAAAAAAACTTTTTAAAATGCATGGAACACATTTTTTGAAAAGTTAATTGAAATCTGCAACATTAGTTTTATGACCCACTAATGATTGAGACCTGCAATTTGAAAAACAGTCCTCCACAGCTACTTTAAAAAATGGTAGTGGAAACTGGGCATGGTGGCTAGTGCCTGTAATCCCAGAACTTTGGGAGGCCTGGGCAGGTGAATTACTTGAGCCCAGAGGCAGGATCGTGAAAACACTTCTCTACAGAAAATTCAAAAATTAGCCAGGCATGATGGCGCATGACTGTAGTCCCAGCTACTCAGGAGGCTGATGTGAGAGGATCACCTGAGCCTGGAGTGGTCAAAGCTGCAGTGAGCCATGATCACACCACTGCACTCCAGCCTGGGCAACAGAGTGAGACCCCGTTTCAAAAAAAAATTGGTAGTAGAGAAACTGCTTAATATACTTAACATATAAGTTATACCTTGGAATATTTAAAAGTTTTAAAAATATTAAATTATCAAAAAGTGAAATGATGTAGGGTGGGTGAAAGAAAGGGAGATCAGATTCATAACTTTTAGGGTTAGAGGGCTCCAGACCTGAGGATTCAAATTTGGGAAGGGGAAGAAAAATGTGTATAGAAGATAAATGGTGTAGATAGGAAATAGATCGAAACACTAATAACTTCATTTGACAAATTCTGCTGAAAACAGAAGAGTACGCTCCTCAGTCAGGAGACCTAAAAATGTCTAATTCCCAGATGGCAGTATCACCAGCACATGGTGAACAATATGTTCTTTTAAAAGTAATTTCATTTCATTTATTTTTAATGACAAAGTAAGACATAAATATATTCTCATTGTAAAAATTAAAATTATACAGAAAAAGTCCTTTTTGACTCTGTTACTTCTCCCTAATTGCAGTGACCTTTCAAGAACAATTTTAACTTTGAGTATACTTCCAGACCTTTCCTAATACATTTTCATTGAGCTAGAAATCAAATGTGCATGAACACATAAAAATATATTAAAAACTTAACTGGTATTACAATGGGTGTTTTGTTCTATAACTTGCTTTTTACATAACAATACATCATAGAGATTTTTCTATATTAGTGGATGTAGATTTATCTCATTCTTTATAATGTACTCATAGTACTGATATATTTGGATTTAGATGTGCCACATTGTAAATTTGTTTTTGTGTGTTCCTGCTGTGTTTTGCTTCTGTTTCTCCTTTCTTGTCTTCTTTTGAGTTATTTGAATATTTTTAAAATATTGCATTTATCAATCATGATTTTCATTATATTTCTTTGTATACTTTTCTTGGTGGTTGCTGTAGGGATTAAAAAATACATAGCTTTTCACTATCTATTTACAGTCATTTTATCATCTTAATTGGAATATAGAAGCTTTACCACCTTATAGGACCCCTTACCCTCTCTACTTTATGCTATAGTTGTCATATATTACTTGGTGAAACCCTATCTCTACAAAAAATATGAAAATTAACCAGGCATGGTCGTGCATCCCTATAGCCCCAGCTACTCAGGATGCTGATGTGGGAGGATCACCTGAGCCTGGGGAGGTTGAAGCTGCAGTGTGCCATGATCATACCACTGCACTCCAGCCTGGGCAACAGAGTGAGACCTTGTTTCAAAAAAATTATAGTGGAGAAACTGCTTAATATACTTAACATATAAGTTATACCTGGGAATATTTAAAAGTTTTTAAAATATTAAATTATAAAAAAGTGGTATAATGTAGGGCGGGTGAAAGGAAAGGAGATGAGATTCATAACCTTTAGGGTAGAAGGCTCCAAACCTGACTATTTAAATTTGGGAAGGGGAAGAAAAATGGGCATAGAAGACATACATTGAAAATTCTATCAGACAGTGTTATGACTTATGCTTTCAACCATCAAACATATTTTTTAAAATGCAAGAGAATAATAGTCTATTATATTTAACCACTATTAATCATTTCTGTAGCCTTTACTTTGTTCCTAATGTTCAAAGTCTCTTTCTTGTATCATTTCTCTTCTGCCTGAAGGAATTCCTTTAGCAAGTCTGTTGGAACAGATATGCTGGCTCTGAATTCTCTTAGTTTTCCTTTATCTGAGAATGTTTATTTTACCTTCAATCCTGAAGGACACTTTCACTGAATATAGAATTCTGGGTTGACAGGTCTTTTCTTTCAGAATTTTAAAAAATGCTGTGTCACTTCCTTGTGGCTCCACAGTTTCTGATGAGAAATCTACAGTCATTTGAGTTGTCCCCTCTAGGTAATATGCTGTTTTCTTCTGGTGGCTTTTGAGATTTTTTGTCTTCAGATTACAGCAATTGGCTTATGATGCCTCAATGTAGCTTGTTTTATTTGTTTGTCTTTCTGTTGAGGATTCTCTTACTCTCTTGAATTTGTAGGTTTATGTCTTTGGTCAAATTTGGGAAGTTATTAGACATTCTTTCTTTTTTTCTTTTTTTTTTAAGTCCCATCTCGTTCTGGGACTATCTTCAGATTCAATTACTGTTCTGTTATTGAGTCTATCCAGTGAGGTGTTTTTTGTTTGTTTGTTCGTTTTGTTTTGTTTTTTCATGAGACAGGATCTCACTCTGTCACCCAGGCTGGAGTGCAGTGGCACAATAATAGCTTGCTGCAGCTTCAACCTCCTGGTCTCAAACGATCCTCCTACTTCCATGTCAGCCTCTTGAGTAGCTGGGACTACAGACATGTACCACCATACCTGGCTAATTTTTTTTAAATCAGTTATCATAGGTTTTAGTTCTAAAAGTTCCATTTGATTAATTTGTTTGAACTGTTGGATAGTATTCATTGTATAAATATACCACAATTTATTTACCTATTTGCCTATTGATAGACAAATGTTTTTAACTCTTCTTTATCACCAACAATATTATAATGAACATGTTTTTTCACACATATGAATGAAGATCTCTTTAGGGTGTATGCCCCTAAATGAAATTGACAGTTCACAGGACATACCACATCCAGTTATGCCACCCCTTCCTAGATTCTTTCAGTTGTACCATCTCCAAGCCTAGGCCTCTTGCTCAGTGAAGAGTTCCATCTACTTCCTTCTTACCGTACCAGACTGGGTGGATACACATCAGCTGCATGGAGGGTATTCACCAGTGCCTGAGTAAATGAGCTGCAGCTGGTCAGTGGCTTCTCCAGCAGCAGTTGAGCAGCTGGACCACGCCTCCTCTATGTACTCTGAAGAGCAGCTTCAACTCTTTCTACACCAGGGTCTACAGCTCAGCCTATGTTCTAGTCAAGGCCAGGAGATTCTCCATGTTGAGCTTCCGCTCTGACTCCTCATTTCTGCCTTCTGACCCTCTGCCTGTATCTTGCAGAATCTGGCTAAACATGGTCCTGGCTTTGTTCTCTACTTTTGGAGCTACATTAAGGGCTATACTGCTATGCCACTGCTCAGAAGAGCCAAGTAATACAATTCCTAAGTGTGGATGTGGAAGAATTAATGAATGCCCTGTGGGGCAATCTTTGACCAATCAGAAAAATATAGAAATATAACATGAGCCACACATATAATTTTAAATTTTCTAGTAGTATGGTTCAAAAATGGAAAAAAATAGATGAAATTAAGTTAAAGAATATGTTTTATTTAGCCCAATTTATCTAAAATATTATTTCAACATACAGTCAACATAAAAATTGTTAAGGAGATATTTTATTTTATTTTATTTTTTGAGACTGGGTGTTGCTCTGTCACCCAGGCTGGAGTACAGTGGCATGATCACGGCTCATTGCAGCCTTTACCTCCTGGGCTCAGGCATCTGCTCACCTCAGGCTCCCAGGTAGCTGGGACTACTGGTGCATGCCATCGTGCCTGACTAATTTTTTTGTATTTTTGTTTGTTTGTTTGTTTGTAGAGACAGGGTTTTGCCATGTTTTCCAGGCTGGTCTCAAACTCCTGGCCAAGTGAGCCACCCACCTTAACCTCTCAAAGTGCTGGGATTACAGGTGTGAGCCACCGCACCTAGGCCTTTTTATTTTTTTCCCTGAAGGCTTTGAAATCCAATATGTATTTTATACTGACAGCACATCTCAATTCAAATGCTAAATTTCATCAGAAATAGTTGGTATATATTTAGATTTCATAACATTTATAGTTGAAAAAAATAGATTCACAGCTCCAAGCTGTTTCAACACAGAAGTTTTCCCATAACTGAACTGGGCATCAATTTTAAATTAAAATTAAATTTCATTAAAATTTAAAATATAGTTTCTTCGTCGCATTGTCCACATTTCAAGTTTTCAGTAGTCACATATGGCAAGTGGCTACTGTACTGGACAGCACAGTTTTAGACAGAGTCCTAATTTCTGCCTGTTTGGAAGAGAGTTTGGAACTTCCATATGAGTGTGCTTTTTTGCATTAGGAGGCAAATATTCACTAATGGAAGAACATGATACAATAATAATTTGGAATACTGTATTAGTTGCTAGGGCTGCTATAACAAACACCACCGACTGGGTGGCTTAATCAACATTTATTTCCTTACAGTTCTGGAGGCTAGAAGCCCAAGATCAAAGTGCTGGCAGGTTTGGTTTCACTGTGAGGCCTCTCTCCTTGGTCTTTTCTTCTATGCATGTCTGTATCCTAATCTCTTTTTATAAAGACACGAGTCGTTGAGCTAGGGCTCTCTCCAATGACCTCCTTTAATCTCAATTACCTCTTAAAGACACTGTCTCCAAATACAGCCGCATCCTGAGGTATTGGGGGTTAGGACTTCAACATATCAATTTTGTGGGGACACAACTCAGCTCCTAACAAAGATGAATCTAGATGTCCTTTTCTTCTATCTTTGATTACCCCCATTCTGGCCATGAGACAAGATGTTGCCAATTCCCTCAGTTTATCAGTTGTCTATTTCTGTGTGACAAATTACTCCAGAACATAGTAACTTAAAAAAACAAATATTTATTAGCTTACAGTTTTTGTGGGTGAGCTCATCTGGGTAGTGATGGCTCAGAGACTCTCATGTTGTTAGTCTCAGGGTGTCAGCTGGGGTGGACATAGGTTGGAGCATCTGCTTCTAGGATGGCTCACTCACATGGCTGTTGGCAGTAGGCCTCAGTTCCTCATTACTTGGGCCTTACCATAGGCTGCTTAAGTGACCTCACATTATGGCCTCTGGCCTGCCTGTGCGCATGAATGATCTAAAAGAGAGTGAGCAGGAAGTTACAGTACCTTTTATGACCTACTTTCCTGCTATGGTTTCAAAGTGTGTTCCAAAATTCACATGTTAGAAACTTAATTCCCAATGCAATAGTGTTGGTATTTGGGGCCTTTTAGGAGGTATTTGGGTCATGAAGGCCACACCCTCATGAAAGAATTAATGCTGCTATAAAAAGGGCTTATGGAAATGGGTTCTGTCTCTTCCACCCTTTTGCTGTGTGAGTAATAGCACTACATCCTCTCTGGAAGATGTAGTGTTCAAGGCGCCATCTTTGAAGCAGAGACCAGGCTGTTACCAGACACTAAACCTGCCAGTGCCTTGATCTTCCTGGGCTCCAGAGGTGTAAGAAATAAATTTCTGTTCTTTATGAATTACCCACTCTCAGGTATTCTGTTATAGCAGAATGAAACAGACTATAACATCTCCCAAGTACATAGCGTCACTTCCACTCTATTCTAGTCATTAGAAGCAAGATACTAAGTCCAGTCCACACTCAAAGGGAGATAAATTTGGTTCTACCACTTGAAGAGAGGGATGTCAATGAAATTATGAAGATATTTTAAAACCACCATACCTGTAAGAGAGCGGTTGGGATAATTCAGTGAATAAAGTATCACATTTTTAGTCTCTAAATTCAAGAGGTATGGTCCAGGTCTTGGATACACGCACAAAAAGAAACCAGAAAAAAATACAAGCCAATAAACAGACTAGAAAATTCCTATGAGCTAGGGAGAGAGAAGAATTTGGAGTGGAGATGGAGAGTGGCAGTGGTGTAAGTGCCCTGTTCCTGCTTAGTCTAGAGCTGGGGTAACTAACGACCAGATATAATTCCCCTTAATGTTTAGGGCCTGAGAGAGAGAACTCAGGCTATCCTTCCAAGCAGCAAACAACAGGAGTAGCCTCTAGGCTATTAGGGTGCAGCAGTCCTGCAGACAAAAGTGTTTTGTGTGTAGGATAAGGGAAGTCCAGAGACAGTCCTCTGCTTTCCAAGGCCCTGGGCCAGGGTGGGGACTGGTAAGGAAGAATGTTGAAAGTTCCATGGGCCTCAGGTATGTCACAGAAATCGAGATAGCAGAGACAGCAGTTTTTCAAGGAATGTCCTGGTTTGGACAAGAAAGTAAATAGAAACTTTTGGAATGGATGGTTCTTGCTGAGGATTGAAGGGTAGGAACATTTAAAATTATCATTGATGTCAAATTGTTTTCCAAAAATACTGTATAAATTTGTAGTCCATAGTTGCCATTTTTCCCAACATTTGTAATAACAATGTTTTAAATTATTGTCATTCCAATTAGTGAAAAAAGACATAAATTAGTTTTAATTTTATTCTTCATAGTTACTAGGAGTTTGAGGATCTTTTATATTTTCATTTACTGTTTTGGTTTCCTCTTCTGTGAATTGCCTGCTCCTCTCTTTCGGCCACATTTCTATACTGTCTTTTCTTTATGTTTGTAAGATCTATTTGTATATTTGAAAGCCAATCCTTCACTTGTTATTTGTTGCAAATGTGCTATTATGGACTGCCACTTGTCCTTTAAGCTTGTTTATAGTATCCTTTGTCACACAGAAGTTTTACATTTTAATATTATCCAATATATTGATCTTTTCCTTTGCAGTTTTCGTTTTTATATCTTGTTTAGGAAGTTCACCCATCTCCAAATCACAGAGATACACTTCTACATACTTTTCTAATCATTTAAAAGTTGTATTTGCTTTCAGTGATCCAAAATCTATTTTTTCTAGTTATATAATTTAACTATGATTATAATAATAATGATCTAATTCTATTTTTTTCCAAAAGGTGTGCCAGTTTTCCCAGCCTTTCTTCTGAATAGTTGATCTTTTCCTTGCTGAGCTTGGATGCCTCCTCTACTGTCCACTGGGTCCCACATGAGTATGGATCCGTGTCTGAGCCCTCTACTCTGTTTCATGGTTTGTTTCTCTTCTCCTGTGATGACGTCACATTGTTTTGAATTCTAGAACCTTCAATACATCTTGGCTAATAGGACAAGCAAATCTTTCTCACACACACGCACCTGTGTTTGCTTTTAAAATTGTTTAAGCTGTTGAGTGCCTTGACTTTTCCATTGCCATTTTAGAACAGTTTCCTGAGAATCCTGCTGAAGTTTCAGTTGGGATTGCATTGAATTTGTAGGCTAATTTGGGGGATAACTAACATCTTTACAGTGTTGTTTTCTCATCTAGAAACATAAACATTTGTTTACATTTGCCTTTTGTTCTGTATCTTTCAATACAGATTTTAATTTTTTCCTATGAAGAATTTGTGCATATTTTGTTAGGTTTATTTCTAAATATTTGATATGTATTTATTGATGTTGTCTACTTGGTGTCAGTTTTTTAAAAATGTGGTAGAATCTCCTCCTATGTTTATGTATTTGCCTTTATTTCCCTGTAATTCTATTTCTTAATTTATATATAAAACAGGATGTTAAAATTGAAGTTTTGATGAAGGCATAAGATACTATAAATGTGAAATTACAAAGCCAGATCATCATATACAAATATTTAAAGAAAATGTTTAAAAATCTGTTCCATGACTTTAAAAACCGCCCACCTAGTTTAAGAACATAAAAAAGGAATCAGGGTATGGAAAGGGACATACTCCATTTTGAAGAGGCTTGTGAAGAGATTTCTTTGAAAAGACATGATCCCTTGCTGTTAATACCCACCCCATCATGAGCCTTGGGAAGAAAGAGTTGCTGCATCTCAATATTCTTTAAACAATTATCCTTACTTTCCCCTAAAGGCACAGCTTTCCAACCTCCCATCCAATCCCCCCATCAAAGGGTTTAAAAAAAATTCAAGTAATGTATGTAGCAGACACCACAGGACCACACAGCTGAACTCCCAAAGGCTCATTCTGAGGCCAGGAATGGAGCAAAGGTACACATTTTCAATGTTATATGATGTCTGTTTTAGTCTGAGTCATAATTTCCTCACTGTTGCCTCAAAATAGTAGAGTGTATGTTAGGTTCTTCTTCTTCTTCTTTTTTTTTTTTTTTTTTTTAGACAGGGTCTCTCTCTGTCACCCAGGCTGGAGGGCAGTGGCGTGATCTGGGCTCACTGCAGCCTTGACCTCCCAGGCTCAAGCAGTCCTCCTACCTCAGCCTACCAAGTAGCTGGGACTATAGGCATGTGCCACCATGCCTAGCAAATTTTCATATTAGGTTCTCCTTATAAAAGTGTGATGATGAAGGTGCTAGAATATGTTATTGTTATTGACTTGATTTAGGTCAAAATGGGCTTCTGACCAAATCATCAGAGCACCAACTCACTGTACTTAGCTAGGAAGGCTAGAAGTTGGAAAGTTTATGATCCTGCTTAGGCAGAAATAAAAGTGTAGAGTAGTTGTCTTCCTCGCAGCTTTGACAGACAAGGCCCCTTGTGCAGTTAGATTTGGAATTCCATGATGACTTAATCACTGGGGTAGGGGAGAAGGGCGGTTGCCGGCAACAGGAGCTTCAGGGAGGTCTGTGAGAACCAGAATACAGTGAGAATCCAGGGTCCTTCCTTCCCCTAAACAGCCTTTCTCCCAGGGTTCCCCATCAGGCTGAGAAGCCTGGGATAGGTTTCCGAATGTTGGAGACAGGAAGTCTCCCATACACTGAGAATCACTGGGGTTACATTAGAGCCTGCAGCCAGAGTAGCAGAGCTAATGGAACGATTCCTACATTAACTGAATTCCTGGGTGAGTGAAGGAAGAATAGGAAAGAAAAAAGGGAAAGAAGCAGATAACTGCCAATGAGTCAAAATACTTTTATAACATTTCACTTCTAAGTTAAGTACTATCATCTGAATTGTTTGTATGGAAAATAATGACTTATCTGAGAATTCTTCAAGAAATTATCAATTTGGTTTTTATTCTTTTGCATTTAGTTGAGTGTGGAGAGGCTAGGGAAAACTGAAGCACCATTGGAAGAGGCATAGAGAGAATGAATAAAAGCATGGGCTCACAGAAGTGACGAATGCATTTTAGAAAAGCACCCAAGATAAATAGCTGGCCTGAAAGTGAGTATTTTTCTCACTTTGATTCACAGGTTGCCACATTTTCAGGAATATTTCTGTGCCACATAACAAAAGGAGCTTGCAGAAAGACTCATGAAAATTGAAGAAAAAAGTGTGAAAAGGAGTATTTTTTTTCTTTTAGTACTACATTTTAGCTGAAATGACATGGAAATTTTTGCTTATGTTGTGAACTCTATAGAAAGCTAGTTGGAAAGAATTTAATCATATCAGAAATTTGTCATTGAAAGTCATAAGTCCAAATGTCAGGAGGACTTTGCTTCTCAAGATTCCCAGGGACAAAAGAATGAAGGAAAAAGGCAAACTAAACCAGATATCTGTTTATATTGATAATGTACTCTTTTTATTTACGCACATCTCTTCAGTTATTCATTGTACTCGGTGTTAAATCCCATAATAGTTACGAGAGTGTCAATACCAACATTTGTTCCAGCCCTTGGGTCCCCGTCTTAGTCTATCTTGTACTGTTATAACAGAATACTACAGACCAGGCAATTTATAAAGAACAGAAATTTATTTCTCATAGTCCTGGAGGCTGGGAAGTCCAAGGTCAAGGTGCTGATATGTTTAGCTTCTGGTTCCAAAGTGGTGCCTTGTTGCTGTGTCCCCCAGAGAAGAGGAATACTGTCTCCTCACATGGAAGAAGGTGGAAGGGGGAAAACTCACTTCTGAAAGCCCTTTTTATAGTGGCATTAATTTATTCATGAGGGCAGAGTCCTCATGACCTAAACATCTCTCATTAGGCCTCACCTCCTAACACTGCTGCATTGGGATTAAGTTTCCAACACATGCATTTTGGGGGACATGTTCAGAATAGCAGTCCTATTCTGCTGAGTCTGCTTCATATTCTCAAAAGACAACCACCTCTTCCAAGGGTCATGATTCTACACTACCAAGGGTCAGGCTTACCCCAGGAGATAACCTCAGGCTTGGGCTAACTCGGGAATCAAGATCTGACCTTCTGCAGGAAAGTGATCTTCATGATTTTCCCCCGGGGCTATATCCAAAGAAAAAAAGTCAAGTAATCACAACACAGAGATAAACCTATTAACAAAGTGAAAAGGACAACGGTGGGAAACCAAGAAATGCCCACGTATTAGAGTTCTCCAGAGAAACAGAAACTTACACACACACACACACACACACAAATGCTCCTCAATTTATAACTCAATTTATAACCTCAATGGGGTTATAAGGATATAACCTCATTGTAAGCTGAAAATATAACAAGTTGAAAATGCATTTCATACACCTAACCTACTGAAAATCATAGCTTTATCCTAGTCTGCCTTAAACGTGTTCAGAACACTTACACGTTCAGAACAGTTACATTAGCCTACTATTGGGCAAAATTATGTAATACAGAGGCTACTTTATGGTAGAGTGCTGAATATCTCATGTAATGTATTGAATACTGTACTGCAAGTGAAAAGCAGAATGATATGGTTTCTAATTGAACGTGTATTGCTTTTGCACCATCATAAAGTCAACAAATTGTTAGTCAAACCATGGTAAGTTGGGGACTCTCTGTCTGTATGTATGTGTGTATGCATGTGTAGAGAGAGAGAGACAGAGAGAGAGAGAGAGAGAGACAGACAGACAGAGACAGAGAGAGTCAGAGAGATTTATTTTAAAGGATTAGCTCTTATGATTGTGGAGGCTGGCAAGTCCAAATCTGCTAGATAGGCCAGGAGGCTGGAGACCCAGGAAAGAACTGATGTCACTGAATCCAAAGACAGTCTGTTTACAGAATTCCCTCTTCCTCAGGGTACCTCATTCTGTTTCCTCTTAAGGCCTTCAGCTGACTGGATGAGGCCCATCACATTATGAAGGATAATCTGTTTTACTCAGTGCCTACTGATTTAAATGTTAATCTCATCTAAAAAATACCTTCACAACAATATCCAGACTGGTATTTGACCAAACATCTGGATGCCATGGCCCAGCAATTAATCACCACAGCATACTAGTTGTTTTACTTAAGCCCTTTGATTGCAAAGGACACTCTCATCCAGTCTGCAACTTACTCCAGAACCAAGGTAGTTCTCAGTTATGGTGAGTCTTTTGCCCACTTTCATAGCTGAAATATCCTCTGCTTCACAGTACAAATGTCCATTTGGTAGCAAGACAGTAATGGAGCAGAGATGCAGAGAGAAGCAGATATGGAGTTCTCTTGTTCAGTGGCTCTCAACTGCAGGAACATGTCAGAATACCTGTGGAACTTTATAAATATAGAGATATTGTGAGATTCTGTCTCTACGAATAAAATAAAATATAATAGAATAATAAAATAAAATAAAATGTCAAGCATGGTGGTACAAGCCTGGAGTCCCAACTACTTGAAAGGCTGAGGCAGGAGGATCTTTTGAGCCCAGGAGTTCAAGACTGCAGTGAGCTATGGTCACACCACTGCACTAGCCTGACATTGTGAGAACCTGTCTCAAAAAAAAAGAAAAAAAAAAAAGAGGGCTGGGTGCGGTGGCTCACACCTGTAATCCCAGCACTTTGGGAAGCCAAAGCAGGCAGATCACCTGAGTTCAGGAGTTCAAGACCAGCCTCACCAACATGGTGAAACCCCATCTCTATTAAAAATATAAAAATTAGCTAGGCATGGTGGTGCACGCCTGTAATCCCAGCTACTCAGGAGGCTGAGACAGGAGAATCGCTTGAAACTAGGAGGCAGAGGTTGCAGTGAGCCAAGATCGAGCCACTGCAATCCAGCCTGGGTGACAGAGCAAGACACTGTCTCGAAAAAAAAAAAAAAAAAAAAAGAGAGAGAGAGAGATTCTCAGCCCCCTCCATAAACTGAATCACAGCCACACCCTATTTCTTGATGATGAAAACCCAATTAGAAACTGGGTTATATTTAGACAGAAAAGACATCTGATTCAGGGAGTGAGAGATATCTAATTAAAAGTATATTGTGGGTTGGGTGTGGTGGCTTACACCTGTAATCCCAGCTTTGGGAGGCCCAGATGGGAGGATTGCTTAAGGCCAGGAGGTCGAGACCAGCCTGGTCAACATAGCAAGACTCCATCTCTATAAAAAAATTCTAAAAGTATATTTATCTTTAATTCAGAAAGAGTCACTGCAATTTTTGGGCTTTAAAGGTGAAGGAGGGGACAAAATGTGTGAAGCGGTGCTATCAAGCATTAATAATTCCAAAGAAAGAGAGTAATACATTGATAAGAAGAAAGCCAACATAAGAATGGCAGATAACAGCAGAAATTAAATACATTATGCACAGGATTCAAATCTAGATGGGTCTTTTACTATGTATGCCCAGATTTCTACTATCTGGGATAACTCTCAACCATCAGTAATGAAGAATAGCTGAGCATGCATGATGTGAATGTTGCAGATGTTTAGCCACATTACAGGATGTAGATAGTATTATAATACCAGAAATAATAATATATCAACACATCTGTCAGGGGCGTGTGAACCAGAGCAACTCCATCTTGAATAGGAGCCGGGTAAAATAAGGCTAAGACCTATTGGGCTGCATTCCCAGATGGTTAAGTCATTCTAAGTCACAGGATGAGATAGGAGGTCAGCACAAGATACAGGTCATAAAGACCTTGCTGATGAAACAGATTGCAGTAAAGAGCCGGCCAAAACCCACCAAAACCAAGATGGTGACGAGAGTGACCTCTGGTCATCCTCACTGCTATACTCCCACCAGCACCATCACAGTTTACAAATGCCATGGCAACATCAGGAAGTTAACGCTTATATGGTCTAAAAAGGGGAGGCATAAATAATCCATCCCTTGTTTAGCATATAATCAAGAAATAACCATAAAAATGGGCTGTTCTGTCTATGGAGTATCCATTCTTTTATTTCTTTACTTTCCTAATAAACTTGCTTTCAGTTTATTCTACAGACGCGCCCTGAATTCTTTCTTTTGTGATATCCTATAACCCCCTCTTGGGATCTGGATTGGGACCTCTATCCTGTAACATCTTTTTGGTGATCACAAAGGGATTATAGTGTGGAAACCCTCAACCCAAAGGCTAACTTTGGATATGTGATGGGATTTCATAACATTTTTCTGGTGAACCATGGATGGGATGATACTGAGGAGATCCCCCCCAACCCAAAGGAAATAGACTACAGCACTGATTGGATGACTTTGGGTAAGTGATGGGGTACCCATGTAAAGAATGGGATTGGGTTAGAGGCCCAACATAGGGCAGATAGAGTCTCACCTAAGACAGAGTGGGTTAGATGCCCCTCTTAATAAAAGGCAAGGACGCTTGACTGACCTTGGGTTAGAGGCCCAACTTAGTAGGGTTAGAGTCCGTTCCTAAGATTTAGGGGGTTAGAGGCCCCTCTCGGTAAAGTCCCTTTTGGCTAAGAATGGGTTCAGCACTGTGGGATGTTAGCCACTATTCTCTTTGGATCAATCTGCCTTGCACTCTTTGCTGATGGCTGTGGGTGACAGGATTAGACATGTACAGGATCGTGGGACATGGGGAGCTTTTTCCTCCATAAAAGAGGAAACTTAAGAGCCAATGAGACTGCTAAAAAATATCCCTTTGCTACTGACAGGCTGCTGCCTGAACTTTTCAGTGTTGCTGCAATGGATGGGTCTTTCTCTGGCCTCTCTGAGTGCCTCGCCTTCCCCACCCTGCCCAGGCAATGCTTTCCTCTTTCTCTTCCTGTGCAAACTGGTTGAATGAATGGTAAAAAATCACCGTTTATCTCCTGTAAAGTTTTGATTAATGGGAAAAAGAATTTGTGAGGCTAGTCTTAAACTGTAGCCAGGGGTTCAAGGTTTAATTCCCGGCTTAGGGAATCTTCTGTCTGTCTAGGTATTTATATGTATTATGTGTGTAATGTTTATATATTAAAAAGCTTTAATTAATTGGTTTAATAATAATAAGAGCCTAAATCAAATATTTTGTCAGAAAAGTAAAAGTGTAATGCCTTTTAGTTCGTGTGACTTAAGTAAACTTTGGGAAATAAGATAGTTTTAAAGATCATTGGTAAAATAAAAATATCTTTAAAAATGTAAACATTTGGTCTAAATTATGCAGGTCAGATATTAAGTTTGCTAAATGCTTTAAGTTCATAAACTGCTTCTTTGACTTTTGAAAATTGTTCAATTTTCCTACCTTGTAGACATTAGATTCTGGATAAGGCCTGGGAACATGTGGAGTTAGCCACGCCTCCTAGCTACGCTGGAGAGTCAGCCTTTATCTGCACTTCTGCCAGGTGTGTCCTAGGCCAGGCTCCACACCTGGTACATAATATAAATTACTTACTTACCAAGGTTTTCACCAAAAGTAAAAGTCGCTAAGAGTTAGCACTGTAACATGTAATTGAGACTACTGAAAAAATAGTTCTACATGCAAGGCATGTAAGGAAAGTAGAATGTACTATTGGTGAAAGATTATAAAAACTCATGGGAATGTGGATTCTTGCCTAAGTTTAGAGAGTTAAAGAATTGTTTTAAGTTAGATAGAATAAAGGTGAAGATTTAAACAATTTGTGGAAGGTTTGTGAACAATTAATCTGGTAAAATAAATTCTGTGTGTGAACATATTGGCTAAAATTAAAGGGGTATTATTCAGTTTTTTCTGTAAACCGAACACTGGAATAAAAGCACAACAGATTTTTCTTAGAGCACTAACTAATCTGCTCTTTAACAAAAAAATTGTGAACGGTTATAAAAGGTTTATGAGAATCTTACCTTATGGTCAAACATTAAAATTGGGTAGATATGTCTATAAGGTTTTATTAAGAATTGGGTTTAACATTAATAGTACACTAATGTAGAAGTGAAATTTGGCTTATTTCATATAAAAATCATACAGGAAGCATTGTCAAATATGAAATGTTTGGTGTTTGGTTTTCTTTAGGCTGTTTTTATATAAATATGTTATTGGTATGTATTCCAAAATCATGAGAAACTCCTATAATTCTGACAGGACTTAGTGTACATCATCAGTAATAATTGTAATTGTTCTGTAAAATTTTGTATGCCACAGAAGTAACGAAATTTCCTTATCAATTGTGGCTTTAATAGTGGCTGTTCTAAGACTTCTTGTCATCCACAAACAATTGTTGTCTGTTTTAATCCTCTTTAGAAAGTGGGTTATAATCAACTATAGAACTCTAGGCTGGGCGCAGTGGCTCACACCTGTAATCCCAGCACTTTGGGAGGCCAAGGCGGGTGGATCACGAGGTCAGGAGATTGAGATCATCCTGGCTAACATGGTGAAACCCTGTCTCTACTAAAAATACAAAAAATTAGCTGGGCATGGTGGTGGGCGCCTGTAGTCCCAGCTACTCAGGAGGCTGAGGCAGGAGAATGGCGTGAACCTAGGAGACGGAGCTTGCAGTGAGCCAAGATCATGCCACTGCACTCCAGCCTGGGTGACAGAGTGAGACTCTGTCTCAAAAAAAAAAAAAAAAAAAAAAAGAACTCTAGCAGGTGTTCTTGAACGCAGGTTTTTAAAATGACTTTGGAGATGGTGACATCAGAATTGAGAAAAAAAAAACTTTCAGGACTCTCATGGAGAACTGAATTGTTCATGAATATCAAGCCAAACAGGAGTTAACTAAATTAACTGAGTCAATAAAAAATTGAAGTAATCTTTTTAACTTTTGCTTAAAATGTGGCTGATCCTTTGTTTTGTTTTTCAGACTCAAGGAAACTTTTCTTTTTGAGCTATTTACAGCTTTTAGCAATTGAGTAAAGTATACTCCTATTAACAAAATTTGGAGCATATTTGTTTCACTGTAGCTGATTTCTCCAGAATTTGGAAAATATTTTTGAGTATTCGTCAGAGCTTGTTTGGAGGTTCTAGCAGGGGAGAGCGGCTACTCATATACCCTTGACCGAAGACCTGTCCTCCTCTACTGGGGATGGTCATCCTCTTCAACTGAGCACACAGCTGTGGGAGGAACACACAAGGAGTGATAGCCAGATCAGCTGAATCAACCCTGACAATCAATGGGGTGACAGATGTTGCAGCAAGATCACCCTCACATCCTATTTCTGAGTATTCTTAATTTATGGCAATAGAGTTGCCATAATTTATGGTGATATAGTATGGCATAAATTCAATAAGAATCTGTTTTCTTTTGTAACAGGACACAATTGGAAAAATTGGTTATTTTACCAAGGCTTTAACTGGAATGGTGTGCTTTCCTTTAAGCAATTAGACTTACAGAGCCAGTAAAAGCCCCTGGGGGAACTGGCCTCATACCTTGCCTACACAGTCCCTGTACAGGGTTTCTGACCTGTGGTAAGTAAAGAATGTCACTTTCTCACATGTCCAGGAGCCCCAAGTTATCTTGGGACCTCAAAAGGAGAGAAATTTACTCAACTCCTAGGTATTTGAGGGTACAAACCCATGACAGGGTTCGGCTCTAAAAAAGCCTTATTTGAGATTCCTTCTATACAACCAAGTTCCATCAGAGTCAATTTAAGAAGAGATTATGTGAAAAATTATCCTTGCTGCACTTTATACAAATAATCAGGCCAAATATAATAAAGCAAATCAGTCTTACCATGATTTGTCTTTAGTAGAAATGAGAAACTGGCGAGAGAAATATTTTGTTTCAAGAACTATGGTACCCTTGTTATTAAATTCTAGTCTCATCAGTTTTTTTAAGTTTGTTTCTGCAATTTTGAAAGACTGCTTGTTCCTGTGAACCAAGCAGGGCTCTCTGACTGCTGCTTAGAAGAAACAAGAGGGATGGATAATATAAAAATCTGGATCGGTAGTCTAATTTTGGGCACACTGGAGCCAGCTATCAGCTTGGTTCCAACAGTTTCCCAGTTCATGGAAAGCCTCACAATTTAGTTTATTTGGCATATTTTTTCTTATTTTGTTTTACTCTTGTGGAAGATATTGCTGTTGTACTCTTTGTGTAGGAATGCAGGATAAGCTTACTGAATGTTTTCTTAATCTGAACATTTATTAATCTTTCATATAGCACCTTTTGTCAAAACTCAGTTATGAACGACCTTCGCCATACCAACACTTTCTGACTGAGTTCCTCTCTACCCTGAATGTAAGAGACCCTAATAATTAGATAGGAATATCATTGCCCCTATTCATCCTGAAGAAGTTACAAAAGATTGATCTTCGTCCCTCTGCAACCCTTAGGATTAAGGGTTCTTTTATAGAAGGGAGGGGGGAACTGTCAGAGGCATGTGAACCAGAGAAACCCCATCTTGAACAGGAGCTGGGCAAAATAAGGCTAAGACCAACTGGGCTGCATTCCCAGACAGTTAAGGCATTCTAAGTCACAGGATGAGATAGGAGGTCAACACAAGATACAGGTCATAAAGACCTTGCTGATAAAACAGGTTGCATTGACTGCCTGTTGCATTCCCCCAAATGAACAATAACACAAAATCTTTACGTGTAAGAGATTTTCATGAAGATTGAGATAATACAAAGAGAATACTGCTCAGATCAGATCAGGCAACAAGTCAAAAAGGCATGTGAGAGATCACTCTTCTTAAGGTCCCAGGCTCCATTCCTTATCTTTCTTCCTCTTCAGGGCAAAACTCAAAATTCCCAACACTTTATCATACAAAGCAATTTTAGGTTCAGCCTTCACACTAGTCCAGGCTCTGAGCCTTCTGCCTTGCTCTCCCTTGGATAACTTGCTTTTGGAGAAGTCAGATGCCATGCCATGAGGGCTCCTAAGCTATGCTGTGTAGAAGTTCAAGTGGCAAGGAACTGAGGCTTCCTGCTCACAACAGCATCAACTTTTCAGCCTCTTGGAAGCGGATTCTGCAGCCCTGATCAAGTCAACATCCTAACTGCAACCTCATGATAGACTGTAAACCAGAACTACTCAGGTAAGCCTCTCCCAAATTCCTGATAATACATGTTTATTGTTTCTTAGGCCCCGAAATTTGGGGTGATTTGTTATGCAGCAATATGTAACTAATACACATACCTTAAAATTGCTGATTGCTAACTCTATTATTTGGGCTATCTTGAACTTTCTTCTTATTGTCTGTGGGTCACATATTCATTTTGCCTGATAATAACATTGCTGTGTCAGCTTTTCTATGCTTAGCATTTCCAAGATACATCTTTTGCTTTCAACCTATCTGTACCTTTATACTGTCTTTCATAAACAGTGTATAGTTGGGTCTTGCTTTTTTATCCATCTGACCATTTCTGTTTTTTAAATGAAGTGTGTAATTCATGTACACTTAATGTAATGTAAACATAATTTGTTTCAAGTCTACTTTCTTGCTATTTGATTTTTATTTGTCATCTCTGTTCTTTCCTCTGTTCCTGTCTCCTCTTGGGTCAGTCGAGTATTTTTTTTAACCAAAAATTACTTTATCAATAAATTATATCACATTTTTCCATGTAATGAGAAATTTTAAAACTCATTTATGAAAAATATTAATGAATATAACTATATAGCATTTTTGGTATTTTTCTAAAGAACTAGACCAGGGAAATGTATTACTCCTTTTGTAGTAATATACACTAAACAATAAACAAAGTTGTAGACACCCTCAAATGGTAAGACACCTCATTCTTGCCAAAACATCTAATTATTTTCTCACCAAAAAATGGTGAAACAGCTACACACACTACAAAATGAAAAATTAACTTCATTTTTAATACCTTACTTTTAGATAGGCAAGTTAAACCAGTAATTTCAAAAGCAATTTTATTGCTTTTGAGTGTAACCACCCAACGGGTTCTCCTTGCCCACTGCCTAGACTGAGCCAATTTATCAAGACAAGGGAATTGCAATAGAGAAAGTTAAATTCAAGCATAGCTGGTGGTATGGGAGACCAGAGTTTTATTATTACTCAAATTAGTCTCCCCCCAAATTTGGGGATTGGGGTTGGTAAGAATAACTTGGTGGCCATCCTGGACAACATGGTGAAACCCTGTCTCTACTAAAAATACAAAAAAAAAAAAAAAAAAAATTAGCCAGGTGTGGTGGCACATGCCTGTAGTCCCAGCTGCTCAGAAGGCTGAAGCAAGAGAATCGCTTGAACCCAGGAGGCGGAGTTTGCAGTGAGCCAAGATCATGCCACTGCACTCCAGCCTGGGCGACAGAGGAAGAATCTGTCTCAAAAAAAAAAAAAGAAAAGAAAAGAAAAAAAAAAAAGAATAACTTGGTGTGGGTATGGGATTGGGAAGTGAGGAATGCTGATTGGTGGGGTCAGAGATTAAATCATAGGGGGTTGAAGAGAGTTTCTCTTGGTACCTTCTGTTCCTGGGTGGGATTGCAGAATTGGTTGAGCCAGATTACCAGTCTGGGTGGCCTCGGCTGGTGCATCGGTATGCAGGATCTACAAAATATCTCAGGAACTGATCTCAGGTTGTACAACAGCGATGTTGTCCCCAGGAGCAATTTGGGGAGGTTCACATCATCTGGGCCTCTGGCTGCTTGACTCCTAAACCATATTTCTAATCTTATGGCTGATTTGTTAGTCCTACAAATGCAGACTAGACCCCAAGAAAGAAGGAGGTTTGTTTCAGGAAAGGGCTGTTATAATTTTTCTTTCAAAGTTAAACTATAAACTAAGTTCCTCCCAAAATTAGTTCAGGCTATGACCAGGAGTGAACAAGGACAGTTTGGAGGCTAGAAGCAAGATGGAGTTGGTTGGGTCAGATCTCTTTCACTGTCATAATTTTCTCACTGTTACAATTTTTTCATGAGGACAACAGTACAAACTTGTGTTATAGATAAATCATATTTTAGAGTGATGTTATTTTTGATGTTTTGACAAAAAGCATATGACCATAGTCTTCAAGCCTCATTAAAATGACAACTTTTTTGTAAATAAAATGTTTCTTTGATCTAAAGTGGCATGAAATAAAGCTATCTTTTAAGAAAAATTATAATCTTTATGTTTATTTCTTACATTATTAATGTTTGTTTAAGAATATTTATAAGTAAAGTTACCATTCCTATATCAAGTTTTTTTAACTATTTGATTCTATCTATTCTATTGGCTTTTTAGCCAAACCTTTTTCCTTTGTATTATGTCTTTAGTGGTTGCTATAGAGATTACCACATGCAGTGTTTGCTTACTATTGTCTAACTTGGTTTAATATTATAACACTCCACAGGTATGTAATATAAAAACACTTCAACTGCATAATTTTATTGAACTCATAGTCCTATCCTTTGTGCAGTTGCCATGTTATATTTTAGCTGTACATAAATTTAAAACCCCAACAGTGCATGTCCCTTTTGGGAGTCCAATGGAAAACCCCTCTCCTGAGCATTAGATAACTTGAAATTTCTGCCACCACCCCTAGATGTTGCCATCTGTTGAGTTCATTACATTCTTGGTCTCCTCATGCTCAGTTCTAGAAATAGCCAAGGATTTGAGGGAAGTTTTGATACAGAAGCTTCCTCTCTGTAGCTTCCTACTTTCCACAACTTTCCTCTTCAATTTCCAGCTACGCTGGCAGCCCATGAAATCCAACCTCTGGCTTCTTAGCCCAGTAAAAATGTTGCTTTCAGCCATACAAAAGAATGAGATCATGTCTTTTGCAGAAACAGAATGGAGCTGGAGGCTATTATCCTTAGCAAACTAATGCAGGAACAGAAAACCAAATGCCTCATGTTCTCACTTATAAGTGGGAGCTAAATGATGAGAACCCATGAACACAAAGAAAGAAACAACAGATATTGGGGTCTACTTGTGGGTGGAGTGTGGGAGGAAGGAGAGGAGCAGAAAAAATAACTATTGTGTACAGGGCTTAATATGTGGTTGATGAAATAATCTGTGCAACAAATGCCCGAGACACAAGTTTACCTATGTCACAAAGTTGCACATGTACTTCTGAACCTAAAATAAAAGTTTTTTTTTAATGTTGCTTTTTGCTCAAGATCTATCCCTTGTGCACCACTGAACTTGAGAGTATTTTTCAAAGGCAACACACACAAAAATGTGGACCTCACTTAGCATGAGACACTTCTTTCAAGGTTTGAATTTTCATTAGTTTCTGCTTAGTTTTGGTCTCTCTCCAATGTCTTCAAACAGTTGTTTTAAATTGTATCTAAAGTTTATAGTTATAATTAGCAGGAAGGTGAGCTTGGTATAAGCTATTCTACCATTAATGGGAGCCAGAACATGATTTTGTTTCTTTATTTGAATATTTAACCTCGAAGAAATGTATTCCACTGTATATTGTAAGATAAAACTCTTTGTTTTCTAATAATTAACCAACTGTACCACATGATTTTTTAATTCATCCTTTTAGATGTCACATATATATACACACACACAGACATATACACTCTTCTGGGCTTTGTATTCTGTTCCATTGCTCTTCTTGACTCATATTTTGCACGATTACATGTGTCTTATGCCTTTCTGGAGATAGAACTTTGACCCTTTTCCCAATACACCCAGTATACTCTTCCTCTTCTGAGTTCAGTTTCTAAATTTGTATTTCTGTAAAATTATCCATTTCATGAAGATTTGTAAATGTATTAGCACAGAGATTATCAAAATTTTCTCTTTTAGCTTAAAACAAAACAAAAACAAACCCCTCAAACCATCTATTTCTTGTAGCTCTGTGTAGTGGGATAATGTTTCAAAGTGTTCATTGGTTGCTTTATCACCCTGTCCTTAGCTTTTCTGTGCTCTTGGAATTCCTTTACTTATATCCCAAGAGTCTTCATACCACCTATTCCCTACCCTTAACTAGTACTACCAGAAATGAAGCTCCCACCCTAGAAGCAGTAAACAAAAGTACAAATGTTTGTTTCAAAAATTGCTGGTCTATGTATACGGCAGAAAGGTTCAGACATACACTTACTGACTGGGTTTTTCTGCTCTTGTAGGCTACTTAAAAATTTCCATGAGTTAGTGAACAAGAAAAGAAAGCAAAAACTGTTGGCCTAAAATGATTTGTGAATACCAAGTCCTGCTGTCCTCCTAATATGGCTTTGCTGTGTCCCCACCCAAATCTCATATTGAATTGTAGATCTCATAATTCCCACATATTATGGGAGGACCTGGTGGGAGATAATTGAATCATGGAGTCAGTTTCCCCCATACTGTTCTTGTGGTAATGAGTAAGTCCCACGAGATCTGATGGTTTTACAAGGGGAAACCCCTTTTTCTTGGCTCTCATTCTGTCTTGTCTGCTGCCATTTAAGGTGTTCCTTTCACCTTCCACCATGATTGTGAGGCCTCCCAAGCCGCGTGGAACTGTGAGTCCATTAAGCCTCTTATTCTTTATAAATACCCAGTCTTGGGTATGTCTTTATCAGCAGCGTGAAAATGGACTAATATACCTTCCTATTGCCACCAAGGAAAGCCACACCCATACTCATCGAAAATCCTATGAGGAATGAGGGTGAATAAACAAAGATTAAAGGAGTAAAGGCAAATCTCTACCTCAATATATTTCCCTAGAGCTGGTGGAAAACCCTCAGAATTCCCTTCAGGATTGATCTGGTTTTCTCTCTCAGCTTCCCATAAGATAAGGAGACAAGAAGACTACAAGAAGCATTTGCATTTAGCTGGCAGCAGTGGTGACTGAGTTATGCATCTGGAAAGGCATTAAAATAGAAAAATGGAAGAACCAGTCTCAGCAAGAGAGTTGTGATTGGGGCCAAGAGCAAATTAAAAGCAGGAGCTCAGAGCCTGTGTCTATGAGCCTAAGATACTAGAAATTTGCAGAAATGGGGGCAGGATGTGGACAGTGGCTTTTCCACGGAATGTCAAAATACAATTTTATTTTTTTCTGAAATAACAGAGTTATTTCATCTTAACATCTGGATTATGCAAATATTGCAAATTATTTTTATGAGCCTCTGAATGCCACAGGAAGTTAGCATCTTGTTACATCTACACTGTAGATTACAGCTACAATAAACTACACTTGCCCTGATATCATTGTCAAGGGCCTTCCAGATTTATAATCCAGCCCATATCTTCCCTCCTGCACCCAGGATCCTATAGCACTATATCCTCAAGCCCCAGAGCTTTGGGGGACAATACAGTCACAAGATGCTCTTTAAGCCCTTGGAGAATATGATATGGTCCATCTACCATTGTCCAATCCTGGATAATTGGTGAACAGAACTGATAACTGAGGAGCTATGGCCTCAAGCTCTGCTGCTCTGGATTGAGGATCTTGGAGTCCTGAAACCCCAGGTATCTCATGGACCTGGGGTCCATAAAGGGGAATGGTCCTTAGAAGCATCATTTTTGCCCATCAATCTCCAGCTCCAGAAGCATCATTTTTGCCCTTCGATCTCCAGCTCCAGTTGGTGCTATCCTGGACTTCATGGCCACTAGACTGGAAAATCTCAGATGATGTCCCTTCTTGAGATTGTGCCTTCTTTCAACTCACAGTGACAACTGAAGCTTTGAACCCCATCTACTGCTTACTCTTTAGACCCAAGGGCACAGGTTCCTAAGAAATGGGGCTGCATAGAGAGCCTGTTGTAAGGTTAGCAATTTTGGTTACTGTCTCTTCTCAGTCAAAAGAAGGAGGGCTAATCAAACCTCACAGACCAGCCAGGGTAGATTTGATGGCAATTTTGACCCTTCTGGAAGTTTCTAGATTCATCTAAGGGGAACTTGGTAGCTAGGTAGTTTGGTCTTGGAGCTGGGAGATTTTCCTCTGACAATGGATTAGGGGAAGAGCAACTGAAGCAGATTACCCACAAAGTTTCTCAGGCCTCTAAAGGCATAAATCATTGAAGGGTTGGGATGAGGGGATGAAAATGAAGCTCCAGATTCCCCCTTTTCCCCCAGTTGGCTTGTCCCCAGACCTGAGAACTATCCCTTCGTGTACTCTGCCTGAGCAGTTGCTTCTAGTGCTTCCATATCCTGATGTGGTTGAGGTAGAGCCTGAGATTCAGAGCATGGGATAAAAATAAGAGATCCTCTGTAGCAATACAAAAAAAAAAAAACACAAAAGTACAAAATATCAAAAATATGAATTTTAAAAAAAGAAGCTAATTTTTTTGAAGTGAAATGCTCGCTGGCCAGATTTGTTAGGCTAGAAACAACATTTACACATTTTTTTCTTGCACTCTATTTTCTGTAAGCTCCTACATCCACAGAGAAAATACAAACTCTCAATACCCACAGCACCAATTAGATTTTTTTTTGTTTCTGACATTTACAATAAAGATATCTGTGCTTGAGTTAGTTTTGTGAAGATGTTTGTATAACATAAGTTCTAAACTGGTGGCTATTGTGAAAATTAATGAATATTCAAAATTGTGTGAGTTGATATAAATGATTCAGCAGTAAAGCTTACCGAGTTTCTTTCTATAGAGACATTATCTAAAAAGCTATAAAAAGCTCAGTGCAAAGGCTTGCTGTTTAAGATGAATGATTTCACTCTTCCTACTGCAGTATGGCTGTTATTCTTTTTATTTTCAAATAAAGTGATATCTGACAGTTTATTCCTCCAAAATCTAAACATAAGGTAAGATTGTTTGTCAATTATACCTTCACAGTGGAAAATTAAGCAGCCTGGTTAGTGTCACCAGCTTTCCCATCACACTTCCGTTAGGTTCCCCGTGGCAGGCTCTGCATCCAGACTACCCAATAGCCAAAGCTCCTTAGAGAAAATAAGCCCATCGCCAAAGAGCAAAACATAATTCGTCCAAGGAAATAATAGTAATCCCATTAATCTTTACTAATGATTTGCGTAGGGGCAACCCTATGGCCAGTGAGACATGGGGGAAATATTCTGGGAGGCTCTCTGATTAATTTTGGTGTTGAAGATATCATGTAATTAACATTTATTGGACTTGGAGAATATTAAAAGGATTAAAACATGTTTTCTACTCCAGGGATACTCAGTGGAATAGAGAAATATAAACACACTTACAATATAATTTAATGATTATCATGTATAAAGCACTAAGGAAGAATGAAAAGAAAAAAGCAAACTGTTCAAGCATGAAAGGGCTTCTCAGAAGAGATGCTTATGGTAGGCACATGGGACATGTATCTAAGAAATCTTTGTCTATCCCAAGATCAGAGATTTTTTTCTTACATTTTTTCCCCTAGAATTATATAGTATTAGGTTCTACATTTAGGCCTATGATCCATTTTGAGTTGATATTTGTACATAGTATAAAGTGTGGATTGAAGTTTTTCTTTTCTTTTTTTTACATATACTTAGCCAGTTGTTCCCAACATTTACTGAAAAGGCAATTCTTTCTTCTCTCTGTTGCCTTTACACCTTTGGCAAAATCAGAAAATCAGTTTATATTTATATATCACATGATTTATATATATACATGTATATATAAATATATATGTGTGTATATACATATGTGTATATATGTGTGTGTGTGTATATATATATATATGTCAGTCTCTTTCTAGACTCTACTATGTTCCATTAATCTATTTGTCTGTCTTTACACCAACACAACACTGTATTAATTACTGTAGCTTTATGTATGTCTTGGAATCAGGTAGTGTTAGTCTGCCAATTTTGTTCTTCATTTATAAAGTTGTTTTGGATATTCTAGTCATTTGCATTTCCATATGGATTTTAGAATCAGCTTTTCAATTTCCACCAAAAAAGGCAGTTGGGTTCTTTATTGGACTACATTGACTCTATAGGCCAATTTGGGGAGAAATGATATTTTAAGGATATTGAGCCTTCCAATTCATAAACGTGATACTTTTCATTTATTTACGTCTTATTTAGTTTATCTCAGTAATGTTTTGGAGTTTTCAGTGTATGAGTCTTGTACATATTTGTCAGATTTATTCCCAAATACTTAATACTTTTATGCTATTTTAAGTGGTTTTTAGAAATTTTTAACTTTTGATTGTTCATTGCTAGTGTATGGAAATGCAATTGATTTTTGTATATTGATGTTGTATCAATATGCAACCTTAGAAACCTTGTATCAGTATGCAACCTTAGTAAACTCACTTAACACTTCTAGTAGCTAGAGTAGATTTCATTGGGTTTTGTACTAGACAATCATGTTATCTGTGAGTAAAAAAGGTTTTACTGCTTTCTTTCCAATCTAGATTATTTCATCCTTCCCAATCTTGATGCATTTTGTTTCTTTTTCTTGGCTTATTGCACTGCCTAGAACCCCAAATACAACATTAAATAGAAGTGGTGAGCAAGAGCATCCTTGCCCTGTCTGAAAAAGTGAAAACCTTTGTTTTTGAAAGATATTTTCATTGTATATAGAATCGTCGACTGACAGTTTCTCCCAGTTATTTAAAGACATTGCCCCACTGTCTTCTTGCTTGCACTGTTTCTTGCTTGCTTTGCTTGCATTGATAAGAATGTGTTGTCATTCTTATTTTCGTTCCTCTGTGTGTAATATGTCCTTTTTTCTTAACCTCTTTTAAGATGATCTCTTAATCATTGGTGCTGAGAAATTTGACTATAATATGCCTTGGTATAGTTTTCTTCTTGTTTCTTGTGTTTGGGATTCATTGAGCTTCTTGGTTATGTGGCTTTATAGTTTTTTTAATCAAATTTGGAAATTTCTAAGCCATGATTTCTTTGAATTTTTTTTTCCTGTTTCTCCTCCTACCTCCTATTCTCTGGGGACTCCAATAAAATGTAGATTGTGTTACTTGAAGTTGTCCCACAGCTCACTGATGGTTTGTCCATTTCTTAAATTTTTTTGTGTGTGTTCCGTTTGCATAATTTCTATTGCTACATCTTCAAATTAACTATTTTCTTTCTACTGCAGTGTTTAACCTGTTGTGAATCCCATTCAGTGTATTTTTTATCTTATGCACTGCAGTTTTCATTTCTAGTACCTCAATTTGGATTTAAAAAAAAATCTTTCATGTCTCTACATAACTTTTGAGCATATGCAATACAGCTGTAACACCTGTTTTAATGTTCTTTTCTGCTAATTCAAACATCTCAGTTCTGTGTTCATTTTGCTTGATTTATTTTTATCCTTATTATGATTGTATTTTCCTGCTCCTTTGTATGCCTTACATTTTTTAATTGGAAGCCAGAAGTTGTGAATTGTATCTTGTTAGATGCTGGATATTTTAGTATTCCTATTAATATTTTTTATTTCTGTTCTGGGGTGCAGTTAAGTTACTAGGGAACAGTTTGATCCTTGCCTAAAGTCTATTAAATGGGTTCAGAGCAGGGCTCATTCTAGAGATAATTATTCTCCACTCCTAAGGGAAGACTACTCTGAGCACTAAGCCCAGTGCTTTATGAATTATGAGGTTTTTCAGTCTGGCTTGTGGGAAGAGGCACTATTCCTGGCCCTGTGGGAGCACCCTGCCACCTTTCTTATGGTTCTTTCCTTGGCCTTGGTTGGTTTCCTCACATATGTGTGCTGATCAGTACTCTTCTGACTACTCGAGAGGAACCTTCTGTAAACCTGTGAACATCTCCCTGCAGCTCCTTCCTCTCCAGTCCTCTGTCCTGCAAATTCTAGCTGCTCCAGTCTCCCCAGACTCTTAGGTCTGCTTCCCTAACTGGAGGAGACCTCAATCATCACAGTTTGTAATTAATAAATGAGTGTGAGCACTTGACTCATGTCTGACCCTTACTTTACAACCAGACTGTAAGCTTCTTGAGAGCAGACGACTTAGTCTGTTTTGCTCATCATTGTGTCTCTAGTGCCTTGCACACTATCTGGCTGATAGTGGGTCCTCAATAAATACACAGTGAATAAAATAATTAAGATTAAACCCAAGCATACCACATAGAAATACTAAGTTCACAAATGGGCATTAATACATAATGTTTTTTAATCATCTCTCTTTTTTCTCTTTTATGTTTACTGAAATTAAAATAAATGGATCAGAACTACATGTATCTACAGAATAAACCTCACATAATGTTGAACAAAGATAGCAAGTTGCCCAAGAATATGTTCAATGTGCTATCATACATAAAGTTTAAATATATGGAAAATACTATATATAGTTAAGGGATACATATATGTAACAAGGTATGAAGACTGGCATAGGAATAACCTCTACCAAATTTAGGTTAAGGGTTTCATCTTTAGAGAAAGAAAGGGGAGAAGCTGGAAAGGTAGAATAGAGGGAATCAATTCTATATGTAATGTTTAATTTTTTAAGCTGGGATGTGGTACCTGGCTGTTCGTTATGTCACTTTCTGTACTTTATGTTTAAACCATTTCATAATATAAAGAAAGCTACTTGCAGATTTGAAAGAATTACAGATTATACATGCTGATATGGACAAACTACATGCAATGAGGCTCTAATAAAATAAAACCAGAGTTAGAACAAAGAAAGAAAAAAGAGAAGAAATTGGCCAGTAAAAAACCTTAAGTGACATACACAAATGAAAATTATCTAATTGTGAGAAAACATCAAACAAATCACAACTGAGGACATTTGACAAAATACCCGACAAGTTCTTCTGGAAAATATCAATGTCATCAAAACCAAGGAAAGTCTGAGAAACTGTCACAGCCAGGAGGAGTCTAAGGAGATATAATGTGGTATCGTGGATGGAATTCTGGAGCAGAAAAAGACATTAGATTAAAGCTAAGAAAATCTGATTAGCCAAAGTATGGGCTTCAGTTAATAACAATGTATCAGTGTTGGTTGATCAATTGTGACAAAGTTACCATACTAGTGTAAGGTGTTAACAATAGGTGAAACTCAGGGTGAGGTATATGAAAATTCACCGTACTCACTCTGCAACTTTTCTGTAAATGTAAATCTAATCTGATAGTTTTTTAAAGTAAAAAATACAAAACAATAGAGCAACATCTGGCATGCTTGTGTCCTGCTGTGTTGCAGTAGCCAGTGCATAACATCAACTGTGTCATGTTCTTGACAAACAATTTAACCTGAATGTAATTATTAATAAACCATCAAAGAAATAAAAACTAGGGGTCATTCTGCTAAAACCTGGCCTGTCCTCTTAAAAAAAAAAAAAAAAAAAAAAAGGCTGGATGCGATGGCTCATGCCTGTAATCCCAGTAATTTGAGAGGCAGAGATGGGAGAATTGCTTGAGCTCAGGAGTTTGAGACCAGCCTGGGCAACATAGCAAGAACCCATTTCTACAAAAAAAAAAAAAAAAAAAAAAATTAAAAATGAGTCAGGGAGAACTAGCTACTAAGGGGTTGAGGGGAAAGGATCATTTGAGCTCAGGAGTTTGAGGCTGTAGTGAGTGCACTCTAGCCTGGGCAACAACAACAACAACAGCATATGTCTTAAAATGTTTATTTAAAAAAATAAGAAAAAATTTTAAAAGAATAAAAAAACGAATGACCATTTTAGATTTCTGAAGACTGGTGATGCACAGCAATCAACTGTGATGTGTCAAACTTGACTGGATCCTGAATTGAAAAATAACAGCTACCAAAAGCCATTTGAGTGCTCATTTGAGAAAACTGCATTTGGAATGTTTAGCAGATTCTTGCAATTCAAAGTGTGGTCCGCAGACCAACAGCATCACCATAACCTTGGAGCTTGTTAGAAAGGTAGAACATCAGCCCTCATCACAGACCTACTGAATCAGAATCTGCATTTTGACAAGATCCTCAGGTGACTTGCATGCTTAATAAAGTCTGACAAGCACCATTTTCTGTGGTATTATACAATTGTTAATTGTCTCAAGTGTGAAACTGTGTCAAAATGCCTTAATTCTTAGAAAATGCATGTTGATGTGGTTAGGGGTAAAGTGCAATGGATGTCTGCAACTGACATTCAAATAGCACAGAAAACAAAAGTGTATGAGATGAAGTAAAAGTAGCAGGATGTTAACAGTTGATATTAGGTTAGTGCAACTAATGGCAAAATTGCAATTTCTTTTGCACCAACCAAATAAATTGCAGTGAGGGCTATACAAGTGCTTATTGCACTATTTTTCATCTTTTATGTAGATTTTAAATTTCCATAATTTCAAATGTAGAAGATTTTTATGGACTGTCTTTAAATTTAAAAATCTATTTTGAGGAAAGTTGACATGTTGACAACATTGAGTTTTCTCATCAATGAATATGGTATATCACTCTCCATAATCAAGTTTTCTTCTTTGTCCTTCAGCAATGTTGAACACTTTTCTTTACAGATTTTATACATTTATTTTCAATTTACATTTACTCCTGAACATTTTACTGTTTTGTTGTTGCAATTGTGAATGGATTCTTCTCAGTCATAATTCTAACTGACTATTGCTGGTATATAGAAAGCTATTTATTTCAGAATATTTTTCTTGTAATTTGTTACCATGCTATAATCTTTTATTTTTCCAATAATTTTCATTCATTTTCACGGATTTTTAGGAAGACAATGATAGCATCTGAAAATAATACAAAGTTTGTCTTTTCTAATATTTTTAGAGGTTTTCTGAAAACACGGTTTATTAAATTGGTTTCCTGCACAACATTAAATAGTAGTGATAGTGAGTAAAATTGTCTTCTTCCTGACTTTAATGGAATAGCCTCTAGTGTTTCACTGTTAATCTAACATTGCTTTGGATTTCTGTTATATCGTTTTTATCATAATACTCTCTAATAGCCTTTATTTAATTAGAAATGCCTGTTAAATTATATTATGCTCCTTTTGGCATCTTCGGAAATGATTTCATTGTTTTTGTCTCTTGTAATTTATGAATATAATAAATTTCTTTATAATAAGCTATATTTTCCTTTCAGAAATAAAAACTCCTTTGTCATATATTATTCTTTAACATACTGTTGAATGTAGTCGTACTGACATTTTACTTTTTCAAGCTATATTCACTACTGAAATTTGTGTATAATATTCTTTTCATTTGTTTTCTTTGTCAGGCTTCAGTATGAGTGTTAATATAAATAATAATGTTCCTCACTAAAGGTTGCTCACTACATGTGGGTATATTGAATGGACTCTGGCTGCTGTGGTGTTTCACACTCAGTCTCCCGCTCATCAGTTGCCTAAGGACCCCAAGCACACACATCATTAATATTCCTTTGACCCTTGGTAAGATAAGGCAGAAGAAATACCATCAGATCATTAGCATCAGCTTAGGACCATAGGCTTTAAAATGCTTCTAGTAGAAATACCTTACGGACAGAAAATAGCAAATTGGTTTTGGAAAATCAGCTTAGTAATATCCCATTGCTAAAAATAATGACCAATTGAATAGAAACCCTCCCAGTAAAATGGATTAAAGGCTGTAACACAAGTAAAAGTTTTAAGGAAGGTAGAAAAATTTAGTGCATGAGTAGGAAAGCCAGTGATGATTCACATTAGCTCCCCAAACACTCGAAGCACATTTGCAAAGTACAAGTGGATATGAATGCCTTCACAGCTAGCATTTTGACTGCCTTATTCATTTTTTGTACCGAGTCTGACCCAGTGCCTCACATCAGACAAGCCCTCAATAAGTACTTTTTGATTGAAAGAAGGAGAGATGATTGGGGCGCTTTCACACATTCTATTGTTCTGTCAGATAACACAGGGATGTCCTGAGTTCTTACAAGCCACATCACAGTGCCCTAGAGGTGGAGGAACATAATTCAGAACTGCACAGTCCAGCCCAGATGAGATGAGCTTAGAGTACAATGCCAAATAAACTTCTTTTCAATCACCACATGAATGTCTATACCTCGAGGGCAGGCTGTGCTGGTGAGAAGGGACACTGGACTCTGCTTCCTCCATAACCAGGGCACAGCAGGTGGCTCCTTTGCAGGTTGCTGACGCAGGTGCATCAGGAAGGCTGGCCACGTAATAACTGCTTGGCCAAGTGATAACCCAGGCTGCTCCGGGTTGAGGAGCAGGACCAAGTAATAACTGACTGTGTGGGCCACTTTCTAGGGGGAGGGCACTGTGATAAATACCAGCAGCTATTTCCCCCAAGTGCAACTGTAATTTAGGAACTGAAGCATATGAGCTTAACTGCGGTTTACACTCACAGTTTATGAGTGATGGGCAAGCACGCTGGATTCTAGAGGCATTCCGAAATCAGCCTAGCTTCTGGGGGGCCAGAGGAGCCCCTTCTCTGTTTCAGGCTCCCTCTGCAGCTGTTTGGCAGTCGCTGCTGGGAAATCTGGCATGAAAGCAGAATTTAAAGTTCTTTGGGGTGACATTGGAAAAACTGCCAAACCTGACAGAATTAAAGTTTTGAAATCTCCCAGTGAGGCATGATCAGTGTCTGTGAGGCATCTGTGACCTAGCAGACGCCCAGCTCTTGGCATAGGATTTTGCGAAAAGCCAAATGACATGGGGGAAGCGGTACCGCCCATCTCTTTGATACAGCGAGACATCCAATCTATTACCAAGACCTCTCTTCTATCTCCTAAATATAGCTTGAATATGTCTATTTTTCTCTAACCCCACTGCCACTATCTTAGTCCAAGTCATAGTTATCTATAGCCTGGACTTTTGCAGGAGCTTCCCCGCTGGTGTCCAGGCCATGGCACTGCGGGGCCTCAGGAGGCAACGTGTATGTCGCAGCCTAGGTACGTGCACCCCCTGGGGCACATCACTACAAGTGATAGTTTACACTAAGAAGGTGCCCTTGGAATCACCCAGCTTGGAGGCCCTGCTGCTTTCCTCCTTCTTCCTCCCTCCTTGGATCTATTTTCCCTTTGCTATTTATTTTTATTTTTGGAAAAATATAAAGAATAATATAATATACACCCATAGGCATCTGCCCCCCAACTTTTTCATATTTTAATATTTTATGAATTTTTGAGCTTGGTAATCTAAATGTTTATTATGGTGTATAGCATACATAGAGAAGAGTATATATTATGCAAATGAACATTTTAAAGAATAAATATTCATGTACCCACCACTCAGCTTAAGAAATAGAAAATTTCGAATCACTTTTGAAGTCTCCCATGTGCAACTTTTCAAACTAGAGACTCTGCTGTGCCCCCCAGGAGTAACCACTCTCATGAATTTGGGGATTAGTGTTTCTTTGTGTTTGTTTATATTTCTTTATCTAATAAATACACACACACACACACACACACAGAGATTCTTAATGTTTTGCTTGGTTTTGCCTGTTTTTTGACCTTTATGTGAATCAATGAGAATGCATTCTCCTGTGACTTGGTGTTTTTGCTTACTACTAAGTTTTGGGAGTCATGTCTGGCGTTGTAGGGAGCTTATTATTCCTCCCTTTTCACTGCTTTCCAATCCACACTCACGCTGCAGCCAGTGCAATGTCTTAAAGACATAAATTCAATTATTCGTCACTCCACTGCATAAAACCCTTTAGTGGCTTCCCAGTACTCTTGGAATAGAATTTCTGATACCTAGTGTGGCCTAAGAACCCCCAGGTGACCAGGTCCTGCCTCTCTTTCCTATCTCATCTCATTTCCTGGGCTGAGGTCACGGTACTCTCCTTCCATCTCCCTCATCTCAACAAGCTCTTCCTTTCCTTCCTGCCTTTGTGCACACCTGAGGTCTTCCTTTCTCTCTTCACGTGGCTATTCCAAGCTAACTGATTAAACATCACTTCTTTCAATGGATGCCACTGACCTCCCAATGTAAATTAGGTGCTTCTTGTTTTGTTTCCTTTTTACTCTTCCTTTCTTCACAGCACTTACCACAGTTTTGTATCATATGTTTATTTGGGCATTTATCTTTATATTTATTTAATGCCCATATACCTTTAAATTGCATTGATGACAGGATCACATATGTTTTCCTTATGATGGCTTATCTAATCCTAACATAGCCCCAGCATATAGCGGGTACTAAATAATTATCATTCAATGAGAATTGAAGCCAGCAAAAGCCAATGCAGTCAGAACAAAAAGAGTATTCAGAGCATGTATTCTGGGTCAATTCACTGCTGGATAAAGATTGTTAAAAGTGAAGGCAAAGCATTCTTCAAGAACACTTGTCAGGTTCAGTATGATCAGAGGCAGATGGTAAGCTTTGTATTTGTCCTATATGCTGATCTAGAGAAGCTGACCGAAAAGCAGCTCTGTTGCTCTACTATATTTTAAAAATAAAATATATAACAATAACCAAGACCTATTGAGCACTTACTTGTGCAGGCACTATTCTAAGTGCTTTGCATGAATAAATCTACTTCATTATCTAATAACCCTAAGAGGGAGGTGCTATCATTATCGCTATTTTTATATAGCAGGAAACCGAAGCACAGAAAGATGAAGTAACTTGCCAGAGCTTATACAACTAGTCAGTGGCAAATCTAGGATAGATCCAGACAGTGTTACTCCAGTGCTCCTCACCATTACTCATATTGCCTTTCAGTAATTTTGTTCCATGAATATTTGTGGCAAGAATAAATGAAGAGGGTTATACCAAAAGTTCAAAGTGCGATGGGTCTCTGGAATGAGAGAGTTTGATTTTTCATATGGCTGTCTGCCATAGCATCTAGACAGTCCCTGAGAGGCAGATAAGACTCAGAGGAACAGATGTGGCAGGATGAGGACTCCCATAACCAGACACATCAACAGAGTGGAAGATGATGTGATCTGGTGTTGATGGAAGTTTGTAAAGATAGACCCCTGCCAGAATGTAGAAGGTCTTGAATGAGACTTTTGGGGCTTCATCTTAGACAAGGGCATTACAGGATTGAATATACAACAAAGTCCTGTTCCAGCAACAACTAGAGTCAGGTGAAGGAGATCAAATGACATTTCTCCCCCTACCTATCCACAGCTACTTATTTCCACAAGGGCTGAAAGGTCCCTGCACTTCAGATATATAAAAAATGTCTGATGGCTGAGGAAGACTTGGAGGAGGGAGGTTGCTGGGACAGACATCAAGGAACCCTGAAGAGAGTTCAACGTAAGGGCCAGAGGCAAAAAGAACTAGGATCAGCATTGGTGACTAATATCAGAGGGCAGGGCTGGGTCTAGGAGGAGGAGGGCAGCAGGTGACATGGAAACTCATCGGAATCTGATCACCTTCCCAGAGTGTATGCTACAGGAGAGGGGCTGTGGACACTGACACAGACATGCTCAAATACCCCGTCACAGGCTGAGTGTGACCAGTGGAGTGGTATGGCCCTCGTGCTCCCAGTTTCACCAGCATTTCATGTTGTACTTTCCCAGCTCAGCCAAACATATGTATGGTAAGAGTGACAGGAACCGTTCTAACCTAAAAAGGAAAGGATAGATTCCATTCCTGGACATTTATAAGTATTCTAGGAGGAGTCTTGGAGAGAGAGCTGGTACAGCAGACTAGACTTTCTATAATCATATAGATGTTATGCCTGAACACATGAAACTTGGGAAATAATAGTAATAGGACTAAACCTATTCTCCTTGGATGCTGCAGCCTGAGGCACTTGGGATACACAGCTCTCCAGCTCAGATTGTTCTACTAAACTGCACATCCAGCTATGCTCTGGACTTCTCCACTTGGATGTTTCGTGGCATTGACAACTCAACATGGCAACACCTGATGTCCTATTCCCTCTATGCTCCTCTCCTCCGCCTGGCCTCCTTATTTTAGTGAAATGGCACCATTTTCTCACAGTTGCTCAAGGTAGAAACGTGTGCATGGTATTTTATTTCTGCATCTACTTCGACCCCCATATGCAATTCACAAAGTCTTGTCTAGTCTACTTTCTCTCACCATCCTCACATCCCGTAATTAGATCAGGTCACTGTCATCTCCACCAGGGTTATTGCCACAGCATCCCACCTGGTTTTTCTCCCTTCAAATCTGCTTACCCAACCACCCCTCCAAATGGTTCTCTGCTCCACAGCCAGCACAACTGTTCTAAAATTCAAATCTGGGCCGGACATGGTGACTCACACCTGTAATCCCAGTACTTTGGGAGGCCAAGGCGGGTGGCTCGTTTGAGCCCAGGAGTTCGAGACCAGCCTGAGCAACATGGTGAAACACCATATCTGCTAAAAATACAAAAATTAGCCAGGCCTAGTGGTGTGTGCCTGTAATCCCAGCTACTAGGGAGGCTGAGGCATGAGAATTGCTTGAACCTGGGAAGCTGAGGTTGCAATGAGCTGAGATCGCGCCACTGTACTCCAGCCTTGGCGACAGAGTGAAACGCAATCTCATTAAAATAAAATAAAATAACTAAAATTTAAATCTGAGCATGAACTTTTCTGAACTCCTTAAAGCGCTTTAACAATGCCCTCCTGCTCTCACCATAAAGCTCAATGTCTTAACAAGGTGTGTATCATTAGTGCCTTGGAGCATGGCTGGCACCTAACACACACCCTGTAAATATGTGTGGCATAGAATCTGGAATGAGTTGGCATGTCTCCTTGTAGCTTGCTGTAAGCACTAATGAGAGTAGGCTTTGACTTCCCTATGTGGAAATAGTAGCTAACACGTTGTTACAAGTTGGTGATTTGTCTTTTTACTTCACCTGTGTATTTTCTGCTATGCTAAAATTTTAAGTTTGATTATAATCAAATCGATAGATCTTTTGTTTGTGGTTTTGGGGGCTTAAGTTAGACATTCCTTGCCTGACACTATTCACAATAGCAAAGACATGGAATCGACCAAATGCCCATCAATGGTAGACTGGATAAAGAAGATATGGTACATATACACCATGGAATACAATGCAATCATAAAAAAGAACAAGTTTATGTCCTTTGGAGAAACCTAGATTGAGCTGGAGGCCATTATCCTTAGCAAACTAATGTAGGAACAGAAAACCAAATACCACATGTTCTCACTTATAAGTGGGAGCTAAATGATGAGAACACATGAATACAAAGAGGGGAACAAGAGACCCTGGGGCCTGCTGGAAAATGGAGGGTGGGATGAGGGAGAGGATGAGAAAAAATAGCTATTGGGTACTAGGTTTTGTACCTGGGTGAAAAAAATAATCTGTACAACAAACCCCTGTGACATGAGTTTCTCCATACAACAAACCTGCACATGGACCCCTGAACTTAAGCTAAAAGTTAAGAAAAAAAGAAATTGTTTGCCTGTTTCATGATTATAGAAATGCTTTCCTATGCTTTGACCTACCACTCTGATTTTTTTATATTTAAATATTTAATCCATTTAAAGTTATTTGTGCGTATGATGTGAGGTAAAGACCTAATTTTATTGATTGCCCATTCAGTGGTCAGTTTCCCCAAATAAATAATCCATTCTTTCCTCATTGATTTAAATGCCACCTTAATAATGTATTGGATTCACATATACACAGGGTTTGTTTCTAGACTCTCTCATCTGTTCTGATGGTTCAACTTTTCTATTTCTACACGAATATCATACTATTTTATTATTTATGGTTTTTGGCATGCATGAGTTTTGAATATTTTAAAAGTAAAACTTTTACTATGAGATTTCTTCCATTTAAAAGTTCAACCTTCTATCTTACTTATTGAGATCTGTAAATGAAATAACTTGATTTCACATATACATTTACTGTACAAGGAAAGATTAATTTAAGCAAGTGAATATTTTTACTCTGCCTGTAACATTCACATGCCTACCACCTCACATAATTTCTTCAGAATCTGCTTTCAAGTATATTAGAAAAATTATCTTTTTATAACCACAAATAGAGGCATTTTTCAAATTTACTATAGGGTAACATTTTAATTACAGAAAGTAATTTCATTATTATTGATGAGAAACAGCCAATAGTATTGTTAGTTTTTGTTTAAACATGAAATGCCTGCAGCTCTGGATCTGTATCTCTTCTGAATGTATTTACTTATTTTTGAATCACCTGTTACTGCTTCTGCAAATTAAAGTTGGAGAAAAAATGTTTAAGATTTTTAATTCAGAAATATGATTAGAGTTTATTATAACTCTTCATTGGAGAATTATTTAATATAATGCTTCTGTAATTAAACCTATTATTTCTCCCTTTCATATTTAAACACAAAAAGTAACAGACTAAAAGCACAATACCAAATGACAAATCATATCTACATCACTATTTTAGTAGTCTTGTTTTTATACTTCTTAAAGAAAAATAAAATCAAAATTTATATTTTATATATTTCTGAGCACATAATTAGAAAGTTTATATAATTCTTTATTAATCGAAGCCAGAGTGTAGGAATGAAATAAAACTACTTGTGTTTATAACAACACAGATTTTTTTATAAATAAAGAGTATTTCAAATCCAAAATCTTTAAAGTATTTAAAGCAAATATTACTCAATTATTTTGTGCCAAAACTTATATGACTAACATATTGATGTCGGCAACCTCTCTTTTCAGAATTTATCCTATAGAAATGTGCAAATATATATATAGAAACAACCTGAAAATCTAACAATGGATGAAAGGTTTAGCAACTCAAGGTATCTGTAGAACAGAAAACTATGTAAATGAGTTGCAAAATAACATGTTTAGTTTTATCCCTTTTTTTTTTTTGTAAAATTAAACAAACATACCAAAAAAGTTTTCTGTGTCTACAAAATGTAACAAGATGGAGACCATGTTAGCCTTTTAGAGCACGGGGTTGCCAACCCCCAGGCCAAGGACCTGTACTGGTCTAATGCCTGTTAGGAACCGGGCCACATAGCAGGAGGTGACTAACAGGCAAGCAAGCATTGCAGCATTACCGCCTGAGCTCTGCCTCCTGTCAGATCAGCAGGGGCATTACATTCTCATAGGAGTGCAAACCCTATTGTGAACTGCGCATGCGAGGGATCTAGGCTGCACACACCTTATGAGAATCTAACTAATGCCTGATGATCTGAGGTGGAACAGTTTCATCCGGAAACCATCCCCCCGCCGCCTCCCCAGTCCGTGGAAAAATTGTCTTCCATGAAACTGGTCCCTGGTGCCAGAAAGGTGGGGGGTCACTGTTTTAGAGGGATAAATGTTTTGGTAGTAAAATATCTCAATAAGGTATCACCGACTGGTTGTGTACCCACATGCCATGGACATCAGCTTACACCAACAGTTCATGAAGGTTCTCCATAAGGCCTTAAGAGAGGCTTGCAACTTAAAAGAAATAGAAATTATCCTAAAGCCTTTATTTCTTGGAGTGCAATTTAAGCATTTGTCCAAAGCACAATATTTGCAATTTCTTTCAAGGCATTGTTGTTTATTCTGTTCTGAACCACTAGTGAAATGATCTGCTTCGGAAATTTCCTCTCCCAGTAATTTAACAATATCCATTTGTTGTTGCATTTTGCTTTCCACCAAAATCATCATCTGTTGGTGTATCAGATTCTCCTTTATTCTCAGTTTGGTTGCTTTGTCTACTGACATTGTAGTAATAAAATTCAGGTGATGCCTGTTGGCCAGCTGTTTAAAGTTTCTAAATAAATACTTCTTAGGCTTTGTCCCCAAATTTTTACAAACAGCTCTAAGAAATTATTTAATTTTTAGCAGTTTATCCGTGATTCATGACAAAAAGAGTCCATAATTCATCATTTCTTTGTTCTTCAAAATTCTGCAATTTTATTAGTGTTCTTAGCTATTTAGGATTCTTTTCTTCCTAACTGATGACTTCCATTTGTTAAGGATAGAGAGATAAATAGATTTTAGTGTAAAAATGCAAATGCTTATGTGCCTTGCTGTTTGTTTTACTCCTTTATCTTTGGATTCTGGAAATTCAAGTATTCTTGTCTGCACATGCAAGAAAATGTTTGTAGGTCATGGACATTTTCTTTGATGGTCCATTGTGACCAGAAGCAAATACTCTGGGCTGTCCTGCACCAGAACAAAGATCTCACTAGCTGATGGAAACATTCATTCCAGCAACTTTTGAATGATAAACCTAATTTTAGATTTACTAGGACTGAAATTTAAATTATTTGAGTAAATTAAAAAGCCTGCAGCAGTCCAGATACACAAACTCTATGGGATAACCTGCTGGCTGCTATCTTGTGTTATTATTACAAAGTAATCGGCTGGACATGGTGGCTCACACCTGTAATCCCAGCACTTTGGGAGGCCAAGGCGGATCACCTGAGTTCCGGAGTTCAAGACCAGCCTGGCCAACATGGTAAAACACTGCCTTTACTAAAAATACAAAAATTAGCTGGGCATGATGGCAGGCACTTGTAATCCCAGCTACTTGGGAGGCTGAGGCAGGAAATTGCTTGAGCCTGGGAGGTGGATGTTGCAATGAGCCAAGATGATGCCACTGCACTCCAGCCTGGGCAACAAGAGCAAGACTCCTAAAAACCTAAAAAAAAAAAAAAAAGTAACCACACCACCTCTTAAGAATTATTTAAAATATTCTTTCTTTTTCTTCACCTTTATAGACAGAAAAATCCCTTCAGTGTCAGGGCTCAACTTGGTTAATAGAATCTGGTTTCTTTCCTTTTTGTGAGAAAGATTCTTTGAATCTCTAGTAGGAAGTGCCCTATTCATCAGGGCTCTGGGTTGCCGTTTGGCATCCCCTATCCAGCTAAGGGAATTGCAATGTGGGTCCTTGAAAACATACTTCATAGAAGACAACCATTTCCCATAGTGTTTAGATGGTTTATGCTGTACTCCTGTAGAAATGGAAGACAGTTCAATAAAGAAGGAAAGGGCAACACAGAAAACTATGTTTCCTAAGGGCATATATATATTTTTTCATCAAATAATGTCATCTCTTACTAATAATTTTGTTTTCTTCTGTCTTGAAATTCTTAAGGGTATGATTTTTGTAGATCCTGGTGCATTCCAAATATATTGTTAACCCAAACCTCTCCTCTATATTTTAAATCCAAATAGCCAACTATCTACTGAAAAATTTACCTCAAAATCAACCTGACTAAAATGGAGCTTGATATTTTATTGTCAATTAACGATTTCTTATCTCAATCAGTGGCAACAGCATCCATCCATTTGCCCAAACCAGGAACTACAATATATAAAGCTCCACCTCCCTCACCCTCAATATCAAATTGGTTCCAAGAATTGCCCAATTGTATCTACCTTCTGCTCCCCCTACCCTGATTCAGATCCCAGCTATTTGGGGCCTGGGTTATGGCCTCTTAACTGTTCTCCCTGTCTGACATCTCACTCCTCTCAGTTCATCCTCCATGTTGCTGTCAGAATGATCTTTCTAAAATGCATATAATATTAAGTTTTTATCCTGCAAAAACTTTGCCATATTCATGGAGACTGTGGTGTGTGTGTCAGGCTCTGTGGTAATTTGCTGGAGCTAGAAAAATAAACATGACCCTGTGTTTGATAAACATGACCCTCAATTTCATAATCTGGTGAAGACAAACAGTTATAATACAATGATAAGTAATAATACTATGATATAAAAGATCCCTAGAGTCTTCCTTACAAATGAAGAGGGGCCACATGTGATAGAGGAAGGAGCACCTGATTCTGCCTTGGGAATCACAGAAGTTCACAGAGAAGATTGAAAGGAAGAGAAACTTGAAGCACTTTACACGGCATTGCCTCATATGAGGAGACTTCAAAAAGCTTGTGGAAAAAAAGGGATTAGAAGATTAAAATATATATATATCAAAAATTCCAAAAAAGATAACAATAAAAAATTAAAACTTTATTTCTTGACATAAGCTCCATCAGGTTCAAGACATTTTTTGTAAGCAATGATATCAGTCATGTAGTCCATCTCTAAAGAAGCAAAAGTCCTGGGAATTTAACCATGTCAATACAGTCTTTTACACTATCAGCTGAAGAAAAATTGATGCCCTTTAAAGATTTTAAGATTGGGAAACAAAAATAAGTCAGAAGGAGCCAAATCAGTACTGTAAGCTGGGTGCCTAATGATTTCCCATTGAAAGTCTTGCAAAATTGCCCTTGTTTGATGAGCGGAATAATCAGGAGCATTGTTATGTTGGAGAAGGACTCTGATGAAGCTTTCCTGGTTATTATTCTGCTAAAACTTGGCTAACTTTCTCAAAATACTCCCATAAAAAGCAGGTGTTATTGTTTTTTGGTCCTACACAAAGTCAACAAGCAAAATGCCTTGTGCATACCAAAAAATTGTTGCCATGACCTTTATTCTTGACTGGTCCACTTTTGCTTTGACTGGACCACTTCCTCCTCTTGGTAGCCATTGCTTTGATTGTGCTTTGTCTTCAAGACAGTACTAGGAAAGCCATGCTTCATCTCCTGTTACAATTCTTTGAATAAATGTCTCAGGATCTTGACCTCACTTGATCTCACTTGGATAATTTCCACTGAAAGTTCTGCTCTTATTTGTAGCTGATATGGGCACAACAGTTTTGGTACCTATCAAGTAGAAAGTTTGCTCAATTTTAACTTTTCAGTCAGAACTGTGTTAGCTGAACTGATTGAGATGCCTATAGTGTTGGCTATTTTTTCTACTGTTAATCATCAGTCTTCTTCAATTAGGGCATGAACAAGATTAATTTTTTCCTCACTAATTGATGTGGATGGTCTGCCACTGTGGCCTTCATTTTCAACATCCTCTTGCCTCTTCTTAAAACAGGTTATCCATTTGTAAACTGCTAATTTCCTTGAGGCATTTTCCCTATAAAGTTTTCATAAATTGTCATTCTTCCACACAAGCTTCACCATAAATTTGAGGTTTGTTTTTGCTTTAATTTTAACAGCATTCATGTTGCTCTGATGGGGGCTCTTCTCAAACTAATGTCTTATGTTTTTTAGTACCTCAAACTAGATCCGGTTAAGATATGTTAAAACAACTTAGTTTATTTTGGTACAAAAAATTTTTGAAATCTATGCATAGTGTTTTCATAATACTCATTTTCCATGAAATTTCTGAAGACCTCTCATATATCTCCATGAACCTAGGTCTCAGAAAGGGTGGGGGCCATGGGATGGGGTGAGTGAAGGATGTGAGGAGAGTGTGAAGTTGTGCCTCGGCCTTTGTGGGGAAAGGGAAGAGATGTTTACCAAGACACTTGAAAGGATTGTTGATCACTGTTGACAAGCAAGCTGATTTGGGTTCCAGGATTTCCAAATTAGAAGCACAGAAGGAAGTGGCAGAGCCATGAAGTCTTGGGCTAAGCCATTAGCGTTTCTGGGCTGAGCAGAAAAGCCTCAGATCTAATATTTGGGAGGCTTCAGGTGACAGAGAAGGGAGACAAAGTCCAGGCTCTAGGCAGTCATAGCATTACAGTCTTGCCATAACTTGAGCTGGGAAGGGCCATGGAAGCTTTGTTTCATCTCTGTATCTTATGAATAAGGGATGAGAATATAAGAGAGTTGGGCAAATTATCCCAGATATTCTGCAGTCAGGGATGAGAGTCCTAGCTCTGCTGTATGGCCTTGGGTGAGAGAGTTAATTTATCTATAAAACCGAATTAATAATGGTCACTATTTCATGGGGTCACTGGGAGGATTGGGTGAGTAATGCACATAGGATACATGGCATGTTGAGCCAGGGTGAGCTTCAGTGCCAATGTGCTATTATATTATAACTACTACTGACGAGGTCTCACAGCTAACTCAAAGCAGAGATAGAAAAAGAACCAAGGGTTGGTATCATATTCTGTTTCCCCACCCATTGACTTTCTTTCTGAAGAAAGGAGGAGAAGAGTATCCTAATAGCAAGAACCTACAGTAAAGTCACCAATGGACAATAACCCAGGTCTGGAGCCAGAAAGTTTGTAAATTCTTAAAACCAATTACAAGAGCTTTCTCCATTTTTTTTCCTTCTCTTTGCCTTCTGGAATGATAGGTCTTGTGGGGGAGGGCAATTTAGGGGTACACAGTTTTGTAGAACTATGGAAGGCACCAGGGGTACCCACCAGCTGGGTAATTCTAGTTGTCCTAAAACCTAGGCTTTTTGGTAGAAGGAAAAAATGGACTTTGGGACTTCCTTCTACATTAATCAGCCCTGGTAACTAGGGTAGGAAAATAGACAGAAATCACAAGGAAAACCTCTGTTCCTAAATAGAGTGCAGAACCTTACAAGGGATAGCTAGGCAGGGTACAGAAGGGAAAGCTATTAATTTGCATTTTGGAAGATTAATAGATGTACATGGTAAAAAAATTCAAAACATAACAAAGCATATACAGTGAAAAATATGTCTCCTTTCCACCCACTCCCTAGTTTTTCCTCTTAGTGACAAACTCTGTCACCAAATTTTAATTTATTTTTCCAAAGATATTTTGTGCATTTACTAACAAAGACTCTTACACATAGACTGTTTATTGGGTACATTTTTGCATGTTAGTGCCTTGCTTTTTCCACTTAAAGATCTATCTTGGAAATTATACTATATCAGTAAATTAAAGCTGCCTCTTTCTTTTTATGCCTACATGGTATTTTATTGAATGGATGTGCCAAAATACATCCCCTATCAAGAGACATTCATATTGTTTTCAAACTCTTGCTTTTACAAATACAGTTGCAATGAATATCTGTGTACATATGTCTTTCTGTATATGTATGTTTGTATCTGTAAGACAAATGCAGAGAAGAAGAATTGCTGTGCCCAAAGAAATGTGCATTTTTAAATTCTGATGACATAATAGGATATTAGATGTTACTTTTCCTGTCTTAGATTTTCAGCAAAGGCCTCAAAGACCAAACTCTAAGTGATGAATCAGCTATTTGGGACATGCAAAGAGACATTAATACCTGTTTTCTTTCCACCTTTAGCCTCTCCTCTGCCTCCAGGTTACATAAGAGAAGACTAAGAGTTCATGGAGAGGTAGAATATTAGGAGACAGCGTTTCTCTAGAGCATGAGAGACTGGAGAGTTGTCAGAGCCATGTACTATTTCTCCTTTTTAGAGCTTGTTTTCCTCTTAGGTTAAGCCAAATGAGGGGGTTCTTTTTTTTATTATTATACTTTAAGTTTTAGGGTACATGTGCACATTGTGCAGGTTAGTTACATATATATACATGTGCCATGCTGGTGCGCTGCACCCACTAACTCGTCATCTAGCATTAGGTATATCTCCCGATGCTGGTTCTTAAGAGTCACCCAGAGAAGTTGTCATGTTTCCCTTGAAATTTTGGGATACAGAAACTAGTATTTGAGTCACTACCAGGAAAGCAGTCTAAAGGCCACAGTCTGTGACAAAGTTCCCTCTGTGAGCAGAGTGAGAAGAGGCTGCCATGGTGTTCTGTGTTTTTTTTTAGATTCTGTGTTGGCCTATTTGGCACTACAGGTCCAATTATACTAATAAGATTTTCCTTATATTCTGTATTTTTAATGCTCTAGTATTTGCAGGCCTTATAGACCCAGTGAGAGAACTGCCTCCCAGGGCTTGCTAATTCCTAAAGATAATAACAACTTGCCTACAAGCACATCTTTCATTGCAAACCAACAAATCCTAAGTCTATAGCCCCAACCACCTCCGTATCTAATTCACATACCAAGCTAAGCCACCCTCCTGCCCTAAATCATCCCAGGCCAGGTACCAGGCAACTAGAGACAACCCCTATGCCTCAAAGCCCTCTGGAATTATTCAAATAGCCAATCCTAAAGTGCTTACTCTGCCCTTCTTGCTTTTCCCATGGAAACTTCAACAAAGGCTGTGGCCTAGGCCTTCCCCTCACTCTTGCTTCTGCCTGTCCAAACCTGGTATTTCCCCTGTGGTCTTGGTGGTGTGACATGTCTCCTTCTTTTAGGAAATATACATAATAAATTCTTCTTTCAGTGGCATCAATTTCTTCCTGTGCCATCAATCGGTCACCTCCATTAAATAGAATCCCTTGGGTATAGTTTTAATATGCATGGGTGCAGCCTTACCTCCTCCAGCGATGGGATGAGTGTTCCTGTGGTCTGAGGTGGTCCTTGTGGAACGGAACTGGAATTGAAAAGTATCTCTCCAAGTGGAGCCCACTGCAGCTCAATGAGGCCTACCTGCCTCTGTAGACTCCACCTCTGGGGCAGGGTATAGCTGAACAAAAGGCAGCAGAAACTTCTGCAGACTTAAACGTCCCTGTCTGACAGCTTTGAAGAGAGTAGTGGTTCTCCCAGCACGGAGTTCAAGATCTGAGAATGGACAGACTGCCTCCTCCAGTGGGTCCCTGACCCCAAGTAGCCTAACTGGAAGTCACCTCCCAGTAGGGGCTGACTGACACCTCATACAGCCAGGTGCCCCTCTGAGACAAAGCTTCCAGAGGAATGATCAGACAGCAACATTTGCTGTTCTGCAATATTTGCTGTTGTGCAGCCTCCGCTGGTGATACCCAGGCAAACGGGGTCTGGAGTGGACCTCCAGCAAACTCCAACAGACCTGCAGCTGAGGGTCCTGACTGTTAGAAGGAAAACAAACCAACAGAAAGGACATCCACACCAAAACCCCATCTGTACATCACCATCATCAAAGACCAAAGCTAGATAAAACCACAAAATGGGGAGAAACCAGAGCAGAAAAGCTGAAAATTCTAAAAATCAGAGTGCCTCTTCCCCTCCAAAGGAACGCAGCTCCTCTCCAGCATGGAACAAAGCTGGATGGATAATGACTTTGACGAGTTGAGAGAAGAAGGCTTTAGAAGATCGGTAATAACAAACTTCTCCGAGCTAAATGAGGATGTTTGAACCCAACGCAAAGAAGCTAAAAACCCTGAAAACAGATTAGATGAATGGCTAACTAGAATAAAGTGCATAGAGAAGACCTTAAAAGACCTGATGGAGCTGAAAACCATGGCATGAGAAGTGTGTGAGGCATGCACAAGCTTCAGTAGCCGATTCAATCAACTGGAAGAAAGGGTTTCAGTGATTGAAGATCAAATGAATGAAATGAAGCAGGAAGAGAAGTTTAGTAAAAAAAGAGTAGGAAGAAATGAACAAACCCTCCAAGAAATATGGGACTATGTGAAAAGACCAAATCTATGTCTGATTGCTGTACCTGAAGGTGACGGGGAGAATGGAACCAAGTTGGAAAACACTCTTCAGAATATTATCCAGGAGAACTTCCCGAACCTCGCAAGGCAGGCCAACATTCAAATTCAGGAAATACAGAGAATGCCAAAAAGATACTCCTGGAGAAGAGCAACTCCAAGACACATAATTGTCAGATTCACCAAAGTTGAAATGAAGGAAAAAATGTGAAGGGCAGCCAAAGAGAAAGGTCGAGTTACCCACAAAGGGAAGCCCATCGGACTAACAGCTGATCCCTCGGTGGAAACTCTACAAGCAAGAAGAGAGTGGGGTCCAATATTCAACATGCTTAAAGAAAAGAATTTTCAACCCAGAATTTTGTATCCAGCTAAACTAAGCTTCAAAAGTGAAGGAGAAATAAAATACTTTACAGACAAGCAAATGCTGAGAGATTTTGTCACCACCAGGCCTGCCTTACAAGAGCTCCTGAAGGAAGCACCAAACATGGAAAGGAAAAACTGGTAGCAGCCACTGCATAAACATTCCAAATTGTAAAGACCATCGATGCTAGGAAGAAATTGCATCAACTAACGAGCAAAATAACCAGCTAACATCATAATGACAGGATCAAATTCACACATAACAATATTAACCTTAAATGTAAATGGGCTAAATGCTCCAATAAAAAGACACAGACTGGCAAATTGGATACAGTCAAGACCCATCAGTGTGCTGTATTCAGGAGACCCATCTCATGTGCAGAGACACACATAGGCCCAAAATAAAGGGATGGAGGAAGATCTACTAAGCAAATGGAAAACAAAAAAAAGCAGGGGTTGCAATCCTAGTCTCTGATAAAACAGACATTAAACCAACAAAGATCAGAAGAGACAAAGAAGGCCATGACATAATGGTAAAGGGATCAATTCAACAAGAAGAGCTAACTATCCTAAATATATATGCACCCAATACAGGAGCACCCAGATTCATAAAGCAAGTCCTTAGAGACCTACAGAGAGACTTAGACTCCCACACAATAATAATGGGAGACTTTAACACCCCACTGTCAACATTAGACAGATCAACGAGACAGAAAGTTAACAAGGATATCCAGGAATTGAACTCAGCTCTGCACCAAGTAGAACTAATAGACATCTACAGAGCTCTCCACCCCAAATCAACTGAATATACATTCTTCTCAGCACCACATCACACTTATTTGAAAATTGACCACATAGTTGGAAGTAAAGCACTCCTCAGCAAATGTAAAAGAACAGAAATTATAACAAACTGTCTCTCAGACCACAGTGCAATCAAACTAGGACTCAGGATTAAGAAACTCACTCAAAACCACTCAACTACATGAAAACTGAGCAACCTGCTCCTGAATGACTACCAGGTATATAATGAAATGAAGGCAGAAATAAAGACGTTCATTGAAACCAGTGAGAACAAAGACACAACATACTAGAATCTCTGGGACACATTTAAAGCAGTGTGTAGAGGGAAATTTATAGCACTAAATGCCCACAAGAGAAAGCAGGAAAGATCTAAAATTGACACCCTAACATCACAATTAAAAGAACTAGAGAAACAAGAGCAAACACATTCAAAAGCTAGCGGAAGGCAAGAAATAACTAAGATCAGAGCAGAACTGAAGGAGATAGGGACACAAAAATCCCTTTAAAAGATCAATGAATCGAGGAGCTGGTTTTTTGAAAAGATCAAGAAAATAGATAGACTGCTAGCAAGACTAATAAAGAAGAAAAGAGAGAAGAATCAAATAGACACAATAAAAAATGATAAAGGGGATATCACCACCCATCCCACAGAAATACAAACTACCATCAGAGAATACTATAAACACCTCTACACAAATAAATAGAAAATCTAGAAGAAATGGATAAATTCCTGGACACATACACCCTCCCAAGACTAAACCAGGAAGAAGTTGAATCCCTGAATAGACCAATAACAGGCTCTGAAATTGAGGCAATAATTAATAGCTTACCAACCAAAAAAAGTCCAGGACCAGACAGAGTCACAGCCAAATTCTACCAGAGGTACAAGGAGGAGCTGGTACCATTCCTTCTGAAAATATTCCAATCAATAGAAAAAGAGGGAATCCTCCCTAACTCATTTTATGAGGCCAGCGTCATCCTGATACCAAAGCCTGGAAGAGACACGACAAAAAAAGAGGATTTTAAACCAATATCCCTTATGAACACCGATGCAAAAATCCTCATAAAACACTGGGAAACTGAATCCAGCAGCACATCAAAAAGCTTATCCAGCATGATCAATTGGGCTTCATCCCTGGGATGCAAGGCTGGTTCAACATACCCAAATCAATAAATGTAATCCAGCATATAAACAGAACCAAAGAAAAAACCACATGATTATCTCAATAGATGCAGAAAAGGCCTTTGACAAAATTCAACAGCCCTTCATGCTAAAAACTCTCAATAAACTAGGTATTGATGGGATGTATCTCAATATAATGAGCTATTTATGACAAACCCACAGCCAATATCATACTGAATGGTCAAAAACTGGAAGCATTCCCTTTGAAAACTGGCACAAGACAGGGATGCCCGCTCTCACCACTCCTATTTGACATAGTGTTGGAAGTTCTGACCAGGGCAATCAGGCAGGAGAAAGAAATAAAGGGTATTCAGTTAGGAAAAGAGGAAGTCAAATTGTCCCTGTTTGCAGATGACATGATTGTATATTTAGAAAACCCCATCATCTCAGTCCAAAATCTCCTTAAGCTGATAAGCAACTTCAGCAGTCTCAGGATACAAAATCAACGTGCAGAAATCACAAGCATTCCTATACACCAATAACAAAGAGAGCCAAATCATGTGTGAGCTCCCATTCACAATTGCTTCAAAGAGAATAAAATACCTAGGAATAAAACTTACAAGGGATGTGAAGGACCTCTTCAAGGAGAACTACAAACCACTGCTCAACAACATAAAAGAGGACACAAACAAATGGAAGAACATTCCATGCTCATGGATAGGAAGAATCAATATTGGTAAAACGGCCATACTGCCCAAGGTAATTTATAGATTCAATGCCATCCCCATCAAGCTACCAATGCCTTTCTTCACAGAATTGGACAAAACTACTTTAAAGTTCATATGGAACCAAAAAGGACCCCGCATTGCCCAGACAATCTTAAGCCAAAAGAACCAAGCTGGAGACATCACACTACCTGACTTCAAACTATACTACAAGGCTACAGTAACCAAAACAGCATGGTACTGGTACCAAAACAGAGATATAGACGAATGGAATAGAACAGAGCCCTCAGAAATAATACCACACATCTACAACCATCTGATCTTTGACAAACCTCACAAAAACAAGAAATGGGGAAAGGATTCCCTATTTAATAAATGGTGCTGGGAAAACTGGCTAGCCATATGTAGAAAGCTGAAACTAGATCCCTTCCTTACACCTTATACAAAAATTAATTCAAGTTGGATTAAAGACTTAAATGTTAGACCTAAAACCGTAAAATCCCTAGAAGAGAACCTAGGCAATACCATTCAGGACATAGGCATGGGCAAGGACTTCATGTCCAAAACACCAAAAGCAATGGCAACAAAAGCCAAAATAGGCAAATGGGATCTAATTAAGCTAAAGAGCTTCTGCACAGCAAAAGAAACTACCATCAGCGTGAACAAGCAACCTACAGAATGGGAGAAAATTTTTGTAACCTACCCATCTGACAAAGGGCTAATATCCAGAATCTATGAAGAACTTAAACAAATTTACAAGTAAAAATCAAACAACCCCATCAAAAGTGGGCAAAGGATACGAACAGACGCTTCTCAAAAGAAGACATTTACGCAGCCAACAGACACATGAAAAAAGGCTCATCGTCACTGGCCATCAGAGAAATGCAAATCAAAACCACTATGAGATACCATCTCACACCAGTTAGAATGGTGATCATTAAAAAGTCAGGAAACAACAGGTGCTAGAGAGGATGTGGAGAAGCAGGAACACTTTTACACTGTTGGTGGGACTGTAAACTAGTTCAACCATTGTGGAAGTCAGTGTGGCGATTCCTCAAGGATCTAGAACTAGAAATACCATTTGACCCAGCCATCCCATTACTGGGTATATACCCAAAGGGTTATAAATCATGCTGCTATAAAGACTCATGCACACGTATGTTTATTGCAGCACTATTCACAATAGCAAAGACTTAGAACCAACCCAAATGTCCATCAATGATAGACTGGATTAAGAAAATGGGGCACATATACACCATGGAATGCTATGCAGCCATAAAAAAGGATGAGTTCATGTCCTTTGCAGGGTCATGGATGAAGCTGGAAACCATCATTCTGAGCACTACCGCAAGGACAGAAAACCAAACACTGCATGTTCTCACTCATAGGTGGGAATTGAAAAATGAGAACATTTGGACACAGGATGGGGAACATCACACACCGGGGCCTGTTGTGGGGTGGGGGGAGAGAGGAGGGATAGCATTAGGAGATATACCTAATGTAAATGATGAGTTAATGGGTGCAGCACACCAACATGGCAGATGTATACATAGGTAAGAAACCTGCATGTTGTGCCCATGTACCCTAGAACTTAAAGTATAAGAATAATAATAATAAAAAGAAAAGTATCCCTCCAAAAACAGGCTGGAGGTGCTGGGCTGGGGGATCTAGGGTGCCAAGGTCTGAGTATGGAGTTTTAAATGGAGGGCATGTTGGCTGGGTAAGGAAGTTTGGGTAAATGTCTCCCGTGAGCCTCAACATCTTCTCGTAAAAAGTCAAGCATTTGGACATTGGCCACAAGCAGAGGGCATCAAAGCCAGATTACAACTGTCTCAGTCACTAAAGATCTTTTCCACCCTTTGCTGCTCTTCCTCCCCCTGTGCCAGACTTCAGGGAACCGGAGGTCACAAGGTGAGTAAAGGAGAAAGTGTCTCAGTCCATTTCTGTGCTATAACAAAATGCCACAGAACGGATAATTTGTAAACCACAGAAATTTATTTCTCATAGTTCTAGAGACTGGGGCAGTCCAAGATCAAGGCAGCAGCAGGTTTGGTGTCTGGTCGGGGGATGCTCTCCCCTCCAAGATGGCACCTTGTTGCTACGTTCTCCAGAGGGGACATACTAAGTTTTGACATGAATTTTGGAGGAGGCACACTCAAATCATAGCAGAAATAGAGGAAAAGAGTTAAGGGAGAAATAGTGAGAAGCCAAACAGGACATCTTTTCTGGGCTTTAGGTTTCTGAGCCTAGGTGAGGACTGAGCCAGGGGTTGGGAAGAAGCATTAAATTGGTTGAGATTAAAGCTTTGATATGAAACTGGACCAAATTCGTTAATAACCAGAAAGTGAGACTATTCACTAATAACTGGAATTGACCAGAAAAGCTATCAGATCTACCCACAATTTCATGAAAGCATAGAAAGTGGAGATTCAAAGTAGCACGAAAGAAAGTTAGTGTTGTGAGCAAATAATGTGTTTTTTCTCTACTGCTTGCACCTCACAAACACCAGTATGTTCAATAAACCAGTTAGAATAGATAGATACCAACTTCCTCCCTCACCAATAAGGTGTATATCATCCATTTGCAGAAGAGGCTTTTGATGTTCACAAAGAGGACTTGTCTATTCTTTGACATTCTATGGAGCAAAATAGAGAGAAAAATAATGTTACTCCTGAATGTCTCCGATCAATCAATACAGACTTCTTGACATCATGTACTGTTTTAAATGCTTGTGTGTCTTCCCAAATTCCAGTCTCCACATATCAAACATATCAAGTTAGGTAGACTGTTTTACATTCCAGATAGGAACATAAAGGAAGGATATAAGAAAAGATTACTTTCAATACTAACTTGTGGTGATAAATGTCTATTAATAAAAAATATATTTTTAACCCAGACATTTATACATCTTTTTAAATATGGTAATGGATCACTACTATGTGGAGAATTAAATAAGAACACAGATATATTAAAATAATGTTGTCCAAAGATCATTTATTAGTTAACTCAAATTTATATTATCTCAAGTACTAGAAGTTTAACTAAGGGTCTAGAAAATACAATTTAAGTTAATATGTTGAGTCTTTTGTAGAATTATAAAAATTAACCTATTTTTATAAAGACTACATGTTATCAAGTTATTTAGTTGAACACATAATTTTACAATTTTATAAATTTAAAATGATTTTAGTTCATTCAACCTCAAAACTAGTAGAGGAAATTTAGAAAATTCAAATTAATTAAACTTTTCATGAAAAAGTAAACCCAAGGCTTTCATAAACCAAAATGTTGTGCTAATGTTATTTTTATATGGTAGAAGGTGGGGAAAGATATAGAGCTATTTTTAAATCAAAATTATTAAACCTGTATAATTTTTCCAAAGGGACACCATAATTAGGAGTATTACGTGATCTCTTTTCTTGTGTCATTATATAGCAGATATTAAAACTTTAAAGTTTTTAATAAGATACTTCTTGTAATAGCCAAGGCTATTAATGAAGCTCACTAAGTCTTTTTTCCTGTTACAGCTTTACCAAGAAAAAATTTTCTTACAGAACCACATATTTAAAGTATAAGAAGTAAAAAAAATTTTTTAGAAAGTTTTAAATTTCTTGTTCTTCCCATTTATGTAAGTGCTTAATATACAAATATTGTTTCACAAAGCCACCTCAAGGAGGAGTTTATTCCTTTAGATTTCTTTTAACTTTTATTTTGAAATGATTTTAAACTTTCAGAAAAAAATGCAAAAATTGTACAGAGAGTTTACATATGCCCTTCACTTCTTTCCCTGATGTTAATATCTTACATAAGCATAGCACGATTATCAAGACCAAGAAATTGACAGTGATGCAATGTTGTTAATGAAATAACATAGTTTATTCAAATTTCACCAGTTTTTCACTGATGTCCTTTTTCTAGCCAAGACCCAATCCAGGACCACATATTGCATAGTTGACCTGTCTTTTTAGTGTCCTTCAATTTGTAATAATTCCTCAATCTTTCTTTTACAGAATATAAAAGAAAGAAAAATTAAAAATACAATTTATATTGTTTTTGCCCCATCCCTGGAACCAACCATTTTTTCTAGGCATCCTAATTTGTTTCTCTGTGTGTGTGTGCGCGTGTGTGTATGTGGTGTGTTGTTCTTTGTTGTTTACTGCCTCTGGATTTTGAGTCTTAGTTAGAAAACTGGCTCTAGGGTCTAACTCCTTTCCTTTCCATATCAGAGAGACACAGTAATAGCCCTACAGTCCACTTTCCAAAGGTCAGATTATTCCATATAAAATAATCACAAGAGCTTCCACAGGAAGTCTAGTAGAAATGTGCAGGTGAGCATTCACCTCCCAGTCACATCCTTTTAGAGGCTCCTGTCATTGTGAGGCCCTCTGTGTATTCTTATTAATCCTAATTATCCATTACATAACTATTGACCACACACATACCTCCTAAGGACAGACATTAATTCCCAGGGATTTTAGTGCCTAAATTAATATTCATAAGCAGAAACACCGTCCTGATTGTAGCATCAGCTCTGCAGCTTCTTCCCAGGACAGACTTGGCCCTTTGACATGCAAAGCCTGGACAGCTCCCTTTCTTCACACTCTTTCTTTCAGAACATGCCTCAGGGTTTGATAAATGATGGTTTTCAGGCTGTCCACCCTTTAAAATTAAAGCTGTCTTTTACTTGAAGAGCAGGATCAAAATCTTTTGCAGAGTCTCTAATTCTCTGGTAATCTCTGTAAATGAAGGGAAATGTTCCTATGAGGGTATATTACTCTTCTATCTGTCCCCTTTCCCTACAAAAATTCTGTATATGAGTGGCAGTTTTCCCAATTAATATTAACTGATATCAATATTACCTTAATATCAATGCAAATGAGAAAATTAGTACCTGTATAATTATACATAAAAGCTGTTTCCAGCTATAAAGTCCATTTTGCCATCACGCCACATTAAACCAGAATTCTTGAAAATATTTACCAAGTTGACCAAAGTCTTATAATCATTATCCAATGATATTTTAATAGTTAATATCAAGATTAACCATCTCTGGTCAATGTTACCCAATTGCAGGCTTTACGTATGCTGTCTCCTGATCCTTGCAATAGTATTAAGTTAGTTTGCAAGTTTGCAGAAATATTAATAGCCAAGAATATACATATTGCTATACAATCAGTTCCTGCTTATAGAATCAACAAAAAGTCTATAATAGATAAATGAGAGTAAAAACTGATTTTTAGTTGTGCTTGATTCAGTTCTCGATAACATGAAAGATCATATCATAATAGAAAATTTCACATTTCTAATATCCATTTTTATGGTTCCATTTAAATTGAATATTGGTAGTTTGTATTATTGAAACTTTATATCATGCTTAATCAACTTTTATTCTAACTCTTTTATTTGACACTAATTTTTATCAACTTTTATGTCCTGGTTTTATAATTATTTACTTATTTGCTGTTTTTAAATGACTTATATTGGATGAGCCTTTCTAACTTTAACCTTTTAGAACCTTTATAACTTTAACCTAATTGGCATCTCTTGTATTAAGTTTGTTTATTGGTTTAGGCAGAAACTGCCTTTTAATGGTGGGTTTACATTATTTATATGAGATCCAGTGTTTGGTACATTTGGTGTTAACTTTTTCAGTATATATTAGGCAACTTTATTGTCTCTGGTTATATGGACTATGTTTTTCCCTTTATCTTTTTTTTTTTTTTTTTTTTTTAGATGGAGTCTCGCTCTGTCACCTAGGCTGGAGTGCAGTGGCACGATCTCGGCTCACTGCAAGCTCCACCTCCCAGGTTCACACCATTCTCCTGCCTCAGCTTCCAGAGTAGCTGGGATTACAGGCGCCCACCACCACACCCGGCTAATTTTTGTATTTTTAGTAGAGACGGGGTTTCACCGTGTTAGCCAGGATGGTCTCGATCTCCTGACCTCGTGATCTGCCCACCTTGGCCTCCCAAAGTGCTGGGATTACAGGCGTGAGCCACTGTGCCCAGCCTTTCCCTTTATCTTTTAAAATGTTTTAGAAGACAAAAAAATCTATTTTAAAGCCTCATGTAAATATCTTGAAATGTTCTATAAGCATTCTATTTCTCTCTTTCCCTAATCAAAAGCCTGCTGTACTTCCCTGCAAGAAAGACAAAGGATGTTACTTTTTTTGTCTGCATCTCCTATTCCCTACATTCAATTTCTCATTCATAATTAAATTTGATATTTCTCACTTTTTTCTCTTCATGTTTCTTTTATACTTTCTGTGTCTTATTTTAAATAATTACTGCAGTATCAGGAGTAATTCTTCCACAGTTATTTTTACTTCTTTAACAATAGTTGGTATCAATAATTCTCACAGGTTCATTTTTTAGCCATTATCCATTCAAATTTCTTTCTCTAATTTTATTCTTGCATACTATACATTGTAGCTGTGAGCGATTTTTTCAAAAGAAGCCCCTGCTGCCACATTTTTTTAAGATTGGTCATGTCTGCAAGTATCTCTCTGTTACTTCCCTATACAAATGGCATGATGTGGTTCATTATTCTTGAGTTGCACTTTTTCCCCTCTGTAGAAGATGTCATCACATTGTCATCCAGCATTGCTCACTGCTGTGGAAAAAGTCAAAGCTAGTTTGAAATTTTACTCCATGAAAATAACCTACTTTTTTTTGCCCGGAAACTTGCAGAATTATCTTTTCCCTTACAGCTTTAAATTTTTATGAAATTATGTTATGGTGTTGCTTTTTGCTCTTGATTTTTGTGTGGGACTTTGGTGGTACTCTCTGTAACTGTTTTTTGTTTTTCGAAAATAATGTTTTCTCTGAGAATTGGTTTTGATCCTTTTGTCTGTTTTTTCACTTTTAGAAACTCCTATTTGGAAATTGGATCTCCAAATTTAACAACTTCTCTTGAATTATTTTCTTGTTTTTAAAATTTCTTTTCCATATTGAATATTGTAATTATGGATAAAGAGGAGAGGGAGGGCGAACATATCTTTTTTTGAGTCCCAGGTCCAGCTTTATTACCCAATACAAGTCAAAACTCTGGAACATTAAAATTCATTATTCCAAAGTTTAATTAAAAACATAATTTACAAATATTTAATATCTTCTGAAAAGCATTTCCAAGTTAAGAATGAAAAAAGATGTGTACACAGTATATAATCAAATACCGGTTGGCTTCAAATCCCATCGAATCCACACTCAGCAACATCAATCTTTTTAGGTTCTTCAAAATCTTCTGTTAAATCTATGAAGTTGTTTTCTACAATAAGGCAAATAATGGAAACCCTATTGCTTTTTGAACTCCATACATGCTTACAATATCACGTGGAGTTACATGCTGTGCACATTTTTTAAGATTATTGGTCACTTGTTTAGAAAGACGCATTTCTCCATATGAGGGACCCAAGAGACAGATCATATTGGGAGGGTGTCTGATGCTCAAAAGCTCATTCTGGGCTTCCTGGAGCTCCTTGAACAATTTGGTGGTCTTGTCAAGTTTCTTTTGAACATGACAGCTTTTTCAGAGTTCAAAACTTCAACTGGAGTGCCAAAGTTTGTTACTGCTTTCAGTGCTATGAGCCTGTCCTGAGTATTGGAGTCCAAACGCACTGCTGGCTCTATTTCTGTAATCTCCATTTCATTTGCTGTGACAAGTATCCTAGTACGACCTTCATCTTCAGGCGATGACATCTCCAGCTCTTGTAGGGTCCTGGAATGTTCTCCTCTTGTTAAAACATTCAGTGAACTAACATATGGATGATCTTGGCATGTGGCCAAAACCTTAAGGATGCTGAAAGCACCTGGAAGATCAGCCTTCCCCATAGTTTGAATAGGTTAAATCAGAATCATCCTTGCTGACATTTGCAAATGTGGAGTCATAATATGGTGCACAAGAACTGTAGGGTTCATAGTGCAAATACAACACGAGAGTTACTTTGTTTCATTTATCCTCTTTGAACCCCTGCAAAGTATTCACTCCTGACAGAAGTCTTCCAGTTGTCATTCCCAGTCTCACAGGGCAATCGCCTGACTCTTACAATGGGACCCACAGGATGGGGAAGTCCCAAGGTCGTTGTTCCATCTGGTTTTCTTCTTTCAAATTTGCACTATTAACAAGCCACCTGGTCAGCTTTCCTCAGATTCCTTAACGATGCGGTTCAACCTGGTTCTGCTCTCTCTCTAAATTATTGCTTTCAAACTCATTTTCAGGCATAACTTTGTCTTTCTATTGTCTTTGCTGGGACTTTTGAAGGCTTGTGCTTCAGCATCTCCAGCTTTCTTGGCCAGCAGCTTCTGTCCACCCCACTCTGCGAGTGTCTGTTCTCTTTCTGCTTTCAAGGTTTTTTTGTTGTTGTTCTTGTTTTTTGTTTTTGTTTTTGTTTTTTTGCAAGTCTGCCATAAAGTCTATGCCCTGCTTCAGAATTCAGGCTCTGAATTCTTTGCTGGCTAAGAATGTTCATCCCTGAGTGCAGTAACTTTTTGGCAGCTTTATAATAAATGGCCTCTGGTTTGTTGTAAAACATGGCATTAGTACACATTAGTTTGAAGTTATCCTTTAGTTCTTCTATGTGCTGGTAGTCATTGTTGTTGATCTTTTCTTTCATGGTATTAAAATCCATTGGGTGTTTAATGATCATGAAGCAGCCAGGAGCAATAAAATCAGTCACAGGAAATGAAAAGAAAGCCCTTGGGTCTTTTCTCCGCAATTGTCTCATCAGTTGACTCAAAGCATCTTGAAGAGGTGTCTGTTCAGCTTCTTGCTTGGCGGAAGAGCTTGTGAGAGGCTTCTCAGCAGGCAGGTCTAATCTCACAGGGAAGTGACACTGGAGCTCTTCCTCTGCCTCCTCTCCACACTGCCTGGAACTCACTTTCTTTCATCCTCCTTTACTCCTCTCTGTTTTCTCCCCTTTCTTTCCCCCAGAACCTGCCTCGGTGCCAGTTGATATTCATTAAAATAAGCCCGAGTTTATTTTTTAAGAAGCCCAAGCGTTTGGAGACCTGGGTGACTTGGTTCCCTCCTGCTTTGAGGACCAGCTTCAAGGGCTTCTCTACATACTCCTCGTACAGGTGCTTGTCTGACCTGGACTTTTTGCCATGTTCCACTAGGTCCCAGTGCCCGACCCCCTCGCCAGGTCCTGGCCCTGCAACACTGCTTTCCGGGCCAGGTGAGCAGATGGCTGCAGCAGGGCCTGAGAGACCCCAGGCCATCAGGCAGTGAGGCATGCTGGAGATTGCTTTAAATATAAAGAAGCCACACAGAACAACAATTATCTAACAGGGAGGCCTTATTTTAGTGAATATCAATTGGTATTTGTTTGGCTGAATCTGAAATGACATGATAGCTGGACTATTTTATTCTTTATACAAGCAGAGCAAAGAATTTAGAGATTCTTCCTTTTGGTAAAGGTTGTGAGCGGCTATTGCTAAATGTAAAGTAGGTGGAATATGTAATAGATCTCACTTCTCTTCAGTCTTTGAGAAATTCTTCATATAACCTGCAGAATAGGTCAGATGCAATAAGACAAGAGTTGGCGAGTTCTTGACATGAGGAGAGCACCCAAATAGGACTCTGGAAGTTTGGTTCTGTGTGTGAGATCAACTATGCAAAGAACATGGCACACACAGGTGTGCATCAGGCATGGTTTACAACTGGCCTTTCCGGGAAGAGGGAGGAGTTCATCACTGGGGATTATCTTGGTCATTTTCAGGACCAGGGATTCCCTGGGGCAAGGGATTGTGACCTAGGATATCTGATGGGAAGAAGGATCTTGTCTACCTGCTTGGGGTTTAGGGGAAGCCCTAGATTTAGATCCTGGACCAGTGATCTCTGTTGAACCTAGGGCTGGGAACCCACAGAGATCCAGGCTGATGGACTGGGCCAATCTGAGGGGAAGAAGGGTGGCTGGAGGACTGGCCGCATGCTCCCAGGACTGGCAGCGGTGGGAATGTGAGAAGTAACACGTGAGTGGTTGAGGCTGGGCCTGGTAAGATGAGTTACGACTGAGATTATTGATACAGTCCTTGCCTTAGAGGGGACTGACACAGAAACCAGGGTAGGACTAAGACTCAGTGGTATATTACTGGCCCCAGCCAGTGGAATGGGGTAATAGAAGTCTTTGGGAGCATAACAACCATTGTTATGAGTGTGGAAGGACTTATCCTTCTTTTTCCCTATTTTATCTCTCTATCAGAGTTGTTTGACAGATCCCTGGGGAAATTATATGTCTTTTCTACAGACTTCAGAACTGACCTCTCTTCTATGACGCACCAGCAGATGAGAGCTATGAAACCAGATGCCATATTTATTGTAGGGATCTTCTTGAGGACATTGTCAATGACATATCTCTTTCCATTTGTTTGAATCATATAATAAATTCTTTCAAAGAAAAGTGTGACATCAGAGGAATTACCAGCCCCTTATGGCCTCATTTACCTTGCATTGACTGATGCTCCCAACACATAAATCTGCCCATTCTTTGCAAATTTCAAATTCAACCAAGTTACTCTTTTTTGTTTGTTTTTGTTTTAGGTTTTTTTGGGGGTTTTTTTTGAGATGGAGTCACACTATGTAACCCAGGCTGGAGTGCAGTGGTGTGATCTCGGCTCACTGCAACCTCTGCCTCCTAGGTTCAAGCGATCCTCCCACCTCAGCCTCACAAGTAGCTGGGATTACGGGCAGGCACCGTCACACCTGGCTAATTTTTGTATTTTTAGTAGAGACAGGGTTTCACCATGTTGGCCAGGCTGGTCTGGAACTCCTGACCTCAAGTGATCCACCCGCCTTGGCCTTCCAACGTGCTGGGATTACAGGCATGAGCCACTGCCCTCAGCCTTAGTTCCTCTTTCTTTTTTTTTTTTTTTTTTTTTTTTTTTTTTTTTTGAGACGGAGTCTCGCTCTGTCGCCCAGGCTGGAGTGCAGTGGTGCGATCTCGGCTCACTGCAAGCTCCGCCTCCCGGGTTCACGCCATTCTCCTGCCTCAGCCTCCCGAGTAGCTGGGACTACAGGCGCCCGCTACCACGCCCGGCTAATTTTTTGTATTTTTAGTAGAGACGGGGTTTCACCGTGTTAGCCAGGATGGTCTCGATCTCCTGACCTCATGATCCGCCCGCCTCGGCCTCCCAAAGTGCTGGGATTACAGGCGTGAGCCACCGCGCCCGGCCTAGTTCCTCTTTCTTATGTGAGACCTCTCATTTGAAGCACAGAAAAAGTAGATATAATTAGAATCTAGTTAATTATGTAACTTTGGATTGCCAGTTCCCACATACTCCCTATGGGCATTATCTTCAAAGGTGTTGCTACATTTCTACTCCTTCAAAATACTTTGAACATAAAGTAACTGCAATTATTTTAGTCAAGGAAAACTGTTTGCTAAGTTCACCTCCACATACTTATAATTCTAAGGTCCTCACTTACTATTAAATTATTCAAATTTATTCACTTTTTAAATAGGCTTCCACCTTCCAAAGAGGCTTTTATATGTTCCATTGTTACTTTTCCGGTGTTTCCCACACCTGCTACGTAACTGATTTGATGAGAAAAATTATTTTGACATCCTATCCTTAATAAGAACAATTGAATTTTCTCCTAACCATAAAAAGTGGGCCTTTGTCATTTGTGTCTTCCCCTGTGCACTCATTGCACTTTCTTCTCTAGACCTGTGGTTAAAGTTTGAAATTGAGGGTACATGAGAGAAGAAGGCTGCATATTGGAAACCCTTTTACCACATCGATATAAGAAACATGGGCTTGCTACACTCGGTCCAGAGGACTCAGACACCATTGAGTGTCACCAGTGTTGACCTAAGCGAACTGCTCTGGAACCAGGAAAGTTCAGGATGGTTTCATTTTAAAAACAAAACCAAAAGCAAAACTTTAAGCCTTTCGGGGGTATCACTGGCATCTGTGGGGGCACTTGCTTACCACCCCTCAGGAACTCTGCGGTAGTGCTTTAAGATAATCTTTTCAGGTGGCTATGTCATGTAAGTCTGAGTTTCTCTTAATCTACAGCTAATATTACCTGAGGGAACACAGGTCTTTCGGAGAGTGGGAGAGAGTGAGAGAAGCTGGGAGGTGGGGGAAGGAGTGAATCAGGAGGAGACCAAGCTCAGCCAGCTTCAATTTGCTTCTATTTTCAAGGTGTCAGCCACCACCATCTTCAATACCAGTAAATGGAAGAGACAGTGTAGCAAATATATGCCCAAATGCAAGCCAAATGCTACCCCGAAGTGCTAATCAGAATTCAATTACTTCTTGTAATTCAGTGTCCCAAGGTGTAGTCTGAGATTAGACTGCTAATGAAGAGATTAGACTTTTTTTTTTTTTCAAGTTTAGCATAATGCTGCCTCCTTACATTTTTAAAATTATTATTGTACTTTAAGTTCTGGGATACATGTGCAGAATTTGCAGGTTTGTTACGTAGGTATAAAGGTGCCACAGTGGTTTGCTGCACCCATCAACCCGTCATCTACATCCCTTCCCTAGCTCCCCTAGCTCCCCACTCCCCAACAGGCCCCAATGTGTGATGTTCCCCTCCCTGTGTCCATGTGATCTCATTGTTCAACTCCCACTTATGAGTGAGAACATGTGGTGTTTGGTTTTCTGTTCTCATGTTAGTTTGCTGAGAATGGTGGTTTCCAGCATCATTCATGTCCCTGCAAAGGACGTGAACTCATCCTATTGTATGGCTGCATAATATTCCATGGTGTATAGGCACCACGTTTTCTTTATCCAGCCTATCATTGATGGGCATTTGGGTTGGTTCCAAGTCTTTGCTATTGTGAATAGTGCTGCAATAAACATACATGTGCATGTGTCTTTATAGTAGAATGATTTATAATCCTTGAAGTTGCTTCCATTTCCACATCTGCCCCCAAGTCATCTTTCCATGCTCAAATCCTACAGAGGGCACAAGCAACTCCTCAAGTTCTGACTGGTTTCAAAGTATTTAATGAGTGCAATGTCCTACTGTACAGATAAATTACAATATATATTTTTAAATATATTATTATTTGAGGCACATATGTGCCTCTTTCTAGTCAGGAAAGGGTGGTCTGGGGCAGGTCAAGTGAAAGGAATGAACTAGTCAGGAAAAGTCTATGGATGGAATCAGCACCGGTGGCTGCCAATTCCTCCAAATCCTACCCACACCAGCACTCACTTGAGTATTTATTGTAAAATTCCTAACAGAACAGAACTGTCAGAAACTGAGTTGTGCCAAATTGTACATACTGCTTAGGCACAAGTGGGATATTTTGTTTTAAAATACTCATAATAGAGTTCCAAGAAGGCCAAATAGGAACAGCTCCAGTCTACAGCTGGAGCATGAGCGATGCAGAAGATGGGTGATTTCTGCATTTCCAACTGAGGTACTGGGTTCATCTCACTGCGATTTCTTGGACAGTGGGTGCAGCCCACGGAGTGTGAGCTGAAGCAGGGTGAGGCATCGCCTCACCCCGGAAGTGGAAGGGGTTCGGGAATTCCCTTTTCCTAGCCAAGGGAAGCTGTGACAGATGGTACCTGGAAAATCAGGACACTCCCACCCTAATACTGCACTTTTCCAATGGTCTTAGCAAATGGCACACCAAGAGATTATATCCACACCCAGCTCAGAGAGTCCCATGCCCACGGAGCCTTGCTCACTGCAGGCACAGCAATCTGAGATTGAACTGCAAGGCAGCAGCAAGGCTAGGGGAGGGGTGTCTGCCATTGCTGAGGCTTGAGTAGGTAAACAAAGCAGCCAGGAAGCTCGAAATGGGTGGAGCCAGTTCGAGCTCCTTGAGGCCTACCTGCCTCTGTAGACTCCACCTCTGAAGGCCGGGCATAGCTGAACAAAAGGCAGCAGAAACTTCTGCAGACTTAAACATCCCTGTCTGACAGCTTTGAAGAGAGTAGTGGTTCTCCCAGCACGGAGTTTGAGATCTGAGAACGGAAAGAGTGCCTCCTCAAGTTGGTCCCTGAACCCCCAGTAGCCTAATTGGGAGACACCTCCCAGTAGGGGCCAATTGACACCTCATACGGCCGGGTGCCCCACTGAGACAAAGCTTCCAAAGGAATGATCAGAGAGCAACATTTGCTGCTCTGCAATATTTGGTGTTGTGCAGCCTCCACTGGTGATACCCAGGAAAACAGGTTCTGGAGTGGACCTCCAGCAAACTCCAACAGAACTGCAGCCGAGGGTCCTGACTGTTAGAAGGAAAACTGACAAACAGAAAGTACATCCATACCAAAACCCCATCTGTATGTCACCATCATCAAAGACCAAAGCTAGATAAAACCACAAAGATGGGGAGAAATCAGAGCAGAAAACCTGAAAATTCTAAAAATCAAGGTGCCTCTTCTCCAAAGGATTGCAGCTCCTCCCCAGCAATGAAACAAAGCTGGATGGATAATGACTTTGACGAATTGAAAGAAGTAGGCTTCAGATGATCGGTAATAACAAACTTCTCCGAGATACAGGAGAATGTTCGAACCCATCGCAAAGAAGCTAAAAACCTTGAAAAAAGATTAGATGAATGGCTAAGTGGAATAAAGTGTGTAGAGAAGACCTTAAATGACCTGAAGTAGCTGAAAACCATGGCACGAGAACTACGTGATAAATGCACAAGCTTCAGTAGCTGATTCGATCAACTGGAAGAAAGGGTATCAGCGACTGAAAGTCAAATGAATGAAATGAAGTGAGACGAGAAGTTTAGAGAAAAAAAGAGTAAAAAGAAATGAACAAAGCCTCCAAGAAATATGGGACTATGTGAAAACACCAAATCTACATCTGATTGGTGTACCTGAAAAGGATGGGGAGAATGGAACCAAGTTGGAAAATGCTCTTCAGGATATTATCTAGGAGAACTTCCCCAATCTAGAAAGGCAGGGCAACATTCAAATTCAGGAAATACAGAGAATGCCACAAAGATACTCCTCGAGAACAGCAACTCCAAGACACATAATTGTCAGATTCACCAAAGTTGAAATAAAGGAAAAAATGTGAAGGGCAACCAGAAAGAAAGGTCAGGTTACCCACAAGGGAAGCTGATCAGACTAACAACAGATTTCTCAGCAGAAACTCTACAACCCAGAAGAGAGTGGGGGCCAATATTCAACATTCTTAAAGAAAAGAATTTTCAACCCAGAATTTTGTATCCAGCTAAACTAAGCTTCATAAGTGAAGGAGAAATAAAATACTTTACAGACAAGCAAATGCTGAGAGATTTTGTGACCACCAGGCCTGCCTTACAAGAGCTCTTGAAGGAAGCAATAACATGGAAAGGAACAACTGGTACCAGCCACTGCAAAAACATGCCAAATTGTAAAGACGATCGATGCTAGGAAGAAACTGCATCAACTAATGAGCAAAATAACCAGCTAACATCATAATGACAGGATCAAATTCACACATAACAATATTAACCTTAAATGTAAATGGGCTAAATGCTCCAATAAAAAGACACAGACTGGCAAATTGGATACAGTCAAGACCCATCAGTGTGCTGTATTCAGGAGACCCATCTCATGTGCAGAGACACACATTGGGTCAAAATAAAGCGATGGAGGAAGATCTACCAAGCAAATGGAAAACAAAAAAAAAGCAGGGGTTGCATTCTTAGTCTCTGATAAAACAGACTTTAAACCAACAAAGATCAGAAGAGACAAAGAAGGCCATGACATAATGGTAAAGGGATCAATTCAACAAGAAGAGCTAACTATCCTAAATATATATGCACCCAATACAGGAGCACCCAGATTCATAAAGCAAGTCCTTAGAGACCTACAGAGAGACTTAGACTCCCACACAATAATAATGGGAGACTTTAACACCCCACTGTCAACATTAGACAGATTAATGAGACAGAAAGTTAACAAGGATATCCAGAAATTGAACTCAGCTCTGCACCAAGCAGAACTAATAGACATCTACAGAACTCTCCACCCCAAATCAACAGAATATACGTTCTTCTCAGCACCACATTGCACTTATTCGAAAATTGACCACATAGTTGGAAGTAAAGCACTCCTCAGCAAATGTAAAAGAACAGAAATTATAACAAACTGTCTCTCAGACCACAGTGCAATCAAACTAGAAATCAGGATTAAGAAACTCACTAAAAACCACTCAACTACATGAAAACTGAACAACCTGCTCCTGAATGACTACTGGGTATATAACGAAATGAAGGCAGAAATAAAGATGTTCATTGAAACCAGTGAGAACAAAGACACACCATACCAGAATCTCCAGGACACATTTAAAGCAGTGTGTAGAGGGAAATTTATAGCACTAAATGCCCACAAGAGAAAGCAGGAAAGATCTAAAATTGACACCCTAACATCACAATTAAAAGAACTAGAGAAACAAGAGCAAACACATTCAAAAGCTAGCAGAAGGCAAGAAATAACTAAGATCAGAGCAGAACTGAAGGAGATAGAGACAGAAAAAACCCTCAAAAAATCGATGAATCCAGGAGCTGGTTTTTTGAAAAGATCAACAAAATTGATAGACCACTAGCAAGGCTAATAAAGAAGAAAAGAGAGGGCTAGGCACGGTGGCTCATGCCTGTAATCCCAGCACTTTGGGAGGCCGAGGCAGGTGGATCATGAGGTCAGGAGATTGAGACTATCCTGACTAACATGGTGAAACCCCGTTTCTACTAAAAACACAAAAATTTAGCTGAGCGTGGTGGTGGGTGCCTCTAGTCCCAGCTACTCTGGAGGCTGAGGCAGGAGAATGGCATGAAACCAGGTGGCAGAGCTTGCAGTGAGCCAAGATCACGCTACTGCACTCCAGCCTGGGCAACAGAGAGAGACTCCATCTCATAAAAACAAACAAACAAAAAAAAGGAGATGAAAAGAAAAGAGAGAAGAATCAAATAGATGCAATAAAAAATGATAAAGGGGATATCATGACCCATCCCACAGAAATCCAAACTACCATCAGAGAATACTATAAACACCTCCATGCAAATAAACTAGAAAATCTAGAAGAAATGTAAAACTTCCTGGACACATACACCCTCCCAAGACTAAACCAGGAAGAAATTGAATCCCTGAAAAGACCAATAACAGGCTCTGAAATTGAGGCAATAATTACTAGCCCACCAATCAAAAAAAGTCCAGGACCTGACAGATTCACAGCCAAATTCTATCAGAGGTGCAAAGAGGAACTGGTACCATTCCTTCTGAAAATATTCCAATCAATAGAAATAGAGGGAATCCTCCCTAACTCATTTTATGAGGCCAGCATTATCCTAATACCAAAGCCAGGCAGAGACACAACAAAAAGAGTTTTAGACCAATATCCCTGATGAACATTGATGCAAAAATCCTCAATAAACTACTGGCAAACTGAATCCAGAAGCACATAAAAAAGCTTATCCACCGTGATCAAGTGGGCTTCATCTCTGGGATGCAAGGCTGGTTCAACATACGAAAATCAATAAACATAATCCATCATATAAACAGAACCAAAGACAAAAAACCACATGATTATCTCAATAGATGCAGAAAAGGCCTTCGACAAATTCAACAGCCCTTCATGCTAAAAACTCTTAATAAACTAGATATTGATGGGACGTATCTCAAAATAATAAGAGCTATTTATGACAAACCCACAGCCAATATCATACTAGATGGGCAAAAACTGGAAGCATTCCCTTTGAAAACTGGCACAAGACAAGGATGCCCTCTCTCACCACTCCTATTCAACATAGTGTTGGAAGTTCTGGCCAGGGCAATCAGGCAGGAGAAAGAAATAAATGGTATTCAGTTAGGAAAAGAGGAAGTCAAATTGTCCCTGTTTGCAGATGACATGATTGTATATTTAGAAAACCCCATCGTCTCAACCCAAAATCTCCTTAAGCTGATAAGCAACTTCAGCAAAGTCTCAGGATACAAAAGCAATGTGCAAAAATCACAAGCATTCCTATACACCAATAACAGACAAACAGAGAGCGAAATCATGAGTGAACTCCCATTCACAATTGCTTCAAAGAGAATAAAATACCTAGGAATAAAACTTACAAGGGATGCGAAGGACCTCTTCAAGGAGAACTACAAACCACTGCTCAATGAAATAAAAGAGGACACAAACAAATGGAAGAACATTCCATGCTCATGGATAGGAAGAATCAATATTGTGAAAATGGCCATACTGCCCAAGGTAATTTACAGATTCAATGCCATCCCGATCAAGCTACCAATGACTTTCTTCACAGAATTGGAAAAAACTACTTTAAAGTTCATATGGAACCAAAAAGGACCCCACATTACCAAGACAACTCTAAGCCAAAACAACAAAGCTGGAGGCATCACACTACCTGACTTCAAACTATACTAGAAGGCTACAGTAACCAAAACAGTATGGTACTCTACCAAAACAGAGATATAGACGAATGGAACAGAACAGAGCCCTTAGAAATAATACCACACATCTACAACCATCTGATCTTTGACAAACCTCACAAAAACAAGGAATGGGGAAAGGATTCCCTATTTAATAAATGGTGCTGGGAAAACTGGCTAGCCATATGTAGAAAGCTGAAACTAGATCCCTTCCTTACACTTTATACAAAAATTAATTCAAGTTGGATTAAAGACTTAAATGTTAGAACTAAATCCATAAAAACCCTAGAAGAAAACCTAGGCAATACCATTCAGGACATAGGCATGGGCAAGGACTTCATGATTAAAACACCAAAAACAATGGCAACAAAAGCCAAAATTGACAAATGGGATCTAATTAAGCTAAAGAGCTTCTGCACAGCAAAAGAAACTACCACCAGAGTGAACAAGCAACCTACAGAATGGGAGAAAATTTTTGTAATCTACCCATCTGACAAAGGGCTAATATCCAGAATCTACAAAGAACTTAAACAAATTTACAAGAAAAAACCAAACAACCCCATCAAAAACTGGGCAAAGGATATGAACAGACACTTCTCAAAAGAAGACATTTACACAGCCAACAGACACATGAAAAAATGCTCATCATCACTGGCCATCAGAGAAATGCAAATCAAAACCACAATGAGATACCATCTCACACCAGTTAGAATGGTGATCATTAAAAAGTCAGGAAACAACAGGTGCTGGAGAGGATGTGGAGAAATAGGAACACTTTTACACTGTTGGTGGGACTGTAAACTAGTTCAACCATTGTGGAAGACAATGTGGCGATTCCTCAAGAACCTATAACTAGAAATACCATTTGACCCAGCCATCCCATTACTGGGTATATACCCAAAGGGTTATAAATCATGCTGCTATAAAGACACAGGCACACGTATGTTTATTGGGGCATTATTCACAATAGCAAAGACTTGGAACTGACCCAAATGTCCATCAATGATAGACTGGATTAAGAAAATGTGGCACATATACACCATGGAATACTATGCAGCCATAAAAAAGGATGAGTTCATGTCCTTTGCAGGGACATGGATGAAGCTGGAAACCGTCATTCTGAGCAAACTATCACAAGGACAGAAAACCAAACACCACATGTTCTCACTCATAGGTGGGAACTCAACGAGAACACTTGGACACAGTATGCGGAACAACACACACCAGGGAGTGGGGAGGGATAGCATTAGGAGATATACCTAATGTAAATGACGAGTTAATGGGTGCAGCACACCAACATGGCACATGTATACATATGTAAAAAATATGCACGTTGTGCGCATTTACCCTAGAACTTAAAGTATAAAATAAAATAAAATCTCATAATAGGTCTCAGGATTTTGTAAAATATCTAAAAATGCAATGGTTTATACACTCGCTCGAGCTAATATGCCCCCACAGACTCACAGTTATTATTTCTCCGTTTCTCCTAAACTCAAATATGGTAAGTATTCTGTGTCATTAGTTAAAATGTGTAAATAGTTAATCACATTCCCCTCTTATACAGTTTCCTCTAAACACTATGTAAACATGATATGACCGGAACAAAAACACAAAGGGATTTCTGATTTCTTTGTGATCAGTGGTTCCTAATAATGTATGGTAAGCATTATACCCAATCAATTCACTCTTTCCGTATCTAATTTCTGTAATTCATCATGCAGGACAAACATGAAAGACAGCATATGCTTCCAAAAGCCCTAGACCATGCAACCTTTAAAAATGGTTTGCTATCTTCGTCTTTAGTAGTTTTGATTCCAAAGCACATTGTCTCAGAGCACTGGACCTGAGATCCTCTATGTACCCACTGCATCAATATCTGCAGCCTTGCTGTATCACAGCAAACCTCCAAGTTCACACACTGCTATTCTTGGGCTCTGGGAGCATGCTTTTGGTTTCTTTACAGACTCCTTGGAGCAGTATGTATAGACTATAATGTCACATCTAGAAAACTTGAATCCTTAATGTATACTGTACTCTAGAGTTGATGAGACTTGGTGATTTTCCTTGGATGCCCCAGTGCTTGAATTTTCCTGATGTTGGCCATATTTGCCAACATCAGCTGCCAATTGGGTATAAAAAGCCCCAGCAGAAGAGGAAGAAGGGAAAAGAGGCTCCAAGTGAAATACCAGAGAATCACATACCACCACTTTTCTTCCACCAATTCACAAGAGAAAAAACCCAAACCCACAACTTTCAGAGTTTTGCAAGCAAGTCCACTCCAAACATCTGTATTCACTTTGCTATATATATATATACACACATATATATGTGTGTATACATATATGTATATGTGTGTGTATATATATGTATATGTGTGTGTGTGTATATATATATGTAAAGCAATTTTTAAACTTTTTTTCTTCTTTTCTTTCTTTTTTTTTTTTTTAGTATTTATTGATCATTCTTGGGTGTTTCTTGGAGAGGGGGATGTGGCAGGGTCATAGGACAATAGTGGAGGGAAGGTCAGCAGATAAACATGTGAACAAGGGTCTCTGGTTTTCCTAGGCAGAGGGCCCTGCCACCTTCTGCAGCGTTTGTGTCCCTGGGTACTTGAGATTAGGGAGTGGTGATGACTCTTAATGAGCATGCTGCCTTCAAGCATCTGTTTAACAAAGCACATCTTGCACCACCCTTAATCCATTTAACCCTGAGTGGACACAGCACATGTTTCAGAGAGCACGGGGTTGGGGGTAAGGTTATAGATTAACAGCATCCCAAGGCAGAAAAATTTTTCTTAGTACAGAACAAAATGGAGTCTCCTATGTCTACTTCTTTCTACACAGACACAGCAACAATCTGATTTCTCTTTCTTTTCCCCACATTTCCCCCTTTTCTATTTGACAAAACCGCCATCATCATCATGGCCCGTTCTCAATGAGCTGTTGGGTACACCTCCTAGACGGGGTGGCGGCCAGGCAGAGGGGCTTCTCACTTCCCAGACGGGGTGGCCGGGCAGAGGTGCCCCCCATCTCCCGAACGGGGCGGCTGGCCGGGGGGGGGGGCTGCCCCCCACCTCCCTCCCGGACGGGGCGGCTGCCAGGCGGAGGGGCTCCTCACTTCCCAGACAGGGCGGCTGCCGGGCGGAGGGGCTCCTCACTTCCCAGACTGGGCGGCCGGGCAGAGGGGCTCCTCACATCCCAGACGATGGGCGGCCAGGCAGAGATGCTCCTCACTTCCCAGATGGGGTGGCGGCCGGGCAGAGGCTGCAATCTCATCACTTTGGGAGGCCAAGGCAGGCGGCTGGGAGGTGGAGGTTGCAGCGAGCTGAGATCACGCCACTGCACTCCAGCTTGGGCAACATTGAGCACTGAGTGAGCGAGACTCCATCTGCAATCCTGGCACCTCGGGAGGCCGAGGCGGGCAGATCACTCGCGGTCAGGAGCTGGAGACCAGCCCGGCCAACACGGCGAAACCCCGTCTCCAGCAAAAAATACAAAAACCAGTCAGGCGTGGCGGTGCGCGCCTGCAATCCCAGGCACTCGGCAGGCTGAGGCAGGAGAATCAGGCAGGGAGGTTGCAGTGAGCCGAGATGGTGGCAGTACAGTCCAGCCTCGGCTCGGCATCAGAGGGAGACCGTGGAGAGAGAGGGAGAGGGAGACTGTGGAGAGGGAGACGGAGAGGGAGAGGGAGCAACTTTTTTTCAACTTTATTTTAGAATCTGGGGTGCATGTGCAGGTTTGTTAAAAGGTGTGTTACATGATCCTGAGGTTTGGAGGGCAGATGAATCTATTACTCATGGAGTGAGCATAGTACCTAAGAGATAATTTTTCAGCCCTTGTACCTTGCTCTCCCTCCTTCCTCTGGTAGTCCCCAGTATCTATTGTTCCCATCTTTATGTCCTTGTGTACCCAATATTTAGCTCCCTCTTATAAGTGAGAACAGGAAGTATTTGGTTTTCTGTTCCTGCATTAATTTGATTAGGATAATCCCTCCAGATACATCCATGTTGCTGCAAAGGACATGATTTTGTTCTTTTTTATGGCTGCATATTATTCCATGATGTATATGTGCCATATTTTCTTCATTCAATCCACTGCTGATGGGCACCTGGGTTGATTCCATGTCTTTGCTATGGTGAATAGCACTGCAGTGAACATATGGGTACACGTGTCTTTTTGGTAGAATGACTTATTTTCCTGTGGGCATATACCCAGTAATGGGATTGCTGGGTTGAATGGTAGTTCAACTCTTAGCTCTTTGAGAAATCTCCAAGCTGCTCTCCACAGTGACTAGACTTATATTCATTCCCACCAACAGTGTATAAGTGTTCTCTGCAGCCTTGCCAACATCTGTTATTTTTTTGACTTTATAACAAAAGCTATTCTGACTGGTGTGAGATGGTATTTCTTTGCACTTTTGATTTGCATTTCTCTGCATTCTTTGCATTGTAGTGCTATTCACCATAGCAAAGACATGGAATCAACCCAGATGCCCATCAGCAGTAGAATGAATAAAGAAAATGTGGCACATATACACCATGGAATAACATGCAGCCATAAGAAAGAACAGAATCATGTCCTTTGCAACAACATGGATGCACCTGGAGGCCATTATCCTAAGCGAATTAACACAGGAACAGAAAACCAAATACTGCATGTTCTCATTTTTAAGTGGGAGCTAAACATTGCATACATAAGGACATATCTGATGATTAGTGATGATGAGCATTTTTCATATGTTTGTTGGCTGCTCATGTGTCTTCTTTTGAGAAGTGTCTGTTCACGTCCTTTGCCCCCCTTTTAATGGTTTTTTTTTTTTGCTTATTGATTTAAGTTCTTTATAGATTCTAGATATTAGCCCTTTGTCAGCCCATAGTTTGCAAATATTTTCTCCCATTCTATAGGTTGTCTGTTTATTCCCTTGATAGTTTCTGTTGCTGTGCAGAAGCTCTTTAGTTTAATTAGGTCCCACTTGGCAATTTTTGTTTTTGTTGCAATTGCTTGTAAGGACTTAGCCATAAATTATTTGCCAAAGCAGATATTGAGAAGAGTATTTGCTGGGTTTTCTTTGAGGATTTTTATAGCTTGAAGTTTTATATATTTAAGCCTTTAATCTGTCTTAATTTTTGTATATGGTGATAGGTAGGGGTCCAGTTAGATTGTGAAGTAGAACACACCTACAATGGAGTTTGCAAAACAAAAATGTTCCACAAGCACAATAATTATCTCAAGGTAAATATCCATATAACCACCCAGGCCAATAAACAGACATTGCCAGCACCCCAAAGACCCTTTCATCCTCCCCTGTGAGCACCCTCTCTCTACTACCCCTCCATCAGTGTTCTGACTGTCACGGCCAACCACCACCTTGCTTCTCTTTAGATCCCTACTGCCAAAGCACTAAGTGTACTCCTGTGCACTATAGTTTAGTTTTGTGGGTTTGTTTCTTTTAACACCACATAAATAAAATTATACAACATATTCTCTATTATGACTGATTCACTTAACTCCATATTACATTTGAGTATATATACATATATACAGTCTTTGATATTATATACATTTTCAGTTTATTAATTTTCATAACTGTATAGTATGCCATTCTATGACTAGACCGCAATTTATTTGTATATTCTCCTATTGATGAATATTGGATTATTTCAGTTTAGGTTTATTACAAATAAAGCTACACGGTGCACATGTTGCTGTTGTTTATGTACCTAGAAGTGGAGTTGCTGTCCCTTAAGGTATGTTCAACTTCAGTAAAAAATGCTGTACTGTTTTCCACAGTGGAAGTCGGTATCCATTTAAACTTCCAATAGTAGTATATTTGTGCTCCCTATTGCTCCATATCTTCACTAACACTTGGTATTGTCAGGCTTTCATAACTTTCTGGTGCATCTTACATTTTTTAATTTGAATTTCCCTGATTACTAATGTGGCTGAGCACCTTTTCGTATGTTCATGGGTCATTTAGAAATCCCGTTTTGTAAAGCGTCTGCTTGAGTCTCTTGCCCTTTGCTTTTGGGTTGTTTGTTGCTTGTGTTTTCTCCCACTCTGTGGCTTACCTTCTAATACTGTGAATAGCATCTATCGAGAAAAAGAAGTTCTTGCCAAGCATGGTGGTGCACACCTGTGGTCCCAGCTACTCATGAGGCTGAGGCGGGAAGATCCCTTGAGCCCAGGAGTTAGAAGCTGCAGTGAGCTATGATTGCACCACTGCACTCCAGCCGGGGTGACAGAGTGAGATTCCATCTTTAAAAGGAAAGTTCTTAATTTTAATGTTATCATATATATTAATCTGTTCTGTATGGTTGGCATTCTTGCATCTTGTTAAAGAAATATTTCCCTACCAGGAGATCATGAACATATTCTGCTATATTATATGCTAGAAGCTTTATTGGCCCTTGGTCAAGTTGCCACAGGTAATCCTGATTTTAAATCCATTGAAAGAGGATGTGGATGCATTGCTGTCTTCCCAGAATGTTCCTGGGCTTCTTATGCAAATTTGCTCATTCTCTAGGACCCAGCAACCTTCAAGTTCCACATATCAGTACTTTCTCACATACACACAACCTATGGGACCTCTTTCTCTATCTCTCTCTCATCTTCCTTTTACCCTTGCAAACTTTTTCCACCAGATATTTTCCCAGATATTTTATTTGCTTTCTCCAGTGGCTCCCTGCCCTTCCTCATGTGGAGCAGTCCATTTCCTTCTCTTGCTTCATCACTTCCGCCTCCGTTCTTTACCTTCATGGTACAGCTGTGGCCCCAGCCAAGCATAAAGATCCTTCCTTATTGAAGGAGGGCAGCAAGGAGTTATAAGCTCAGTGGTTCCACCATGCAGGGCTTGTCTTGGCTATGACATCCAGTCCCAGGACCCAGGGTTTGTTCCATTGCTCCATTGCTCTAGCTTGTGTATCCAAGGCTCCACTCTTATTTCATTTATTTATTTACTTATTCCTTTCTATTCTCAACCTTCACTCCCATTGCCCTCCCCTCAAACTCAAAGGCATCCACTCTAATACACTTGATTTGTATCTTTTTATTTGTATACATTCTTATTAAAATATATGTTGGCATTTTGTATGCATACTTTTAAACTTATGTTGCAATGTAAATTTCATTCTGTTTCTTACTTTATTCAGCATCGTGTGCGGGGCTGGGGTAGGAAGGCTGAGTGTAGATCTGGCTCATTGAGTTTCACTGTACCTTGGCACAGCAACCAGAGGTTCTCTAAGTGCTGCCTTATACGGCACAAAAGATCAAGATGGAACTGGGCCATCTTGTTAAAGCAATGATACATTCAGAAATTGTTGTATAATGTTGGAAATGCAAGGATGCTAGCTTGACGGAGCGGATTCACCCATCATTGTCTGAAAAGCAATGAGTATGCCCAACTGAACAAGTATTCTTGGAAGAATCTTAACTTCCCAGTGATTCTGCTTGACATTGTTGTTAGCTTTCCTGAAGTCCAATTCCAGTACTTAAGACAAGATTTTAAAAATGAAATTGTAAAAAATTTTAAGTAAGTGTGATTAAAAAGAAGCATTTCATCTTTGAGAACACAAGCCCTCCTGAGAACTGGTAACTGTTGTTCCCACAGCAGTCAAGGCCTTTGACTTTAGCAGAAACAAGAGATGACATGAATGGCTTTGGCAGTAAATGAAATGTAGCACACTTAGCACTGGCATGCAGGACCCACATCTGAACCAACATTCATGGCCACAGGCAGTGGTGTCCTAGCAGGAGTTTCATCCTTAGAACAGCCTGAGTAAGCCAAGAGTTCTTAGCAGGCCCAACTGGAGCAGAGAGGAAGGAAATGTATTCTATCAATTTCCTGACTGGGATAGTCACTGGAAGGAGCTAATCACACTTGCTTCCCTAGTGGGTTCTAGGAAGTTGAGAATTATATGGAAGAAGACAGATGGGAATCAAAGTCAGGGTAACCTTCGTACTGTTAATGCTGAATTGGAGAACAAGGCTTTCCTCTCCCTGCTCTCCAAATTGAAGGTAACTGGCAGAGTAGGACTGACCTGATGTACTCAGCAAGGTCAGGTAAAACATCCTTAACCCACAGCAGAAATCCAACTAGTTCTAGCAGAAATAAGTCCTGCTTGCCTAAGTCCAGGTGGTCCAAGAAGAATAGAGCCGGAGAAGACTGCCTTGCTTCCGTAAGACACCATCAGTAATGTGACCTTTCAGTTTAGCTCCTCCTCAGACTACAGGAGGAAGTAACAAAGTGAAGGGAAGGGTAGACATTTCCTCACCAGCACTTTTGAAAGGGCTCAGCTACTGTATGATGTACTTTCCTTTATGAGCAGAAGAAAGAAGGTGGAGAGAGGATGAGAAAGATCCCCCACTTGCAAAAGTCTATGAAGCCCATGTGCAAATGTAGCTGGTGCCTTAAAACTGGAGTGGGAGGAAACCACACTCCCTCATGCTCCTTAGGAGCAAATGGGCTGGAGCCAAAGAAATAATGGTTTGTGACTTATATAGTTTTACCTTTTTTCTACACATAGACATATGGATAGCTTGGGAATCTTAATACATACTTTGGAAGCCCTAATGAAGGGATTCCCACATGGTAAATCTCCATGCTTCCGTGGGGGCGAGGAAATTTTCCACTTCTCACATCCAGTATGACTCCTTCTATGGTGTCCAAATGCTTCATGGCTGTGGCCATGGAAAACAGAGTGCCCCTTTGTGAGCCTGGAGATACCAACTGGGGGAGAGTGGGGACACGTCTTTGCTGGGTTGGAGCTCCAGCATGGACCACAGGGGCCCCCTATGTCCAGCAGAAAGAGGCCAGCCCAGTTCTGTTATGAGCTGTCCAGGGGGTTACACACTGTAAACTCCCTTGGGAAGGGTCAGGAATGTGTCCTGGAAGTTCGTCTGAAAATCAATGACTTTCATTTATGGCCAGGAACTTGTTTCCAGAACTGGGAAGAAAATCTATGGCAGATAGCTGCTCCCCTCTCCCCAGAGACTTAGGAGAATTTTTCCCTGGAGCAGGACTGAAGTGAAAGAAGAGGTGATTGCCCAGGCAGCCAAGCCCCCTTGTAGAAATACTCCAGAAATGGCAAATTTCTGAGAAGACAGAAAATAAAATAAAACCGTAGATAATAACAGGCTTACAGGCTTTCCTGGGAGGCTGGGAAATAATCCTTGAAGACCCTACTGAGTATTTGAGTGTGTGGAGAGTAACAGGGTTCTAAACTCTAAATACCCAAAAATGTAGGAAAATAAAACTTGCAATTAGCCAGGCATGGTGGGGCATGCCTGTAATCCCAGCTACTCAGGAGGCTGAGGCAGGAGAATTGCTTATACTGGGAGGTGGAGGTTGCAGTGAGCCGAGATTGCACCACTGCACTCCAGCCTGGGTGAAAGAGTGAGATTCCATCTCAAAACAAAACAAACAAACAAAAACAACAACAACAAAACTTTCAGATGGCATGAGAGAGGGGGACTACAATGGGGAAGAGTGAAGGAATATGATGGCTAGAGGATGACTAGATATTGGAGAGTCTGAGTTTTATTGGTTGGTTGGTTTTGTTCTGCTTTTAGATTAAAGTGCTCCAAGAGGTTGAAGCTGCAGATAAGAGAGAAGATGGCTCATGGAACGAGGTGCCCAGAGGGGTGGGAGAAAATGAGATTCTGAGTGAACGTGAATATGGAAAGATTCCCTTGGAGAGGGAAGATGCACCTCTTCCACCGATATGTGAACTTTCTGGTAAGAACAGAAGCAGATGTAAGTTTGGATCAGAGTAGGGGAGATTAAAGGAGTGCCGTCTCATCGCCATTGCTTTCTCTGGGGAGTACACAGGCAGGCCACTGCTTAGAGTGGACAGAAGTGGAACTGCAGGGGTAGATGGAAGTGACAGTTTAATAGCCATTGGGGTAGACAGGTGAGGGTCCAGGGAGGCTGGGCCAGGCAGGGGACAGGGGACATGGCACAGCATAGACAAGAAGACAGCAGAGCTAATGGTGTGAGCTTGGAGAAGGTGGAGACAAGGACTGGAGTGTCACAGCACACTTTGTGTGGGGTGAAGCTTGAGGTCTGAGCAATGCCCCTTGAAGGCCCCAGATTTCTTCAGCTTCTTTGCTCCCTGATAGGTTAAGTTTGCTACCACATGAGAGGGGACATCACCTTGCAATGGTGACAGCATTCAGAGTGGCACATGCCACTGCGGAGAGCCGGAACCACGGAGACCATTGTGACCTGGAGGCCAGAGTGTTGGGAAACACTGAGTGGCATCTCACAGAAAGCCAGAGGGGAGGACGTGGGGCTATCAGTCCAACTCCTCAGTTAATAGCCAGGGAAACAGAAGCCCAGGGAGATAAAGACGGTGGCAGAGGAGGAATTCTTTCTTAGCAGATCTTCCATTCCTAATCCAGGATCATTTCCAGGGCTCCCAGGTGAGAAAATGGGGAGGGAGAAAACTGAGTGAATCTCCTCTTAGAGTCATTGGCCTCCTAGGGGTGGGCTGTTGGCTGCACTCCTGGGCATTTTGGCACCACTTTTAATGATCCACATCCTTAACTCCTCAGGCAAAGGCTTCTCTTTTCTAGGTTCTCAAGATGCTTGAATCCTGGGACAAACACAGAGGAAGGAGCTCCTAAGGATGGGGGCAGTGGTGAGGAAACAGGCCACTGAGACAGTGATGGTGTTTGTAGGCAAAGAAGCTACTTGTATTTGCCAACCACACCAGGAGGCCAGGTTAGGAGTTTCAAAACAAGTTTGCTGCCAAGAAAAACACACAAAAACCCATAGATTCATGCTCTGTAAATCTCAAGAAGCAACTCTGTCCCATCCCCAGTCATGCCCTACACTGGGTCTGTCTTAGAATTCTATGTGCAAACTGGCCCCTGCTACTTATGACACCCCCGAGGGCCTGGCTTTCATTCATCCTCCTATCCAATCACTATCTGGTCCCCAGGGTAAAGTGCAGTATCTATACCCAGAGTCACAGCCTGCAGAGCCTCTGGGAGAAGCCGGCCACCAGGATGCTCTTCCCAGTGACGTAGCTGGCATCTGTAGAGTGCAGGAAGGACATGGTTCCTGCACAGTCCTCTTAACCCCTGCATGGAAAGAGAACAGAACTGAGGCCTCAGCCTATGCTCTAATGAACTCTGATCGCTGGTCCTGCTGCTCTGAACATAGGGCCCAGCACCACCTCCAGCCCTGAATCCCACCTCCCTGGCCCATCAGAGGCCTGGGCTCCATAGAGAGATATGGTGGGGCCCCTCATGCCCTCCAGATCCCACCTCATGGGCTGTGCATCCCCAGACTCTGTGAGAGGACGGGCTGATAGGTGAGGATACAGTCCGAGAGCCCTGTCTCCCCTGGAGAAGACTACCTGTCTCTGCTATCCACAGGGGTTTTTAAAGGAGTTTTGCAGAGCCAGATTATCTTCAACCTGAAAAAATTCAGAGGCTCAGTGCTAAATAGAACTGTGAAGGGCCAGAGAGGCTGCCATGGCAGACTCATGCCCTTGTGGGCAGATGGCCCTGCTCAGTGCTGGGTCTGCAGTCCCTCGACTGCTCCCAGAGAGGACAGCCCTGGTGCAGATACAGGAAGTGAGAGGCTGCTGGTCTCACAAAGCCATGGCCAGACTGGGGAAACCAACAAAGTGGTTGGTGGGGGCAACTGGGAGCTGCTGAACCCTCATCATGTGGTTAAAGTCAGTTCTTGATGATTCCTGGCAACAGGCGGGGCACCTGGATACCCTTTGGTGCCAGCTCTATAGCCAAGGGCTTGGTGAGTCCCAGCAGTGCAGTTTTGCTGGTGGTATAGGCCTCCAGCATCTAAGAAGGAAATGAAATGGATAAGGTGCACTGCGCTGGAGGAGAGGGGCTCTTGCTAGACCCCCAAGGCTATGGAGGATGACTATGCCTGCACTTACACCTGCACTCACACCAGCACTCACACCTGCACTCACATGTTTCTCCCACTCCACTCCAGGAAATTACCAGTGAACAAAATCTGAGCAGGAGCGGAATGAAGCCTGGGCTTAAAGAAAAGTCAGGAAGGCAGAGGCTGTGTTCACCCATGCTTAGCCCAGAGAGAATTGCTTAGGGTGCAGAGCCAGGGAAATGCACTAAAGAGACCCATGACCAGATTCCTGCTCTACCATGACTGGTCGCCCTTGGGCAAGTCACTTATCATCTCCATGTCTCAATCTCCTCCTCTGCCACAGGGAGTTTATCAGGCCTGCTCTGTGACAGTCATAGGAATGTCATGCAGGGACACTGATAGCCTATAGTGCCCCCTGGTGTAAATTTTTTAAAAAAACTTTCTTCTGAGCTTATGCAGCCCCACTAGTGCCTGACTTTGTGAGAGCAAATAGTAAAGCCACCCTGTTCTTCGGGTGAATGTAGCCCCAAGCCAGGGTACATGTCTTGTCAAGCAGAGCATGGACTGGATTTCAGCTCCTACTTGTTTCTAGACTAGGCGACCTTGTGCAGTGAACAACCTATACAACCACACATGGCAGCCCTGGGGCTTTAGGAACTAAATGAGATAATGGCAATAAGTGCAGTTTTAAATGTGGGCAGGACAGGCATCCAGTGTTGTGCACTTGGATTTTACTATCATGCGGGATCAATATTTACCTCCCTCATCCTGGCAACCACTCCACTGCCCTATCCCCAAACTCCCCACTAACTGTTTGAGGTGCACAGACAGCAGCAGAGGCAATCAGCACCACAGGCCTTCCCCTGTTAGAAGCGGACAGGCATGACAAGTGGAAGATGTACCTAATTAAGAAGCTATTTGCTTCCAGAAAATGAGCTTCCAAGTGACGAGGAGGCAGAACTGAGGAAGAGGAAAGAAGGGAAAGTAGGGACAGTGCCAGGGTCTCTGGGAAGAAGTGACTTCTTTGGGGAAGTTAGAGCTGAGAAGGTCCGACACAAGCTCCCCTGCTCAGATGCCCCAGGACTCCTAGGAACTAGCACCCAGGCAGGGCCAATCAGCATCTGGAATTCTGGAGAACAGGACCTGGGAACATGGAGCCATCAGTGTGAGGCTGCCACCTGGGGACGGCCACTCCCACAGGAGGAAAATGCACTGAGAGTGGCCTGGGTTGCAAATCTCACTTCGGAGCAGGAGCAGTAACTAGTTGCTGACTTGGACTCAAACAAGCCCAGACGAATGGCAAAAGGTGGAGAGTAGCTCCGCCATGAGAGACCCCAGCAGGGGAGGGACTGAAGGAGCTTCTTTTGGCCTCTCTGGAAAGGTTAAGGTCTCATGGCTATACCACATGGCCTTGTCCCATCCTTGCAGCTACCACTGGCCTGCGTTTCTCAGACGACAGAGCACGTCAGAGGTGATTGGGGCTCCCCTCTGGGTGTGGAGTCCGCCCGCCACATTCTTTCCAAATGTTCCCCTTCACTGTGTTGGTCACATCCTGTGGGGCCCAAGAAGCCTGGAGACGTGGTTTAGGAAGTGACATGAGAGCCTGGCATCCAGGGCACACTCCACCCTGCTCTCCTTGGGATATTCCACTTCCTGGGCCCCATCCCCCAGTGTTGCCTCGGGGTAGCAGAGAGCAAGGCAAAGTCTCCCCAGCTCCCATGGAGCCCTCACCCCATCTTCTCCATATGGGGCAAAGGTTGGCTCAGCAGCAGGGCCAGGGCCTTTGCGTTCCTGCTTGGGATTTGAAGTCAGAAAGAGGAGGGGAAGGGGGCCTGTCCGTTCAGCCGGCACCTCTGCTCACCTGGAGTCCCACGGACCAGACTGAGGGGAGGCACTGAGGGTCTGCGCTGCTGCTCTCTATGTGACCGCTGAGTCATGGAGGAAAAAGGGACCTGAGGCATGTGCCCTGCCCCCCGGGAACACTTGGCTAAAAACCACCTCACTGTGATTTGCTGCACAGACTCGCCGCAGGGCACAGCACCCTCCAGAAAAACAGGTCACTGAAAATAATATCAGGGGAGGAAGTCAAGAAGGCTGCTGTATTCATTCTGCTTTAATGAGTAGAGGTAAGAATTCTCAAGGCATAAACACCAGCCCTGTGTGGGGCCCTGTTTGGGGCAGGTGCTGAAATTTCAGTTTTTTATAAAAGCAAGAGGCTGGCCTGGGCAGAGATGGGCCAGGAAGGTCATGGACTGTGAGAACCACAGAGACAAAGTGGGGCAGGTGGAGAGAGGAGAGGCCTGGTCAGCGGGACAAAGCCTCCCTGAGGACAGGATGGCTCATCCAGATCACAGCACCCAGTCTCTGCCAACAGGGTCAGGTTGGGGGAGATGAGGACTGAGCCCTCGCAGGGGAGCACGTCAGGCATGGGGTCTACAGGGGCAGTGGGAGCCCCTGGAATACTCCTGGATTCTGGCTGGGAAGGGGCCTGGGCAGAGGTGTCTTCTCTCAGCTGTGGCTGTGGGCAGGTGAGGTGTCCCTGTGACAGCCCAGAGGGGGCCCATGGGACAGGTGCCAGTGAGTCTAAACTCACTGAGACAGCCTCAGAAACCTGAGCCAGGAGAGAATCGGGAGCAGAACTGGTGGCAGCTCCTCAGATCTGGGGCTTGGTATGGGACTGAATTGGAGTGACTCCCTCCTAATGAATAGAAAAAGGTGAAAATGACAGCATGCGATTTTGGGGACCAGGTCAGAAAAAGCACTGAGGCTTCCATCTTGGTTGCTCTCTCTTAAGCTCTCCTCTCTCTTTCTCTCGGCTCCCTTGCTTTGGAGGGAGCCAGCTACACAGAAATTCAGGCAGTCTATGAAGAGGCTCACCTTGTGCCAGTGACCACTTGAGTGAGCCATCTTAGAAGTGGCTCTTCCAGCCCCAGACAAACTTTCAGAAACTAAAGCCCTGCTTCACATCCTGACTAGAACCTTATGAGAAACTCTGAGCCCAACCCACCCAGTTAAACCACTCCTGAATCCCTGCCCCACAAAAACTGTGAGATAATAAATGGTCATTGTCTTAAGCTACTAGATTTTGGGATGTTTTGTTATAGAGCAATAGATAATATAATTACGCAAATGTAACTCCCCATATTTCTCCCAAACCTGCTCCATCTGCCGCCTTCCCCTCCTCTGTTGATGGCAGGCAACTCCATCTTTCCAATAGCCCTGGCTCAAGACTTGGAGTCATCCTTGATTCCTATCTTTGTCTCATACCTCACATCCAACCTGTCAGAACATCCTGTTGATTCCATCTTCACTATACATCAAAATGTAACATTGTCACCATTTCCACTGCTACCACCTAGTGGGGCCACCATGACCTCTCTCCTTGCCTACCTGAAGTCTAACCTCAACATGAGGTCTGAGTGATCCTTTAAACATGTAGGCCAGAGCAGGTGACTCCTTTCCTTAAAGCCCACAGTGGCTCCCGTTGCCCTCAAAGTAAAAGCCCAAGTCTTACAATGGCCTGTAAGGCTCTCAGTGATCTGTGAAGCCCCCTTACCTCTGACATCACTACTGCTCTCCTCCTGGCCACCCCTGCTTCCTTAATGTTTTTCAAACATGTTGAGCACACTCCAGCCTGAAGCCTTGTGCACAGCTGTTGCCTCTACCTGAAATGTTTTTCTTCCAAATGTCTACACACCTATCATCCTTCCCTCCTTCAAGTCTTTGCTAAAATGTCTCTTCTCAGTGAAGCCCGCTCTGATCACTCTGTTTACAGTTGCAGTCTATCCCCACTACTTCCAGCACTCTGAATCCCTCTTATTGTTTTTCTTTTCTACCCTACTTATCACCTTCCAACATCCTATGTAGTTGACTTATTTAAATGTTTATTGTTTACCGTTCATACCCCCTGCTAGAATGTGAGCTCCAAGATGGCACTGATCTCTGTCTTTGGTCTCTGGCGTATCTCAAGTGTCTACATCAGTGACTAGCACATAGAAGCATTCAGTAAATAAGTGTTGAATGAATAAACTGGCAAATCTACATGTTCCTACATGTAGGAACTACTTTATGCAATAGTGCACTTTTAATCTAAAGCTTCCTGTTTCGAAGTTATTCCAAGTGCTCTTGAGCACCTAACATAGTCCCTGAGAACCTCCACTGACCTTCAGGAAGCAGGAGTGCTAGAAAGTACAGAGCAGAAAGGAAACCATGAACCTTAGATTCACATGCTCAGATTCAAGGACGGCAACGGAGCTGCTGCTGATGCAGATGAAATAGATTGTCCCTCTGCAGTGTTAATTAAGTGTATCAGAAAATTACTTATAAGGTATTACAGAAGAGGAGGTAAGAAACATGGCTTCATACATCCCTGATCTTCTAATGAATGAACTATAACAGTGCCGGCCAAAATAAATATAATATGAGCCATATATTTCAACATGAAATCAATATAAAGACATTAATGATATATTTAACTTTTTTTTGAGACAGGATCTCACTCTGTTGCCCAGGCTGAAGTGCAGTTGTGCAATCAGTGTTCACTGCATCCTCGACCTCTGGGCTCAAGAGATCCTCCTGCCTCTGTATCCAGAGTATCTGGGACTACGGGTGCACACCACCACACCTGACAAATTTTTAAATGTTTTGTAGAGACAGTATCTCCCTATGTTGCCTGGGCTGTTCTAAACTCCTGGGCTCATGCGATCCTCCTGCCTCAGCCTCCCAAAGTGCTGAGAGTACAGGCATGAACCACCATGCCTGGCCAAACATTTCTTATACTGAAAAATTATATGTGCATTGTATACTTACAGCAGGCTTCAGTTCAGACTAGCCACATTTCACACGCTATAGTCACATGTTGCTAATGATTATCATATTGAACAGTTGCCCAGGCTGGTCTCGAACTCCTGGGCTCAAGTGATCCTCCTGCTTTGGCCTCCCAAAGTGCTGGGAGTACAGGTATGAACCACTGTGCCTGGCCAAATATTTTTTATACTGAAAAATTATATGTGCATTGTATACTTACAGCAGGCTTCAGTTCAGACTAGCCACATTTCACATGCTATAGTCACATGTTGCTAATGACTATCATATTGAATAGTACAGATAAAGAAGCACATATGAGATGTGTTCCCATCTTAGTCCAGAAAATGTGGTCGATTTTGCCATAACTCACCCTCCTGAGAGTGATGTCAGCCAAGAACATTCTACAGTATCCACAGGCATCCAAACAGTTATAATACTATATCCTAAATCTAGGCCTAATCCTAGTTGAAGATTTGTCCTAGCCTCCTGGTTTTCAGTGACACATGATACACAAGAACCTCAATAGCACAAAGAAGCTTTGTGCTCTGAGCACATACACTGTCTTACTAAAATTAGAGCAAATCTGAATGACTTATACTCTTTGCTAGGAATCTATAAGAAGCTCAACACTCCACCTAGGACTACAATTCAAAATAAAACATAGCTATATGCGCAAGTAACTTTATCATCTTTTTATAATAGCAGAAAAGTGAAAATAACCTAAATTCACAATAATAAGGAATTTTGGACATTTTTCCTTGATGGGACTATGCAGATAGTAAAATGAAAGTTTTTAAATGGTTCATAATAGTATGGGGGAAATGCTTATGTTAAAATGCTAAGTGGAAAATCAGGACACAACATTGTGTATGCAAATATTGAATAATCAAAATTACATCAAAATAAAATAATACATACAGAAAAAAGCAGAAATACACCATAATGAGATAAAGATTATAAATTAAGCCACACTCCTGCCTGTCCCTGCACAATATATCATTAGAAAAAGAAAAAAAAGAAAGTTAAAAGAAAAAGAAAAAAATCAATAGCAGCGCATGAAAACATGAACTGGTGTTCTCAATTAACCAAAATTTTTGAGGAATGGAGTCACACTGAAAGATAAACCATCGCCCAAAGTCATGGAAGAGCAGACTGTGTCCAAAGGTAAGAACAGTTATGGCGCCCTGAGTTGGATGGCAGCAGACACAGGAAGGTAGGAGGTGGTCGGGGTGACAGTTTGAGAGGTGCTGTGCTGAGAGGAGCTGGCCAAGATGGTCCCTTCCCCAGTACCTACCCTCTGCCAGGCAGCCATTGGCAAAGGTGTTACCCCCATTGTGAATAATGATGATAAGAATGGAAGGCCACTAACCCAATATACCAGAAGTCAGAAAAGAGATAGCCTTGTAATTAGAAACACAAAAGAACTTTGCAGGAACCAATTGTAACATATTAACAATCCCAATAAATGTGAACAAATTGCATTAATATATTAAAAAGAAGAATCTTTCAAACTTTATTTTGAAAAACAGTTATATACGATTTACAAAAGATTCACCTAAAATAAAAACAAGCAAGACATTTGTAAATAAAGGAGTCGAGAAAGATACATCAAGTAAAATGCTCATGAAAAGAAAGCAAGCATAGAAATATGAAAATCAGAAAAAGGTAGAATTCAAGGCAAAAGACATTAAAAAGGACAAAGAAGGATACAGTTTTTTATGTTGATAAAAGATACACTCCCTCACAATCCGTTATGAATCTGAGTAGATGGATTTAACACATCTCTCTCTGGAATCAACAGTTCAAGAATAAAACTATGGCTTAATGCAATCAAATAGAAATATAATGTGAACCACAAATGCAAGCCACATTAGTCACTTAAACTTTTCTAGTAGCCACATTTTTAAAAAAGTAAAAAAGAAACAGGTGAAATTACTTTTAATAATTTATTTTATTCAACTTAACACATCCAAAATACAATCATTTAATATATAATCAATATAAAAAGTAATTAATTTTTCATGCTAAGTCTTCGAAACTGGTGTGTGTTTTACACTCAAAGCCTATGTCAATTTGGACTACCCACACTTCAAGTGCTCATTACCACATGTGGTGATACGGTTTGGATGTGTGTCCCCACCCAAATCTCATGTTGAACCGTAATCCCCAATGTTGGAGGTGGGGCCTGGTGGGAGATGACTGGATCATGGGTGAAGTTCTAATGGTTTATTGTCATGCCCCCTTGGTACTGTATAGTGAGTGAGTTATCAGGAGATCTGGTGGTTTAAAAGTGTGTAGCACCTCGCCCGTCTGTCTCTCTTCCACCTGCTCTGGCCATGTAAGATGTGCCTGCTTCCCCTTCATCTTCCACTATAATTGTAAGTTTCCTGAGGCCTCCCCAGAAGGAAGCCAGCATCATGCTTCCTGTACAGCCTTGAAACCATGAGCCAATTAAATCTCTTTTCTTTGTCAATTACCTAGTCTCAGGTACTTCTTTATAGCAATGTGAGAACAGAACAGACTAATACATGTGGCTACCACACTGGACAGCAAAACTATAGATAACTATAGATAACACAACTGTATCAAGTGGCCTTATTAAAAATTCTTCAGTTAAAGAATAAATTAAAACATAAATTATAAATACTTAGAAATGAACAATAAGAACAGGCCACACTTTTAAAGTGTATTTAATATAGCCAAAGCAATACTCGGAAAAAATAGATAGATATTTAGTTTTAGATATATTCATTGGAAATCACTTTAAAAAGATGGAAAATTGTAAAAGCATTATTTTAAACCACGCAGCTTCCGAAAGAATAGCAGATAAACTCAAAATAGAAAGGTCATAAAAAAGATAAAGGCAGAAATTATTAAAATGGAAATGAAATTTACCAAAACTTCAAAAGCAATTTTCTTTGGGTGATAGGGCTTCAAGCGTTTGCTTTCCTTTGACTCTCTATTTTTCTTCTCTTACCAACTTTTCTAAGTCTGGCTTTTATATTATAAAGATCCTATCTTTAAAAATATGCTGTAACACCACAGAGGATTTTGAAAGTTTATCTTCAAATGTCAATACTTATTAAAGTTCCAATAGTGAAATCTGTTTTTAAGATTTGAACAAGTTGCACACAAGCAATTGGGCAAATTGTATAAAAACTGTAGTGTTCTTAGATTTGCTGAAAGATTACCATGGTCCAAATCTGCTGTTTCAACCCCACATTTCCTAGACATGGAAATCAGTGGGAGACGTCTGGAAGGAGTTGCCTAGGGCAGCGGTCCCCAACCTCTTTGGCACCGTGGACTGGTTTTGTGGAAGACAATTTTTCCACAGATGGAGCAGGGCAGGGGAAGAGAGGGTGATGGTTTCAGGATGAAACTGTTGCACCTCAGATCATCAGGCCTTAGATTCTTATAAGGAGTGCACAGCCTAGACCCCTAATATGTACCGTTCACAATATGGTTCATGCTCCTACGTGAATCTATTGCTGCAGATGATCTGACAGGAGGCAGAGCTCTGGCAGTAATACTTGCTCATCCGCGGCTCACGTCCTGCTGTGTGGCCCAGTTCCTAACAGGCCATGAACCGGTTACTGGTACCGGTCTGAGGAGAGGAAAGCCTCCAGGCCCCTAAGAGTGAAGCCAGCTCAGTAGTGCCTCAGGCAGTGGCTGTTGGCTTCTGCAGCCCAATAGAGATTTGGTTTTTTATCCTCAGGGAAAAAAAGTTTGTTTTAAAAGAAAGTATTTCTTCTAATAAGAACCTCATAGCCAAAGGGTAACAAGGCAGGGTCAGAACTTGGAGAAGCATGTGTACTTCACACACAGAGGCGTACAACTACTGCAGACTAGTCCATGAGCCCTTTCCTGGCCACAATCTGGTCACTCCTGGTGGTGAGCAGGGCAAGCGCTCGCCCAGCTCCATTCTGGCATCCTGTAGTGCAGGGAGTAAACTCAACAAAGGAAGCAGCCTGTCTTCATAGTCCCAGCCCTGAGGGGACATTTCCACCCAGTATTCCTAGGAGACAAGATGCCTCTCTGGAGAGGACAGAACCTTACCTTACCTGAGGACAGAACCCAATTGCCTTTGCCTCTGATTTATGGAAGTGTTGCTTTGTAATGGTGTCAGCTCCATCCATGGATTCCCAGGTGCTGTCTCCCTTGTGCACAAATACTTAAACATTAGGTTCAAGCTCCACCCCTTCTTCTCTCTTTTTCCTCTTTCTCTTCCTCCAGAATACTCCCCTTGAGTTCAGGCCCATGCGTGTGGACACATGCCACACCCCAGTATAGGTCAGCCCCTCAGAATCTGTCTATAGTGGCTCCATCCTGCAAAGAGCTCTTGCTTGCCTTAGGGTGAAAGTGGGAAAGGAAGAAGAAATGGGAGTCAGAGGATTGTATAATCCACTATCATGTATCATATGATATTGATATGATGTTTCTCACTATCATGTACCGTGTGTGATAGTGGGAATGCCCCAGAAGGGAAGGGAGGCAAAGTTAGGACAGGATAATGGGTCACCATGGGGAGATTTTAAATGTGAGCCCCATGTCAAGAGTAATCATTTGATGTCCAAGCCACCAACACAACCATGATTCTCCTTTTCACTTAATGCACTTTTGTAATGACCATAATTACCTGTTTCAGTTGATAACGTACTTATCTGTATTCTGACATGGCATGTTAAATTTCTTCAGGACAGTGACTATGCTTATTCTCAGTGGTATACCAACACACCCAGAATATTGTTATTCAATTCTAGCTAACAAAACAAATTGTGCATTAAGTGCAAGGGACTCTCTTATTCTCTGCCAAAGCACTAATGCCCCTTCATATGCAATAAACTTTTCCACTGTCTTCTCCTTGAATGTCTAGTTTTACAAGTTTGCAGTTGAGTCTATGTTCTGTGATGATTTTTTTCTCTTTCTAACTAAAAGTCTAATGAGATTTTACAGTAACTTCCAGAAGCAAACTTCCAGGCTACAAAATATTTTACAATGCAGTGTTTAAATCCATGTTTTCTTGGGGTTTTTGTTTGGGACTTTTAAAATCCTTAATCCTGAGCAATTCCTCCTGGCGTTGTATAGTCTTTAAAAATACTATTTCTAAAAGATGTATATGCCACCTAATAATGGTCCATAATTAATTTAACAGTTTCACTGTTGTTGAGTGTTTACGCTGTTTTCAGTTTTTCCTTATTATATGTAATGCCGTGCTCATCCTTACTGATAAAGCTTCAGGTAAGTAGAATTAATGAATGATAGATATAAATATTTTAAAGTCTCAGTGCAGCTGTAAAACTGGTTTTCAGTGCAGCTGTCAGACTGGTTTTCAGAAAGTCTGTACCCCTTTATTCTCCTAATAGCAATGTATAAGGCTCATTTCATTCACTATTGGTCACCCTGTCACACTGTGTATTTGAATTTCGCTTATGTGGGGATTGGTGTGGATAGAAATTCAAAGAGGTAAGCAAGCCCATTCCAGCCATGTTGGGTTATGTGGCCTGACAAAAGCCATCAGGCTGCCTTTTTATTTGAAACATAAAAGTTCATGACTGTTGTATCTTCTACAGGAATTGTAAACTTTTATCAGTTGAAAATATCCTCACACACTGGGGCCTGTCATGGGGTTGGGGAAGGGGGGAGGGATAGCATTAGGAGATCTACCTGATGTAAATGACGAGGTAGTGGGTGCAGCACACCAACATGGCATATGTATGCATATGTAACAAACCTGCACGTTGTGCACATGTACCCTAGAACTTAAAGTATAATAAAAATAAAAGAAGAAAAAAAGAAAATATCCCTCTTTCATGGCATTGCTCCATTGTCTTCTAACATTACTATTGCTGACAAGGGGTTTGATGTCAATCTAAGTCTTAGTCTTTTGTATACTTCCTACTATTTTCTCTGTCCAATAAATGGATTAATGGTTAGGTAAATTATGGCATATCCATTCAATGGATTATTATTATGATGCAGCTTTTTAAAAAACCACATCTATTATTTACTTGAATGAATGTTCCTTATATTTTATCACATGAGAAAAACAAGTTACAGAGATATATACCAGTTTTAGAAAAACAAACAAAATTCTCTACATTTCTAATCACATTTTACACATATTTTTACACATAGAGAAAGATGTCAAAAGGTAAAAATCAGGCTGTTAGTTTTAGATTCCTTTTAATTTAGGAGAAGGAATTTAGATTGCTTTTAATTTAGGTGAAGATCATGAGGTATACTAATAATGTTATTGCATATTTCCTTTAATTTGAGTTTTTGTTACTAGTGGGGTGAGATATCTTTTCATGTTTATGGATCGTTTGATTATATTCTTGTGTAAATTTTCTCTTCACATTTTTATCCATTATTTTATTGAGCTATTTGAGGGTTTTTTGGGAATCAATTTATAGGAAACCTTTGCATATTATAAATTACATGTTTGCACATATTTGTTCTAAGTCTACTATCTGTCTATGACTTTGTTTACGGTATCTTTTGCCATATAAAAAAATGTTAAATTGGCTGGGCCCGGTGGCTTACGCCTGAATCCCAGCACTTTGGGAGGCCGAGGCAGGTGGATCATGAGGTCAGGAGTTCAAGACCAGCCTGGCCAAGATGGTAAAACCCCATATCTACTAAAAATACAAAAAAAAAAAATTATCTGGGTGTAGTGGCAGGTGCCTGTAATCCCAGATACTCGGGAGGCTGAGGCAGAGAATTGCTTGAACCCAGGAGGCAGAGGTTCCAGTGAGCCAAGACTGTACCACTGCACTCTAGCCTGGGCAACAAAGCAAGATTCCATCTCAAAAAAAAAAAAAAAAAGTTAAATTGCTATATACCCAGATATATTTATCTTTTTCATTGATGAGCTCTGGGTTTCATGCCATGTTTCAAAATATTTCATCCACTTCAAGATTATACCTAAATAATATTCTAAATTTCCATTTTTTCTATATTTAGATCTATAAATCTGATGGGTTTTATCATATATATATCATATATGATATATATATAACCACACAGGTCAGAGAACAAATGTGGAGATTCCTCAAGCTGCTAATTATGCCTATTATAATTAGACATTTAGGAATTGGGGAAATAACAACAGGGTGAGTCTATGGAATGACTAGGCCCACTTGAGCTCAGACTCCGCTGGTCCCCTGACCATTGTAAGCCCCTACTTTAATAGTAGACCAAAGAGGTGCTTTGGGTCCCCAAGAGTCAATGCCAATTCAGAGTCAGTGTCTACCAACCCCAGCAAGGTCTGGGTATTTTCTTCCTCTAATGAACAGTTACCTAGTAAATTATCACAGTACATTTGGTGAAGGCTTGGAGGAAGATTTATGGTATGTATTTGTGGAAATGATATAGGGTTATTCTTCAAAAGGACTCAGCCTCCCCTTTAATCAAGAGGTTCTGTATCCATGACTTAACTTAGATTTGGAAACTGAGTAAGAGATCATGACTCTCCACTGTGGTGACTCAAGTCAGGTTTCTGACTACTGTATCTAGAGTATTTCCTATTATATAGGTCAAACAATAATTTAGTAGGATGACCATCTATCTTTTTTCTACAAACACAGTGATCAATTGCCTCCGCCAAATATCTCTGTGAGCCGAGGCATTCTAACAATCAGCATGTCCTTGTTGCTCTTTACAACAGAAGTACTACTTTGTTTTTGAAGGTTAAGTGATACCACCAGTCCTCTGCTATTCTAAAAACCCATTATTCCCACTGAAATCAGGGAGGCCATCTCAATAGTGAGTAACACTTTCTACAGTCATATCTGGCCAACAAATAAAACCACTACAGAGATTTGCAAGGATTCCGGTCTCTGCACTAATGTATATCTCAAACCCTTAATAAAGGGAGTCTCTTTGAATTTTTCCACAGAACTCTTACCAAAACAGGAATAGAAGACATAGGGTGCAACCATTTCTCCAGGCTGAAACAGAGCCCCTGAGGAAGGAGCAAATCTGAAGTTCCCCTGCACCCAGGGCTTTGATTCAGATATTGTTGGAGAGAGCATTGCATGGCTCATGACTCACTAGGTGGTGGATAAGCTCATTGAGGTATGGTGCTAGGAAGAGTGACTAGAAAGCCACCTTCTGGGGTATCAGGAGAAGCATCTCAGGAAGGTCCTGTGCCTAGGAACTCACTACAAAGCCATCAAGGAAATACTGGGGGGAGCCATGCACACAGAGGTGCCACACCGTTGGAACTCACTGGGAAACTGCTTTTGGAGCCCCAGGAGGAGCTGTGCATGGCGTGCTGTGCTGCACGGAGGCAATGTTTTAGTTCCACAAGCAGGGGCACAAAGGGTGTGTTTGCAGCCGAAAGACAATAGATTTAATAACTGACACAATCTCTAAGCAACTAATGACCTCCATCTAATTCTATTTACTTCACTGCTATGTGGGTGTTTTTTATACTCATGTAATATTATTTCAATGACATCTCAAAAATGAGTGGAGACAAAATGTGGGCTGAGTCTGCCATCTTGAACAGGAATTTTTTTTTATTATTATTATACTTTAAGTTCTAGGGTACATGTGCACAATGTGCAGGTTTGTTACATATGTATACATGTGCCATGTTGGTGTGCTGCACCCATTAACTCGTCATTTAACATTAGGTATATCTCCCAATGCTATCTCTCTCCCCTCCCCCCATCCCCCAGCAGGCCCCAGTACGTGATGTTCCCCTTCCTGTGTCCTTGTGTTCTCATTGTTCAATTCCCACCTATGAGTGAGAACATGCGGTGTTTGGTTTTTTGTCCTTGCGATGGTTTGCTGAGAATGATGGTTTCCAGCTTCATCCATGTCCCTATGAAGGACATGAACTCATCATTTTTTATGGCTGCATAGTATTCCATGGTGTATATGTGCCACATTTTCTTAATCCAGTCTATCATTGTTGGACATTTGGGTTGGTTCCAAGTCTTTGCTATTGTGAATAGTGCCGCAATAAACATACATGTGCATGTGTCTTTATAGCAGCATGATTTATAATCCTCTGGGTATATACCCAGTAATGGGATGGCTGGGTCAAATGGTATTTCTAGTTCTAGATCCCTGAGGAATCGCCACACTGACTTCCACAATGGATGAACTAGTTTACAGTCCCACCAACAGTGTAAAAGTGTCCCTATTTCTCCACATCCTCTCCAGCACCTGTTGTTTCCTGACTTTTTAATGGTCGCCATTCTAACTGGTGTGAGATGGTATCTCATTGTGGTTTTGATTTGCATTTCTCTGATGGCCAGTGATGATGAACATTTTTTCATGTGTCTTTTGGCTGCATAAACGTGGAAGTTTCATTTTTTAAAAATGTCTTTAAAGCTGAGTGGAGAACATATGAAACCCTGGCAATATGTGTGCTGCCAAAGAGAGCACATCGAACACTGGCAATAGATGGCTTATTTAAGTCAACAAAAATTGGCTAAATTGTTAAGTTGTTGAACTTAAAACTCTGGTAGCCTTAGCTTCAATAATGCTGCTGTAGGGCTGGGTTGGTCACTACTGTAATCCAAGCCAGCAGTGGGAGGCTGAAGCAGAAGGATCAATTGAGGCCAGGAGTTTGAAACTGTCCTAGACAACATAGAAAAACCTCTGTCTCTACCAAAAAAAAAAAAAATTAGTTAGCTGTGCATAGAGGCTCACACCTGTAGTCCCAGCTACTCGGGAGGCTGAGGTGGGAGGATTGCTTTTGTCCTGGAGCTCAAGGTTACAGTAAACTATGATGGTGCTACTGCACTCCAGCCTGGGCAACAGAGCAAGACCATGTCTCAAAAAAAAAAAAAAAAAAAAAAAAAAAGCTGCTATATAGAATGCCCTATTTCTAAAATTAAAAAAAAATGCTTTCCTGATGATGTGGTTGAATCAACTAAACGATCTGACGGTGTGAAAGTGCCTAGCATGATAACTGACAATGGAGGGTACTCGATAAATGTTGAGTGAATGAATAGCAATTACTAAGGAACATCTTCCCCTCCCTTCCACCTTCCAGACAGATGGGACTGGAATGCTGGCAGGCAGTGGACAGATACCAAAAACTGTTTTTCTTCTTCCGAGTTTCTTAAGACTATTGAGCACTTAATATGCACTAGGTGATTTGCCAGGCTCTGGGAATACACAGAAAAATAACTCAAGGTCTCTTCCCCTAAGAAACTTCCATCTAATGAACAAGACTGATAAGTAAAAACATATTTCAACATGATGTGTATGTGCTATAATAGAGGTAAATGTAAAGTGTGAATATAAGACATAGGAAAGGCTGCCAACCCAAACTGGAGTGGGCTGGAGAATTAATCCTGGGCTGCATCTAGAAAGATAAATAAGAGTTAGCAAGATAAATAAACATGTATTTTCAAAGCACAGGGGCATAGATGCAAATATATCTGGTAGGAGAAAGCATGGCACATTTGAGGACTCCAAATATTTGGTAAGGCAAAAGTATAAAAAGATATTTGAAGTGGTAAGAGATTAAGGCGGAAAGGTAGGGCAAGCAATGGAATTTGTAGGACAAATGTGATATGCTCTCATTTGCATTTAGGAGAAATCTTTTGCCACATTTGGAGAAAGGATTGAAGAGAAATGAGAGCCTGGATGTGAAGAAAACATTAGGAAGCTGCAGCAGTAACCTATGTGAGAAATTAAGAGAACCTAAATCAGATCCGTTGGCCATCAAGATTTCACTCATTTTGAGACCTAGAGATTGGTGCTCCTGGAGCTGTGAAATGCGTGGCCTCTGTAGCCCTGGTGAGTGAGATATGGATATGTAGCTATGGATCTGAGAAATATCTGTGAAACATAATCCACAGATATGATGACAGGGTGAAAAAGAGGAGTCAGCAATCATACTCAGATTTTTTACAAAAGCAAATGCTTACATGTGGTACCAGTCACTGTGATTGGGAACATTAGAAGAAGAGTATAATTGGGTGGATAAACAATAAAGTTAGATTTGAGAGATGATGATTTTGAGATGGCTGAAGGACATCTGAGCAGATACATCCAGAAGGCAGTAGACTTTAAATCAGGAGACTCCAGTCTAAAGATAAAAGTGTTGAAGTACTCAGTGTATAGATAGCAATAGAAGCTCCAGAAATGAACAAAGTTGCCCAGGGAGAAGTTGTATACTGAAACAATGAGAAAGTCTAGAACATAACACTTGGAAGCAAATCATTCTAGAGATAAGCACTGGCCTGGAAGATAAAAAAAATTTTTTTAGTAGGAACAACAACAACCAAAAAGAACAGCATCTCTCAAAAATCAATGGAGGAAAATTTCAAGAAAAAGAGTTATAAACAGCATCAAACTCAGTAGAAAGATCTAGGAAGGTAAATACAGAAAAAGATTCATCAGCTTTAGAAACCAGAAAGTCAATGGTACAAGAGCAGTTGCAGAGGAGTGGTGAGGACAAGAGCCAGGCTGCTTTGCAGTATATGGAAGATTGAGTGGTAGCTACTGCCTAAATCAGGACCCTTTCTGTTGCAAGTATTAGAAACCCAACTTGAACTCATTTAACAAAAAAGAAATTTATTGTATAGTATAAATGGAAAGTATACAGGTAGAGCTGGCTTCTGTCACAGCTATTGATAGACCCAGGGACACTCAGAAATAGTTTTCAGAAAATGGTTTGGATCTCTATCTCTCCAACTATCCCCTTTTTTATCCTCCGCTTCATCTTTTAATTCTGAATTTAATTTTAAACCTCTGCCTTATTCCCTCCTTATTCAGATGGACTTCTTCCAAGACCACCATAGTTAGTTACCAAATTTCAAATACTCTCAGAATCATAAATCGGAATGAGAAAAATCTTAGCTTTATCACAAGAGTTCAGCGACAATTCTAACTGGCCCATCTTAAGTCATGCACCGATCCCCAAACCAACCCTGTGGCCAGGTGAATGGAGAATGCTGATTGCATAGTCTCTAGCAGGTGTGCAACCAAGACATAGGGCAGACACTTTTGCTGATACCCAGGTGCACACGGAGTAGGGAAAGGATGTTTCCCCCAAAGAAGAGATTCTGGATAGAGGAACAATATATATCCACTATATTCTACCCTTTGGATGTTTAGCATTCTTTCTTCTCATACATATAGTATCACAAATGTCCCCACCTAGTGCAATGCAACTATCCCATTTATAAATGAAAATATCCTAATTCTGAAAGAGAAATGACCAAATGTAATGTTATTATTGCATCCAGCTCCAACTCTAGATCCTTGAAATATGGGCATTCCTCTTCATTTCAAATCTTTCTCCTCATGGCTATGCACCTATGATTAACTGATACATTTTACCACCCCAGCAGATATAAAATGGTGAAAGGAAATATAAAATTTTTAAATTAAAACATACTATCATCTGGAAAAGGAAACAAACAGCAGCCATCCACCGAAAGTACTTATTTCTGGGCAGGGATAGCATGGAGTTCTTGTCTCGGCAAAGGAATGAATTTACTAGTCAGCCAATATGCCTGCCTGCAGTCCCACTGGGAGACCTCTTTTATCCATGGCCATGCTAAGAAGGGTATAGAAAACATCATAAAATAGAAATCTGTTCTGGAGACTGAACCTCTCTAGCAGCCCACTTCCTGCTGACATAGTTTATGAGAGGTGGGGGCCTATGACTGCCCTCGAGGCTGAGGAAACATAAGTTACCATTTTGTTTAGGCTTGGAATTTCACTGATAACCAACTCCAATAAAACTCTAATAGGCATTAGAACCTTTGGGTTCACAGACCTGTACTCTGTCTTGTCTCTATAGCCTCAGAACTTTGCCTGTAGCCCTAGGCCTAAATTTAATCATTTCCTTCTTGGAAAGTAATAAGGTGAAGGCAATAAACCTCTGGTGAAACACTAGGTGAGGCAGAATGATGTGCACCTGTGACCAGCCTGCAGCCCATTGGCTAACCCTAACAAATAGGAAGAAAGATTCCTTGAATCAGATAGTTTGAGAAAGGAGGTATGTGGGAAGAGCCCAGGGACTCCAGCTTCCTTCATTTCTCTGGCCTCTCAGGTATCCCAATTTTATCTCCCTGCTGTGTTTCACACCTCCTTGCCTTTTATGCTAATTTTAAAACAGGGCGGAAATTTTGGTTTTGGCAATTCTATAAGAAGCATAGTTAACCGAGCCTCAGCAATCTCACCCATAGGCAGAGGGATAATTATTAACAAAGTTGTATGTTGTTCCCTTTCTACTTTCAGCCAGGTCAGCTCAGTTCAAATCTTATCCTTTTGGCTTGTTTTTTGGTAAGACCTTACTAAAGGTCACAAGAAACTGCCAATATTTTCTAACACCCTGATATTTTTCTAACAAGTTTCCTAAAGCTCCAGCTTTAATAGACATTGGTCTGAGATAGCTAAGCTGCAGTAAGGACAAGTTCAGTCATCTTTGTGACTACCACATAACAAGGAAAGAGGGCTTCTCACTCAGCTAATTTCACATTTTAGAGTCAATACCCTTGTAAATCTTGATTTGACTCAAAGGTCCTTCTTTTTGTCTTATTTTTAGAAACACGCAATAACTTGCGGTGCAATGAAATGTAGAATTTAATTGGGCTTTAAAATTTAAAACCTTTTTCAAGGCTACTAGACAGTGATGAACTTTGTAGATAGATTGACTTGAAATGGAGGTCCCACATAGAATGTTAGATAGTGATAAGTGCTAGGAAGAAAAATAAAGCCAGGAAAAAAAGTATGGTAGAGAGGTGCAGTTTTATAAAGGGGTCAATACAAAGGTGACATTTGAATAAAGATCTGAATGAGGTAAGGTTGCAAACCATGCACTTATCTAAGGGAGAAGTGTCCCAAGAAGAGAGAACAGCTAATGCAATTGTCCTAATGCTGGAGCAAGCCTGGCCTATCGAAGAAACAGAAAGAGAACAATATGGTTAAAGTACAGTGAGTATAATTGCCCAAAAGGTTCTTCCTGCCTGCAGCACAGACAAAACCAATTCACTGAGACTGTGGTATTGCAATAGAAAAAGAACTTAATTATCACAAGCCAGCCTAGTGGAAGGACAGGGGTTATTACTCAAATCAGCCTACCTAATGACTCAGAGGCTAGCATTTTTCAAAGATAGTTTGGTAGGCAGGGGGCTAGGGAATAGGTACTGCCGATTCATTGGGGATGAAAACATAGGGGTGTAGAAAATGGTCCTGTGTGCTGAGTCAGCCTGTGGGTAGGTGCCATAGGACTGATTGAGTCATGAGTCAAGGGTCCAGGTGGACTCAGTCAGTCTCAGGATGTAAAAATCAGAAAAACATCTCAAAAGAACTTACCATTACTATTGTAGAAACTACAATAGTGATATTATCTATGGGAGCAACTGGGAAAGTTGCAAAGTTTGTGACCTCCAGAACAATGGCTGGTTATCATCTAACTATGCCTACATACTAGCAGAATTAGGGCCCCTGCCATAATCCTAATCTCATCGGCTTTTATTAGTTTTACAAAGGCAGTTTTGGTCACTGAGCAAGGTGTTTGCAAGGGTTAGTTTTAGGAAAGACTATTATCATCATTGCTTCAAAGTTAAACTATAACCTACACTCCTCCCATGGTTAGTGTGGAGTCCTAATTAGGGAAAAGGAGTCAGGCTAGTGGGAATAAGGGAAAGCAGATAAGCTATAAGTCGGCCTTTCTTTATGGCCTAAGACACGTAGCCCTCCTGCACAAATAACTCACAATCTTCCTGTGCCAAACTATCACCAAACACCTGCAAGTTAGCTCACTGCAACCTTGGTGTTATCAATACTGCACAAAGCCCTCTTCAACAGACAACATAAACATTATGCTATAAAATCTCCATCAAACCCTTGTTTCCTGGAAGTCAGCTTCTCTTCTGCTGACCTGCCCATTGCCTCCTCACAATGTGTTTTCCCACTTTCTCTGATAAATCTGTCTTTCTTTACCTACAACTGTCTCAGTAAATTATTTTACTCCTGCACCACCAGCCCAAATAGTCATCGCTCACCCGAGACATTTTGGTGGCCCATACGTGAACTCTCTCTCTTCATAGGGAACTCTCTCCCATCTCCCTTTTTCCAACTTGGAACCTTCAGTGGACAGCATCTAAGCATGGAGACGATTGCAGGTCTCTGGCCAGAGCTACACTGAGGGTGGGACTAAAAGGTGTCCATGAGAAAGTGTCTAACCACCATCATTCATTCAGATGAGGGACCTAACTCTGCTTATTCTTTTCAGTCTTTCAGTAGCTGGCTTCTAGTATCTCTCTGGAAATTGATGGTATAATATTTGACGAAGCCACTCTCTGGTGTTGCCTGAAAGCTAAAAGGTGAACAGAGCTGGCTGCCTTGCCCAGAAGGGAGGAAGGCTCTCTCTCCTATCTTTCCTGGTTGAAAAGTCCCTAGTCCCTACATGTGATGCAACAAACAGTGGAAGCTCGTTCAGAGTGAGTTCATACACGTTTTAGGTGATTTAGACCCTCTTTTTCTCACTCTGAATTCTCCTATGGACTCAGCCAGTTGTCCTGTCCTGGACATTGCTAAATCAGGCGATCTCAGACAGCCTCAGAACAGTGAGTCTTTCCCCACCCACCCCCTCTCCTGGACCCACACTAAGCAGAGATCTTTCTTTATCCCTTTTGAGAGTTGAAGCCAGCTGGACTTCCTGGGTCAAGCGGGGATTGGAGAACTTTTCTGTCTTACAAGAGGGTTGTAAAATGCACCAATCAGCACTTTGTAGGTAGGATTGTAAAACGCACCAATCAGTGATCTGTAGCTATCAAGAGGATTGTAAAATGCACCAGTCGGTGCTCTGTAAAATGCACCAATCAGCGCTCTGTAAAATAGACCAATCAGCAGGATTCTAAAAGTAATCAATCATGGGGAGGATTGAGAAAAGAGCATTCTAATAGGACAGAAACAGGACATGAGAGGGGACAAATAAGGAAATAAAAGCCTGCCACCCCCTAGCCGGCAGCTGCAACCCACTCAGGTCCCCTTCCACACTGTGGAAACTTTGTTCTTTTGCTCTTAACAATAAATCTTGCTGCTGCTCACTCTTTGGGTCCATGCCATCTTTAAGAGCTGTAACACTCACCGCGAAGGTCTGTGACTCCATTCTTGAAGTCAGCCAGACCACGAACCCACCAGAAGGAACCAACTCCTGACACATTTTTCCCTTGTACCTGGGCTAATCACCCAGTATAAGACAGTACCTAGACTAGCCATCTAGTATAAGACCCCTGAGCTCCAAATGGTCTTTTCCAACAGGTGGGATGCCCCTTTAGAAAGTGCACCCTGAGTCTCTCAGCTGACATAAGTGAAACCCTTTTCATTGGTGAAGTGCCCCAAGTGAAAGTACAGTTCAATTAGCCCCCAGCTGTGTGTTTTCCAGTCCCACCATGGGAAAACCCCTGTCAATTCCTTCTGACTCGCCTCTAGGCTCTATTCTAAAGCTCTAGGACAAAGTTGACCCCCAAACCCTCAAAAAGAAATGTCTAATTTTCTTGTGTAACATAGCATGGCCTCTATGCAGAAAATTATCAAATTAGCCTCCTCAGTCTTTATAACCAAGAGCAGAATAAGGAAAACAAGGCTAAGAAAAAAAAATGCAAAGACAAAAGGCAGGCTAAACTGTTGGCTGCTTTACAAGCCCCAGCCCACTCCAGACTACTCTAAAAACACTCCTCCAGGGCCGGGCGCGGTGGCTCACGCCTGTAATCCCAGCACTTTGGGAGGCCGAGGCGGGCGGATCACGAGGTCAGGAGATCGAGACCATCCCAGCTAAAACGGTGAAACCCCGTCTCTACTAAAAATACAAAAAATTAGCCGGGCGTAGTGGCGGGCGCCTGTAGTCCCAGCTACTTGGGAGGCTGAGGCAGGAGAATGGCGTGAACCCGGGAGGCGGAGCTTGCAGTGAGCCGAGATCCCGCCACTGCACTCCAGCCTGGGCGACAGAGCGAGACTCCGTCTCAAAAAAAAAAAAAAAAAAAAACACTCCTCCAAATAACTGCCACTGGTGCAGAGGGCCAGGCCACTAAAAGACAAACTGCCTCAATGAGATTAATGGGGAAAAACCTCACACAGCTTGCCTGCTTGGCTACATGCTTGGCCACTGGAAATGGAACTGCCCTGAAAGCCAAAGGGCCCCCACGAAAGAATCCCAACCCTCAATGGCTTTCAGCTGAATGGGCTCTCATCTTTGAAAACAGCTCACCTTGGCCGGGCGCGGTGGCTCACGCCTGTAATCCCAGCACTTTGGGAGGCCGAGGCGGGTGGATCATGAGGTCAGGAGATCGAGACCATCCTGGCTAACAAGGTGAAACCCCGTCTCTACTAAAAATACAAAAAATTAGCCGGGCGCGGTGGCGGGCGCCTGTAGTCCCAGCTACTCGGGAGGCTGAGGCAGGAGAATGGCGTGAACCCGGGAAGCGGAGCTTGCAGTGAGCCGAGATTGCGCCACTGCAGTCTGCAGTCCGGCCTGCTGGGCGACAGAGCGAGACTCCGTCTCAAAAAAAAAAAAAAAAAAAAAAAAAGAAAACAGCTCACCTTAACTCGTGACTTGCGGAGGTGGGAAGAATTCATCCCACACTTTGCAGTCTAGGGTGCTAAGGCTCTCTCTGATGGAAGAAAAACAAGGGTGGGAGGGGTGCTAGCCCTGAACTACAATGTGCAGTGGCTGGAAGGCTCACAAGCCATCCTATAAAGCTTAACCTTCTCCTCTCCACTCCTCTCTTTTCTTTTTTTCTTTTTTTCCTGTTCAATCCAGGGGTCCAGCATTAAAAAGGAGAAGGCAGATTCTGACATCCTAACCCCTGATTTTGTTGTTCTCTTTAAAACTCTAGCTGGTTACCTATTACAGCCTCTTTTTGTGCACATTTCAAACTGATTGGCAAACTATAACAGGAAAACTCAAAGCTCAAATGGTTAACCTGCACTATAGAGTTAAGTCTTTGAAAGTTTTCTGCCTCTGTTTTTCTACCTGCTTTAAATCTGCTGTTACTAAGCTGCTGGTGCTGAGATAAGACTCATTGTTTATAATCAAACTAAAATGTAAACATTGAAACCTCATTTAAAGTTAAAAAAAGGTAAAGCAGAATTTTTAGTAAGGAAGGTTATAAAAAATTTATAGAAAAACAATCTTCTATAGTAAACTCTAAAATAAAATGACTGGTTGTTTTTTTAAAAAAGTGGTGATTAGAAGAAGTCAGAAAGTCCAAGCATGTCATAAATGGTCTGTGTAAGTCATAAACGATTCATAAAAGGGAATTTATGAAAGAAATTTTGTATTTAATTAAGTTGGTTATAAGTTTTTAAAATTGTAAATGTTTCTTTAAAACAACAACAATAAAAAACCTTCTCAGAATCGTATCTCAAAAGTTCAACTTGCTGTGTCCCACAGCTTCAGCTTTCTTTCCCTGGAAAAGGCCTAAGATAGTAACTTCTTCAGTCTTTGTCAGCTCCTGTTCTGTTATTATAGCCTAATGCTAAAATGTTTCATCTTGAAGGTCAAAATTAAACAGTAGTCTTCTCTGACATAAACTTAATAGTTTAATTTCCAGATTATCTAAACGGGCTTCCAATAAGAAAAAACAATCACACTACAAAAGGTTTTTCTTTGCCTTTTTTGTAACTGGCTTTAAAAAAACACAAAATTTTTCTTCTAGGGTTTTTATGGTTTTAGGTCTAACAGTTAAGTCTTTAATCCATCTTGAATTAATTTTTGTATAAGGTGTAAGGAAGGGATCCAGTTTCAGCTTTCTACATATGGCTGGCCAGTTTTCCCAGCACCGTTTATTAAATAGGGAATCCTTTCCCCATTTCTTGTTTTTGTGAGGTTTGTCAAAGATCAGATGGTTGGAGATGTGTGGTATTATTTCTGAGGGCTCTGTTCTGTTCTGTTCGTCTATATCTCTGTTTTGGTTACTGTAGCCTTGTAGTATAATTTGAAGTCAGGTAGCGTGATGCCTCCAGCTTTGTTCTTTTGGTTTAGGATTGTCTTGGAAATGCAGGCTCTTTTTTGGTTCCATTGGAAGCCCATTTAGCCTGGATGATAGAACAAGACTCCATCAAAAAAAAAAAATCTGTAGTAAAACAGACCAGCAGCAGACCACCAAACAGTGACCATGCTTTTTTTGTGTGCAAGTTTGGCTTTGGAAAGTACTTTGGAACTTCTTCTTGGTCCAGGCACTGAGCTGGTCATCACTTGTTGTCATATAAAATCCACTTTTCATCACACGTCACAATCCAATCGAGAAATGGTTCATGTTGTTGCATAGAATAAGAGAGGATGACACTTCAAAATGAAGTTTTTTGGATTTTTGGTCAGCTCATGAGGCACCCACTTATCTAGCTTTTTCAACTTTCCAATTTGCTTCAAATGCAAAATGACTGTAGAAATGTCAAGGTGAGTTCTTTGGCAACTTCTCGTGTAGTTGTAAGAGGATCAACTTCTATGATAGCTTTCAATTGGTTGTTGTCAACTTCCGATGGCCAGCCACCATACTCCTCATCTTCAAGGCTCTTGTCTCTTTTGCAACACTTCTTGAACTACCACTGCTCTATACGTTTGTTAGCAGTTCCTGGGCGAAATGCACTGTAGATGTTGCAAGTTGTCTCTGCTGCTTTACAACCCATTCTGAACTCAAATAAGAAAATCGCTCAAATTTGCTTTTTGTCTAACATCATTTCCATAGTCTAAAATAAATATAAAATAAACAGCAAGTATTAAGTCATTAGCAAAAAAATAAAATAAAATGAGAAATGTGCATTAAAATGGTGTATAACATAACCACATTTAAGAATGTATTTAAGAATGTATTTCAATATCAAATAGTAACTTTCAACAATGCAAAAATTGCTATTACATTTGCACCATCCGAATACATGAGGTATACATGTTATTAAACTTCTGCTTGTTTTTCTCTTATTAATTTGCCTTTTGTTGCATAAAGTCCCAGCTAAGAAATATGAAGGGTGGAGGAGAAAATTATGTTTCCTCTCCTATACTTGTTATGCACTATGTTTGATAATTTTGCCCATTATCTACTTAGGCATCGTATTTTTCTTATAAATTTGCACAATCTTTTTCTTAAGCTCATTAAATCTCATCTGTCATTTTTTGCTGAATCTCCAAAAATAATATCTAGAAGCAACTCAGGGTCATGAATATTTTGCTTATTGCTTCACCATCACCATAGTGGGAGCTTGCACTCAGAAACTGTGGTATGTAAGAACTCAGGCTCATAGTGCAAATATTAGACTGTACATTTTGTCTCCCCTTTCTGAGGCCCACAATTAATCCTATCTCCTTCCTCCAACTGTCCTTGCTGTCACTTAGTTCCTTCCTACTACAAGTCCTCCCTGTTTGCTATTCAACTCATTAATCCCTATTTTATAGCAGTCTTCCTCATTATAATGTGATTTTTTTCTTTTACAGTGAAGGTCTTGTTTCTATGGCGATACAAGAGAAAGTCTTTGCAGAGTTGTTGCAGCTGGAAGTCTTCACTTACTTTAAGAGCTCATTAAAGCTAGTGGAGGTAAAGGGCAGGTGGAGATCCTGAAAGTGCCTAGCAGAGGTTGAAACTTTATAGCAAAGTTAAGAGTCAGTAGGAGCACACAAAGAATTCCTTTCTTGTCATTGTAATTACCTTACATAGGCATGAAACTTTCCAAACCTATCTAACATCAACTTTACATATTCATAATATTTTTTACGTACAGCCTTAACATTTGGTCTGAGACAACTTTTTAGACAATTTAGACAATTTTTCAAACTACTTTTTTGAGGAAGCAGAGTATTATATGGCAGCTACAGAATGATAAAGGATGACTGGAGAGTTTTCTCTTCAGAAAAAAGAACAAACTTTTCTTCATGTGAAAGGTAAACAGAGAGAGAGAAGTTCAGCAGCATAATTAATAAGATGGTTCTGCAATGTCTAATAACTTCTCCTTTTTGTTTGCCTCTGTACACAATAAAAGTGTTAAAGTATAATTTTCAAAAAAATGTAACATCATGACTCTCATGACTCTCAAGTTTTATTCAACTCAGGAAACCAATAAGATGTTATAACTGATTCAAAGAACATTTGAGAAGCTAGATATTTGTAGAAAATATTAGCATAAGATTGCTGGGTTAGAGACTGGTTAAAGTCCAACAAGAAAACAAACCAGAACCTTTAGGATCATCTGTTGTATTGGACAGAAATTATTCACATCTCAAACAAAAACCAAACATTAACTTTTGCCCAAAGACAATAGACAATAGAAAACTAAGCCCACTACACTGGTAAATGCCCTGTCATCTCTTCTGCCTATTTCCAAGTTTAAGAAAATTTTTCTGACAGAGTAAAAATTGTTTGGTAAGGGAGGAAGGTATAGTTGCCTCTGGAAATAAGGGAGCTAGGAAGGGTTCTTGGAGCCCATACCTCCTTCCTCCTGACCCAGGATGGAAAATGTCTCTTCCAACAGCCTTCCAAACCTGAAATGAACTGCTCCTTACAGAACTGCCAAAAGGAAGAAATAGAAAAGAAAAAAGAAGCAATAGGTCCAAAGTAAGTCCAAAACCCAATAAGGCAAACAACACTGTCTACTCATTAAATACTGAGGCTTGAGAATAATCTTATTTGGCTCCATGTCTCACCTTTTAGACACACTGGGGCAGGGGTTGTCCCCCAAGGCCCTGGGCAACCCAGCCCCAAAATTTATTCTCTCACAGTTCTGGAGGCTGGGAAGTTGAAGATTAAGGTTCCAGCAGAGTCTGTGTCTGGTGAGGACTTTCTCTCTGTGTCTACATTGCTGCAACATCTGGAGGGGACAAATATTGTATCTTCACATGGCAGAAAGAATGGAAGGAAAGAGCTCACTGGTTTTCCTGGGTACATTCCACACTGCAGCTCTCATGGGTTGTAGTCTTGTGCCTTTTAGCTTTCACAGGCTGGCGTTGCATACTTGTGGCTCTACAATCCTGGGGTCTTAAGGATAGCCTCACTCCCACCACTCCACCAGTCTGTGGTGGCCCCACTCCTGTGGCAGTTCTCTGCCTGGGCCCTGAGGCTCTCTGGGGCATCCTTTGAAATCTAGGTGGAGGAATCCATGCCCCCCAGGTCTTGTGCTCTGTGTACCTGCATAGTTAGTACCATGTGGAAACTACCAAGGGTTATTCCTGTGCCTTCTGGAGGGGCAGCCCAACACACCAACACCACTTCAGCCAATCCAGGGCAGCCAAGGGATGCTGCACCAGAATGTGAGGAGCAGAAACTTGAGGCAGCCCTGGACAGAGAGTTTGGAGGTCCCACAAGTTCCCTGGGCTTCTCCAGCACCATGCGCCCTTCCCTTGAAACCATTCTGCCCTCAAGGCTCTAGCACCCTGGCCCTATGATGGGAATGGCAGCCTTGAAGATCTCCAAAATGCCTTCAGTGGCATACTTCCATTGTCTTGATGAATAGCATCTGGCTTCCTTCTCTTCATTCTAATCTCCTTATCAAATGTTCCCTTGAGCACACCATTTGGTGTTCTCTCCTGCATATACCTTTTATTTCCTTACAACCTACCTGGGCTAAGATTTTTCCAACTCTTTAAGTTCTGTTTCCCTTTTAATTATAAATTCCATCTTTAATTCATTTCTCTCTCTTGCATTTTACTCTAAGAAGTCAAGAGAAGCTATGCTGTACCCTCAACACTCTGCCTAGAGATTTCTTCCATGAAATATCCTAGTTCACATCTGCCTCCTGCAAACTACTAGGACATGGACACTGCTCAGCCAAGTTCTGTGCCAATTTGTAACAAGAATGGCCTTTCCTCCTATTTCCAATAAGGTATTCCTCATTTCAATCTAAGACCTCCTCAGAATGGCCTTTACTGTCCATATTCTGTTCACAACATGCGGTTCATGACCTCTTAGATAATCTCTAAGAAGATTGAGGCTCTCTCCACAGCTGCCCTCTTCTGAGTCCTCATCCAAATAGCCCTTTATGGTTCAGCCTCTACCCATTACCCAGTTCCAAAGCTGCTTCCACATTTTTAGGTATTTGTTACGGAAGCATCCCACTTCTTGGAGATAGTGACAAGAGGCAGGGAAATTCTGGGCAGAAGAGGGTGAGTCCATGGCCCACTTCTTGGAGACAGTGACAAGAGGCAGGGAAATTCTGGGCAGAAGAGGGTGAATCCATGGTGAGGGCCCCACCCACAAGCTGAAAAGCCTAATACCACGGCCCAAAGTGAGAAGTTTACATCCTGTTTTCCCACTCAAATGTTGCCTTTTCCAAAACCTCCCATGGCCTGCCCCACCCCCCATCCTATTCCCATAAAATCCCCAGGCCCCATCAGCAGAGGGAGGAGAAGAGGAGAAGCAGCTGGACATCAGAGACTATGGTTGGACATTGGAGAGAAGCAGCTTGACTTCAAAGGGACGGCTTGATGGCATTGCTTCGGAGAGGAGTTCAGCCAGGGACAGCTGGACTCTAGGGGAATATTATCTTCCCACACCATCCACTTTTCAGCTCCCCTTCCCACTGAGAACCACTTTCATTGGCAATAAAATCCCCCACATTTACCATCTCCAATTTGTTTGTGCAACCTTATTCCTCCTGGACACTGAATAAGAACTCGAGTGTCAGTGCAAAAGGCTGTCACACTGACCCTCCACTGAGCCGTTAACACTTAAGCCAACCGCGAATGGCAAAGCTAAAAGAGCACTGACTGTAACACTCTTTCTAGGGCTTCAGGGATAATGGGCACCCCCATAGATGCTGCCGCGAGGCCACATGGAGTTTTGCTCCTGCCGGTGGCCAAAAGCACTCACCCCGGCTCCTGCACCCACTCACCTGTGCTCCCCCTCCTGTGAGGGGTGGAATGCAGTGGGACCAAGCAAGTGGAGTCCACTCTGCTGGCACCAAAGCAGCTGACTATTTCTAGTGCCTATGCACTCCAGTTCCTGCCCACGAAAAGGTCAGGGAAATTTCCTGCTTCATTGGCACCAATTTATGACTTAGTCCATTCCTGCTGCTATCACAAAAGATCTTAGACTGGGTAATTTATAAACAGCAGAAATTTATTATCTCACAGTTCTGGGAGCTGGGAAGCCCACTATCAGGGAGCCAGTGAATTTGGTGTCTGGTAAGGGCTTACTGTCTGTGTCCAAGTTGCTGCGACCTCTGGAGGGGACAAACACAGTGTCCACACATGACAGAAGGGATAGAAGGGAGGAACTCACTACCTCAAACCCTTTTATAAAGGCATTAACCCCATTCATGACAGTGGAATCCTCATGGCCTAATCACCTCCTAAATGTCCTGCCTCATAACACTGTTGCACTGGGGACTAAGTTTTGACAT